>NC_000001.11:119553835-120288534 GCF_000001405.40 Homo sapiens
CTGAGGGGTGAACTTCCCAGAGTCTCTGCTCTTAATGAGTCACAGTCTTGGGGCCTGGGGAAGGCCAGCCATACACAGATGGTATCAGAACACCCAGGCAGAACCACTCCCTACCTCAGCCCTTGATGCTTTCAGAAAAGCATCTCAGTGGAGTGTCTTCAGTGAATAAAAAGACTGCATGGAACTGCTTCCAGTGAATCCCTAGTCTCCATGAACAGGAGTCTGTCAGTTGCTTTACTTGTGTTGAACATCCTTCAAATATGTTCGTGAGAATGCCAGCTTGAACACCGCACATACACTGATACCATTTTCAAACTTCTTAAACAGAGGGAAACGTGGTATATGGAACAACTTGCCACCCACCTCACTGGCTTCCAAAGCTGAACATTCCTGGCTGCTAGAATAAGGCAGGGCACTGGCTGAATGCAGAGAGCACTGAGAAAAGTGGCCTGGATCTCACAGGAGCAGCTGGAAATTGAAACCCATTGGAATGTGCTTTGCATTAGCAGAAATGACCTTAAAACCACAGTCTGGCAGCAGAAAACTGCTATCTACAGGGTACTTGCAGCTGTGATAGGGAGACAGAGGAGCAAACACTAGGCAATTCATGCTGGAGACTGGCCAAGTGTGCTCCTCCCCTCCCACCAGGGGCAGAGAGGATGGAAATTATGTGATTGCCAAGGGCAGCTGAGAAAACAAGTCATGCCTGGGGTTTTGCTTTGTTAAGTGAGCTGAGTTGGGGGAATAAAGATCTGAGAGAAGCAGAAGAAGGCTGACTGTGAGTGGTGAAGACAGTGAAGGCCAGCAGCAGCCTTCCACACCTATTCCATTGTCATCTGATGGACAGCCAAGACAGGCACTTTTCCTGGCTCTTACTTATGATATTGTCTTCCCTATTTGGAGTAGTTGTGTGAAAGGTGGCCTGCCAGGAGCAGACAAAGCCTGATGCACCTTGCACTGCCCTTTGCCTCCATAATTCTGGGGGAGGAGAGGATTTGAGCCTTATGTATTATACTTACTGTAATCCCCAAGAAAGAAAGGGGGTCCCTAATTGGTCCTAAAGAGTTCTCACCCTCTTTGCCCATTAAAATCACCCAGGGAGTTTCTACAAAATTACAGGTACTTAGGCTTCACTTCAACTAATTGCTCTCCACATTTAAAAGACAAACAGAAAAGTTCTCCAAGGTTAAGAAAATCTGTCGCTTAAACTAATCAAACCTCAAGAATTCCACGGTGACCAGGTATAGTTTCTTTAATTGGAATCTGGGCAGAGGCTCACACACATCAAAGTTAGAGATAGCTGGGCACAAAATCTCATGTCTATAATCCCAGCACTCTGGGAGGCCAAGGCAGGAGGATCACTTGAGTCTAAGATTTCAAGACCACCCTGGGCAACATAGGGAGACCCCATCTCTACAGAATTAAAAATTAATTAAAAGCCTAGCCAGCCATGGTGGTGCATACCTGTTGTCCTAGACACTCCTGAGACTGGGGTAGGAGAATCTCTTGGTCTGGGAAGTTGAGGATCGCGCCACTGCACACCAGTGCTCTGGGTGACAGAGCAAGACCCTGTCACTAAAAAACAAAAAACGAAAGAAGGTTAGAGAAAAAAAATCTCTCTCTAAATGAACACCCTCAGCACTGGCTTTTCCCATAATCTCTCTTGCTGCTTGCCACATTCTGTTCTCCATACAACAGCCTGAGAGATGTTTTAAGTAAACTCAAATCCTATGTCTCACCTATATAAAACCTTTCTGGGGCTTCCCATTCCATTTACTATAGACTCTAAACTGATCTCCAGCTCTCCTGGGCACCGCATGATCTCATCCTTCCAACTTCTGTCTTCATCACTCTCTCTTTTACTCATGGTGTCCCAGCCAGATTGGCCTTCCTTCAATTCTGTAAACACGCAATACTTTCTTGCCTCTGGATCTTCACATTTATCATTCCCTTTACATAAAATGATGTTCCCCATGTTCTCATGGTTGGCTTTCTGTTGACATGTAGATCTCAGCTGAACTGTCACCGCCCCAGTGAGGTGAGACGTCCCTGACCATCCTCTGCCGAATAGGCTCTGCTTCACTCATCACATCACACTGTTTCTCTCCTCCTAGCTGTTAAAACTATCATAGAAAATAAAGTCCGTTTTAAAAACTAAATGAGATAATATATGTAAGGCACCTGATACATAGTAAAGGGCTCGATTAATATGTTAGAGCTCATATGTAGAGCTTTCTATGTGCAAGGAGATGTCCCATATGACCTCTTGGTCTAATCTCAACTGATTATTCCTTAAAATAAATATCTGGCTGAACTTGCTGGGTCAAGGGTGTGAAAGTTTAAAATATCTTGTCACATACTCACCAGATGTTTGTGTTAACTTACACTTCCACGAATAACATGCCTGTCTCTCCACATCTTCACCAACACTTAGTAACTTCAGTGAATCTAATATTTGCTAAACCACTCGTAGTTTTCAAACTGAGTTTAATGAAGGGATAATGTTCTTTGTAATGCAAGAGAAATTCCCAAGAAAAGAAAGCAGCTTGTTAAAAGTATGTCAGTTTACCTTTTTCTTCTTAAACGTTGGAGTACGAAGAGTTCTTGATTGGCACAAAATTCCAATTTCATCAGAAAACTCAACTGGGGAAATATCTACTTTCAAGCTCACTTACATAGGTGTTGGAAAACTTACTTCCTCGAAGATTATTGGACTGAGAGCCTCAGTTCCCATTTGACTGTTGGCTGACCTCAGTTCATTACTATATTGTCCTCTTCAGCATGGCAGCTTGCTTCATCCAGCCCAATGAGAAAGAGGAAGTGTAAAAGAAGATGGAAGTCATGATCTTTTCTAACCTAATCATGGAAGCAACATTCCATCATTTTTGTCCGATTATACTGATTAAAAGCAAGTTACTAGGTTCAGCCCACACACAAGGGAATGAATACCAGGAAGCAGAGATCACTGGACTCAACTTAGAGGCTGGCTACCATACCATCATTGTCAGACTCCGGAGGAAATGGTTGAGTGACATCTATCTGACCCCCCTCAAAAAATAATTGACAAACAGAGGATTCAGTAAGAAATTAAAAAGAGATTTTGCTAAAGCCTTCTCCTTTCTCACTTTGAAGGTCTTGCTTGGAAATACAGCCAAGCTGAGCTCATATAACCCAAAAGCTCTGGCCCTAGTTCTCCCTACATGGTGGAGGGGATGGCCCACTGTTCCTTACTTCTGAAAACTGGCTCTTCAAGTACACTTCAAACACCTGGGATCCTACTCATATCCGTGCTATAGATGAGAAGAAATTTGCTTCTCCTTGGCAAACAGCTTTGGCCTGAGCAATGATTCCAGCCTCTCATTAGTATGGGAAACGTTCTAGTATTTTCATTTTTGTGGTCACTGTTCTCTTCTATCTCCTTCTTTGTATTAGTCCACAAGCACTAACTTTCAAAAGCACTAAGACATTCTAGAGTCCTTGATTGTTCACTCATCCTTCCATTCCTTTATTCAATAAACATGCGTTAAGTTCCTATTATGTCATATGTGCAAATTCTTACGGTAATAAAAAGACGTATGAGACATAAACACTTTATTTAGTCAAACACTCAACAATGTTTGAACATTTGCTCTGTACAAGGTGCTAAGGATCAATAAAGGAGTAGTCCAGTTTAAGACAACACAACAAAAACAAACTCTTCACTCCATTGGCTGTAACACCTTTTTACTGAGATCTTCATGGTTCAACTTCTTGAACAGGTGTTGTTTTTAATAGTCACTCTCTTCACATTTTTCTTCTGTTCCTCAACACGCAGATGAATTGTGTGTTGGACTTTCCAGTTGAACTTTCAACCCAACTATTTGTGGAAATTGCTCTTACAAATTACTTACAATTTTGCCAAAACCAGTAATCAATTATTTTACTATTGCATTTGATGTGTCAGCAGCATCCGACATAGTGGACCAAACTCTTCTTAAAACACTTTCTTCACTTGACTTTTACAAGGCCATCTCCTTGTAATTTTTCTCCTTCCTGCCACCAACTCCTACTCAGCATATTTAGCTGGCCCCTCCTTCTCTGTTCAACTTCCAAATGTTGATATGTGTATTCCAGGGTTCAGTCCAGAAACTTTCCCTATTATCCATGAATATTCTTACCCTAGCTTATTTAAACTACTCCTGTGCCTTTAAAACTTATTCTATGCTACTCATGTCCAAATTGACCTCTCTAGGACTCAAGCACAAGGGATGTAAGTATCCTAAAGTAACCCAGGAGTTTAATAAGCTGGCCAAGGAGAGGAATTTTCCTTTTCCCAGCATGGGGGGCTGTGCCTAGTACAGCTCCTTGTAGAATGGGTGGCTTTCTCCTCTAAGAAAAATGAAGCCCTTTGCCTGAGCCCCAAGGACTTCAGGTGCTGGGTAGTTGATTTTTCCAGATGATCTTGTGAACAGCTGGCACCTAAATCTAGACTGTTTCACACCAAAAGACTGTGTGCTCCTCCACTGATAAAGCTGTGTCCTTGTGCTTAAAATAATAAAAAATTATAACAAGGGAGACTAATGCTCCCACACTGGAATGCAGACTCCCATTGTGAGCCCAGCATTTCCTGACCATTTATGCATCAGTATTAAATAGGAGGATGGAGAAATCATGCTGTCTATTCTTTTTCTGATCAGTAATCTTTGTGAGCTTTCCTAATACAGCATTTTTTTTTTCTGAGCACAGACAAGGGACTTTATTGACGGTACATGACAAGATGGAGTTCCCTAGGCCCCTCCCTCTTCAGGGGGTCTGCATGGAAACTGTGAGAAGGGGAGATTCTCAGTGTGGTGGGGGACTGAGTGTGGCAGGGACTCCCCAGCAGCTGAGGGCCTCTCTTTTCCTCTCATGCTCTCGCTGGGGCTGGTGGTCTAGAGGTCTTACTCCTTGGAGGCCATGTGAGCCATGAGGTTCCCCACCCTGTTGCTGTAGCCAAATTCATTTTCATATCAGAAAATGAGCTTAACAAATGGTCATTGAGGGCAATGCCAGTTCCAGGATCCAAGGTAGAAGAGTGGGTGTCAGTGGTTAAGCTGGAGACAACCTGGTTCTCAGTGTAGCAAAGGATGCCCTTATGGGGACCCTCTGATGCCTGCTTCACCACCTTCTTGATGTTATCATATTTGGCAGGTTTTTCCAGATGGTAGGTCAGGTCCATGACCAACATGATGGTGGTAGGTACATGGAATGCCATGCCACTGAGTTTCCTGTGCAGCTTATTGATATACTCGCTTACAGCCTTGACAGTTCCAGGAGATGCAAAGATGATGTTCCTTTGAGCCCTGCAGTTTTCTTGCCACATTTTCACAGAGGGGTCATCCACAGTCTTCAGGGTGGCAATGATAGCATTGACTGTGGTCATGAGTCCTTCCACCATATCAGAGTTGTCATGGATGATCTTGGTCACAGTTGCTAAGCATTTGGTGGGAAGCATGTTTTAACATCATCAAGAAGCATTGCTGATGATCATGAGGCTGTTGTCATATTTCTCATGGTTCACACCCATCACGAACATGGGGGTATGAGCAGAAAAGCCAGAGATAATGACCCTTTTAGCTCTCCACTATAGGTGAGCCACAGCCTTCTCCATGGTACTCCATGCCACTGTACTCCATGATGTACTTAGTGCCAGCCTTGCCCTAATTGATTTTGGTGGGATCTAGCTTTTGGAGGATGGTGGTGGGATTTCTATTTATGAAAAGCTTCCTGTTCTCAGCCTTGATGGTGCCATGGAATTTGTCATAGGTGGAATCATACTGGAACATGTAGACCATGTAGTTGAGCTCAATGAAGGGGTCATTGATGGTGACAATATCCACTTTACCAGAGTTATAAGTACCCCTGGTGACCAGGTACCCAATAGGGACAAATCCATTGACTCTGGCCTTCACCCTTACCATGGTGTCTCAGGGATGTGGCTAGTGCTGCACAAGAAGATGCGGCTGTCTGTCGAATGGGAGAAGCAGAAAGCTACAGCATATTATTTAACCCATAGTTATCATATTGAGAAATTCTTCACACACTCTGATGTCAATAGGTGGTGACTCGGGTGAGCATCACTTGACATAGCAGGCTGACATTCCCTGAGCATGTGGACAATTCAGTTGTCTCAGTGTCACCTGTTTAAAAGACAATCTTTTTCCCTATTGAATTTGCTATTGTCAAAATCAATTGGCCATATGAATTTAGGCCATTAACCCACACATAGGCAAAACTTCCCTCAAAATAAAATAAAGGCCTAAATTTAAGGGCTAAACTATACACCTCTTAGAAGAAAACATAGATTATTATATTCATGATCTTGAATTAGGCAAAAACCCAACTTTTCCTGGTTAAAAAATAGTTGAAAAATGAAACAGGATCAAAACTAAAAATGTTGGCGTTTAAAAGCCACCAATAAGAAAATGAAGAGATAAACCAGAGACTGAGAAAAAAAATTCAAATCATATATTTAATACAGGACTCATATCCAGAATATGAAATACACTTACAACTACGCAACAAAAAGATAAATAACCCAATTTTAAAATAGGCAAAATATTTGAATAACCATTTCATCAAAAAGGTGTAGGAATAGACAATAAAATACATGAAAAGATGGTCAGCATCATCAGTCAGCAGGGACATGCAAATCAAAACTACAGTGAGACACCACTTCTTACCCACTAGAATGCTATAATAAAAAAGGACAGCAACACCTGGGGGAAGTGAAATAATGACGTGGAAAAACTAAAATACTCACGCATTGTTGATGGGACATGTAGTCACGTTGGAAACCAGTTTGGCAGTATCTTAAAATGTTGAGATATATTTACCATATGACCTAGCACTATCACTTCTAGCTGTCTACCCAGAAGAAAAAAACCTATGTCCACACAACACATGAATGTGAATATTCATAGCAACTTTATCCATAATTGTCCATAAAGTGGAAACACTCAAATATGTATCAACTGATAAATGAATAAACTAATGGGAGCTATCCATCCAATTTAATAGGATTTGTCACCTAACAGGATTAAAATATTGATATGTGCTGCCACATACATGAACCATAAAAGTATATTAAAGTAAATGAAAGAAGACAGATACAAAAGACCACATATTGCATGATTTCATTTATATGGTCTCCAGAAAAGGCAAATCTGTAGAGTCAGAAAGTCAATTAGAGGTTGCCTGGAGCTGGGGACTGGGAAAAAGTGGTGGTGACTGATGAACATGGGGGATTTCTTAGGAATGATAGAAATGTTGCAAAACAGGATCATGGTGACGGTCACACAAGTCTAAAATTTTACTGAAAATAATTTAACTGCACACCTAAAACAAGCGAATGTTATGTCAATTATACCTCAGTAAAGCTGTTTAAAAACAAAAGAAATTTAGTAGTGTGGCCCCCATCAGTCTTGCCCTTTGTTTAATTTCTCACTTTCTTTAGGGCTTTTATTTATCGGTTCCACTCAGAGACTCCAAGAGACACTGGCTGAAATCTATCAGCCTCCAGAACTCTCAACAGCATAGGGAATGTCTGGCCCCATCTGAAAGGTGATGGGATCTGTAAGGTGCACTCTAGCATGTGCTATAGCAGGCAAAGGTGTGTGATGCACCTGGGTGGTTCAGATAGTGCTCCACATGTCTCAGCAAGACCCAGGGCCTGTAGCTATCAGAGAACAAGCTGCTACATCTTGCAGCACAGGGCCAACCTTTTCTAGGCAAGTGGGTTTGAAGCATTGGTAGTCAGGTCCCAAGTAGCAGTTGAATGTTTTCAACATGGGAGGAGGGCAAGACCTAGAGTGGGGTTTCAAAGCAAATCATTTGTAGAATATTACTTCCAACAACTGCAGAAAGCATTCGTTTCAAGTGTTTATGGGATGTTCACCAACACAGACCATATGCTGCACCATAAAACAAGTCTCAATATATACACAAGGATCAAAATCATACAGAGTATATGCTATGGCCACAGTAGTATTTAATTAGAAATTCAAAACAATAAGATATCTAGAAGATTCCCAATTTCAGAAAACAAGCTACATACTCTGTTGGTATCGGTCACTTGGGTCAAAGACGAACTCACAAGAAAAAATTCAAAACATCATTAACTGAGTGATGATAACCCGATGCATCAAAATGTTGGCTGCAGCTGACACAGTGCTTAGAGAGAAACTTACAACTTTAAATGCCTGTAGTGGAAATGAGCAAAGGACTAAAGTCAATTATATATGCTTTTATAATAAGAACCCTGAAAAAAAGGAGTAAAACAACCCCCAAGTTAATAAACATAAGCTGATAATAAAAACAAAGAAAATCATGAAATAGAAAAATGAACAAACAATAGAGACAATCAATGGTCAATCCTTCTGTACTCCATGCACAAAAATTCATTTCAGAATGATTTTATATTTAAATATATATCCAGAACCACAGAGATCTTAGAAGAATAAATAAGAAAATATAGGGATAAAATAAGAATTCTGTGGGAATAAAAATCAGAAAGTAGTTGCCTACCAGGTAGATTGGGAGTAGGGCAGGGAATTAGCCAATAACAGGCAGAAAAGAACTGTCTGCAGTGACGAAAATGACCTATACATTTTTGGGTTGCTACTTACATGGACATATATAACTGTCAATGTTCATTGAACTGAACACTTGAGATCTGGGCATGTTAATGAATATAAATTACACCTCTTTTTTTAGATAGAGGAAAGTGTCTTGGAGAGCTTATGGTGGTGAAATTTGGGCAGTTCTCTGGCATAGGCTCAAGGAGCATTCACAACATCTTCAGTTCAGAAATTTGCTGAGAATGGTTTTGTACCCAAAAATATGGGAAAAGTTCAAACATCTATGATAAGAGTCATTGGGGCATACAACCACAAATCCCCACTCTTGTGGTACAGTGTTACAGGCCAAAAAGAATGAGGGTCGTGACCAACTCAGTATACCACTGGAGGCTATTTGAGCAAACAGAAAACTGTTCTCATGAAAGCAGGACGTTTTAAAACTGACAAACTATGTCTGCTGCCAGAAGGGGTGCTGAAGGCCGTCACACCCCCAGTGCAGTGTTCCTTGTGATTATCTATAGGAACCTCTGAAGCTGTTGTATAAAGAAAGCAATTATGTGTACCTGTGATAAATCAAGCAGCTGACCAACCATTATCTCTCCCTACCTGCTCTTTCTACCTCATAAATACAAAGGGCTTTAGAAGCTCAGAGCTGCCTTTGCTCACTAGAAGCAAGGAGCCCCCTGACCTCTTGTTTTAAAACATATCCTTTTGTCTTTGTCTTCCTTTCTACATTTGACCCCCTTCGTTCATGCCGTAGTAACTGACAGCAACAGTACAGGCCATATAATTAAGTGGCTATCACTAGACAGCCTTCCTTCAATGATGTTCTTCATCTAGGAACCCAGAGCTCTCCAGGGTAAAATGGCAACTGAGGTTTTGGATATATTGAGTGGGAAAGAAAGTCAACTCCATAAAACAGTAATTGGAGCTGTCACCATTACAAATTTCTAAACTTTGCAAGACTGCAGCAGCATTTCAAATGACACTCTGAGAGAGGAGAGAATGGGCTCATGTGGATTTCCCTCCAAACATATTTACTGCACAAAGGCAAAGTTCACATTACACTTGGAGATTTCTCTCAGTCTAGTTTAAGATCACAGATTGCAGATCCCAGACAACTGGAATCAACCAACTAGTGTCCTGTTAAGGCTAAACCTAAGACCCTTTACCACACTACAGCCTTACAATTGGACTTCTCTTCCTGTTCCTGGGAAGAATTAGAGATATACATTAAAGGTCACTTTTCTTCTGAGAAAAGGCATACTGGAAGAGACAGGAGCAATGAGTATGTGGCAGGAGTTCAAAGTGATAAGGGGAAAGCCAGGAGCCACAGAACATAGAACTCCAGGGCTACCTTAGGGGATGAAGTGACCAGCACTCTGACTCTTCTATCCAGCTTTTTAATAATCTAACAGTTGGAGTTTCTTTATTTTCTTTTAGCTACTTCTGGCAATGGTGAAGACATGGAATTTTTGCCAAAAAAAATGGGGTGGAGGAAAATAAAGCATTTGTGTGAGTATATAACCATTTGATCTCGTTTTCAGCCCTCTCCAGGGTCAATCTAGAATCAGATCTGCTCCCCAGCATCTTCTGTTTCCTGGCGAGTGTTTCCTGCAATATTGGATTGGCAATGACAGGCTGGAGCTGCCTTGTGACAGGAGCAGGAGGGTTTCTGGGTTAGAGGATCATCCGCCTCTTGGTGGAGGAGAAGGAGCTGAAGGAGATCAGGGCCTTGGACAAGGCCTTCAGACCAAAGCTGAGGGAGGAATTTTCTGGTAAGTAAACTTGATTCATGGATGTGTGGCTCCATTTTAAACCCTGCATGGGTGCAGGAAGGTGAACCTTTTCTAGCAAGTTACAGAAAGTTGTAGTCAAATCTAAGCCAATCCCACATTCACAATCATCATAAAAAGAATATTAAATAGTATAAATGGCATCATGTGAAAGACACTGGACGGGGTGTCCAGAGACTGGATTCTGGCCCTGACCCAGAACTTGAGAGGCAGCCACTTTGGACACCAGACCCCTTTACTTCTCATCTAGAAAATCCCACATCAGTTATTTTTCTTGTCTACAACGTTTTTATGTTCTGAAGCTTTTTGTCTTGGCAATTGCTTTGCAACATTTATAAAGGACACCATTTACCTGGAGACCTCACCAGTGGGTCCCTGCCTTTCTAGACTGCCCTGAGCTTTTTGTTTTGTAGCAACCTTGGCATCTTTAGTGAAGGCAAAATAAAAGGAAGTGAATGTATAGGAGAGTGTGTAAGTGTGTGTGTGTGCCAGAAAGCGAAACAGAGAGAGAAAATGAGGGGGGAGAGAAAATCAGAGAGAATGAGAAAGACAGAGAATGCATGAGAAAGAGTGAGAGAGAAAGAGAGCATCAGTGATAGAGAGAGCCCGTGCACAGGCACACAGCACAGAACAGAGATGGCAAGAGGCAGTATGAGGCCAGATATGCCTCATTTCGATTTTTCATATATGGCTTTATTTTTTAACCATTTGTCTCTGTTGCTCAATAGCCAAGAAATTGCAGAATTCGGTGTAGCAGATCCTTGTGCAAATAACCCCATGAGGAAGGTAGAAAAGGGGTTGCATCCAACTGAACAATGAACCATCAAAGTCCAGAAACATAAAGCAACTTGCCGAGACCATCTAATTAATGTGTAGCACAGCTCAGACCAGAGCTTCCTCCAGAGGCTTCCTCACTTGACTCTGGAGCTGATGCTTGGCAAAGTGGGTCTTCAGTCTCTCCCTTTGCCTCCCTGGGTGCCCAATTCCCTGTCCTCCTCCCCAACCCAGGGTACTGTGTGTCTACATGTGGGCTCTGGCTGTGTAGAGAGTCATGACCTGCCCTCAGAGAAGCCTCTACTTGATAGCACTCAGGGACCACACCCAACACACTGTTCCTCTTTTGCTCTTCTCTGACCTCTTCCGATTTCCTCCACCCTCTGTTTTAATGGTGTCTTTCATAAACAAATATTAACACAAAACAAGATTAAATGTTTGTAATCCTTATGTGTCACCAGTATTTACAATCTAACACGTAATACCAGAAAAAAGCAATTCTCAGCCTAGAGGAATTGTTCCTTATGGTGAAAAGGCAGGGAATATAATGGATAGGCAGTGGCCTGTATGAAGATAAAAACAAAGAATCCTTTCAGTGTTCTTTCTGTGCCAGGCACTGTGCTACATGTTTTGCATGTGCTGACTCATTTGTTACTCATAGCAACCCTATGAGATTGTTAATATTATTATCCTCCTTTCTTACAGATCAGGAGACAGACACAGAGAGGTTAATTAACTCACCGAAGGTCCCAGAGTTAGAATATTGCAAAGCTGGATTTGAACCCAGACAGTCTAGTGCAGCATCTGTGCTCTTAAGCAGTAGTTAGTCTAGCAGCTTGAGGAAGGAGGGAACTATGGCTCCACCACAAAGTCCCTTTTCCTGGTCTCTCTAGATCCCTGTGAACTCATTGAGGAAAAGCCTTTTCTCTTGGCTTTAGACTTCTTCTGCTTTGAAATGGCAATTCCTTTCTGCCAGCCTGTCTGAAGTTGGCAGCAAAGGGGAAGCAGAGGAAGGGAGCAGGAAGTGCAGAGGTGGAAATACAACCAGAGAAAATTCCACTCTCAGGCTGTTACCCGCATCCTCCCCAGCAGCCTCTTCCCTGCCTCCCCAAACTGCAGGGCCTCCTTGGAGGTGCCTGGCAATAGGAAGGGGCTGGGAGTAGACAAAACATGGCAAAGGCATTAGGAGAGTAAATGGTCCTGTCTGAACCCCTGGAAGGAATTGCTCCGGTCTTGAATTTTTCGCTCTGAATTTTACTCTCACTGTTCTTTGGCCTTTGTTGCCAATTTCAGTTGACCTGGTTTATTCTTACTCTTTCTCAGAAAAGTTTATTCTAAACAGCTAGGCCTGTACCCGGTGTACAGAGTACAACACTTAGAGGTGGGGTGGGCAAGTTTGAGTCTCCACTAGAAACGTGACCTTAGATCTGTCCCTTAACCTCTCTGATCCTCAGTTTCCTCACAATAAAGTGGGACTCAGAAAACCTGTCTCATGAGATTGTTGTAAAATGAAATAAGCAAGCTGTGAGTCATATGCAGATTATAAAGCACAAACAAGTGTAGAGTATTTATCCAAGCTCCAGGTACCACGGTTTTCATTGCGTGGGCTAATTCCAGGTGACAACTTTACTGTCCGCGTAATGTCTTGTGGATTTCAGAGGAGCGTGAAGACATTAAAGTTGTAACCACTGCCCTTGGCTAGACAGCTGGAATATCAGTTCATTGGTCACTAACTTTCAGCATTGCTATCTGCTTTTGATATCTGATAAGAGTTTTTCATGGACATTCCTCATTTATGCCCATCCACAGTTCCCTAGTAATGGCTCCACTCTCCTCCCAATTTCCCAAGCAGGAAACCATAGGGGTGATTTTGTCTTCTTTTTCTCTCAGCCCAGATCCAATAGGTACCAGGACCTTCAAGGTAAGGTCTGAAATTCAAACCTGTTTTATCTCTCCCCTGCTCTGCTTCCACTGCTGGACCCTGCTTCCAGTCCTCATCGAAACTTTGGCACAGATACTCTGATTAATATCTTAATTACCTTACTTTCTCATATCCCCTATACCAGTCCATTTTATATCCTCAAGCCAATGTTGACTTCCTACTTCACAATTCTGCTTCTGTTTCTCTCTCTCTTTTTTTTTTTTTTTTTTTTGAAACAAGGTTTGGCTATGCCACCAAGGCTGGCATGCAAAGGCATGATCTCTGCTCACTGCCACCTTCACCTCCTGGGCCCCATTCATCCTCCTGCTTCAGCCTTCCAAGCAGCCAGGACTATGGGCATGCACCAATACGCCTGGCTAATTTTTGTATTTTTAGTAGAGATGGGGTTTCATGAGGTTGTCCAGGCTGATCTTGACCTCCTGGGTGCAAGCAATCTGCCCACCTCAGCCTCCCAAAATGATGGAATTACAGGTGTGAGCCACCATGCTCTGCCTGTTTCTCTACTTATTCCAAATATAAATAAGGGGTTTCTCTGATATGGTGCTGGAGACCCAAAATCATGATCCCGCATCACCAGCAGAATTAAATTCAAATTTTCCCTCTTATACCCAACTCTCCACAATCACTCTACTCCTTTTAAAAATTTTGATGGGCTTTCCATGACCCTAGCAGTGCTTATATTCCAAGCACACCTGACAGCTCATTGCTCAGATTACATTTCTGAAATGAGATGGGGTAGAAACAGATGTTTGCTCTTTCCCAATAAATTGCTACACATTCTGACTTCTGTGTCTCTGTTTATTTGTTCCTTCCATGGAATGTACACCCTCCACTCCAACACCCTGACTCTAGCCATCCTCAAACACCTATGCAACAACATCTTTATCAGGAAACTTCCAAGCCAGTTTCAGAAACCATTCCGATAACCTGTCCCGTGTTCACACAGAGCTCCAGAACAAGACCAAGCTGACAGTGCTGGAAGGAGACATTCTGGATGAGCCATTCCTGAAGAGAGCCTGCCAGGACATGTCGGTCATCATCCACACTGCCTCTATCATATATGTCATCGGTGTCACTCACAGAGTCCATCATGAATGTCAATGTGAAAGGTACAGTAGCCTGGGGAGGAGATGAAGCAAGGTGGGGAATTAAGGATCACAAAGAAGGACAGGAAGGGAAAAGAAGTCTCTCCACTGAACACCTGCTATGCTCTGGACCAAGTGTCTTTGCTGATCACTACCAACTGGGGGAGTTCAAAGCTGCTATCTTCAGTTTTTTACATGAGGAAACCAGTGCTACAGATGGCAAGTAACTTGTCCAAGGCCCCCCAGGTAAGTAAGTAAGTAGGAGAATTAGACTTTAAACTCACCCCTGTGTGACTCCAAAGGCTGTGGACACTCTATTGTGGCTCCAGTCAAAAGTCAACTAAACTCCAACTTCAGACTCTTGATATTCAGCCACTCTTTGCCTCTATGGGACAGAATCAAACCTTCCAGGTGCCACCATAGTCATCATTTTAAACCTTGTGTGTAGGCTTATAATAATGAAATGGGAAAAATTCCCTCACCCCCCTCACCAAGCATGCAATGGGGGTGTGGCTTGCTTCTTCAGTGCCTCACTGCTGAAACCTCTATGGGAGCATACAGGCAGGCAGGCTGTGGGACTCCGACACCATGGCAGTGTCTGGGGTGAATTGTACAGCTCCTGAAGCCCCAGTGGGTGTGTGTTACATGGTGCTCTTTTAGTCTTGCTCTTTTAGTTTTGACATCTATAGGCGGCTTGTTTTAACCAGCTAAATTAGACCCTCTACCTTGTTGGAAGGTCAGAGGGCTTTCTGTATCCTGGGTTCTTGCTTTGGTTACCGGAAGAATTGGATCACACCTGGGCTTGGAGAATGAGTACAAGGTTATTTTGAGTGGAGGTAGCTCTCAGCAGCTGGGGGATGCCAGAAGGGGAGGGTTTTCCCCTGGAGTCGGTTGCTCAATGACCCAACTCTTCTCCAACCACCCCAGACAAACTCCACATCATTTTGCCCATGGGTATGTTCCTCCCAAAGTCCAGCTGCCCGTGTATTCCTTTGCTGATGTGTTCCTCTGCTGATGTGTGCCTCCACTGATGTGCCCTTCCTGACATCCAGCCCCTTCTGTCTTCTTCTGCCAATCTGCTCCTCTCAATGTCCAGCAGCTTGTGCATGTGCCTGCTAGGGTATTGGGGGGTTTTATAGGCAGAGAATGGGAGCATGGCAGGCCAGGGTGGTCTTGGGAAATGCAACATTTGGGCAGAAAATGCTTGTCCTCATCTAGGTCCCTGAGGGTGCAGCCCTAGCCAGAAACCACACCCTCCTTCACCCAGCACTTCCCTTCCCCGCTCTCATATCATTTAAAGGGACCACACTCTTCCCTTCCCAGCACTCCCATATCAAGAACATTCAAAGCCCTCCTGCCCACCTCAAAGAAGTTCTCTTGAGAGAACTAGCAAAGCTGGTTCTCAGAGGTCTGTCAGGACAGAATTATCCAGCACATGCTTTCTCACAATATTTTCTTAACAAAAAGAGTTTCCCAGTATGCAGAATATGATCTCTTCAGCTCACCAAAGGGCCTGCTATTACAGAACCATTTCAAACTAGGTGCCCAAAGTGCACCTTCATTCAATCCTCGTCCCTTAAAAGCTTGGTGGTCTTTCCGAATTGCAGCTTCCCAAACTACTTTAAATTCAGACACATTCCCTTAAGGAATCTCGTCATGCAGTCTCACCCTCTGATTCCCAGAGTCCAGTCTCTTCAGCACCATAGCACCCAACCACAGGCCTGGCCCTCCACATTCAGTCTACTCTGATGCCTTTTCTCATGCAACTAATTGCTTTTGAGTCTCCAGTACCAAAAAAAAAAGAGAAGAAAGAAAGAAAGAAAGAAAGAAAGAAAGAAAGAAAGAAAGAAAGAAAGAAAGAAGAAAGAGAAAGAAAGGAAAGAAGGAAGGAAGGAAAGAAGGAAGGAAGGAAGGAAGAAAGAAAGAAAGAAAGAGAGGAAGGAAGGAAACAGAAAGAAAAAAACCTTTCCAGTTTCTACTCGCTCATTTCTTTCAGTACCCCTACAGTGCAAGGAGGGTGTTAAGAGTAACCAGTTTTTCATTTGAATTGTTAACTCTCCGCAGCTCCCAACAACAAGAAATGTGAAATGACAGGGGAAGTGTTAGAGGCATCTGTTTCCTAACCATTATCACTCCAAGGCTTAGAAAATATTTCACAATGTTGGTCATTTCCCCCTTGAAGGTAAACTACTTCCGCATTTTCTCTGCCACCAGATTAATTGTTGAAAACATGAGGCTGTCTCTCCAGAAACTCAAATTCCACAGAGACTTTAAACAGGGCCAAGAATAAAAAAATAAGAAAAAATAATAATCCTTTGCCTAGGAAATTCCTTCCTTCTTCAAGGGAAGGCACTCCGAACACCTCCATGAGCTTCGCTTCCACACAGCTCAGGGGAGGCGGCAAGGTCCTCCCAGTACAGGTGTTACCAGCAGAGGGCACACTCCTCTCCCCAGTCCTCCACCAGGCTCCACAGGAAACGCCAGGGCAGGGTTTAAAGGAAGGTTTATCACCCCGACTTTACATAACCAGGTAAACAGAGTCACAGCCAGAATTGGAAGCAGCTTTCCCAGGGAATGCACAATCAGGAAAAGAGTGTGGGTTTCCAGCATCTCCCCACAAGCCACTGTTCGCTCAATGACTCCAGGAATGGTCCTGGTGACAAAGTTTTACCAGTCCACTCAAAATGAGAAAAATACCAGCAATTATATGTATATTTAAGAGTACATTTCAGAGTGTATATTGCTTATATACAATTGTGTATGGGTGTGTGTGTGACATAAATTCTTCCAGTGCCCTTTTCTGCCTAAGGACTGGGACTGTCCATATTCTCAGAGTATATCTTCCTGATTTGTTAGTTTTTCAATAATCTGCCATTAATGGTATTGATGTCACATTGTAATTTTTCAACATCATTACTTGACAGAATATAAAGTGATAATTCTAGGTCCTTTGCCAAAATTACAGTATATACACACACACACACAGACACACACATCCATATACCCAAAAGTCTAGAAATTCTTGCTCCCCAGAACCCACATGTCAGTTTCTTTTCATTTTGGTGTTTTTCCTATGGCTGTAGCATGGCCCAGTCTCAGTCAGAGTCACATAAGAATATACCCCGAGTCTGTTATAACCACTGCACTTGGGAATAAATATCTATGCACGTTGTTGGGGCCCCTTAGTTATATTTCCTGACACTGACAGAATGCTTTTCGTAGGTAGGTACCCAGCTTCTGTTGGAGGCCTGTGTCCAAGCTACAGTGCCAATCTTCATCTACACCAGTACCCTAGAGGTAGCCAGGCCCAATTCCTACAAGGAAATCATTCAGAACGGTCATGAAGAAGAGCCTCTGGAAAACACATGGTACGCTCCATACCCACACAGCAAAAAGCTTGCTGAGAAGGCTGTGCTGGCGGCTAATGGGCTGACTCTGAAAAACGGTGGCACCTTGTACACTTGTGCCGTAAGACCAATGTTTATCTATGGGGAAGGAAGCCCAATCCTTTCTGCCGGTATAAATGAGGCCCTAAACAACCATGGAATCCTGTCAAGTTTCAGCAAGTTCTCCAGAGTCAACCCAGTCTATGTTGGCAACATAGCCTGGGCCCACATTCTGGCCTTGAGGGCCCTGCGGGAGCCCAAGAAGGCCCCAAGTGTCCGAGGACAGTTCTACTATATCTCAGATGACACGCCTCACCAAAGCTATGATAACCTTAGTTACACCTTGAGCAAAGAGTTCGGCCTCTGCCTTGATTCCAGTTGGAGCCTGCCTTTATCCCTGACGTACTGGATTGGCTTCCTGCTGGAAATAGTGAGCTTCCTGCCGAGGCCAGTTTACACCTGTCGACCGCCCTTCAACCACCACAGAGTGACATTGTCAAATAGCGTGTTCACCTTCTCTTACAAGAAGGCTCAGCAAGATCTGGCATATAAGTCACTTTACAGCTGGGAGGAAGCCAAGCAGAAAACCATGGAGTGGGTTGGTTCCCTTGTGGACTGGCACAAGGAGACCCTGAAGTCCAAGACTCAGTGATCGAAGGATGACAGAGATGTGCATGTGGGTATTGTTAGGAGATGTCGTCAAGCTCCATCCTCCTGGCTTCATACAGGTGACAAGGGCAAAAGTCCAGGTCCTGCTGCCTCCCTTTCACATAATAGCCAACTTATTGTCTTCCTCATGTCATCAAAACCTGCCCAGTCCCTGGCCCAACCAGAAGCTTTTTGTCCTAATCATATACCAGAGGAAAGACAATGTGATTTGCTTTTTCCATATCTCAGTGGCTGATTCCGAACAATTGTAGTCTCTTCTAACTTGAGGTCATTTTTAACTACTAGAGCTCCATTTCTACTCTTAAATGAGAAAGGATTTCTTTTCTTTTAAATCTCCTATTTCTTCACGCAGTCCAATGTAAAGAGCAATAAATGTTTTAATCCTTAACCTGGAGGGAGGTGTAGTTTCTGTTAATACCTAGTTCCCTCCTTTTCTTTTCATTTCCAGGTATCACCATCTTTTACCTAGGAGAGTAGCATGGAGCTGGGGAAGGGGGGTTGGCAGAGTAGTGGGAGGATCTGGAAGGGCGATGAAGACTGAATAAGCTCTACTATGTTTCAGGCATCTACAACATGACCTACATGTGACATATATTCCCTCACTCAATACTTATCAGAAACCTATCACGTGGGGGTGACTATTCCCATTTTACCCTTAAGGAAACTTGTTCACCATCACACTAATGATTAGTGGCTAGGCCTGCTACCAGGAAGTTGGTCTTGAAAGACTTTATCTTTCCCTAGAATCATGCAGCCTGAACTGGTCTTATCAGTGGTACAGCAGAGCACTGGAGCATGGGATGCTGATACTTGGGAGAGCCCCAGCTTTTTGGGGTTACCTCTTTCTTGCCCAATCTGGTACAGGGGAATCTCTAGAACCAAGGATAATCCCTGAGGGGCATCTGAAAGGGTTTGCATGCCTTTCCTAATGGGCCTGAGCAGGGCAGAGAGAAACAAAAATGCATCAGGCCTCCACCCGCTTCAGTGTCAATTTATTTGAAGGTCTCTAGAACACTCCTGGCTATATGTGTGTTGGCCATTCTGATCATACATAACCCTGCATTTCACCCTTTCAAATCACACAATGAGCCACACCATGGGTTCCTGGACAAGTACAAAAAACAAGTGTGAACTTCCTCCAAAATATACCTTCTACTCAGCCCAAAATTAGAAGTCTACTATCCCACATCCCCAGATTTAACTGTCTCTCTCTTCTTTCTCCTTCTCTTCTCTAAATCATATCCTTTCTTCCTTTATTCTTCCATATCCTTAGCCTCTTTCTTCTCTCCATCTCCTCTTTAATCACTGGTTCTCTCATTCTTCTCAATTTCCCTGAAGAGAGGAGGCCAATCAAGACAAGTTTGGGGACTTCAGTGATGACATAGTCATTAACCAATCAATGAAAACACACTCAAAAGAAACACTGTCAGGGGCATCAGGGACAGAGTTGAACTGAAGCAGGTGAGGAGGTTGCTATGGGTCCAGAGTGTGGGGTGGAAGCTGTCTCCCTCTGGACCTTTGTGTATCACAGCCATGATGAGAGTCACACCCAACATCAAGATGGCTTTTTTCTTACACAGGAAATTAACAGATCATTACTCAGTTGAATTTGATTACCACAATGGAGTTAGTTTCAGTGTTCATTCTGAAGAGAAAAGGGAACCACATTCTGGCCCAGATGAACAGGTTACCACCATCTTCAAAAGCCCAAGGAACAGATGATCATCACCAGCGTCAGGGGGGAGTGGCCCCAGGCAGTGGGGTAAGGTGAAAAATGCAACACCCAGTGGTCACTTCCAAGATGGCCGAATAGGAACAGCTCCGATCTGCAGCTCTCAGAGAGATTGATGCCGAAGATGGGTGATTTCTGCATTTCCAACTGAGGTACCTGGTTCATCTCATTGGGACTGGTTGGACTGTGGGTGCAGCCCACAGAGGGCGAGCTGAAGCAGAGTGGGGCATTGCCTCATCCAGGAAGCACAAGGGGTTGGGGGATTTCCCTTTCCTGCCAAGGGAAGCTGTGACAGGCTTGCCTGGAGAAAAGGTACACTCCTGACCAAATACTGTGCTTTTTCCACAGTCTTAGCAACCAGCAGACCAGGAGATAACCTCCTTTGCCTGGCTCAGTGGGTCCCACGCCCAGGGAGCCTTGCTCACTGCTACTGCAGCAGTCTGAGATAGACTGGCAATGCTGTAGCTTGATGGGGGGGAGGGGCGTCTGCCATTGCTGAGGCTTGAGTAGCTCACAGTGTAAAGAAAGAGGCTGGGAAGCATGAACTAGGTGGAACCCACTGCAGCTTAGCAAGGCCTACTGCCTCTATAGCTTCCACCTCTGAGGGAAGGACACAGTAGAACAAAAGGCAGCAGACAGCTTCTGCAGACTTAAATGTCCCTGTCTGACAGCTCTGAAGAGAGCAGTGGTTCTCTCAGCACGGCATTCCAGATCCGAGAACAGACAGACTGCCTCTTCTAGCAGGTCCATGACCCCCATGTAGCCTGACTGGAAAACACCTCCCAGTAGGGGCTGACAGACACCTTAAACAGGTGGGTGCCCCTCTGGGACAAAGCTTCCAGAAGAAGGATCAGGTGGCAATACTTGCTGCTCTGCAGCCTCCACTATTGATACCCAGCCAAACAGGGTCTGGAGTGGATATCCAGCAAACTCCAACAGACCTGCAGCTGAGGGGTCTGACTGTTAGAAGGAAAACTAACAAACAGAAAGGAAGAGCATCAACATCAAAAAAAAGGACGTCCACACCAAAACCCCATCCATAGGTCACAGTCATCAACATCAAAGACCAAAGGTAGATAAAATCACAAAGATGGGGAGAAACCAGAGCAGAAAAGCTGAAAATTCCAAAAAAGAGTGCCTCTTCTCCTCCAAAGGATCGCAGCTCCTCACCAGCAAGGGAACAAAACTGGACGGAGAATGACTTTGAGGAGTTGACAGAAGCAGGCGTCAGACCTTCGGTAATAACAAACTTCTCCGCGCTAAAGGAGCATGTTCTAACCCATTGCAAGGAAGCTAAAAGCCTTGAAAAAAGGTTAGACGAATTGCTAACTAGAATAAACAGTGTAGAGAAGACATTAAATGACCTGATGGAGCTCAAAACCACAGCACGAGAACTTTGTGACACATGCATAAGATTCAACAGCTGATTCAATCAAGTGGAAGAAAGGGTATCAGTGATTGAAGATCAAACTAATGAAATAAAGTGAGAAGACAAGATTAGAGAAAAAAGAGTGAAAAGAAATGAACGAAGCCTCCAAGAAATATGGCACTATATGCAAAGACCAAATCTACATTTGTTTGGTGCACCTGAAAGTGACAGGGAGAATGGAACCAAGTTAGAAAACACTCTTGAGGATATTATTCAGGAGAACTTCCCCAACCTAGCAAGGCGGGAAAACATTCAAATTCAGGAAATACAGAGAACACCACAAAGATACTCCTCGAGAAGGGCAACCCCAAGACACATAATTGCCAGATTCACCAAGGTTGAAATGAAGGAAAAAATGTTAAGGGCAGCCAGAGAGAAAGGTTCAGTTACCCACAAAGGGAAGACCATCAGACTAACAGCGGATCTCTCGGCAGAAAACCTGCAGGCCAGAAGAGAGTGGGGGCCAATATTCGACATTCTTAAAGAAAAGAATTTTCAACCCAGAAACTCATATTCAGCCAAACTAAGCTTCATAAGTGAAGGAGAAATAAAATCCTTTAGAGACAAACAAATGCTGAGAGATTTTGTCACCACCAGGCCTGCCTTACAAGGCTCCTGAAGGAAGCACTAAACATGGAAAGGAACAACCACTGCAAAACCAGCCACGGCAAAAACATGCCAAATGGTAAAGACCATCGACGCTATGAAGAAACTGCATCAATTAATGGGCAAAATAATCAGCTAACATCATAATGACAGGATCAAATTCAAACATAATAATAACCTTAAATGTAAATGGCCTAAATGCCCCAATTAAAAGACACAGACTGGCAAATTGGATAAAGAATCAAGACCCATCAGTGTGCTGTATTCAGGATACCCATCTCACGTGCAAAGACACACACAGGCTCAAAATAAAGGGATGGAGGAAGATCTACCAAGCAAATAGTAAGCAAAAAAAAAGCAGGGAATGCAATCTCCTAGTCTCTGATAAAACAGACTTTAAACCAACAAAAATCAAAAAAGACAAAGAAGGCCACTACATAATGGTAAGGGATCAGTTCGCCAAGAAGAGCTAACTATCTTAAATAAATATGCACCTAATACAGGAGCACCCAGATTCATAAAGCAAGTCCTTAGAGACCTACAAAACAGACTTAGATTCCCACACAATAATAATGGGACATTTTAATACCCCACTGTCAATATTAGACAGATCAGTGAGACAGAAGATTAACAAGGATATCCAGGACTTGAACTCAGCTCTGCACCAAGCAGACCTAATAGACATCTACAGAACTCTACACTCCAAATCAGCAGAATATACATTCTTCTCAGCACCACATCACACTTATTCTAAAATTGACCACATAATTGGAAGTAAAACACTCCTCAGCAAATGTAAAAGAACAGAAATCACAACAAACTGTCTCTCAGACCACAGTGCAAACAAATTAGAACTCAGGATTAAGAAACTCACTCAAAACTGCACAACTACATGGAAACTGAACAACCTGCTCCTGAATGACTACTGGGTAAATAACGAAATGAAGGCAGAAATAAAAATCTTCTTTGAAACCAATGAAAACAAAGACACAATGTACCAGAATCTCTGGGACACATTTAAAACAGTGTGTAGAGGGAAATTTATAGCACTAAATGCCCACAAGAGAAAGCAGGAAATATCTTAAGTCGACACCCTAACATCACAATTAAAAGAACTAGAGAAGCAAGAGCAAACAAATTCAAAAGCTAGCAGAAGACAAGAAATAACTAAGATCAGAGCAGAACTGAAGAAGATAGAGACACAAAAAAACTTTCAAAAAAATCAATGAAGGCCGGGCGCGGTGGCTCATGCCTGTAATCCCAGCACTTTGGGAGGCCGAGGCAGGCGGAACACGAGGTCAGGAGATTGAGACCATCCCGGCTAAAACGGTGAAACCCCGTCTCTACTAAAAATACAAAAAATTAGCCGGGCGTAGTGGCGGGCGCCTGTAGTCCCAGCTACTTGGGAGGCTGAGGCAGGAGAATGGCGTGAACCCGGGAGGCGGAGCTTGCAGTGAGCCGAGATCCCGCCACTGCACTCCAGCCTGGGCGACAGAGCGAGACTCCGTCTCAAAAAAAAAAAAAAAAAAAAAAAATCAATGAATCCAAGAGCTGTTTTTTTGAAAAGATCAACAAAAAAGATAGACTACTAGGAAAACTAATAAAAAAGAAAAGAGAGAAGAATCAAATAGATGCAATAAAAAATGATAAAGGGGATATCACCACCGATCCCACAGAAATACAAACTACCATCAGAGAATATTATAAACACTTCTATGCAAATAAACTAGAAAATCTAGAAGAAATGGATAAATTCCTAGACACATACATCTTCCCAAGACTAAACCAGGAAGAAGTTGAATCTCTGAATAGACCAATAACAGGTTCTGAAATTGAGGCAATAATTAATAGGCTAGCAACCAAAAAAAGTCCAGGACCAGATGGATTCACAGCCGAATTCTACTAGAGGTACAGAGGAGCTGGTACCATTCCTTCTGAAACTATTTCAATCAAAAGAAAAAGAGGGAACCCTCCCTAACTCATTTTATGAGGCTAGCATCATCCTGATACCAAAGCCTGGTAGAGACACAACAAAAAAATAGAATTTTAGGCCAATATCCCTGATGAACATCAATGTGAAAATCCTCAGTAAAATACTGGCAAACCGAATGCAGCAGCACATTAAAAAGCTTACCCACCATGATCAAGTAGGCTTCATCCCTGGGATGCAAGGCTGGTTCAACATACACAAATCAATATTCGTAATCCATCACATAAACAGAACCAACAACAAAAACCACATGATTATCTCAATAGATGCAGAAAAGGCCTGTGACAAAATTCAACAGCCCTTCATGCTAAAAACTCTCAATAAACTAGGTATTGATGGAACATATCTCAAAATAATAAGAGCTATTTCTGACAAACCTGCAGCCAATATCGTACTGAATGGGCCAAAACTGGAAGCATTCCCTTTGAAAACTGGCACAAGACAAAGATGCCCTCCCTCACCACTCCTATTCAACACAGTTTTGGAAGTTCTGGCTAGGGCAATCAGGCAAGAGAAAGAAATAAAGGGTATTCAATTAAGAAAAGAGGAACTCAAATTGTTTCTGTTTGCAGACAATGTAATTGTATATTTAGAAAACCCCATCCTCTCAGCCCAAAATCTCCTTAAGCTGATAAGCAACTTCAGCAAAGTCTCAGGATACAAAATCAATGTGCAAAAATCACAAGCATTCCTATACATCAATAACAGACAAACAGAGAGCCAAATCATGAGTGAACTCCCATTCACAATTGCTTCAAAGAGAATAAAATACCTAGGAATTCAACTTACAAGGGATGTGAAGGGCCTCTTCAAGGAAAACTACAAACCACTGCTCAACAAAATAAAAGAGGGCACAAACAAATGGAAGAATGTTCCATGCTCATGGATAGGAAAAATCAATATCATGAAAATGGCTATACTGCCCAAGGTAATTTATAGATTCAATACTATCCCCATCAAACTACCACTGACTTTCTTCAAAGAATTGGGAAAAAAATACTTTAAATTTCATATGGAACCAAAAAAGAGCCCACATAGCCAAGACAATCCTAAGCAAAAAGAACAAAGCTGGAGGCATCACGCTATCTGACTTCAAACTATACTATAAGGCTACAGTAACCAAAACAGCATGGTACTTGTACCAAAACAGACATGCAGACCAATGGAACAGAACAGAGACCTCAGAAATAACACCACACATCTACAACCATCTGATCTTTGACAAACCGGACAAAAACAAGCAATGGGGAAAGGATTCCCTATTTAACAAATGGTGCTGGGAAAACTGGCTAGCCATATGTAGAAAGCTGAAACTGGATCCTTTCCTTACACCATGTACGAAAAATAACTGAAGATGGATTAAATACTTAAATGTAAGACCTAACACCATAAAAACCCTAGAAGAAAACCTAGGCAATACCATTCAGGACATAGGCATGGGCAAAGACTTCATGACTAAAACACTAAAAGCAATGCAGCAAAAGCCAAAATTGACAAATGAGATCTAATTAAACTAAAGAGCTTCTGCACAGCAAAAGAAACTATCATCAGAGTGAACAGGCAAACTACAGAATGGGAGAAAATCTTTGCAATCTACCCATCTGACAAAGGACTAATATCCAGAGTCGACAAAGAACTTAAACAAATTTACAAGAAAACAACAAATCACCTCATGTAAAAGTAGACAAAGGATATGAACAGATACATCTCAAAAGAAGACATTTATGCAGCCAACAGACATATGAAAAAATGCTCATCATCACTGGTCATCAGAGAAATGCAAATCCAAACCACAATGAGATACCACTCATGCCAGTTAGAATGGCAATCATTAAAAAGTCAGGAAACAACAGATGCTGGAGAGGATGTGGAGAAATAGGAATGCTTTTACACTGTTGGTGGGAGTGTAAATTAGTTCAACCATTGTGGAAGACAGTGTGGCAACTCCTCAAGGATCTAGAACTAGAAATATCATTTGACCTGGCAATCCCATTACTGGGTATACACCCAAACGATTATAAATCATGCTACTATAAAGACACATGCACATGTATGTTTATTAAGGCACTATTCACAATAGCAAAGACTTGGAACCAACCCAAATGTCCGTCAATGATAGACTGGATTAAGAAAATGTGGCACATATACACCATGGAACACTATGCAGCCATAAAAAAGGATGAGTTCATGTTTTTTTGCAGGGACATGGATGAAGGTGGAAACCAACATTTTAAGCAAACTATCACAAGGACAGAAAACCAAACACTACATGTTCTCACTCATAGGTGGGAATTGAAGAACGAGAACACAGGGACACAGGGCAGGGAATATCACACACCGGGGCCTGTTGGGGGTGAGGGTCTGGGGGACAGATAGCATTAGGAGAAATACCTAATGTAAATGACAAGTTGATGGGTGCAGCAAACCAATGTGGCACATGTATACCTATGTATCAAACCTGCATGTTGTGCACATGTACCCTAGCACTTAAAGTATAATAAAAAATTAACAAATTAAAAAAAAGAAAAAAGAAAAATGCAACACCCCTCCTTCCCCAGCCACTGCACAAAATGCAAGAGCCAGCATCGCTCCAGCTCTTGTAAGGCAAACGCAACATCCATATGTTAATGCCAAATACCATAGGAACCAAAGGAAGGTGGTGGAATCAGAGACAAGACGCCTTCCCCTGGTTTTTCAGCCTGGTGAAACCCTACGCTTACGAAACCACCAGGGCAGTTTTCACAGGCAAAGGAAGGAAGAGGACATATCTCCAACAGGCAGTGAGGGGTGATCAGCGAAAGAGGCGAGGAGGCCTGATCAGTCAGCCATCTCACTAAAGAGGTACAAAGGCCTCAGAGTGTTACGGCCAACAAAATGTGCCATTCCTTCTTACAACTGAGGGTGCCAGGCAGAGCTCCTGCACCAAGCCCTGATGCACCTCACAGGATGCACCATACGGGGGCGGAAAGGCTTGGAGGGAAAAACAAGGAAGCCTAACCTGGAAGGTACTTTTGGGTCCTTTTTCTCCACCTGGGTGGCTCTGCAGGGTACCTGACAAAGGAATGAATGAAAGCAAAGGCAAGTGCTCAGCCACCGGCTTAAGGGCTAGGTATATATGAGTACAGAGAATGAAGCTGAGCTGAAGTCACTGGGAAAAGCCACAGGAGCCAGTGGAGCTTGAATGAGGCCTTGAATTCCTCAGTCCAAGCAATGGGCACAGCCCGAGCAGTGGTGCAGAGGAGGATGGAGGGGCATGAGGAGGACCTCTGCTTTCTGGAAAGCATGTACAGAGCGCAGATGAGAGAGCTCGGGTGCCAGACTAAGCCACAGACTAGATAGGCAGATTCCAAGGGCCAGGGTGGGCCCCAGAGCCTGTGATGGACTGGTGAGAACTGGCAGGAAAGTGACAAGAGGCCAACTCTTATGATGTGAAATCCCATGATTTCCAAATATTAGTGACTAACTCTAAACTTGAAAAAGCAGTGTGAAGATCTGCTCCAGGAGAGGGATGTGTGGGCTAGTGTTCCAACTGTATGTGCAATAATTTATATCTTAAAAAGTGGGTGGTGAGGTGTCAGCAGCAAATCTATTCATTCTTGGCGATAAGTCCCAAATATACATTATTATATCATACTCTCAGCTTTCCTGTATGTTTAACATAGGTTATAATTTTTTAATAAATTAAATTTGGTGGGGAACAAATATGCAAACTAAGAAAACACACTCACAGCCTGGCCCCAGGATTAAGGCCTCTGATTTTCCACTTCTGCTCCCAGTCTAGTGGTCCAGTGCGGGAGATAAAATAGGAGACGTGTTAGGTGCAGTGCACAGTAAATGTGAAGAGTGCCATAAGAAAGGAAAATGCTTCCGGGAGATCCATTCCCATAGGGGATTCATGGGGTCCTTGCATTTGGGCTAAATATCAGAAGATGGGTAGGATTTCAACAGACAGGAATGTGAGGGAAAGTATTCCAGGTGGAGACAATGGAGTCTGCAAAGACCCAAGTGGGAAAGGGGTCACTTTTAGGGAACAATGAGACCAGACCAGAGAGCACCACGCCAGGGAGAAATGGAAGATACACCTGGAAAGACATGATGGGCACACACAGGATCACCCGGGGCCACCCCTGGAGACACCCTGCCTCCTTCCTTCATTGACCTCAGAGTAGGAGTTCTGTGTCCCCATTAAAGATGACTTGGGCCGGGCACGGTGGCTCACGCCTGTAATCCTAGCAGTTTGCAATGCTGAGGTAGATGGATCACCTGAGGTCAGGAGTTCGAGACCAGCCTGGCCAACATGGCAAAAGCCTGTCTCCACTAAAAATACAAAAAAGTTAGGGGGCATGATGTTGGTGCCTGTAATCCCAGCTACTTGGGAGGCTGAGGCAGAATTGTTTGAACTCAGGAGGCAGAGGTTGCAGTGAGCTGAGATCACACCATTGTACTCCAGCCTGGGAGACAGAGCAGGACTCTGTCTCAAAAAAATAAGATAAATAAGTAAATAAATAAGTAAAACAAAGAAACAAACAAACAAAAACAACAAAAAAACCCGACGACATTCAATTACTTCACACATACTACATGCCTCATGTTCTCTCAAAAATTGGAATCTATGGGAAAAGAATGTCTCCTCCAGCAATGAATATTGATGGTGATGCTAAAAGCTGGGACGTCATTCACTCTGCAATGGGAATTGTTCAGCTGTCCCTGGAAGATTACCTTGGCAGCATGTCGTAGGATGGACTGAAAGAGATGAAGAGGATACTTCAAGATCTAGGTAAGAAATGAAGGCCTGATTTATGTGTTGGTAACAAAATGGAATACAGGGGCAAATGAGGCAGGCCTGAGGCAGAATGGCCACTAGTTTAGACAGGACTGGGTGTGGGCACAGAACTCTCATGCACCCACTTTTTCAAGACAGAAACCTGGACAGCAGCCCCCCACTCTTCCCACCTATCATTTAGTGCTACCAACTTTACCTCCACAACACCTCTTGAATGTGTCCTCTTCCTCCCTGGTAACATCATTCCTACTTGTACCTGCCACAGGCCTCCCTGTCTTGGAGAGTCACTCATGAAACCTATCCTTAGCAGTGTTGCCAGAGTTGTCTCTCCAAACTAGTCTCACCACGTCATGCCCTTCCTTAAAACCAACCACTGGGTGGAGCCCCAGGACTGTCAGGAGGAGCCTGAGAGCCTTAACATAACATAGAGGGCCTCTGAAGCCCTGGGCCCTGCCTAACACCCCAGACTAATTCTCACCAATCCCTGCCCTGTTCCCAGATTCTCCTACTTTGTGCCTCAACAATTTTCAAAAACTCAGGGCTTCCTGCTTGCAGCATGCTTTTACATCTACCTAGGCCAGTGCACGGCATTCCTTCTGCTTAGAGGGTGCCCAGCTCTCCTGCCAGCACATCCTTCCCAGCTCCTTATTCACCATCCAAAGCATCTCTTTTATAGCCTCTGTGCTTTGTGCATATCTAGTTGCACTGCCATTAATTTTTTATTTATATATCCTGTCCCCCACCCCTACACTGCCATGTCCTGAGGACAGTAACTCACCATGTCATCTCTCTGTCCCCAGTGACTGACACAAAATAGACACATGGGCTGATGGAGAGATAGATGGATGCACGGATAGAAAGATGAAACACCAACAAACTCAAATGTTAGGACGGAGAGAGGAGGGGATGGGGAGTCAGGGAGCACAATGCTTTCAATGACAAAGCAAGAGAGAATTCAAAGACAAATTTTCAGGGTGTCAATGAACCTGAAGAAGCTCGATCATCATGATGAGAGCTGGAAAAGAGATAAGCCACATAGTGGGTATGGTGCTGAGAATGAACTCATTTGTGTGATAGAAAGAGAGAGTGGGGTTGTGAGAGGCCCATGAGCAGGGAAAGGGAAAGGCTGTTGAAGGCGAAGCCCAGCTGCCAAGGTTATAAAGGGACTGGGAATTGGATCCAAAACCTGAAATGGTGCAAGGCCCAGAGCATTTTTATACTACAAAAAAAAGGAAAAACTGCTTTTGAAAAATGAATTCAGAAGAGAATCTCCCACTCTTAGTTGACTCAAGTGAGGACCACGCAACCTCTCTGTCTACATGTGCTTCTTAAGACATCAGGGGACTCTGGTGGAAAATTGAGGGGCGTTCTTTTTCTTTATCTTGGCCCAAGATCCCACCCAATGGTAATGAGCAGGGAATGGAGTCGGTGATCTGAGGCATGAAAGAGGTTCATTATGAGGAAGTGGAGAGGGAAGGCTGGATGAAAAGAAAGTGGCTTAGCCACTCTGTCCCCAAAGGCAGGGAGCACTGAGGTCAGTTGCAGACTCCAAAACAGTCAGTAATCTGTTCTGGAAACCTGAAGTTCCTTATTGAAGAGCGCAATCTTTCCTCAAGAAATGGAAGAACCAGCACTGATGCAGTCAGCCCTTCTTCCAAAACAGGTACTGGCGACAGAGAGGTGGGCGTGATATGGGTTCCGGGCCTATTGTCATCTTAGCATGAACGCTGGCCACTAAAGTAGGAATACCCTTCTCATGAGCCTGGCACTAACTCCCTCCTGCACTAGCTGGAGTCTGTCAAATCCCTGGTGTAGCTCTGAGCAGAGCAGCTCTCTGGGCACAAGGCCGGTGAGGTCACCCAGGGCCTGTGCTTGGCTTAAGGGGCTGCCATGGGACCCCACATTTCATTTTGCACTGATCCCTGTAAAATACACAGGCAGTCCTGACTGAGAGAACTTCTTTCAGCAGCAGGCAAAACACCTATTGCTGACCTAGCATGGTTAAATAGAAAAGGCTTCCTGACTCCTACAGGACAGATCAATGTCTTTGTGGAGTTCAGATTTTAGAGCAAAGAAAGTTTCATCAGGCATGGTAGGGCACACCTGTATTCCCAGCTACTGGGAGGCTGAGGGGAAAGATCACTTGAATCCAGGAATTCAACATCAGACAAGACTTCATCTCTAAAATTTTTATTAAATTGAAGTTAAAGAGGGATCTAGAGACCATTACTCCAGCTTTTAACTGTGGGTTCCTTTCCTGCTTTCATTTTACTGATGAGAAAACTGAGGCCTGGGAAGTGAGATGACCTTTCCAACGTTCACTTAGACAACTGTCTGTAATGGTGACCAATGATTTGCTACCTTTGAGGTAAAATATTTATTAAGGGAAAAAAAACTGGGATGAGAGACATTTGGAAACAGGGCAGAGGGTAGGTTTAATGAGAAGTCTGCTGTCTAAACCATCTATCTTGCCTATATAACCCAACCTCTCATCTGAACATCAGCTTGTGGACGTGGATGTTGCATAAATGGAGACAGGCAGGTGCTTCATGGTAAAGAAATGAAAGTAGTTGGGGGTGAGAGGGACTAAGGAAAGGGGTCAAGGAGGGCAAAAAACAAGCGAGTATTCTTTTGTTTTAGAAGAAGAATATTTTTGCAAATAAGAGTGAAGAGTGAAAATCCTGGGTTCTGATTTCAATTTTGTCATCGAAGTTAAGCAAATCTCTTCACCTTCCTGGGTCTGTTTTCTTTCCTACAAAATGAAGGTTATGGCTCATTTCTAAGGTCTTTTGCCAGTGACATTGGGCTGCAAAAGTGTAAGATGATTTGCATCCTCTGGCACCTGCACACTTCTGCCACTAAACTTCGTAATAACATAAGCCTCCTTGTGCTTATTTGTTTGTGTGAAGCCAAAGCTATTTGAGAAAGTGGTTTCCCAGTCATTCGTGGCTCTAGTGGCACATGGCACCTCACTGGAAAAGGGGCGTCATACCTCTCATAGGGTTGTAAAGGATCAAGAAGTGGGCCAAGTAGGAACCGATTCCCTCCTTCCCTGATATCTGATGACCACTGAACTGCAGAACTTAATGCTGACTTAAATACAGCCTTTTGTTTTGGCATTAAGCTATAGATGTTTCCCAAGAAGGTTTTAAAACTCTTAGACAATCACTAGAAATTAAAATGGGCAGGACCAATAGAGTCAGTGCCTACTGAAAAGGAATCAGAAACCCAGAAAAGTCATGCCTTGCTCAAGTCCACTGCCAGTTAATGCCAAAGCTCTGCCCTGCTCACTCCACACACAGCACACCCTCAAAGGAGGAGCAGAACTAGTTCCTTCTTTCTTCCTGTTCTCAGGAAAGGGAGGCCATGCCTTCTCACTTCCTCTTCACCCTGCCCTAGGAGCTGGAAATCCCAGAGGACAGAGTCCATATGCACTGCAACTGCCTCTCTCCTCCTTCTGGGATCCCAGGAGCTATGATACAAGACTTTAGGATGCCCCTCAGCAGCCCCTTCTCTGCAGCACTGAGCACGACCACCTTGTAACCACCTTGCTTCCTAACATTCACACAAGCCCGTGAATCTTACAAGAGCCTTCATGTTTGTCATTTTGTTTGATTTGATTTTCCCACACCTCATACCTGCATCTTTCCACTGCACAGATGAGAGCAAGATCAAGAATACCTATAGGGCTTGGTCTAGGCTGCAGCAGCATTGAACAGTGGCTGTATCAGTCCAGTGAATCTCAGGCTGTGAAGTCATGTCTGTGATTTCTACCTACTCTATTAACTTCAACACAGAAAGCAGTAGAGCTGCTTCAGGTGAAACCTTGAGGTGACCCTCATTTCAGACATTCACTAATGCTACCCCTAACAAGAGAAATGTCTAGCCAGATACTTTTCCAGCCCCTTGACAAAGTGAATTAGCTTTTCCAAGGTCACACACTGTCCCTTCCCTCACCCAACAAAGCCAGGTACAGTCGACATTGCCTGATTTGCAGCAGTGGTGGAAACTCTGACTTATAGTTGCAAAGTCCTTGGCAGAGAATCTGCTTAACTCTGAGCCTTTGTTGAATGTACCGTCTTGCCCTAGCATAACATGTGAAGCCTTGACATGAAGTTCCCCCCTGTCCACCTCCCATCCCTTGCAGCCCCAGGGGCCAAATCCTTAAAGTCATACATACAGTTGGCAAAATAATTCACCCCAAGCAGGTTGGACAGGCAGGAAACAAAATCAGCCTTCACCTTCGCCCTTAAATGGTGTTGGAATGTGTAAGCATCTCTACCTCTCTCATATCTGTCTCCCCAGCATTGAGCACTATGCCTGGAACATGCCACTCAGCTGAGGGGTGAACTTCTCAGGGTCTCTGCTCTTAATGAGTCACAGCCTTGGGGTCTGGGGAAGGCCAGTCATACACAGATGGTATCAGAACACCCAGGCAGAACCACTCCCTACTTCAGCCCTTGATGCTTTCAGAAAAGCATCTCAGTGGAGTGTCTTCAGTGAATAAAAAGAATGCATGGAACTGCTTCCAGTGATTCCCTAGTCTCTAGAAACAGGGGCCTGTCAATTCTTTCACTTGTGTTGAACATCTTCAACACATCTGGAATGCCAGCTTGAACACCGCACAAACACTGATACCTTTTTCAAACTTCTTAAACAGAGGGAAACATGGTATATGGAACAACTTGCCACCCACCTCACTGGCTTCCAAAGCTAAGCAATCCCGGCTGCCGGATTGAGGTAGGGCACCCACTGGATGCAGAGAGCACTGAGAAAATGGCCTGGATCTCATGGCAGCAGCTGGAAATTGAAACCCATTGGAATGTGCTTTGGGTTAGTGAACATGACCTTGAAACCACAGTCTGGCAGCAGAAAACTGCAGGGCACTTGTGGCTGTGACAATGAGACCGAGGAGCAAAGACTAGACAATTCATGCTGGAGACTGGCCAAGTATGCTCCTCCCCTCCCACCAGGGGCAGAGAGGATGGAAATTATGTGATTGCCAAGGGCAGCTGAGAAAACAAGTCATGCCTGGGGTTTTGCTTTGTTAAGAGAGCTGAGTTGGGGGAATAAAGATCTGAGAGAAGCAGAAGAAGGCTGACTCTGAGTGGTGAAGACGGTGAAGGCCAGCAGCAGCCTTCCACACCTATTCCATTGTCATCTGATGGACAGCCAAGACAGGCACTTTTCCTGGCTCTTACTTATGATATTGTCTTCACTATTTGGAGCAGTTGTGTGAAAGGTGGCCTACCAGGAGCAGACAAAGCCTGATGTACCTTGCACTGCCCTTTGCCTCCATAATTCTGGTGAAGGAGAGGATTTGAGCCTTATGTATTATACTTACTGTAATCCCCAAGAAAGAAAGGGGGTCCCTAATTGGTCCTAAAGAGTTCTCACCCTCTTTGCCCATTAAAATCACCCAGGGAGTTTCTACAAAATTACAGGTACTTAGGCCTCATTTCAAGTAAGTGCTCTCTACATTTAAAAGACAAACAGAAAAGCTCTCCAAGGTTAAGAAAATCTATTGCTTAAACTAATCAAACCTCAAAAATTCCATGGCAATCAGGTACAGTTTCTTTAATTGGAATGTGGGCAGAGGCTCACTCACATCAAAGATAGAGATAGTTGAGCATGAAGGTTCACGACTATAGTCTCAGCACTCTGGGTGGCCGAGCAGGAGGATCACTGGAGCCTAGGATTTGAAGACCACCCTGGGCAACATAGGGAGACCCCATCTCTACAGAATTAAAAATTTGTTAAAAGTCTAGCCAGGCATGGTGGTGCATACCTGTGGTCCTAGACACTCCCGAGACTGAGGTAGGAGAATCTCTTGGGCTGGGAAGTTGAAGATCGCACCACTGCACAACAGTACTCTGGGTAACAGAGCAAGACCCTGCCTCATAAAAACAAACAAAAAAAGAAGGTTAGAGAAAAAAAAGTCTCTCTCTAAATGAATAGCTTCAGCATTGGCTTTTCCAATGTCTCTCTTGCTGCTTACCAAACTGTGTTCTCCATATAACAGCCTGAGAGATTTTTTAAAGTAAACTCAAATCCTATGTCTCACCTATATAAAACCTTTCTGGGGCTTCCCATTCCATTTACTATAGACTCTAAACTGATCTCCAGCTCTCCCGGGCACCACATGATCTGCTCATCCTTCCAACTCGTGTCCTCATCACTCTCTCTTTTACTCACAGTGTCCCAGCCAGATTGGCCTCCCTTCAATTCCATAAACACGCAAGACTTTCTTGCCTCCGGATCTTCACATCTATCATTCCGTTTACATAAAATGATGTTCCTCATCTTCTAATGGTTGGCTCTCTATTGACATGTAGATCTCAGCTGAATTGTCATTGCCCTAATGAGTTGAAACATCCCTGACCATCCTCTCCCAAAAACAATCTGCTTCACTCGTCACATCACACTGTTTCTCCCCTCCTAGCTGTTACCACAACCTGCAACTAACTTATCAGTTGTCTATTTTGTTGTTTATCTGTACCTGCATAGGGACCTTAGACCATCTTGCTTCCTGCTACATTCCCAAGAGCCTAGAATCATGTCCAATGTCATAGAGGGCCCCATAAATATTTATTAAATAACCGAAGGCAAAGCTGGATCAAAATACATCATCACATCTGGAGAATTATAGCAGTCAGAGGAGGAAAACAGTGAGTTAGGATGGAAGCCAGCAGAATGGGTCACTACCTAAACCAACAGACGTGAAAAGTCTTCTATCATTCCTTGACTGGACACTTTCCTGCATGAACCCACGCCACAGTGCAGGTTCACTTTTGCCCAGATTAACCCCCAGAGTCAAGGGCTGGGTCAAGGAAACATTTGCATGGAACACTCCAAAAGAGAAACAGTCCCATAGCAGTCTCCCTGGTAATAACTTTTCAGACCTATTTGCTTAACCAAAATATACATATAGTGCCTTCACCACCCAAATATTTAGAAAGGGAAAATGAAGTATCGTCATATAGCTCTGCTTGCCTATAACTGCAATTCAGATCCCAAAATTAAAAAGAAGTGAACACCCAACCTTTCAAAACAGCAGTCCCTTTAAATAAAATAGTTCGGGCCGGGCACAGTGGCTCATACCTGTAATCCCAGCACTTTGGGAGACCGAGGCGGGCAGATCACAAGGTCAGGAGATCGAGACCATCCTGTGAATGGTGAAAACCTGTCTCTACTAAAAATACAAAAAATTAGCCAGGCATGGTGGCGGGTGCCTGTAGTCCCAGCCACTCAGGAGACTGAGGTGGGAGAATGGCATGAACCCAGGAGGAGGAGCTTGCAGTGAGCTGAGATTGCGCCACTGCACTCCAGCCCAGGTGACAGAGTGAGACTCAGTCTCAAAAAAATAATAATAATAAAATAAAATAAAATAAAAATAGTTCGTTAATTGTATGACTCAAAGAATTCCCATTGATTCTTCTCAGAACAAAAGATCTTAATAGGGCAGATCAGTAACGACTGAAACAGCCAGTAGCTTATAATTTTTTGCACATACTGTCCAAAACTATGGAACTTTGCACTCTGGACAGAAGAGCTATACCTATAAAAATTTCCCAACAGAAATCATACTCTCTATCTATGAAACAGTGCAGCAAAGTTAAATCAGTTGAAAGGAAAAAAACCACGTGTCATTAGAATACTTGGAAGAGTAGTGGATACTTTGGAGAATTGTGGTCATTGAAGAGAAGCACAGAAGGTTAAATCGGATGAAATTTTATTGGGTTGGTAAAAAGAAAAGGGAAATTGACCATGCTCCCAGAGTGAGGCCTTAACTTTTTATTTAGGTGTCAAATTGGCTGCTGCACTGGTGGGCTGATAATTTGAGGCCAAGGAGGGGCCTTTAATCCAGCAGCAAGGATGGAGTGCTTGTGCTGAAAGTTTAGGGAAATACTAAGAAAGCACATGTCTAGGGGTGACTGTCTGGCTGACACAGCAGTCACAGTTGCATTGTGGAACAGGATGCCTAGATGACCACAGGCCTTGAAGATTACTTTCAACACCCTGATTTGAGTGACTTGTAAAAAATGGAAGTGTCATGATTTAGTCTATTTGTGCTAGTACAACAAAATATATCAGATTAGAAAATGTACAAACAACAGAAACTTATTTCTCATGTTCCAGATGCCAGGAAGTGCATGATCAATGTGTCTGCAGGTTCCATGTCTGGTGGGAGCTCAGTGTCTCCTTCCAAGACAGCATCTTGTTGCTGCATTGCCTGTGTCCTCATGTGGCAGAAGAATGGAAAGGGTCAGCTAGTTTCCTCAAGCCCTTTTATGAGGTCACTAATCCCATTCACAAGGGCCCTGTCCTCATATACCAATCACTTCCTAAAGGCCCCAATTCTGAACACTATCACATTGGCAATTAAGTTTCAACATATGAATTTGGAAGGAACACATTCAGACCATACAATTTCACAAGATCAAGAAGGAATACAGGACAAAGGTGAATTTGGTATAGCCTAACTCATGCACTGCTGCAAGGGACTTTGGGAATATTTTTTACTTTGAGTCAGAGGGCAAAAACCAGAGACAAGAAAGAACAGAGGAGCAAAGGAAAGCCTAAAATATTCATTGTCATGACCTAGGATGTTACAGGATTTTGTGGCACACGGACTGATGTCTATTCTGTGCAATTCACTGACCTCCAAGAAAAGTAGCAGAAAGAGAGTTTTCAGATAAGAGTTTCAGGGACCCTGGAAACAAGTTAATATTAACTAGCCCAGTTCTTCACCAGGAAATGAGAAAGGAGATATCTTTATTTTGGTCATATTGGATAGTTTTAGTAGATACTTGGAGACTTTCTCAATAAAGTACTACAGAGCTAAATGAATGACAGTGATTAATGTCTAAGAAATTGTCTCTTACTCAGGGGTCTTCAAGAACACGGCCTCAGACAGTGGGCAGACTCATGAGACAGCTGTCCCACCAGGCACATCCCACAGCAAATGACCAAATCTAGGCAGACTTTGCTCTCCTCTGGCCTGTTCCCCAACCCTAATAGCCTTGTCATCCATCAAGAGTCAGCCTCATGGACAGTGGGACTTGGTATGCTTTCTTGAAGTGTACTCTCTGGAATTTCACTTCCAGATCGTAGAACTGTTCTGTAGATACCACCTTTCTCAGCCCCCTTCTATTTGTGTTAAGTTTATAATTGTAGTCTCATGATTCTCCTCACATCAGAAAAAGATAAGAACATTTTAGTGCTAAATTGTTCCTTGTGGATAAGTAAATAAATAAATAAATCCTTGAAGGTAAGACTTGAAATCAGAGAAAACATAAGATCCAAACACCCAATCACGGTCTTGTAAATCAATTTTTTTTCATGCTTTTATGCTGGTTAGTGATCAAGTTGCAAAATTTCCCAAAGTTGCCTTTATCACAGGCACTTCAATGCAAGCGTAGTGGCCAGCTTAAGGTCATCTCTTCGACCCTGAAATCACCAGCTGAAGACTTGTGGGAGTCAATAGAGATTGGTTTGGGGTAAGAGTAAAACAAATCACATGAGCATATGGTATTAAAGCAATTTGGTATACAGACAACGACATTAGCTTACTTTACAAGAAAAGGTAGTAGAAGCTCTCTTTGTATGCATCTACCTGGTGATAACTGTGCTCCTGGACACAAATGTGTGTAATTTTTTAAGTTGCATCTGGCTCAGGGGCTACATCAAAAATTCCAAGGGAAATGAGCAAGAATCTTATCAAGATACTACCAAAAGGCTGTTCTCCATTGCTTAGAAATATGGGAAAAGGAATGTCCACAGTAAACTGAAGAGATGCATACGAAATCTCAGAAGGAATCTCTTAACTCCTAAAAATGTCTTACACGTGGAATGCAATCTGATACAAATATAGGCAACAGACATGAACAGACACCCACCAAATAAGATATATAAATTATAAGAAAGCGTATGAAAAGATACTCAACATCATATGTCATTAGAGAATTGCAACCTAACACAAAAATGAGATACCACTGCACACCCATTAGAATGGTGAAAATCCTTAACACTGACAACTAATGCTAGCAAGAATGTGGAGCATCAGGAATGCTCATCCATTGCTGGTGGGGATGCAAAATGGTACCGACACTTGTAAGGCAGTTTGACAGTTTCTTATAAAACTAAACATATTCTTACCATATAATCCAGCAATTATGCTTCACTGTATTTACACAAATAAATTGGAAACTTACATCCACACAAAAACCTACTTCTAGGTTAGATCTTTATAGCAGTTTTATTCATGATTATCAAAACCTGGAAGCAGCCAATTTGTCCTTCAATAGTTCAATGGATAATGAAATATTATTCAGTGCTAAAAGAAAAAAAAGTGCTATCAAGCCATGAAAAGACATGGAGGAAGCTTAAATGTATATTACTAAATGCAAGAAGTCGACATGAACAGGCTACATACAGTGTGATTCCAACTATCTGACCCTGTCAGAGTCAGGGTGCACAGAGGGATTGACAGACAGAAGCAGATTTTTAGGGCAGATGACACTAAAATGGTGGTTATATATCAGAATACATTGGTCAAAACTAAGAATGTGCAAGACCAAGAGTAAACTGTGAACTTTGAGTGATAAAGATGTGTCAATGCAGATCAATGATTGTAATAAATGTACCATGTGGTGCAGAATGGTGATAGATGGGGAGTCTGTGTATGTGTGGGAGTGGGAGTATATGAGAACTGTCTGCACTTGCCCTCAACTTTGTTGTGAAGCTAAAACTATCATAGAAAATAAAGTCCATTTTAAAAACTAAATGAGATAACATACGTAAAGCACCTGATACATAGTAAAGGGCTCAATTAATATATTAGAGCTCATATGCAGAGCTTTCTTTGTGCAAGGAGATGTGCCATATGACATCTTGGTCTGATTTCAACTGATTATTCCTTAAAATAAATATCTGGAGTGGACTCGTATGGATGGGTCAAGTGTGTGAAAATTTAAAATATTTTGTCAGATACTCACCAGAAATTTGCATAAACTTACACTTCCACGGATAACACACCTGTCTCCCCACATCTTCACCAACACTTAGTAACTTCAGTGAATCTAATATTTGCTAAACCACTTGTGGTTTTCAAACTGAGTTTAATGAAGGGCTAATGTTCTTTGTAATGCAAGAGAAATCCCCAAGAAAAGAAAGCAGCTTGTTAAAAATATGTCAGTCTACCTATTTTCTTCTTAAACATTGGAGTTCCAAGAGCTCTTGACTTGACTGGCACAAAGTTCCAGTTTCATCTGAGGACTCAACTGGGGAAATATCTACTTTCAAGCTCACTTTCATAGTTGTTGGAAAATTCACTTCCTCGAAGCATATTGGACTGGGAACCTCAGTTCCCCTTTGACTGTTGGCTGCCCTCAGTTCATTACTATATTGTCCTGTCCAGCATGGCAGGTTGCTTCATCCAGCCCAATGAGAAAGAGGAAGTGTAAAACAAGATGGAAGTCACAATCTTTTCTAACCTAATCATGGAAGTAATATTCCATCATTTTGGTCCAATTATACTGATTAAAAGCAAGTTACTAGGTTCAGCACACACACAAGGGAATGAATACCAGGAAGCAGAGATCACTGGATTCAACTTAGAGGCTGGCTACCATACCATCATTGTCAGACTCCAGAGGAAATGGTTGAGTGACATCTATGTGATCTCCCCCAAAAATAACTGACAAACAGAATTCAGTAAGAAATAAAAAAGACATTTTGCTAAAGCCTCCTCCTTTCTCACTTTGAAGGTCTTGCCTGGAAAGACAGCCAAGTTGAGCTCATATAACCCAAAAGCTCTGGCCCTAGTTCTCCCTGTATGGTGGAGGGGATGGCCCATTGTTCTTTACTTCTGAAAACTGGCTCTTCAAGTACACTTCAAATACCTAGGATCCTACTCATATCCGTGCTATAGATGAGAAGAAAATTGCTTCTCCTTGGCAAACAGCTTTGGCCTGGGCAATGATTCCAGCCTCTCATTACTATGGGAAACTTTCTAGTATTTTCATTTTTGTGGTCACTGTTCTCTTCTATTTCCTTCTTTGTATTAGTCTATAAGCACTAACTTTCAGAAGCACTAAGACATTCTAGAGTCTTGATTGTTCACTCATCCTTCCATTTCTTTATTCAATAAGCATGTATTAAGTTCCTATGATGTGTCAGATGTTGTGCAAATTCTTATGGTAATAAAACGATGTATGAGACATAAACACTTTATTTAGTCAAACACTCAACAATGTTTGAACATTTGCTCTGTACAAGGTGCTAAGGATCAATAAAGGAGTAGTCCAGTTTAAGACAACACAACAAAAACAAACTCTTCACTCCACTGGCTGTAACACCTTTTTACTGAGATCTTCATGGCACAACTTCTTGAACAGGTGTTGTTTTTAAGAGTCGCTCTCTTCACATTTTTCTTCTATTCCTCAACACACAAATGAATTGTGTGTTGGACTTTCCAGTTGAACTTTCAACCCAACTATTTGTGGAAATTGCTCTTACCAAATTACTTACAATGTTGCCAAAATCAATAATCAATTATTTTCCTATTGCATTTGATCAGCAGCATCCAACATAGTGAACCAAACTCTTCTTGAAACACTTTCTTCAACTTGACTTTTACAAGGCCATCTCCTTGTAATTTTTCTCCCTCCTGCCACCAACTCCTACTCAGCATATTTAGCTGGCCCCTCCTTCTCTGTTCAACTTGTAAATATTGATATGTGTATTCCAGGATTCAGTCCGGAAACTTTCCCTATTATCCATGAATATTCTTATAACTTATTTCGTCTAGTCATGTGCCTTTAAAACTTATTCTATGCTACTCATGACCTCTCTAGGACTCAAGCACAAGGGGTGTAATTATCCTAAAATAAGCCAGGAGTTTAGTAAGCTGGCCAAGAAGAGGGATTTTCCTTTTCCCAGCATGAGAGACTGTGCCTAGTACAGCTCCCTGCAAAATGGGTGGCTTTCTCCCCTAAAAAAAGGGAAACCCTTTGCATGAGCCCCAAGGACTCTAGATGCTAGGCAGGTGATTTTTCCAGACAATCTTGTGAACATCTGGAACCTAAATCTAGACTGTTTCACACCAACAGCCTGTGTGTTCCTCCACTGATAAAGCTGTATCCTTGTGCTCACATGATAAAAAATTATAACAAGGGAGACTATTGTTCCTACACTGGAATGCAGACTCCCATTGTGAGCCCAGCATTTCCTGACCATTTATGCATCAGTATTAAATAGGAGGATGGAGAAATCATGCTGTCTATTTTTTTGCTGATCAGTAATCTTTGTGAGCTTTCCTAATACCGCTTTTTTTTTTCTGAGCATAGACAGGGGACTTTATTGGTGGTACACGACAAGGTGGGGTTCCCTAGGCCCCTCCCTCTTCAGGGGGTCTGCATGGAAACTGCATGGAGGGGAGAATCTCAGTGTGGTGGGGGACTGAGTGTGGCAGGGACTCCCCAGCAGCTGAGGGCCTCTCTTTTCCTCTCATGCTCTCGCGGGGCTGGTGGCCCAGAGGTCTTACTCCTTGGAGGCTATGTGAGCCATGAGGTTCACCATCCTGTTGCTGTACCCAAATTCATTATCATATGAGAAAATGAGCTTAACAAAGTGGTCACTGAGGGCAATGCCAGTCCCAGGATTGAAGGTGGAAGAGTGGGTGTCAATGGTTAAGCTGGAGGAGGCAACCTGGTTCTCAGTGTTGCACAGGATGCCCTTATGGGGGCCTTCTGATGCTGCTTCACCACCTGCTTGATGTTATCATATTTGGCATGCTTTTCCTGAGGGCAGGTCAGGTTCATGACCAACATGTTCGTGGTGGGGACCTGGAATGCCATGCTAGTGATCTTCCCATGCAGCTCATTGATATACTTGCCCACAGCCTTGAGAGTGCCAGTAGATGCAAGGATGATGTTCCTTTGAGCCCTGCAGCTGTCATGCCACAGTTTCACAGAGGGGCCGTCCACAGTCTTCTGGGTGGCAATCATAGCATTTACTGTGGTCATGAGTCCTTCCACTAAATCGGAGTTGTCATGGATGATCTTGGCCAGAGATGCTAAGCAGTTGGTGGTACAAGAAACACTGTTGATGATCTTGAGGCTGTTGTTATATTTCTCATGGTTCATACCCATCACAAACATGGGGCTGTCAGCAGAGGGGTTAGAGATGATGATCCATTTAACTGGCCCCTACAAATGAGCCACACACTTCTCCATGGTAGTGAAGACGACACTGGAGTCTATGATGTACTTGGTGCCAGCATTGTCCTATTTGATTTTGGTGGGATTTAGCTTTTGGAAGATCGTGGTGGGATTTCCATTGATGACAAGCTTCCTGTTCTCAGCCTTTACGGTGCCATGGAATTCACCACGGGTGGAATCATACTGGAATACATAGACCATGTAGTATGGAATTTGTAGACTATGAAGGGGTCATTGATGGTGACAATATCCACTTTACCAGTTATAAGTAGCCTTGGTAACCAGGCAACCAATGGGGCCAAATCCATTGACTCTGGCCTTCACCCTTACCATGGTGTCTCAGGGATGCGGCTGGCGCTGCACAAGAAGATGCGGCTATCTGTCGAATGGGAGGAGCAGAAAGCTACAGCATATTATTTAACCCATAGTTATCATATTGAGAAATTCTTCACACACTCTGATGTCAATAGGTGGTGACTCGGGTGGGCACCACTTGACATAGCAGGCTGACATTCCCTGAGCATGTGGACAATTCAGTTGTCTCAGTGTCACTTGTTTAAAAGACAATCTTTTTCCCTATTGAATTTGCTATTGTCAAAATCAATTGGCCATATGAATTTAGGCCATTAACCCACACATAGGCAAAACTTCCCTCAAAATAAAATAAAGGCCTAAATTTAAGGGCTAAACTATACACCTCTTAGAAGAAAACATAGATTATTATATTCATGATCTTGAATTAGGCAAAAACCCAACTTTTCCTGGTTAAAAAATAGTTGAAAAATGAAACAGGATCAAAACTAAAAATGTTGGCATTTAAAAGCCACCAATAAGAAAATGAAGAGATAAACCAGAGACTGAGAAAAAAAATTCAAATCATATATTTAATACAGGACTCATATCCAGAATATGAAATACACTTACAACTACGCAACAAAAAGATAAATAACCCAATTTTAAAATAGGCAAAATATTTGAATAACCATTTCATCAAAAAGGTGTAGGAATAGACAATAAAATACATGAAAAGATGGTCAGCATCATCAGTCAGCAGGGACATGCAAATCAAAACTACAGTGAGACACCACTTCTTACCCACTAGAATGCTATAATAAAAAAGGACAGTAACACCTGGGGGAAGTGAAATAATGACGTGGAAAAACTAAAACACTCACGCATTGTTGATGGGACATGCAGTCACGTTGGAAACCAGTTTGGCAGTATCTTAAAATGTTGAAGATATATTTACCATATGACCTAGCACTATCACTTCTAGCTATCTACCCAGAAGAAAAAAACCTATGTCCACACAACACATGAATGTGAATATTCATAGCAACTTTATCCATAATTGTCCATAAAGTAGAAACACTCAAATATGTATCAACTGATAAATGAATAAACTAATGGGAGCTATCCATACAATTTAATAGGATTTGTCCCCTAACAGGATTAAAATATTGATATGTGCTGCCACATACATGAACCATAAAAGTATATTAAAGTAAATGAAAGAAGACAGATACAAAAGACCACATATTGCATGATTTCATTTATATGGTCTCCAGAAAAGGCAAATCTGTAGAGTCAGAAAGTCAATTAGAGGTTGCCTGGAGCTGGGGACTGGGAAAAAGTGGTGGTGACTGATGAACATAGGGGATTTCTTAGGAATGATAGAAATGTTGCAAAACAGGATCATGGTGATGGTCACACAAGTCTAAAATTTTACTGAAAATAATTTAACTGCACACTTAAAACAAGCGAATGTTATGTCAATTATACCTCAGTAAAGCTGTTTAAAAACAAAAGAAATTTAGTAGTGTGGCCCCCATCAGTCTTGCCCTTTGTTTAATTTCTCACTTTCTTTAGGGCTTTTATTTATCGGTTCCACTCAGAGACTCCAAGAGACACTGGCTGAAATCTATCAGCCTCCAGAACTCTCAACAGCATAGGGAATGTCTGGCCCCATCCGAAAGGTGATGGGATCTGTAAGGTGCACTCTAGCATGTGCTATAGCAGGCAAAGGTGTGTGATGCACCTGGGTGGTTCAGATAGTGCTCCACATGTCTCAGCAAGACCCAGGGCCTGTAGCTATCGGAGAACAAGCTGCTACATCTTGCAGCACAGGGCCAACCTTTTCTAGGCAAGTGGGTTTGAAGCATTGGTAGTCAGGTCCCAAGTAGCAGTTGAATGTTTTCAACATGGGAGGAGGGCAAGACCTAGAGTGGGGTTTCAAAGCAAATCATTTGTAGAATATTACTTCCAACAACTGCAGAAAGCATTCGTTTCAAGTGTTTATGGGATGTTCACCAACACAGACCTTTTGCTGCACCATAAAACAAGTCTCAATATATACACAAGGATCAAAATCATACAGAGTATATGCTATGGCCACAGTAGTATTTAATTAGAAATTCAAAACAATAAGATATCTAGAAGATTCCCAATTTCAGAAAACAAGCTACATACTCTGTTGGTATCGGTCACTTGGGTCAAAGACGAACTCACAAGAAAAAATTCAAAACATCATTAACTGAGTGATGATAACCCGATGCATCAAAATGTTGGCTGCAGCTGACACAGTGCTTAGAGAGAAACTTACAACTTTAAATGCCTGTAGTGGAAATGAGCAAAGGACTAAAGTCAATTATATATGCTTTTATAATAAGAACCCTGAAAAAAAGGAGTAAAACAACCCCCAAGTTAATAAACATAAGCTGATAATAAAAACAAAGAAAATCATGAAATAGAAAAATGAACAAACAATAGAGACAATCAATGGTCAATCCTTCTGTACTCCATGAACAAAACTTCAGTTCAGAATGATTTTATATTTAAATATATATCCAGAACCACAGAGATCTTAGAAGAATAAATTAAGAAAATATAGGAATAAAATGAAAATTCTGTGGGAATAAAAATCAGAAAGTAGCTGCCTACCAGGGTAAATTGGGGGCAGGGGAGGGAATTAACTAAGAACAGGCAGAAAAGAACTTTCTGCAGTGAAGGAAATGACCAATACATTTTTTGGGTGCTACTTACATGGGCATACATAACTGTCAAGGTTCATCAAACTAAACACGAGCTCTGGGCATTTTAGTGAATATAAATTACACCTGATTACACCTGGATTTTTTTTTTTTTTCTTTTTTGAGACGGAGTCTCACTGTGTCGCCCAGGCTGGAGTGCAGTGGCGCAATCTCAGCTCACTGCAAGCTCCGCCTCCAGGGTTCACGCCATTCTCCTGCCTCAGCCTCCTGAGTAGCTGGGACTACAGGCGCCCACCACCAGGCCCAGCTAAGTTTTTGTATTTTTAGTAGAGATGGGGTTTCACCGTGTTAGCCAGGGTGGTGTTGATCTCCTGAATTCATGATCTGCCTGCCTCGGCCTCCCAAAGTGCTGGGATTACAGGCATGAGCCACTGCGCCTGGCCTCGATTTTTTTAAGTAGAGGAAAGTATCTTGGAGAGCTTATGGTGGTGAAATTTGGGCAGTTCTCAGGTATACGCTCAAGGAGCATTCACAGCATCTTCAGAAATTTGCTGAGAATGGTTTTGTACCCAAAAATATGGGAAAAGTTCAAACATCTATGATAAGAGTCATTGGAGCATACAACCACAAATCCCCACTCCTGTGGTACAGGCCATATCATTAAATGGTTAACACTAGATAGCTTTCCTTCAATGGTGTTCTTCATCTAGGAACCCAGAGCTCTCTGGGGGAAAATTGCAATTGAGGTTTTGGATATATTGAATAGGTAAGTAAGTCACCTCCGTAAAACTTAGTGATTGGAGCTGTCACCATTGCAAATTTCTAAACTTTGCAAGACAGCAGCAACATTTCAAATGACACTCAGAGAGAGGAGATAACGAGCTAATGTGGATTTCCTTCCAAACATATTTACTGCACAAAAGCAAAGTTCACATTACACTTGGAGATTTCTCTCAGCCTAGTTTAAGATCACAGATTGCGGATCCCCGATATCTGGTATCAACTGACCAGTGTCCTGTTAAGGCTAAACCTAAGACTCTTTACTGCATTGCTGCCTTAGAATTGGACTTCTCTTCCTGTTCCTGGGAAGAATTAGAGATATAGACTAAAGGTCACTATTCTTCTGAGAAAAGGGATGCTGGAGGAGGCAGGAGAAATGAGTATGTGGCAGGAGTTCAAGGGGATAAGGGGCAAGTCAGAAGCCACGGAGCATAAAGGCCCAGGGCTCCCTTAGGGGATGAAGTGACAAGCACCCTGACTCTTTTGTCCAGCTTTAACAATCTAACAGTAAGAGCTTCTTCATTTTCTTTCAGCTACTCCTGGCAATGGTGGAGACATGGAATTTTTGCAAAAAAAATGGGGTAGAGGAAAATAAGACATCTGTGTGAGTATATAACCATTTGATCTCTTTTTTTAGCCCTCTCCAGGGTCACCCTAGAATCAGATCTGCTCCCCAGCATCTTCTGTTTCCTGGAGTGTGTTGTCTGCTACTTTGGATTGGCCATGACAGGCTGGAGCTGCCTTGTGACAGGAGCAGGAGGGTTTCTGGGTTAGAGTATCATCCGCCTCTTGGTGGAGGAGAAGGAGCTGAAGGAGATCAGGGCCTTGGACAAGGCCTTCAGACCGGAATTGAGGAAGGAATTTTCTGGTAAGTAAACTTGATTCATGGGTGTGTGGTTCCATTTTAGACACTGCATGGGTGCAGGAAGGTGGACCTTTTCTAGCAAGTTACAGAGAACAGTAGTCAAATCTAAGCCAATCTCACATCGATAGTCTTAAAAAAAAAGAAAGAAAAGAAAATTAAATAGTATAAAATGGCATAGTGTGAAAGATTCTGGATGGGCTATCCAGAGACTGGATTCTGTCCCTGACCCAGAACTTGAGAGGCAACCACTTTGGACACCAGCCCCCTTTTCTTCTCATCTAGAAAATCCCACATCAGTTATTTTTCTTGTCTGCAACTATTTTAAGTTCTGAAGCTTTTTGTCTCGGCAATTGCTTTGCAACATTCACAAAGGACACCATTTACCTGAAGACCTCACCAGTGGGTCCCTGCCTCTCTAGACTTCCCTGAGCTTTGTTTTGTTTTGTAGCAACCTTGGCACCTTTGGTGAAGGCAAAATAAAAGGAAGTGAAGTTATAGATGAGTGTGTAAGTGTGTGTGTTTGTGTGTGTGAGAGAGAGAGAGCAAAAGAGAGAGAAAATGAGGGGGAGAGAAAATCAGAGAGAGAGAATGAGAAAGAGAAAGAATGCATGAGAAAGAGTGAGAGAGAGAGGGAGAGGATAGGAGAAAGAGACAGCATCAGTGAGAGAGAGAGAGCATGCACAAGTGCACAGCACAGAGCAGAGACAGAGTAAGAGGCAGTATAAGGCCGGATATCCCTCTTTTCGATTTTTCATTTATGGCTTTATTTTTTAACCATTTGCTTCTGTTGCTCAATACCCCCAAGAAATTGCAGAATTTGCTGTAGCAACTTCTTGTGCAAATAACTCCATGAGGAAAGTAGAAAAGGAGTCATATCCAACTGGACAATGAACTATCAAGATCCAGAAACATAAAACAACTTGCTAAGACCATCTGGTTAATGTGTAGCAGACCTCAGACCAGAGCTTCATCCAGAAGCATCATCACTTTACTCTGGAGCTGATCCTTGGCAAAGTGGGTCTTCAGTCTCTCCCTTTGCCTCTCTGGGTGCCCAATTCCCTGTCCTCCTCCCCAACCCAGGGGGTGGGTGAACTGTGTGTCTACACCTGGGCTCTGGCTGTGCAAAGAGTCATGCCCTGCCCTCAGAGAAGCCCCTACTTGACAGCACTCAGGGACCACCACACCCAAAATTCTGCTCTTCTTTTGCTCTTTTCTGACCTCTTCCAATTTCCTCCACCCTCTGTTTTAATGGTGTCTTTCATAAACAAATACTAACACAAGACCAAGATGAAATGTTTGTAATCCTTATGTGTCACCAATATTTGCAATCTAACACCTAATACCAGAAAAAAAGCAACGCTCAGCCTAGAGGAATAGTTCTCCTATGGTGAAAAGGTAGGGGATATAATGGATGGGCAGTAGCCTGTATAAAGATAAAAACAGAGAATCCTTTCAGTGTTCTTTCTGTGCCAGGCACTGTGCTACATGTTTTGCATGTGCTGACTCATTTGTTACTCATAGCAACCCTATGAGATTGTTAATATTATTATCCTCCTTTCTCACAGATTAGGAGACAGACATAGAGAGGTTAATTAACTCGTTGAAAGTCTCAGAGTTAGAATATGGCAAAGCTGGATTTGAACCCAGACAGTCTAGTGCGGCATCTGTGCTCTTAAGCAGTAGTTCACCTAGCAGCTTGGGGAATGAGGGAGCTATGGCTCCATCCACAAAGTCCCCTTTCCTGGTCTCTAGATCCCTGTGAACTCATTAAGGAAAAGCCTTTTCTCTTGGCTTTAGACTTCTTCAGCTTTGAAATGGCAATTCCTTTGAGCCAGTCTGTCTGAAGTTGGCAGCAAAGGGGAAGCAGAGGAAGGGAGCAGGAAGTGCAGAGGTGGAAATACAACCAGAGAAAATTCCACTCTCAGGCTGTCACCCATGTCCTCCCCAGCAGCCTCTTCCCTGCCTCCCCCATAGCATGGCCTTCTTGGAGTTGCCTGGCAATAGGAAGGGGCTGGGAGTAGACAAAACATGGCAGAGGCATTAGGAGAGGAAGTGGTCCCGCCTGTATCCCAGGAAGGAATTGCTCCGGTCTTGAATTTTTCGCTCTGAATTTTACTCTCACTGTTCTTTGGCCTTTGTTGCCAATTTCAGTTGAACTGGCTTATTCTTACTCTTTCTCAGAAAAGTTTATTCTAAACAGCCAGTCCTGTACCTGGTGTGCAGGGTACGAGGCTTGGAGGTGGAGTGGGCAAGTTTGAGCCTCTACTAGAAACGCGACCTTTGATCTGTCCCTTAACCTCTCTGAACCTCAGTTTCCTCACCAGTAAAGTGGGACTCAGAAAACCTATCTCATGAGATTGCTGTAAAAGGAAATAAGCAAGCTGTGAGTCATATGCAGATTATAAAGCACAAACAAGTGTAGTGTATTTATCCAAGCTTCATGTACCACAGTGTTCATTGCGTGGGCTAATTCCAGGTGACAACTTTACTGGCAGCATCACTTCTTGTGGATTTCAGAGGAGCGTGAAGACATTAAAGTTTTAACCACTGCCCTCAGCTAGACAGCTGGAATATCAGTTCATTGGTCGCTAACTTTCAGCATTGCTATCTGCTTTTCAAATCTGATGAGTTTTTCATGGAAATTCCTCATTTAAGCCCATCAGCAATTCCCTAGTAATGGCTCCACTCTCCTCCCAATTGCCCAAGGAGGAAACCATAGGGGTGATTTTGTCTTCTTTTTCTCTCAGCCCAGATCCAGTAGGTATCAGGACCTTCAAGGTAAGGTCTGAAATTCAAACCTGTTTTATCTCTCCCCTGCTCTGCTTCCACTGCTGGACCCTGCTTCCAGTCCTCATCGAAACTTTGGCACAGATACTCTGATTAATATCTTAATTACCTTACTTTCTCATATCCCCTATACCAGTCCATTTTATATCCTCAAGCCAATGTTGACTTCCTACATTACAATTCTGCTTCTGTTTCTCTGTCTCTCTTTTTTTATTAACAGGGTTTGGCTGTGCCACCAAGGCTGGAGTGCAGAGGTATGATCTCTGCTCACTGCCACCTTCACCTCCTGGGCCCCATTCATCCTCCTGCTTCAGCCTCCCGAACAGCTGGGACTATGGGCAAGCACCACTACGCCTGGCTAATTTTTGTGTTTTTAGTAGAGACGGGGTTTCACGAGGCTGTCCAGGCTGGTCTTGACCTCCTGGGTGCAAGCAATCTGCCCACCTCAGCCTCCCAAAGTGCTGGAATTACAGGTGTCAGCCACCATGCTCTGCCTGTTTCTCTACTTATTCCAAATATAAATAAGGGATTTTCTTTGACATGGTGCTGGAGACCCAAAATCATGATCCCGCATCACCAGCAGAATTAAATTCAAATTTTCCCTCTTATACCCAACTCTCCACAGTCACCTTACTCTCTTTAAATATTTTAGTGAGTCTCCCATGACTCTAGAAATGCTTATATTCCAAGCACACCTGACAGCTCATTGCTCAGATTACTTTTCTTAAATGAGATGGGGTAGAAACAGATGTTTGCTCTTTCCCAATAAATTGCTACATATTCTGACTTCTGTGTCCCTGTTTACTTGTTCCTTCCATGGAATGTACACCCTCCACTCCAACACCCTGACTCTAGCCATCCTCGAACATCTATGTAACAACATCTTTATCAGTTTCAGAAATCGTTTCAGAAATCGTTCTGATAACCTGACCGGTGTTCACACAGAGCTCCAGAACAAGACCAAGCTGACGGTGCTGGAAGGAGACATTCTGGATGAGTCATGCCTGAAGAGAGCCTGCCAGGACATGTCGGTCATCATCCACACCACCTCCATCATAGACATCATCGGTGTCACTCACAGAGAGTCCATCATGAACATCAATGTGAAACGTACAGTAGCCTGGGGAGGAGATGAAGCAAGGTGGGGAATTAAGGATCACAAAGAAGGACAGGAAGGGAAAAGAAGTCTCTCCACTGAACACCTGCTATGCTCTGGACCAAGTGTCTTTGCTGATCACTACCAACTGGGGGAGTTCAAAGCTGCTATCTTCAGTTTTTTACATGAGGAAACCAGTGCTACAGATGGCAAGTAACTTGTCCAAGGCCCCCCCAGGTAAGTAAGTAAATAGGAGAGTTAGACTTTAAACTCACCCCTGTGTGACTCCAAAGGCTGTGGACACTCTTTCTATAGTGGCTTCAATCAAAAGTCAACTAAATTCCAACTTCAGACTCTTGATATCCCTCTATGGGACAGAATCAAACCTTCCAGGTGCCACCATAGTCATCATTGTGCTACACACAAGTCACCTTGTGCGTAGGCTTATGATAATGAAATGGGAAAAATTCCCTCATCCCCCTCACCAGGCATGCAATGAGGGTGTGGCTTGCTTCTTCAATGCCTCACTGCTCAAACCTCTGTGGGAGCATAGAGACAGGCAGGCTGTGGGACTCCGACACCATAGCAGTGTCTGGGGTGAATGTTTACAGCTCCTGAAGCCTCAGTGGGTGTGTGTTACATGGTGCTCTTTTAGTCTTGCTCTTTTAGTTTTGACATCTACAGGCGGCTTGTTTTAACCAGCTAAATTAGACCCTCTACCTTGTCGGAAGGTCAGAGGGCTTTCTGTATCCTGGGTTCTTGTTTTGGTTACCAGAGAAATTAGATCACACCTGGGCTTGGAGAATGAGTGCCAGGTTTTGTTGAGTGAAGGTAGCTCTCAGCAGCTGGGGGATGCCAGAAGGGGAGGGTTTTCCCATGGAGTTGGCCGTTCAACTGCCCAACTCTTCTCCGACCATCCCAGGGAAACTCCACATCATTCTGCTGGGCGGTGTGTTCCTCCCAACGTCCAGCTGCCCATGTGTTCCTCTGCTGATGTGTGCCTCCACTGATGTGCCCCTCCTGACATCCAGCCCCTTCTATCTTCTTCTGCCAATCTGCTCCTCTCATTGTCAGGCAGTTTGTGTGTGTCCTGCTAGGGTCTTGGGGGTTTTATAGGCAGAGAATTGGGGCATGGCAGGCCAGGGTGGTCTTGGGAAATGCAACATTTGGGCAGAAAATGTTTGTCCTCATCTAGGTCCCTGGGAGTAGAGCCATAGCCAGGGACCACACCCTCCTTCACCCAGCACTTCCCTTCCCCCCTCCCATATCATTTAAAGGGACCATGCTCTTCCCTTCCCAGCACTCCCATATCAAGAACATTCAGAGCCCTCCTGCCCACCTCAAAGAAGTTCTCTCGAGAGAATTAGTAAAGTTGGTCCACAGAGGTCTGTCAGGACTGAATTATCCAGCACATGCTTTCTCACAATATTTTCTTAAGAAAAAGGGTTTCCCAGTGTCCAGAATACACAGTCTCTTCAGCTCGCCACAGGGCCTGCTATTACAGAGCCATTCCCAGCCAGGTGTCCAACATGCACCTTCATTCAATCCTCATCCCTTAAAGTCTTGGTGGTCTTTCCGAATTGCAGCTTTCCAAACTACTTTAAATTCAGACACATTCCCTTAAGGAATCTCGTCATGCAGTCTCACCCTCTGATTCCCAGAGCCCAGTCTCTTCAGCACCACAGCACCCCACCACTGGCCTAGCCCTCCACATTCAGTCTACTCTGACACCTTTTCTAAAGCAACTAATTGCTTTTGGGTCTCCAGCACCATCTCAAAAAAAAAAAACCTTTCCAGTTTCTACTTACGCATACCTTTAAGTACCTCTACAGTGTGAGGAGGGTGTTAAGAGTAACCAGTGTTTCATTTGAATTATTAACTCTCCACAGCTCCCAACAACAAGAAAGGTAAAATGACAGGGGAAGTGTTAGAGGCATCTGTTTCCTAAACCATTATCACTCCAAGACTTAGAAAATATTTCACAATGTTGGTCATTTCCCCCTTGAAGGTAAACTACTTCCGCATTTTCTCTGCCACCAGATTAATTGTTGAAAACATGAGGCTGTCTCTCCAGAAACTCAAATTCCACAGAGACTTTAAACAGGGCCAAGAATAAAAAAAAATAAGAAAAAATAATAATCCTTTGCCTAGGAAATTCCTTCCTTCTTCAAGGGAAGGCACTCCGAACACCTCCATGAGCTACACTTCCACACAGCTCAGGGGAGGCGGCAAGGTCCTCCCAGTACAGGTGTTACCAGCAGAGGGCACACTCCTCTCCCCAGTCCTCCACCAGGCTCCACAGGAAACGCCAGGGCAGGGTTTAAAGGAAGGTTTATCACCCCGACTTTACATAACCAGGTAAACAGAGTCACAGCCAGAATTGGAAGCAGCTTTCCCAGGGAATGCACAATCAGGAAAAGAGTGTGGGTTTCCAGCATCTCCCCACAAGCCACTGTTCGCTCAATGACTCCAGGAATGGTCCTGGTGACAAAGTTTTACCAGTCCACTCAAAATGAGAAAAATACCAGCAATTGCATGTATATTCAACAGTATATTTAAGAGTGTATATTGCTTATATACAACTGTATATGGGTGTCTGTGTGTGTGATGTAAATTCTTCTACTGCCCTTTTTTGCCAAAGAACCAGGACTGTCCATATTCTCAGAGTATATCTTCCTGATTTTTTAGTTTTTCAATAATCTGCCTTTAATGGTATTGATGTCACATTATAATTTTCAACATCCTTACTTGGCAAAATATAAAGTGATAACCCTAGGTCCTTTGCCAAAATTAAACTACACACACACACACACACACAAAAACACACACACACATCCAAACACCCAAAAGTCTAGAAATTCTTGCTCTCCAGAATCCATATGTCAGTTTCTTTTCATTTTGGTGTTTTTCCTATGGCTGTAGCATGGCCCAGTCTCAGTCAGAGCCACAAAAGAATGTACCTGAGTCTGTTATAACCACTGCACTTGGGAGTGGAGATATGTGCACGTGGTTGGGGCCCCTTAGGGATATTTCCTGACACTGACAGAATGCTTTTCGTTGGTAGGTACCCAGCTTCTGTTGGAGGCCTGTGTCCAAGCTACAGTGCCAGTCTTCATCTACACCAGTACCCCAGAGGTAGCCGGGCCCAATTCCTACAAGGAAATCATCCAGAACAGTCACGAAGAAGAGCCTCTGGAAAACACATGGTACGCTCCATACCCACACAGCAAAAAGCTTGCTGAGAAGGCTGTGCTGGCGGCTAATGGGTGGACTCTGAAAAACGGTGGCACCTTGTACACTTGTGCCTTAAGACCAATGTTTATCTATGGGGAAGGAAGCCCAATCCTTTCTGCCGGTATAAATGAGGCCCTAAACAACCATGGGATCCTGTCAAGTTTCAGCAAGTTCTCCAGAGTCAACCCAGTCTATATTGGAAACATGGCCTGGGCCCACATTCTGGCCTTGAGGCCCTGCGGGAGCCCAAGAAGGCCCCAAGTGTCCGAGGACAGTTCTACTACATCTCAGATGACATGCCTCACCAAAGCTATGATAACCTTAATTACATCCTGAGCAAAGAGTTCGGCCTCTGCCTTGATTCTAGATGGAGCCTTCCTTTATCTCTGATGTACTGGATTGGCTTCCTGCTGGAAATAGTGAGCTTCCTGCTGAGGCCAATTTACACCTATCGACACCCTTCAACCACCACAGAGTGACATTGTCAAATAGCGTGTTCACCTTCTCTTACAAGAAGGCTCAGCAAGATCTGGCATATAAGCCACTTTACAGCTGGGAGGAAGCCAAGAAGAATGTACCTGAGTCTGTTAGAACCGTGGAGTGGGTTTCCCTTGTGGACTGGCACAAGGAGACCGTGAAGTCCAAGACTCAGCGATTTAAGGATGACAGAGATGTGCATGTGGGTATTGTTAGGTGATGTCATCAAGCTCCATCCTCCTGGCTTCATACAGAAGGTGACAATGGCACAAGCCCAGGTCCTGTTGTCTCCCTTTCACACAATGCCCAACTTATTGTCTTCCTCATGTCATCAAAACCTGCCCATTCCCTGGCTCAACCAGGAGCTTTCTGTCCTAATCATATACCAGAGGAAATACAATGTGATTTGCTTTTTCCAAATCTCAGTGGCTCATTCTGAACAATTGTGGTCTCTCTCTCTTTTTTTTTTTTTCCTTTGAGACAGAGTCTGGCTCTGTCCCCCAGGCTGGAGTGCAGTGGCGCAATCTCTGCTCACTGCAAGCTCCGCCTCCCAGGTTCACACCATTCTCCTGCCTCAGCCCCCCCGAGCAGCTGGGACTACAGGCACCTGCCACCACGCCCAGCTAATTTTTTGTATTTTTAGTAGAGACGGGGTTTCACCGTGTTAGCCAGGATGGTATCAATCTCCTGACCTCGTGGTCTGCCTGCCTCGGCCTCCCAAAGTGCTGGGATTACAGGCGTGAGCCACCGCGCCCGGCTTGTGGTCTCTTTTAACTTGAGGGTCGCTTTTAACTACTAGAGCTCCATTTCTCCTCTTAAATGAGAAAGGATTTCATTTCTTTTCTTTTAAATCTCCTATTTCTTCACGCAGTTCAATGTAAAGAGCAATAAATGTTTTAATGCCTAACCTGGAGGGAGGCGTGGTTTCTGTTAATACATACTTTCCTTGTTCCTTTTCATTTCCAGGTATCACCATCTTTTACCTAGGAGAGTAGCATGGAGCTGGGGATGAGGGGTGGGCAGAGTAGTGGGAGGGTCAGGAAGGGCGATGAAGACTGAATAAGCTCTACTATGTTTCAGGCGTGTACAACATGACCTACATATGACATATATTCCCTCACTGAATACTCATCAGAAACCTATCACGAGGGGTGACTATTCCCATTTTACCGGTGAGGAAACTTGTTCACAGTCACACTAACTGATTAATGGCTAGGCCTTCTAAAAGGCAGTTGACCTTGAAAGTCCTTATCTTTCCACGGAATCACACAGCCTGAACTGGTCTTGTCAGTGGTACAGCAGAACACTGGAGCATGGGGTGCTGATACTTTGGAGGGCCCCAGCTTTTTTGGGTTACCTCTTTCTTGCCCAGTCGCACGCAGGGGATTCTCTAGAACCCAGGAGAATCCCTGAGGGGCATCTGAAAGAGATTGCACGCCTTTCCTAATGGCCCCGAGCAGGGCTGAAAGAAACAAAAACGCATTCAGCCTCTACCAGCTTCGGTGCCAATTTCCTAGAAGGTCTCTAGAACACTCCTGGCTATATGTGTGTTGGCCATTCTGATCATACATAACCCTGCATTTCACCCTTTCAAATCACACAATGAGCCACACCATGGGTTCCTGGGCAAGTAAAGAAAACAAGTGTGAACTTCTCCCAAAATATACCTTCTACTCAGCCCAAAATTAGAAGTCTATTATCCCACATCCCCAGATTTAACTGCCTCTCTCTCTCCTTTCTCCTCTTCTTTAAATCACATACTTTCTTCCTTTATTCTTCCATATCCTTAGGCTCTTTCTTCCCTCCATCTCCTCTTTAATCACTGGTTCTCTCATTCTTCTCAATTTCCCTGAAGAGAGGAGGCCAATCAAGACAAGTTTGGGGACTTCAGTGATGACACAGTCATTAACCAATCAATGAAAACACACTCAAAAGAAACACTGTCAGGGGCGTCAGGGACAGAGTTGAACTGAAGCAGGTGAGGAGGTTGCTATGGGTCCAGAGTGTGGAGATGGAAGCTGTCTCCCTCTGGACCTTTGTGTATCACAGCCATGATGAGAGTCACATCCAACATCAAAATGACTTCTTTCTTACACAGGAAATTTACAGATCATTAATCAGTTGAATTTGATTACCACAATGGAGTTAGTTTCAGTGTTCATTCTGAAGAGAAAAGGGAACCACATTCTGGCCCAGATGAACAGGTTTCCACCACCTTCAAAACCCCAAGGAACAGATGATCAGCACTAGCATCAGGGGCGAGTGGCTCCAGGCAGTGGGGTAAGGTGAAAAATGCAACACCCCTCCTTCCCCAGCCACCGCACAAAATGCAAGAGCCAGCATCTCTCCAGCTCTTGTAAGGCGTGCGCACGATCCATATGTTAATGCCAAGTACCACGGGAATCAACGGAGGGTGGTGGAATCAGGGACAAGAGCCCTTCCCCTGGTTTTTCAGCCTAGTGAAACCCTACACTTAGGAAACCACCAGGGCAATTTTCACAGGGAAATGAAGGAAAATGACAGATCTCCGACGGGCAGCGAGGGGAGTTCAAAGAAAGAGACGAGGGGGCCGGATGAGTCAACAGTCTCAACTGAACAAGCACAAACGCCTCGCAGTGTTGTGGCCAACAAAATTTGCCATCCCTTCTTACACCTGAGAGTGCCAAGCAGGTAAAGCTCCTGCACCAAGCCCCGCTGCACCTCACGTGGTGCACCACACGGGGGCAGCAAAGGCTAAGAGGGAAGAACAAGGAAGCCTGACCTGGCCGGGATTTTTGGGTCCTTTTTCTCCACCTGGGTGGCTCTGCAGGGTACCTGACAAAGGATTGAATAAAAGCACAGGCAAATGCTCAACCACCGGCTTAAGGGCTAGGTGTATATGAGTACTGAGAATGGAGCTGAGCCGAAGTCACTGGGAAAAGCCACAGGAGCCAGTGGGGCTTGAATGAGGCCTTGAATTCCTCAGTCCAGGCAGTGGGCACAGACCGAGCAGTGGTGCAGAGGAGGATGGAGGGGCATGAGGAGGCCCCTCGCCTTCTGGAAAGCATGTACAGAGGGCAGATGAGAGAGCTCGGGTGCCAGACTAAGCCACAGACTAGACAGGCAGGTTCCAAGGGCCAGGATGGGCCAGAGCCTGTGATGGACTGGTGAGAACCGGCAGGAAAGTGACCATTATGATGTGAAATCCCGTGATTTCTAAATATTAGTGACTAACTCTAAATTTGAAAAAGCAGTGTGAAGATCTGCTCCAGGAGAGGGATGTGTGGGCTAGTGTTCCAACTGTATGTGCAATAATTTATATCTTAAAAAGTGGGTGGCGAGGTGTCAGCAGCAAATCTATTCATTCTTGGCGATAAGTCCCAAATATACATTATTATATCATACTCTCAGCTTTCCTGTATGTTTAACATAGGTTATAATTTTTTAATAAATTAAATTTGGTGGGGAACAAATATGCAAACTAAGAAAACACACTCACAGCCTGGCCCCAGGATTAAGGCCTCCGATTTTCCACTTCTGCTCCCAGTCTAGTGGTCCAGTGCGGGAGATAAAATAGGAGACGTGTTAGGTGCAGTGCACAGTAAATGTGAAGAGTGCCATAAGAAAGGAAAATGCTTCCGGGAGATCCATTCCCATAGGGGATTCATGGAGTCCTTGCATTTGGGCTAAATATCAGAAGATGGGTAGGATTTCAACAGACAGGAATGTGAGGGAAAGTATTCCAGGTGGAGACAATGGAGTCTGCAAAGACCCAGGTGGGAAAGGGGTCACTTTTAGGGAACAATGAGACCAGACCAGAGAGCACCACGCCAAGGCAGAAATGGAAGATACACCTGGAAAGACATGATGGGCACACACAGGATCACCCGGGGCCACCCCTGGAGACGACCTGCCTGCTTCCTTCACTGACCTCAGAGTAGGAGTTCTGTGTCCCCATTAAAGACGACTTGGGCTGGGCACAGTGGTTCACGCCTGTAATCCCAGCACCTTGGGAGGCTGAGGCAGATGGATCACCTGAGGTCAGGGGTTCGAGACCAGCCTGGCCAACATGGCGAAAGCCCGTCTCTACTAAAAATACAAAAAATTAGCCAGGCAAGGTGTTGGCGCCTGTAATCCCAGCTACTTGGGAGTCTGAGGCAGGAGAATTGCTTGAATCCAGGAGGCTGAGGTTTCAGTGAGCCAAGACTGCACTATTGTACTCCAGCCTGGGTAACAGAGTGAGACTCTGTCTCAAAAAAAAAAAAAAAAAAAAAAAAAAAGACAACTTGACATTCAATTACTCCACACATACAACATGCCTCATGTTCTCTCAAAAATTGGAATCTATGGGAAAAGAATGTCTCCTCTAGCTATGAATATTGATGGTGATGCTAAAAGCTGGGACATCATTCACTCTGCAATGGGAATTGTTCAGCTGTCCCTGGAAGATTACCTTGGCAGCACGTTGTAGGATGGACTGAAAGAGATGAAGAGGATACTTGAAGAATCTAGGTAAGAAACGAAGGCCTGATTTATGGGTTGGTAACAAAACAGAATACAGGGGCAACTGCGGCAGGCCTGAGATAGAATGGCCGCTAGTTTAGACAGGACTGGGTATTGGCACAGAATTCCCAAGCACACACTTTCTCAAGCCAGAAACCTGGATGGCAGCCCCCCACTCCGCCCACCTATCATTCAGCGCTACCAACTTTACCTCCACAACACCTCTTGAATGTGTCATCTTCCTCCCTGGTAACATCATTCCTACTCGTACCCCCAACAGGCCTCCTTGTCTTGGAGAGTCACCCATGAAACCTATCCTCAGCAGTGTTGCCAGAGTTCTCTCCAAACTAGTCTCACCATGTCACGCCCTTTCTTAAAACCAACCACGAGGGGGAGCCCCAGGACTGTCAGGGTGAGCCTGTGAGCCTTAGCATAACAGAGGGCCTCTGAAGACCTGAGCCCTGCCTGACACTCCAGACTAATTCTCATCAATCCCTGCCCTATCCCCAGATTCTCCTACTTTGTGCCTCAACAACTTTCCAAACTCAGCGCTTCCTGCATGCAGCATGCTTTTACATCTACCCAGGCCAGTGCACTGCGTTCCTTCGGCTTAGAGGGTGCCAAGCTCTCCTGCCAGTGCATCCTTCCCAGCTCCTTATTCACCATCCAAAGCATCTCTTTTTACAGCCTCCATGCTTTGTGCATAGTACCACTGCCATTAATTTTTCATTTATATATCCTGTTCCCCACCCCTATACTGCCGTGTCCAAAGGACAGTAACTCACCATGTCATCTCTCTGTCCCCAGTGACTGACACAAAATAGACACATGGGCTGATGGATGGAAGGATGAAACACAAGCAAACTCAACTGCTAGGATGGAGACAGGAGGGATGGAGAGTCAGGGAGCAGAATGCTTTGAGTGACAAAGCAAGAAAGAATGCAAAGATGAATTTTCACGGTGTTGATGAACCTGAAGAAGCTGGATCATCATGATGAGAGATGGGAAAGAGATAAGCCACATAGTGGGTATGGTGCTGAGAATGAACTCATTTGTGTGATATGAAGAGTGAGTGGGGTTGTGAGAGGCCCATGAGCAGGGAAAGGGAAAGGCTGATGAAGGCGAAGCCCAGCTGCCAAGGTTATAAAGGGACTGGGAATTAGATCCAAAACCTGAAATGGTGCAAGGCCCAGAGCATTTTTATACTACAAAAAAAGGAAAAGCTGCTTTTGAAAATTGAATTCAGAAGAGAATCTCCCACTCTTAGTTGACTCAAGTGAGGACCACGCAACCTCTCTGTCTACATGTGCTTCTTAAGACATCAAGGGACTCTGGTGGAAATTTGAGGGGCGTTCTTTTTCTTTATCTTGGCCCAAGATCCCACCCAATGGTAATGAGCAGGGAATGGGGTCGGTGATCTGAGGCATGAAAGAGGTTCATTATGAGGAAGTGGAGAGGGAAGGCTGGATGAAAAGAAAGTGGCTTAGCCACTCTGTCCCCAAAGGCAGGGAGCACTGAGGTCAGTTGCAGACTCCAAAACAGTCAGTAATCTGTTCTGGAAACCTGAAGTTCCTTATTGAACAGCGCAATCTTTCCTCAAGACATGGAAGAACCAGCACTGATGCAGTCAGCCCTTCTTCCAAAACAGGTACTGGCGACAGAGAGGTGGGCGTGAGATGGACTCCGGGCCTATTGCCATCTTAGCATGAACGCTGGCCACTGAAGTAGGAATACCCTTCTCACGAGCCTGGCACTAACTCCCTCCTGCACCAGCTGGAGTCTGTCAAATCCCTGGTGTAGCTCTGAGCAGAGCAGCTCTCTGGGCACAAGGCCGGTGAGGTCACCCAGGGCCTGTGCTTGGCTTAAGGGGCTGCCATGGGACCCCACATTTCATTTTGCACTGATCCCTGTAAAATATGCAGTGAATTCTGATTATGGGAACTTCTTTCAGCAGCAGGCAAAACACCTATTGCTGACCTATCGTGGGTAAATGAAAAAAGCTCCCTGGCTCCTACAGGGCAGATCAATGTCTTTGTGGAGTTCAGATTTTAGAGCAAAGAAAGCTTCATCAGGCATGGTGGGGCACACCTGTATTCCCAGCTACTGGGAGGCTGAGGGGGAAGATCACTTGAATCCAGGAATTCAACATCAGACAAGACTTCATCTCTAAAATTTTTATTAAATTGAAGTTAAAGAAGGATCTAGGGACCTTTATTCCAGCTTTAACTGTGGGCTCCTTTCCTTCTTTCATTTTACCGATGAGGAAACTGAGGCCTGGGAAGTGAGATGGCTTTCTCAATGTTCACCTAGACCACCGTCTGTAATGGTGACCTAGGATTTGCTACTTTTAAGATGAAAAGGGAGGTGAAGGCATAGAACTAGGAGGTTGCCCTACCAACATATTCATAAAGTGGGGTGGGGGGGGCGGGGGGCGGGGAACCTGGGATGAGAGACATTTAGAAAGAGGGCAGAGGACAGGTTTAACCAGAAGTCAGCTATCTAATCCATTTGTCTGGCCCATACAGCCCAACCTCCCATCTGAACATCAGCTTGTGGACGTGGGTGCTGCATAAATGGAGACAGGCAGGTGCCTCATGGTATAGAAATGAAAGTAGCTGGGGGTGAGAGAAACTAAGCAAAGGGGTGGAGGGCAAAAACAAGCGAGTATTCTTTTGTTTTAGAAGAAGAATATTTTTGCAAATAAGAGTGAAGAGTGAAAATCCTGGGTTCTTATTTCAATTTTGCCATCGAAGTTAAGCAAATCTTTTTACCTTCTTGCGTCTGTTTCCTTTCCCGCAAAATGAAGGATATGGCTCAGTTCTAAGGTCTGTTGCCAGTGACACTGGGCTGTAAAAGTGTAAGATGATTTGCATCCTCTGGCACCTGCACACTTCTGCAGCTAAACTTCATAATAACACAAGCCTCCATGTGCTTATTTGTTTGTATGAAGCCAAAGCTATTTGAGAAAGTGGTTTCCCAGCCCTTCCCTGGCTCTAGTGGCACCTGGCACCTCAATGGGAAAGGGGCATCATACCTCTCATAGGGTTGTGAAGGGTCAAGAAGTGGGGCCAAGTAGTAACCGATTCCCTCCCTCCCTGATATCTGATGACCACTAAACTGCAGAACTTAATGCTGACTTAAATACGGCCTTTTGTTTTGGCATTAAGCTATAGATGTTTCCCAAGAAGGTTTTAAAATTAATTCTTTGACAATCACTAGAAATTAAAATGGGCAGGACCAATAGAGACAGTGCCTACTGAAAAGGAATCAGAAACCCAGAAAAGTCATGCCTTGCTCAAGTCCACTGCCAGTTAATGCCAAAGCTCTGCCCTGCACACTCCACGCACAGCACACCCTCAAAGGAGAAGCAGAACTAGTTCCTTCTTTCTTCCTGTTCTCAAGAAAGGGAGGCCATGCCTTCTCACTCCCTCATCACCCTGCCCCAGGAGCTGGAAATCCCAGAAGACACAGTCCATATGCACAGCAACTGCCTCTCTCCTCCTTCTAGGCTCCCAGGAGCTATGACACAAGACTTTAGGACACCCCTCAGCAGCCCCTTCTCTGCAGCACTGGGCACAACCACCTGGTAACCACCTTGCTTCCTAACATTCACACAAGCTCCTGAATCTTACAAGAGCCTTCATGTTTGTCCTTTGGTTTGATTTCCCCACACCTCATACCCGCATCTTTCCACTGCACAGATGGGAGCAAGATCAAGAATACCTATAGGGCTTGGTCTAGGCTGCAGCAACACTCAGCAGTGGCTGTGGCAGTCCAGTGAATCTCAGGCTGTGAAGTCATGTCTGTGATTTCTACCAACTCTATTAACTTCAACACAGAAATCGGCAGAACTACTTCAGCTAAAACCTTGAAGTGACCCTCATTTCAGACATTCGCTAATGCTATACTTGACAAGAGAAAAGTCTAGCCAGATCCTTTTCCAGCCCCTTGACAAAGTGAACTAGCTTTTCCAAGGTTACACACTGTCCCTTCCCTCACCCAACAAAGCCAGCTAAAGTGGGCATTGCCTGATTTGCAGCAGTGGTGGGGACTCTGACTTATAGTTGCAGAGTCCTTGGCAGAGAATCTGCTTAATGCTGAGCCTTTGCTGAATGTATCATCTTGCCCTAGCATAACATGTGAAGCCTTGACATGAAGTTCCCCCCGGTCCACCTCCCATCCCTTGCAGCCCCAGGGGCCAAATCCTTAAAGTCAGACTTATAGTTGGCAAAATAATTCGCCCAAGCAGGTTGGGCAGGCAGAAAACAAAATAGGCCTTCACCTTCACCTTTAAATGGTGTTGGAATGTGTAAGCATCTCTACCTCTCTCATATCTGTCTCTCTAGCATTGAGCACTATGCCTGGCACTTGCCCACTCAGCTGAGGGGTGAACTTCTCAGGGTCTCTGCTCTTAATGAGTCACAGCCTTGGGGCCTGGGGAAGGCCAGTCATACACAGATGGTATCAGAACACCCAGGCAGAACCACTCCCTACCTCAGCCCTTGATGCTTTCAGAAAAGCATCTCAGTGGAGTGTCTTCAGTGAATAAAAAGAATGCATGGAACTGCTTCCAGTGAATCCCTGGTCTCCAGGAACTGGCGTCTGGCAGTTCTTTACTCAGGTTGGAAATCCTTCAAATACGTGTGTGGGAATGCCAATTTAAACATTGCACGTACACTGACACCTTTTTCAACCTCCTTAAAAACACAGGGCAACATGGTATATGGAACACCTTGCCACCCACCTCATTGGCTTCCAAAGCTGAGCATTCCCAGCTGCTGGAATGAGACAGGGCGCCAGCTGGATGCAGACAGCATTGTGAACAGTGCCCTGGATCCCACAGGAGCAGCAAGAAACTGAAACCCATTGGAATGTGCTTTGGGTTAGCAGAGATGACCTTGAAACCAGTCTAGCAGCAGAAAACTACAATCTACAGGGTACTTGCAGCTGTGATAGGGAGACAGAGGAGCAAGCACTAGGCAATTCATGCTGGAGGCTGGCCAGGTGTGCTCCTCCCCTCCCACCAGGGGCAGAGAGGATGGAAATTATGTGATTGCCAAGGGCAGCTGAGAAAAGGAGTCATGCCTGGGGTTTTGCTTTGTTGTGAGCTGAGTTGGGGGAATAAAGATCTGAGAGGAGCGGAGGAAGGCTGACTATGAGTGGTGAAGACGGTGAAGGCCAGCAGCAGCCTTCCACACCTATTCCATTGTCATCTGATGGACAGCCAAGACAAGCACTTTTCCTGGCTCTTACTTATGATATTGTCTTCACTATTTGGAGCAGTTGTGTGACAGGAGGCCTACCAGGAGCAGACAAAGCCTGATGCACCTTGCACTGCCCTTTGCCTCCATACCCCCCAGCGGAGGAGAGGATTTGAGCCTTATGTATTATTATACTTACTGTAATTCCCAAGAAAGAATGGGGGGTCTCTAATTGGTCCTACAGAGTTCTCAACCCTGTTTGCTCATTAAAATCACCTGGGGAGTTTCTATAAAACTACAGGAACTTAGGCCTCACTCCAATTAATTGCTCTCTTCATTTAAAAGGCAAACAATCCAAAAAGCTCTCCAAGGTTAAAAAAATCTGTAGCTTAAACTAATCAAACCTCAAGAATTCCAGGTTGACCAGGTACAGTTTTTCTAATTGGAATGTGGGCAGAGGCCCACTCACGGCAAATTCAGGGTGAAGTAGCACAGATAATATGCAAATGTGCCTGTATGGGTATGACTGTATTCTAATGCAACTTTATGTACAAAAATATGCAGGGCAGATTTAGTAGTTTGTCAACCCTTGTTCTACAAGAACATAGCTTCCATAGATAGAGCTGAGTGACATTTAATGTGTGGCAAAGAAGAATGACATGGTAAAAGACTGATATGGATTTAATGACAAATATTCCATATTGGTTGCTGAACACCAGAATGCTGTCCAAGGAACCATCGTTAAATAAAACAACCTGAAAATAAGGCAAATCTCACGTATACAAGCACACTCACACGAAACCTGTTACTTTTAGGATCATTAAATTATTCACTATTTTAACAAACAGCTGTAAAATAACATTACAGTGAAGAAAAATGTGCACAAACTTCAGAAACACAGTTTAGATTGTCTATGAACACAGGTCCTTAATTTGTATTTTTTCACATATGTACAGTCTCTTGATTGTAAAGAGACCACATGGCTCAAGGGGTTAACTTCTCATTTTCTCCTTCCAACTCGGAGCTCAAGATTTAATCAAAACCATTTAGCCTATTTAAATTGCTCCAGGTTTTGCTTAGTAAAGGGCAGCAGAGGAAGACTGCTCTTCATCAAATTCTCCAGGAAACAAATAATACACTTGCTTCCACCATCATTAATGAGTTGGTGGAAAAAGTCCTCAGATTAACGTTTTCAAGGGTGAACCGCAGTTAGCAGGGTTTGCCGAAGAAATATTATTCTAAAACTAGATAGAAGAAACAAACAACCTCCTGAATGCATTTAACCTCACTTAATGCAGGTAAGTTCCCTGAAGAATTGTAAGAAAAAATGGAATCACATTTTAAATGCACCAATAGAGTCGGGTGTTGGTAGTTGGATTGTTTTCTTCTGCTAAGAATGTGCTCATAGAAGGGATATCAACGTAGCAGCTGACTTTTTTATCCATGGTAATAGAAATAATGAGAGAGGTAAATGAAGTCCAAAGATTCCCACTGCCACTAAACTATTTTACATTAGCTTCACTCTCCACTCCCTGTTGAACCCATTCTCTAAAGTTGCTGATATGTAGTATATTTGATGCAGACGAGACCAGGCATAGCAATGGCAGCAAAAAAGCAAAAAAAAAGCGGATAATCAATCCATGAATAATCAAAAGTTGGATGAGATTTCATAGGCACAGACTTGAGAAAACTTAAAACAGCTGGAAGAGGTAGATGTACATGGAAAGAAACCCACAAAGCAGTAAGATTACCTAGAAATTGGCTATATTATTTTCAGGTGGGTCTAATATGTTTAGTATTCAGATTACAAATCAGAATTCAAAACGGACACTTGTTTGCTTGTATTACTCCTGACTAGAAGAAAATGAGAATTAATGTCTTTCAAAACTGTCTGTAGTTTGAAAACCTATTTGCATTTGTGAATAACAATAAACTGATTAAGAGGGCAAGATCAACAGGCATTATACAAGCCCAGAATTATCAGGATTTTTAAGTGTTTTTATAACCACAAAAACATGCTTTCCTACAGTCCCCAAAGAGGTTCTTTACTAGAATACAACTGATCAAGTATAAATTACTAGCATCCACAGAAACTTTGCTAAAAGTGTAAAAACAATCTCGTAGCTTTTTTTCCCCCTTCCACTGTGTCTGATATTTTGTGAAGATGCTTCCATGAAATGTGTAGGGTAACAATCACTAGAGAAGAAAACAATACTGCTTTCCACAACTCTAACTTCTAAAGGCTAACCTAGCACAGGGATCTTCAGCATAAGTAACTGAAATCTATACAAGAGTCATCTAACTACAGCCCCTTACTAGAAATGGAACATAGCTAGGATACCCTAATTAGGCGACAAAGACCAGCTTTGTCAATAAGGACATGTTTGGCCCTTCTAGGCTAGCCTTAAGTTTTTCATCAAGCATAAGAATTTTCAGTGTCCTTAATTTTATTATATAAATCATGACAAGTAAGTCTTCCTAGCAGCTGAGCTGGAGAATGCAAAAGGTCAGGCTACAATTATTCACACTGTCCTCAGCCTCTCTTCAGGACAGCCTGCACACTCCTGTTCCCAGGCCTTCCCTAAGACAGCGGTCATAATACTGATCTAACTCACAATGATGTGAGAAACAGCTAACAATTATTAAAAAGCATAAAGCACTTTGCAAATATCAAAGTGCTATTTTGGCATCTATATAACAACCAGAAAACATTCATTGTTTGTGCTATTTGGCAATTTTGCATTTACACCTCTCCCTGACTGGGCTCTTCTGGGTAAAGCCTTGAGATTTCTACTGTGCCTCCACGCGCAGGCAAAAGACATTCTTACTTAGACTAGATCCCTCGTCAATATGCATGGAAGTGGGGGTTAGTGGAGGTCACTAACAAATGCAAAGTGAAGGCAAATGAGACCAAGGAGTCTCGCATCCCAAAAAAGTGAACACTTTCTTGGATTTCTCACATAAAGGCCAGCAAAACTCTGAGCTAGTTGACTTTTTAGCAGGTCACTGGGCAACTGTTGGTCTAAAGTTCACTTGAAACACCTACATCAAGGTGAGGTGGGAAAAGGAAAGTCACACATAGCTGTGATTGTTCCTTTTCCCTGCACTTAAAACACCACAGTTGAGACCTGAAAGAAATACTGGGTGTGGCACACACCTGGGATGGGCGAGGGCGGGGGAGGGGGGTCATCCAGGTAAACCACCTTGACCCAGCATGAAGCTAGAGTATTTTCAAGGAAGTAGCAAAGAACCCGGGACAGAATCAGGATTTCCCACATCAGAGAACCAGTTATAAATGAATTTCTAAACCCCAGACATTGCCCCTTGAAATGAGTGTGGCGTTTTTCAGCCCACTTCCCCTTGGATGCCTCAAAATAGCAGCTAACTGTGGCTCAGAGAAAGGAAAAGTACATTAAATATCCTGTCCTATGTGACTGACAAGGTTCCCCTACTTTTTGTGAGACAACAGGTGATGTGTGGAGATCGGGCAAACTCTTGGTGGGACCAAGATAGAATCACTTATACTTGGTTTTATTTCGCCCCATAACCCTCATTTAAACCCTCTCCCCGCAACCTTCTACAGGCCATCGCGGCCTACCCTAGTCTATTGCCCGCCATCCTGTTCCCACCCCAGCCCACGAACTGCCCTTCCTCAAAGTGCCTGGTCCTCCAAGCTCTTCACCCCCTACAGCGTGTATTTAAGGAAGTCATCACCCCAAGCGCATCTCCTGAACAATTCTTCCGTGGAGAGGAGGCAAGTATAGCACCGGGAAAGACCAACTTACTCAACACTCCTCCCACTTCAGGAAACCCCAAACACCAAAGGCTCCCCAGTCACTCTCAGATTGTCCCTCCCGCCCCTTCCCCACTTCCTTCCCCTGGGTCAGTCCCAGGATATCTACCCCCCACAGGCTCCCCAGACGGCAGCCTCCCGCGGACCCAGCCCCTAACACAGGTGCAGCTTCTGGTGCTGCGCGAGGTGCGTTTTATAGCGGAAGCCTTTGCCGCAGCCCGCACACTTGTGCGGCTTGTTGCCCGTGTGGATGCGGCGGTGGCGGATCAGGTGGGAGCTCTGGATAAAGCTCTTGCCGCACTCGATGCACGTGTAGGGCTTCTCGCCCGTGTGCGTGCGCTGGTGCTGCGTGAGCGTGGAGAAGTCGCTGAAGCGCTTCTCGCACTGGCCACAGCGGAAGGGCTTCTCGCCGGTGTGCACGCGCAGGTGGTTCACCAGGTGCGAGTTACGCCCGAAGCCCTTCCCGCACTCGCGGCACACGTAGGGCCGCTCACCCGAGTGCGTGCGCTTGTGCGTGAAGAGGTGCGAGCTGACGCTGAAGGTCTCGCCGCACTCGGAGCACATGTAGGGCTTCTCGCCCGTGTGCACGCGCTGGTGCTTCACCAAGTCCGAGCGCCAGCTGAAGCGCTTGCCGCACTCGCCACAGCCGTGCGGCTTCTCGCCCGTGTGGATGCGCTGGTGGTTGGCCAGGTGCGAACGGCGCACGAAGCCCTTGCCGCACTCCCCGCAGGCGAAGGGCCGCAGCGCCGCCGCCCCCGCGCCGCTGGCCGCCGCGTGCGCGCGCCGGTGGCTCAACAGATGCGAGCTGAGGCTGAAGGCCTCGCCGCACTCGGGGCACGGGTAGGGCTTCTCGCCCGTGTGCAGGCGCCGGTGCTTGAGCAGGTCGGCGCGCCAGCTGAAGCTCTTGCCGCAGTCGGCGCACAGGTTGGGCCGCTCGCCCGTGTGCAGGCGCAGGTGGTTGGTCAGGTAGGTGTTGCGGCTGAAGCCCTTGCCGCACTCCCCGCAGCGGAAGGGCTTTTCGCGCGGGGGCCGGGCCAGCGGGGGCCCGGCCCCGAAGCCCCCCGCCACACCCACCCCCATCATGCCCACCATCGCGTCGCACTCGCCCGCCAGGCCGAAGGGCTCCAGGCTGGCGGCGGCAGCGGCCTCAGCCAGGCGGTGAATGCGCTGGTGCTGCAGGAAGGCGGCGCCAGGACTGAAGCTCTCCCCGCAGTCGGGGCAGATGGTGGGCGCGTCCATGATGCTGGCCACCAGGCTATCCAGCTCCCCGAGGTCCACGGCCATGGGGTGGTGGAGCCGGTGGAAGCGGCGGTGGGCGGGCTTGTCACCTCGGTGCCGACTCCCCAGGGAGAGATGTCGCCTCCAGGGAAGTACGGGAGGGGCCGGCTGCTCCTCTTCCTCCTCCAGCCGGTTCTCCCCAGCACTCTCGTCGTCGTCCTCCCGGAGGCTCCGGGATATGCTGTCAGACTCAGACAGTCCTGGGAACATCGCCATGTCAGCTACACCGGATTGGTCATCCTCTTCCCCACGGACAGAAACGCCTTCTTCCTCACTCAGCTGCCCCTCTGCAACAGAAAAAGGTGGCAGTGGGGGATTACTATACTTGGCATTCAAAAGATAAGCCCAGAGGAAACCTCAGTAATAAAACTGTGATCCCCTCCCTCAGGCACTCTGGATCCCTGCCCCTCCAAGACCCCCTGAGAGTTTAGCCTCTCTCAACTGGATCCTCCAGGGAAAGGCCTAAAGGAGAGTGCACTCATTGCCCCCTCTGCCCACCAGTTCTTCAGGCAGCCTCCTCGGGCCCAGGCCCCCCTAGCTGGACCCGAGGCACTGCCTAGCAGAGCCATCTGAAGGCCTGACTGCCTGTGTTCAGGATATTCAAGTCTGTGCCAGGTGGGACACTACGTAAGATCTCAGGAGAAAAGGTTTACTCACTCCAAGAGCTACCAATGCCTTTTAAGATTCTAGTCTCAAAAGACAAGAACAGTCTGCCAACCTGAGAAAGACCACTTGGCCTAACCAGGCCCTGGACTAATTTTTTCTTTTTCTCTTTTTATTTTTGAGACAGAGTCTTGCTCTGTCGTCCAGGCTGGAGTGCAGTGGCGCAATCTTGGCTCACTGCAACCTCCGCCTCCTGGGTTCAAGCGATTCTCCTGTCTCAGCCTCCTGAGTAGCTGGGATTACAGGCTCATGCCACCACGCCCAGCTAACTTGTATTTTTAGTAGACATGGGGTTTCACCATGTTGGTCGGGCTGGTCTCGATCTCCTGACCTCGTTTTCTGCCCACCTCGGCTCCCAAAGAGCTGGGATTACAGGCATGAGCCACTGCGCCCAGCCCTCAGGACTAATTTTTAAAGTACATTTGGTCAGTCTGAAACAGCTTATGATGGAACAAAAAACTGAACTCACCTTCAGGACTTTGCTATGGGTGGGGGGAGGGGGATAGTAGTGGGGAATAGAGAAAGAGATTACAGAGCCTAGAGCTGGTGAGCCCAGGTTAGAGGCTGATCCAGGACACACACCTGTTGGTCTCTGGCTGCGTATCCCCAAGCAGAGGGAAGTTGCTGAGATGTGAAAGGCCTCACATGTGCCCTCCTGCACATGCTTCTGTGCACTGCGGAGGAGGGCAGCAGGGAGTCTGGGACTGTGTCACAGGGGAAGGAATGTAACCTCTCAGTCCTGGCCATAAAGTATTTTAGCTCATTTCTGTCCCCAGAGCATGCACTGAGCAGGATAAAGTAATGAATGCCCAAAGACAGAAACAAGGAGGTGGGTGGAGGCCCAGCATTCACTCTTTCAGGTCAGTAAGAGTAAGGCATTTAGCAGAGGCCATGGGCACTTTGGGAATTAGCCACATGAACCTAGGCAGGTCACTTACCAGTGAGATGACTTATCTGCAAAGGGAGATGAGGACGTAACTGTAAACATCTGGATACCTCCTATTTGCACAGTACTGTGCTTAGTAACTCTATATGCAGCAACTCATTTAACTCTCCCAATAACACTGTGAGGTAGATTCTATTACTAGCTGGGTAATTCTACTGTAGTGTTGTTCCAGGGGTTAATTTATAGCAGCATTCTCTACACTGTAAAAAGTACTGCGCCAGTGAGTGAGCCTCTTCACAGCTCACCTCAGACTGGGCTGAAAAAAAGGATGGTCTTCAGGCTAACACAAGAGAGGCAAGTCAGTACAGAATCCTGCTTAATGGTCCCCTCTATGGAACTCCCTTACAGAGAATGCTGTCGCTAGTTATGATTCTAGAGGAGCTAGAAGTAAGTGTAACTTTGGCAACTTGCATAGAAATCCCAGCTTTCTCCTCACCTGTGCAGATGTCGGGCACTGCTTCCCTGTGCCTTGAGTCCTGTGGGTTGGAGCCCATCTCCGGCTCCGGATGGCCTTCTCTCTTGTTTGTGTCATGTGGATTAGAGCCCATTTCTCTTTCTTCTGGGTCCCCTTCCCTGTCCTCAGAGTCCTCAAAATCAGAACCCATCCCTTTGTCTTCTGAGTCCTGGTGTGCACAGACACCCTGATTATCTTCTTGTTTCATCCAGGAAGAAAAGAGCAAGGGAGGTGACCAGGAATCCCTGCTCCAGAAAAACACAAAGAAAGGTCACGTCAGTCCGGTCTCATCCCCTCACCACGCCCAGCCTTAATTTCCAATTCTAATAAAATGTATGGAGTTCCAAGCCCCAGATGGCAAACCTCCACTTCACTCCACATTTTAAAGTAAACAAGTGAGTGCAAAGGAGGGTGGACTGGGTGGCAGAAGAACAGTGACAACCTCACTATGAGGTTGGATGCCAACTCTCACTGGACCAAATCTTGATCTTCTGGCTATGATATGGATGTCTATTAGTGTGGTTTTATAGTTTAACAGTGAACTAGATGTTCCCATTTTTACAGCTGAGAAAACTTGAAACTCAAAAAGAAGAGGCCACTAGCCCAAGGCTACATAAACTTATAAGCAGTAGAGTGGGGATTAAGCAATTGGGCTGCCTCAAAGTTCCATGCTTTTCATACTCTTATTAAGCTTGCTCGCCTCCAGCCCACAGCAACCTTGCAAGTATTTTGGTTATCGTGCAAGTATTTTGGCTAATTTAAGGAGCCAGAGGAAAAGTACATCAAGACACAAGAATAATAGAAGCATCAAGTATAGTAACTTCTTGTCTAAGACCATGTCACCAACAGCACCACCAACCTGGCTTTTGTAGTGAGGATCTACTTTGCAGGGAGGAATGAGCCAAGATGATTCAAGTAGGCCTGGTGGGGCCAAGAAAAAGAGGTACAGGGGACCCTCTATATTAGAAGCCATCTCTATCATCCTAATTACATATTTTACAGTATCCGAATTGTAGAGAACCCTTAACAGGAACATACACCAGAGATAATTGGTAACCCCTCTACAGAAAAGGCCAACATGTGAATCATAGGGAGAAAATGACATCAGATTCCTAAACCTTTTGTAGACGTCAGGATAACATTTCAAATTTAAAGGGCCCCCTGCCAAGACTGAGCAGTTGAGCCAAAAATAATTTATTTCTGCCATCCATCACTCCTACAGCTTAGCTCCAGGCAGCCAAACAGTTTCTAGGTCGAGGATCTTGGACTGTAACTTTGAAGAGACTAGCTCTCTGCCTCAGCAGTCCCCAAACAGCAAGAACATGGCTGAGCAAGATGCCTCTTGCTTGGCTGGGAGCTCTTCCTGCCTCTGTGGAGGCCTTCTCTGAGGTGGCCCTGGTTCTACAGAGCCTTTGGAATGGTAAGCTGGAGTTCCAGGCAGCGCAAGTTGGAAATTCCAGCTGGGTCAGCCTCACTAGAGAGCCCAAAGCAAGTCAATTAACCTCTTACTGTTCCAGTGTCCTCATGAGTGGAAGAAGGGTAAGGCTACTTAACCTTTCTCACAGGGAGGGTGTTAGAAGGAAACTAATGAAAAAGCACTTTGGAAAATACTGCAGAGAGTAACTGATGCTTTGAGTTTTACAAGCGTGTAATACACACATTTTTCCTCTTAAGTCCTGATGCCATTCTAGCACACCCCAAAGACACGCTAGCCCCTCTGTAATTTTGGCAGACTCATCACCATATTAGACTCTTTCTGAGAGACGATGATGCGCTCCCTCAATTGGAACATCAAGCCCTCTCCTTTAATGTCTTCGGATATGGCTGTGTCTGAGGTTGGTCAGTCAACAGGTCCTGAAATGCGGTTGAATTCCTTTAGAACGTATACTGTTTAAAGCACCAAGTTTCCAACATTTGGAGATTTCTTGTCTAAGACAGTAGGAGAAAAATCTCATTAAAGCTGTAAACCTTTTAAGAGGTATACTCCATGACTACTGACCCCAAATCACTTCTGCCCATCACTCTTGCCTCTTTGGAGCTCAGACGCAATGGACAAATACATCCCTTGAGTCTGCATATATAATACACCTGAAAGTGGCTAGGCAAGAGTAGTGTCATTAAACATGACCTATTGATTTGCTAGTAGTGGAAAACAGTGCAGGCGTTGGCGGGGCGGGGGGCGGGGGGAGTTAAGAGGGGATTAATCAATGGTTTCTACCAATCTTGAGACCAGCAGGAGGGTTCTGTGTCAATAAAGTCAAATAAGCATGTCATCAGAATCTCATAAAACTAAAATAGCAGAGGTACAGTGCCCAGCATGGCATAAAAGGGATTGCAGCACTCCATCCTGAAGGACAGGATTTAGGAGTCCGATCTGGGAAACAGGGAGCAGGGCTTCCCCTCTAAGCCCTTTTATGGACAGGCTTCTTATGGGGCACCTCAGACATAGCAATAATGGAACAACAGAACTTTCTGATTTGTGATTTATTGGGAACCGAGACATCAGATATTAAACGTGGAAACATGGTTTTTCTAGATTTGAAGGCAGGGAGAGGGGAGAACCAGAGTGAGTTCCCCACTTAGGGCTGACGTATGAAAAGTTCACAGTGCTGCCTCAGAATTAAGGCAGGTTCTGAGCTCCGAAGGGAGTAGTTCCTGATCCTTATTTTCATTTAGACTAGGGGAGGGAGGATTAGGTGTGCTCTGAAAAGAGCTTGAAGTTCCTGTCACCCAGATACCATTCATGGCACAACAACTACTCAAATTTGTTTTAAAATGCATTATGTTAGTGCAAAACTGGAAATCTGCATGCCCAGTAACACGGATTCAGTTCCATTCACGCCAGCACATCATGGGGTTTTAGGCAATTGTCAGGTGATGGAGAAGGTTATTTAGAAGTTAGGAAAGATGATCACGATGTAATTATATGAAAAGCAGCTGGTTTGAAAAATATTTCACTTTGGCTTATATGCATACTAACATGTATATTTACACATGTATACACAGATCAGAGAGGAAGACCAGAAGTTTATTAAAATACTAAACTTCTCAGTCACTTTGGGGGCTTTGCAGCTCTTAACTCATTTGATGTTAACCTAATAAAGTAGGATATTTCCAACTTCACAGATAGGAAACGGGCACAGAAGTGACTAGTCCAAAGTCATACAAATCATAAATTGCAGAGCAGGGATACATACCCTTGCAAGTCTAGCTCCCGTACACACATTCTTAACCAGAAGCTGGTATATAGTTTGAGACTTGTCCTCTTTGTACATCTGTATTTTCTACATAAACAGGTATTTTTTAATCAGAAAAATAACTTTGTTTTTAACATGATAGAAGATGTTAAACCTGCAATTACTCTAGAAGTAATAAAAAGGAAGACAAGGGCAAGAGTTGTGATAACCTCAATCTAGAAAACTTAATATTCAAAAACACCAGACACCATGGTATAAAGTGTCAGATATTCAGGCATATTTTGTTCCAGCTCCTTTCCCATTCATTCTCAAAAACTAGCAACATGTTTTCTTAGGCAAGGCTGGAGCTGGATATCCAGTGGGCAGCAGGGCAGTGTGATCACTTTGTGGCCAGACTGACCTGGGTTTGAATCCTCTGCTCTTTGCCAGCCACTTTACCTTGTACAAGTTTCTTAGCCTTGCTGAATCTCAGATTCTGCATCCATAAGAACAAGGATGCTGCCTCCTACCTTGCAGGGTTGTTTCTCGAGCCACAAAAATTAATGTTTGTAAAAGCTGCTGGCATGTTAGAGACACAATAAATGGTAGTTATTACTATGATGAAACTTCAGCCAACTTCTTAAGAAAATTATACACACCCCCATTCTAAATTGGGGGTCACCTATTCCCAGCTACGTTCATGGAGAATGGCCTTTGGCAAGTACAAACAGCTTCCCCTAGCCTTGCTGCTAAAGGTTCTATTAATGAACAACTCACCATGTGGATACAAGAACCAGGGAGTGACTAGTTGCTGAAGGGAGCTAGGTAGAGGGAGAAAGGTTTAATTCCAAATTCAATTAGTTTTCAGCTGCTGATTGCCCATCCTGTAAACAGAGTATAGGTCTAAAGCTAAATAGGGTGTGGGTGCCTGGTTCAGTAAACCCTAACGTACACCATCTGTAAGGGAGCTCTCCTTCCCCCAATAAGAAGGAATAGAAGTTTAAGGGGGAAAAGCAATAGAGTGGTGGGCATACAAAACTAATTCTACATCTGGTTGTAATCACTGAGGGAGACAACTCTGGTTTTTGGCCAACACAACCATTGTGCTGTGTGACTTTAAGCATTTGCCCCCTTCGGGCTTCCGTTCCATGAGAAGGTTGGGTTTGAATGTTCCTGAGTCCTCTTCAAGCTTGTCATGTGACACACAGGTGAGTTGATCCAGGAAGGCATCATTGTCAGTTTCATTAGACATTTCCAGCTCCAGCTTGTTAATCCACACAGCAAACTCTTAATCCCCAAACATTCCACCACCACCATCACAAAACCTTTTTCTTGGATGCAGATCACTTCAAGGTGGGATTGGGCAACTTCAACAAGACTGCTCAAATCCTGGTTTCTAGAACTTGTGATATTTTCATGTCTCTTTCCCCTACCCCAATTTCAAAAAAGTAAGGCCTATCACCCTATCACTGGGAAAATGCTCAAGAGCCTTCTAGACAAACTCAACCCCACTTGAAAGAAAGATCACTTTGAAGACACTGCTACAGAGCAGAGGTGAATGTGATAAAGTGTCTCTAAAAAGAGAAAAAGACTCCAGCCTGGGCAACAGAGCAAGATCCCTTCTCTACAAAAACTTTTTACAAAATAGCTGGGTGTGGTGGCACATGTCTTTAGTCCCAGCTACTTGGGAGGCTGAGGCAGGAGGATCACTGGAGCCCAGGAGTTCCAGGCTGCAGTGAGCCAAGACTGACCCCACCTTCCCCCGCACTCCAGCCTGAGAAACAGGGCAAGACCCCATCTCAAAAAAAAAAGAGGAAGGGAGGGAATGAGGTGGGAAGATCGGGGAGGGTAACTGAAGCCAGTAGCAGAGCCAGAATTAGAATTTAAACCAAGTTTATTGGCACATTCGCCAAATCCCCCACTTTGGGGCTACCTGTGAAATCTATCCCTATTGAACAAGGTCCCCACCACTTTGTGGATTTAACCTAACTTCCTATGAAGAGGTTAGGGCAGAGGAGTGTACACAACTCCCCCACCAACCTGGATTTTACATAGAAACCAAGGCCAGAAATAGCACCAAGTCTCCCAGCCTCTAAAAGATAAAGCAGGGGCGCAGCTGCCGCCTCGCTGAGGCAGCCTTCTGCGCGGACCCCAAGCTGTCACGCGGCCCCTGGCGTGGATGGCACCGCGGAGGCGGTGTCTCCTTGGAGCGGACCTAAGCACCTTCCTATGCACTGCAGCGGGTCCATCTCCTTTGACTCCAGTAACTGAGAGGTAAATCAGGGTGACCCGTTTGACGTGTAAAGAACACTGAGGCCAGGGAAGGTGAACCCCAGGCGGCGTCTCTCTCAGGTAGAGACAGCAGGTGTTCCCCTCCGCTGGCTCCTAGAAGGGACAAATGGCCAAGCGCGTTAGGACTGGAAGAGGAAGGCCAGTTCCCAGCGAAGCAGCGCGGGCCGCACCTGGCAGCCCCGACCAGCAGGGACGGCCAGTTCCAGAGCAGATCACTCCCAGCCCCCGCTTGGGCCCCGCTTGGGCCCCGCCTGGGCCCCGCCAGCCCCCAGGGCAGAGGGCGGAGGAGTCATGTGCCGCGGCGGCCGCTGCCAGGTGGCGGGGAGCCAGGCCGGCAGGGCTGTCATGTCAGGGGAAGGAAGCGGCCCGGCGGGCGGCGGGCCAGGAGCGGCTCCCACTCGGGCCTCCAGACTGCAGCTCCTTTCCTGTCTCCCACTCATCTCGAGGGTCCCTTCCCTACCTCCTCAGAGGAACGCAGGGCCGGCCAGCAGCAGCTGGAGGCTTCCTCCCTCCTCTTCCCACGCCCCCCTGCCCACCACTATTTCCCAAGGGAGCGCTTCCATAGCAGAGTCCAGGCGGGGACACCCGATTGGGTAGAGCGCTGGAAAAACAATTTCAGCCTGCGGTTCAAAAGGCTGAACTCATGACCACAACTGGGGTCTAACCAGAGATTCCAGGGGGTTAATCATTTGTCCATCTTCAGCACCAACTGGGTAAAAAGTCAGCTAGCCTCTCGGGGGATATGACCATCAAGGTCCTGCCTCCTCACTGCTAAGTTTATGGTCAAAAGGAACCCAAAGGGCAAAGAAAGCCACCTCGCCATATTTGCAGGGGATGCCTCTACTGAGCAAGGGGTAAGCACCTTACACAGAATGTGTCCACAACCAAACGTGGCAGGCGAACTTCCCCTCAGCTGGCTTGGCCAGGCACAAACCCAGACTGCCCAACCCAAAATGCCAGCCACCCAAGTGGCAGACTGCTGCGTGAGGGTGAACATTAATTCCAGACAGGGACAGCCAAAAGATTACTGCACCTAAGTGTTGCCCGCTCTCCAGACAAGAGGAGCTAAAATAATATGGTTTCTGCCTTGTGGTTACTGCTTTTTTTACCTGGAGAGGGAAGCCCAAGGTGGAAAAACAAAAAGGCTCAAAACCAAGGCAACAGAGAAACCAACCTACATCCCCATGGGTCAGCACCAGTTTGAGGCTCCTTCCAATCTCTGTGATCAGGAATAGCACAAATGCCCTTGGGGTCAGACATTTCCTGTCCATCGGTTGGGCTAGGGCCCCTCAGTTTGGCTTGACAGCCTCAGCTTATCACAAATGCCAATCCTCCACCACCACCCTATTCCTCCTGCACGAAATAAGAATTAGTGCAACGCAGACACAGATCCTAAGTGCCCTCAAAGTTAGACTATCTGCCCTCAGCTGAGAAGTCACAAAAGCTACAGGTTTTCCCGTTGGCATTTACTATCCATATTTTACATTTAACTGATTAGAATCTTCCGCGACATAAATCAGGGTGATCCATTTTCCTGTATATTTTCCTTATATACAGGAAATCCTTCTGTTGATGGTTTTTTATTCCCTGTGCTCCACCACCACTACTGTTTTACACCCTCAGTTGTTTTGTTTAGTAAGAGAAACTTTGGGCAGCCCTCAGAATTATTATCTCTAGACACTTTCTCAGCAGCTGGCTCAAATGTTCCATGTTTGCATTTCAGGAAATCACAGACCTTGGAAATCCCTTCGTTTAACCTTCTTTTACAGAGATGAAACTAAGGCTAGAAAGGGAAAGTGACTGAAAGTCAGGTTTTACTAGAAGAGTTGTGGCCAGACTCTCAATTTTGCGGATGGTGTCTCCAGTGATCTTTGCATCTCTTTAATATAAAACACATCTTCAAAAAATAGCCAGATAAATTGAGGACATATACTTGTCTTTTCTTTTTGTTTTTGCACACTGATTAATCAGGGTCCTCCTAAGAGAACCAATAGGATGTGTGTGTGTGTGTGTGTGTGTGTGTGTGTGTGTGTATAGAGAGAGAGAGAGAGAGAGATTGATTTATCATAAAGAACTGGCTCATGCCATTATGGGGTCTGGCAAGTCCAAAATCTGTAGGGTCAGCTGACAGGCTGGAGACCCAAGAGAGCAGATGCAGAAGATTCCTCTGAAGATCAGTCTGTTTGTTCTATTCAGGTTTCAGCTGATTGGATGAGGCCCACCCACATTATGGTGGGCAATGTACTCGAAGTCCACTGATTTATATGTTATCCTCATCTAAAAAACATACTCACAAAACACCCAGAATAATGTTTGACCACAAATCTTGGCATTCTGTGGCCCAGCCAAATTGACACATAAAATTAACCATCATACATACTGTAGCTTAAAGGTGTAGTCTGCAGTAATTGCATCATATTTACGCATTTAAACATTTTTCATGAAAATCATTACTACATACAGATAGTTGAATAGAGTCTCAGGGTATATGTGCTATAGAGGATGGCAGGGAAAAATCAAGATTAATCTTAAAGATCTACACAGCCACATGTGTGTGTTATCTGGATTGGGGTCCTAGTTGTGTAACACTCCTACAGCAGAAAGACATGCAATTTAATCATCTATTTCACTGAAGGACAAAAGAGAAAACAGGTTAAGACTGCACCAGGGGTTTATGTGAGCTATGTGAGTTGTTAACAGACAGCCTTGTTCTGGGAAAGTTGATGCTGGAATCCCATATTAACGTTGCCAGATGGGGCCAGGTGACCTCAGGAAGTCTTTTCCAACCCAGATGATTCTGTGATCATATTTCCACTGTAATGAATAGCCCTCAAGAGAATGCTTATCATAGCAAATAAGGAGAGAGGGGTGTTGGGGCCAAAGGACTTGAGGCACACATTCAATCACCCCAGCTTCCCACTGTATATTCAACAACAACAAAACAACCGCTCTTCTAATTCTTTGCCCAAAATAACTGTTTGGTGTTGTTGATGAAGAATGGCTGGCGTGTTCCAGCCCAGTGCATTTCAGCAGTGGGTAAGTGACACCTCTCCCTATAATCTGCCAAGATATCTTCCAAAAAGAAAAAACAGGAATAAAAATGTAAAGAAGTCACCTGATGCCTGAATTTTCCTGCCTAATTAAGTGTTAACTTCCACAGCTAGTTTTCAGCATGAAGTAAAACATTTGCATACACTTAAAAACAGGTTTGAAATAATTACATACCTGTTACTCTTATTTCCTTAAAAATAACAGATTATCAGCAAAAACCAGATCATAGGAAAGAATGTAACACACATGATCCACTTTCTTCAATAACAATGCAACAGTGACAAAAATGGCAAAGAAAGGGGAAAGTAGAGAGACCTGTAGGTCAAAAAACATAAACAATATCAACCAACCCCAATATACTGACCTTATTTGAATGCCAACTCAAACTTACAAATTACAGAAACAAATTATAAGACAACGGAGGAACTGTGAATACTAATTAGATATTTGATATCAAGGAACTTCATTTTGTCAGGTGTTGGTACTGAGATTAAGTGTACAAAGAGTTCTTATATCTTTAAGAGATATATAATGAAATATTTACAAGTGAAATGATATGTCTAGAATTTGCTTCAACATAACTCCCGGACAAAGGGGAAGGGGCTGGGGTACAGATGAAACAATATTGGTCATATATTGACCACTGTTGAAGCTGGATGGTGGTATATATAGGCTTATTACACTACTTTATCTACTTTTATATATTTACTAGAAAGCTTATAAAAAGTTTTGAAATGGATAATTATATTTTTTTCTGAAATTTTGGGTTATTTATGTTCATTTAAGTTTTGGCCAGAACATAATAAAATATCAGTGATTTCCATAAAAGGAATAGCCTGCTTTTATAAATCATGCCAGAACAAGAGTGGTTACAAGGCTTAATACTGAACAGAGCTCATGGGAAGTGGGAGAAGGGGCAGTGGAGCAAAGATACTAATAGAAACTTAAGTTTGATGCTTTTTGCTCTTTTTAAAAATGAGATAAAGGAATAGCTGTTATGTTCAAAATAGAATCAGATTCTGTTTCCATTTTCATCTACTTTTATATTTCCAAACAACTAAAAAATGATCCTGCCCACCAGAACTTGTTTATTTCCACCATTAATGCAGCAACTCTACACTCCAAACCAAGAAGGAATAAACTGGATTAGGGGTCCTAGTTGTGACAATTCTATTAGGGGAATGCTTTATCCCCAGGACAGACAAACTAATGAAAGGATGTGAGTGTCCAGTAGATTAAGTACATCAATTATTGGTCCTCCCTAGAATCACCTTCTAAGGGGATGAAAAATGGAAGATCATGTACAGATGAAAAGGAAGATAACACAGTAGTGATTTATGAAAATGTGATCTCCATGAGATGAACTCTGACAGGAACAGTACTTTACTAGCCCAAACTGAGAACTTTTAAATTTAGATAGTGTTGTCAGACAGTGCTCAGAGAAACTCTGAGGATGCCAGTCAAATTGCTTCATATCACACTACGAAGAGAGCAACTAGAAGATATTATGCTCCTACTTTACATGAGAACTGAAAGCTCACAGATATTTTCTGTTTCAGCCAATGGTGCACAGTAAATCTAGGATGCACACACCCAGTCACAGGACACAGCTTTCCTCCAGGAAGTGATGCATCTATCTCAAGAAGGAGGCTTGCGTGTCTGGGACTCATTCATAACTTGAACATCACGTTACTAAGTCATTCATCAGGTTCAGTCTGGGTTCCTTACCTTTAGTTCCTAGCATTTCCCAAAGAGAGCAACAGTACTACACAAACTTGCAAATAGAGTAATGGTATTTTTCTTGAGCATGAGTTCTTAGCCTGAGGGCCTTCAGAATCCGTGAACTCCCTGCAACCATACGGAAATGTGTCTGTAGACACTTTCTCCTGATGAGAAGGCCCATAGCTTTTTCTTGGACTCTGAAAGGATCCGTGGAACGAAAACAAAAACCCTGTTATAAACCACTATTACAAAGGACTCATGATACATTTCCTTATCATAACAATTCAAAAATGATACAGAGTGGTTTTGGGTAAGGGGGATAAGAGCAGTTTCACCACTATATGCCACAAGATCTTTTGGCGTGCTGGTGGAAAAGAGAAGATAATGGCAGTAAGTCCAAAAGCAGGGAGTAGCACAGACAAAAATATCAGTAAATTTCAAACACATATGGAGAGCGAGGGACCTAGCAAATGGAACCTGCCTGAGATCACCACTTTGGTGATCTCACCTAACACCCTATTTTACAGATGAGTCAGGCAATGGAGACCAAGAAAGGTTAAGTAAATTGCCCATGAACACACCAGTTAAGGGCAGACACGAGCCTAAATCACTGGCATATTAACCTTGGTTTCAATCTCCCCTTGCTACTCAATCCAACATAACCTTTGGTGCTTGGCTAATTCACACTTGTGATTTGGGTCTCCCAGCATCATTAGTTCACCTGCTCTTCACTTCCTAGCCACTCACATTATGTGACAGGTGCACTAAGAGGGAGGGAAGTTGTTCCTCAAGACTGTAACACCCTGCCTCTCTTGGACGTATCTAATTTATAAGCTTGACCCCAGGTTTATGGCTCCTATCAGCTGCTTACTTGGGCAGTGAGTAAAATCACATTAATCAAACCATAACCTACCCAGTACACAAAATGCTTTGTTATTTAATCCTTCTCCTCTCAAAGGAAAAAGAATTACAATCTGGACAAAGTCATCAACTCTTTCCTAACAAATCTTCAAAGTGTTAGCAAAGTTATCTTGCCTGCAAAGAATAACATGCAAATACCCAGATAAAGAAGGGCATTCTGAGAGTTACACAAAACTGCAACATAGGGAGGCCTAGTTCATATTAACTGCACCATGGGATCAAGGACTCAGTTCATCCAATGTGACCCATTACTACAAATACAGTTTCTTAGCTCCAACCTGAGCTTTAACAGCTTTGCAGTCCCCATATGGGAAGTTGTATAGATGTGGGCCCGGTGGCAGGGACAGCACCACTCCAAGTACATTTTGCTGTAGAGAATGTATCCACAGATAATGAGCAAATCTCATAACTTGAATTCACAAAGGTGTCAAGTTGGTAGAGGATGGGGCCACCCTTCAGATTACTGGATTCCTTTTAGGTACAATCTCCCTTGCACCACATTCTCCCAACCCGCTCTGTCATATTCATGAGTTTAGTGCTCTGGCTTTAGTGACAACATTTCACTGAACTGCATTTTTCTTGTTTTCTTCCTGACTCCTGATAATTTTTTTCCTATTGTAGTTTCAGTTATTTTTCCTCTAGAAAAAAACATAGAAAATGTTCTTCAAACTTAACTTCATGTGATCCTCAGAAGTGATGGCTGACTTAACAGGTTTTGGATTCTCTGCTGTTTTTACTAGAGAAAAACAGAACATCTTGTTGGCTAGAAAAAAAAAGCAGTTGTTTGAATTAGCATTGAGTTAATGGAGTGTTAGAGTAAACACTGAATAATACTGAGTCCTTTGTATACTATTTGAAAAAAGTCATCGTCTGTGTGTGTGTATGTGTGAGAGAGAGAGAGAGAAAGAGACAGAGAGAGAGAGAGAGAAAAGAGAGAGAGAAAGGAGAGGGGAAGACCATGAAGCCTCAATAGTACTGGTTATACCATTTAAAAAAATCTTTAAAGACATTTTTCTATTCAAACTATGAAACTCATTAAAAGGGGAGACTGCCTCATTCTGCAGTATCATTTTTAAATTACTAAAACCAATTATCAAACTATATTATATTTTCTCCTGCAATGCCATTTTTTGGCCAAATAAATCTTACAGGCTATTGGGAAAAGGAGGAATAAGTGCTAGTGAGCCCTAGTTAAAAACTTAACATCACCACCACACTCTCACAGTTTCCCAGTGAACTCGGGCTTCCAGATGGGACAACCTCAGCAGACAGTGTTAATTGCTAACATTTAGTTAGTGATCCAGACCCACATCAATTATCAGCTATGTATTTCTACCTTCCACATGCCGTGGTCTCCTCTTCTGCTTTGATCTCACCATCAACACTGTAAAGTGCTTGGCATTTAATAGGAGTTCAGTAAATGGCCCAGAAATCTTGTTGAGACACTCTCCTTGGAAATTCTCTTTGCTTAGCACCCACAATATTGCACTGTCCTAGTCCTCCTCATACTTCACTGACCACCCTGTCTCCTCTTCTTAACTCCTAAAATAGGTCAGCCTTCAAGGGTCTTTTTTACATTTCTTCTCCCTCTCCCTCAACGGTTTTGCCTCTTCCTGTAGCTTTATACAGCTCTTCTATCCAAAGACCTCACAAATTTGAACCTCTCACCCAACCCCTGACCTGCACTCCAGATCCACATTTCTCATGATGCCCCAAGCATTACAACTGAGGAGGCTGAATGTCCCTTCCAGTCCTGAGGTGCTGTCCCGCATGTCCCATGTGACAAGGGACAGGAGGCAGCAGAAACAGGAAAAGCACATGCGAAGGAGTCAACAGCACGGGTTAAAGTAGAAGTCTGCCACTGACATATGGTGTGCCCCGGGACAGCTATTTCACCTCTTCGAGTCTTAGTTTAATCATCTACACAATAGGGGAAAACAAGCTACCTTGAAAGGATGCTATAAAGACTCAATGAATTTCCATTTGTATTGTATCTGGCCCATGTCAGATTTAAAAACAAGTATTAGTTCCTTTCTTGAATCTTTGCTACAAATCAGCTCCTCCTGGCAGTGTCCATTTCTGTTAAAGCCGTCTTTGTTCTTACTCAGAAGCTCAAAACCATGGACTCAACTTTGACCCATCCCTCACCCCTTTCAATCAAATCAGTTGCCATGTTCTTTTCACTTTTCTCTTTTTTTCAGTTGCCACTATCACTGCAGTACACACTCTTACTAGTTAACATGCACCTACATGTCACTACTGCATCAATCTTAAAATGTTGTCACTTTATTATTCTGCTCAGAAACCCCTAAGTGACTTGGTCATATAAGCACAGACTCCAAGTCATTAACAATGTAGCCTAAGGCTCTCTTACCTCATCTTAACCTCTGTCCCCTAACCCCAGCCCAAAAGGGTTGCTTTAAATTCCCCAGAAGGCACCCTGTTTTCCCTTCCTGAGATGCTTTTCGTCCTCAAAGCATGGGTTACAGTCTGTCCTTTTCCGGAGGCAGCAGCACCTGTAATGGTTAAAAGCTCAGATTCTGGCCAGGCATAGTGGCTCACGCCTGTAATCCCAGCACTTTTGGGGGCCAAAGCCAGTGGATCGCTTAAGCTCGGGAGTGCAAGATCAGCCTGGGCAGCAGGGCAAAACCCTGTCTCTCCAAAAAAAAAAAAAAAAGCCAGAAGTGGTGGCATACACATGTAATCCCAGCCACTTGGAGGGCTGAGGTGGGAGGATTGCTTGTGCCCAGAAGGTATTCACACCACTGGACTTCAGCCTGGGTGACAGAGCAAGATCCTGTCTCAAAAAAACCAAAAACCAAACAAGATTCTGGAGCCATACGACCTGTGTGAATCCAGTCTAGCTGTTAGCCTTAAGCAAATTGTTCAACCTCTTTTGGCCTTAGTTTTCTTCATCTATAAAATGGAGAGAACAACTGAACCTACCTTATAGGGATAGTAAGTGCTCAGATAGAATTATTATTATTTTTTCACTTTGTATGACTTAAGATACTTTTTCTTATTCTGCCTAATATTAGTTTTTTAAATAGAATCATACTTACAATAATTCATATCTTATTTTTGGCTCTCCTTTTTCTCCTACCACCTCCCAACTGTAAGTTCCTTATGGGAACAAACATTTTATTCACTTTGATAATTCCCTCACACAATGGACCTTCAAATAGTTCTTGAAATGGATAAAATCAGGAGTAATTATTTCTTCCCCTCGGTCTCAAAAGGAAGACCTAAAAAGACTAGGAAATCTAGTGATTTGGCAAAATCACATCAGGTAAGGTAGAGTCATAGAGACAACCTAACTCTCCCAACTGGATCCAATAACCTGTTAGCACCAGGAGCCAAACATGCTTAATTACCCTGCTAAATAGGTAGCCATGACAGGAAATGGCAATTAGCCTCAAAAGTTAGGCAGACCATTCTCAAAAAAGAATTCTACATCTCTTGGCCCAAATGCCAGCATGCTTTGTTTGTATCAAATGCCCCTGTGTGGGTCCTCCCTCCACTCCAAGGGTTTAACCCTTGATTCAGCTGTGCAAACAGAGGTGGCACAGTGCTGTTTATGTTCATTGTGGGGAATGCTACCAGACTGTCCCACTATGACAGGACAACTACTTCTCTCCCACCCAAGGAAAATTGGGACTAGCAGTCACAGAAATTAAATGACGAATGAAGAAAGACCAACATTTAATCTTCAAAGTAATTATGAGACTAAAGAAGTTGCTGGGTAAGGCAGGGCAGGGAGTGCATTCAAATACCGGGGAGATTTGCATTTAACATTAAGAGTGGCTATTCAGACTAAAGTTTTATTCTCTGGCAGTTTTCAAGAGTTTCATGTTTTGTTTTGTTTTTCTTACTACAACAAGAAAGGCATGGATTTCTTGATTTCTCTTCTCACCTACATAGAATCATCAGCCTAGAAAACCCTTTCCCTAAAGGTCCAGAATTAGGCTGGGAAACAAATGAAGGCTCTTAAGAAAGTTAGTAAAGATTACATGCCATACAGGAAGTGTTGACCAGGAATACTTACCACACCACCTATTCAATCAATAAACACAAGCACATATTAGGAAGTAGAGAAACAGAAACAAAAGATGTCCTGTGGCAACTGCCCCCCAGACTAGTGTAGGCTGTGGCTGCAGTCTGGTTAAATTCAACTGATGCTTATTGTTATAAGGGGGGTGGTAAAAGGGGAGTGTGTCTTCCAGTTAATTTCACATTTTGGTTTCTCAGTTCTGGAGTAAACTAGTTTTATATTAAATTAAATCTGGCACACATCCCCCCCTAAAAAAGGAAAAGATGGGGAAAGCTCATATACTAAAAAAAATAACAAGAAAAAGAGTCACAGGTGGGGAGAAAATGTTTGCAAAAAAATATATATGATAAAAGGCTGTTAACCAAGATATAGAAAGAACTCTTAAAACCCAATTAAAAATGGGCAAAAGATCTGAACAGACACCTCACCAAAGAAAATATGCAGATGGCAAATAGGCACATGAAAAGATTTTTAACACTGATACGGTTTGGCTGCGTCCCCACCCAAATCTCATCTTGAATTGTAGTTCCCGTAATCCCCTCGTGTCATGGAAGGGACCAGATGGGAGGTAATTGAATCATGGGGGCAGTTACCCTCAGGCTGTTCTCATGATAGTGAGAGTTCTCAGAAGATCTGATGGTTTTATAAGGAGCTTTTCCCCCTTTGCTCGGCACTTCTCTCTTCTGCTGCCATGTGAAGAAGGACATGTTTGCTTCACCTTCTGCCATGATTGTAAGTTTCCCAAGGCCTCCCCAGCCATGCAGAACTGTGAGTCAATTAAACCTCTTTTCCTTATAAATTACCTGTTTTGGGTATTTCTTCATAGCAGCATGAGAATGAACTAATACAAACATCAATGTCATTTGAGAATTTCAAGTTAAAACAAGATGCCACTACTCGCTCATTAGAATGGCCAAAATCCAAAACACGACAACATCAAATTAGCTATCAAGGCGTGAAAAAACATGGAGAAACCTTAAAACGTATACTACTAAATGATAGAAGCCAATATGAAAAGGTCACATACTGTATGATTCCAACCATATGACAATCTGTAAAAGGCAAACTATGGAGACAGTAAAAAGATCAGTGGTTGCCAGAAGTTAGGGGAAGGGAAGGATAAATAAGTGCAGCACAGAAGATGTCTAGGACAGTGAAACTATTCTGCACTATACTATAATGGTAGATACCCGTCATTATACATTCGTCAAAACCATAGAATGTACACCAAGAGTGAATCCTAAAGTAAATTATTGATTTTGGGTGATAATGATGTATCAATATAGGTTCATAAGTTGTACCAAATGTATCACTCTGGAGCAGGATGCTGAGAGGGGGGGAGGCTGTACATGTGTGAGGGCCGGAGGCAGACAGGAACTCTACTTTCTCAATTTTGCTGTGAACCTAAAACTGCTCTAAAATATTTTTGAAATTTTATATATATATGTACATAATGTACATATATGTAAGCTATCTTCCCCAGCTTATATAATTTATAAGCATACAACCTTACCCACACCTCATTGTAAAAAATTGTCTGTGCCATCATTTTAGGAACAAATTAAAATGAAATAAAAAAACACATTCATTCAACAAATATTTATCAAACACTTACCATGCACTACCCATTATTCTAGATTCTCTGTTGTAAAGATTACATTCTAATGAAATTTCTATTCTACCTTCTATTTCTAAATACCTTCTAAACCACCTCTACTTTCTAAACCACCTTCTATTATCAGAAATCATTGTCAATACCTGCCTGAAGATTTTCAAAACTAGCAAAACAAAAATAAAGTGATTCTTTGAAATTCACAAAGGCTTCCAGGTATGGGGGACAAAAAATTTCAACAACTGGAAAAGTCTTCCTATAGTGCCCTGCTAAACTTCATCAAGCATCAAAGATGTGCTAAGCACATGAAATAGCTCTGAGATGATGAGCCAAAGCAAAACATTTCTTAGCAAATAAAACCCAGAAAGTTTATTCCTGTTTTATAATTATGGTAAGATCCTGATAAACTTCTCAGAAGACCATGTATATCTGAAGTAACTCTCTGAATAAAAAGTAGGCCCTTTCCTTTTAACTACCCATAGCAAATTTAGCCTCCACAGGAAGGAGAAATCTGAAGTATCGCATGTGACCCTCTCACACACCTGCTGGAACACTGTTGCTGGCCTATGGATGCACAGAACATGACTTGCTGAATAGATTCAGTGATCCCAAGAACTCTCCTATTCTCCTTTAACATGACTAATGTGCTTCTAACAACCCATAGCACACTGTGTTTATACCAGGGCTTTCAAAGTTCTCTGCACCCTTGAGGTCAGAGAAAAAGAAGGTTTAGTCAACCTAAGGAAATGTGTTCAATCTAGTGATAGGTGAAACTCTCTTCCACCCAAAGACGAGAAGCTACTGATCTTTTAACCATCCCTTATCAATACATGATGTAATGAATGCCAAATCTATACCCCACACAAATCTTGCTGCTCTGATGAAAACAGAATGAATTATCTTCCTTCCTCTCCCCAGCCTTCTTCTCCCCCAATAAGTGCAGCCAGTGAAACCCCTCTGATTTTCTCAGATGTGCATGACATCTGAGAGATTTGGCATGACAGCAAAGGGAAAGGTACTAAACAATGCCCCACCCCACTACCCGAAATTATTAAACACTATAATCATTCAGTGCCAGTGTTAGTTAAGCTCAGAAAACTCAGCTTACAGTGGTCTGCTCTGGCATATTTCCAGAAGGTACTTTCCTCTTTTGGAAGTTACATGAAAAGGGTGAAAATTAACTAAGAAAATAATTATCCTCTCTTTCTATCCCTCTTCTACAATATAAGCAAACTATCAACATGCAAATAATATTTCGTGCCTCCATTTCTGCATTTTAGTCATTACCAATTCATCATTAACTCAGTTTCTGAAAGTCTACCATATGCCAGGTTGTGTTCTGGACATAAAGTCCCTGTCACGTGTGGGAACCCACTCAAGTCTACTTTCATTAAGAAAACATTGAACTGCAGAATTTCAAACAATGCAAGAGATTAGGGGAGAGGCTGAGGGTGGCCTGGTGTAGTTGAAAAAGGCTACCCAAAAGAAGTGAGACTTGGCCTGGCAAGAGGAATTCAGACAGACTGGGAGAAAAAAGAAAAGAATTCCAAACACACACAGTTCTTTACCCAAAGGTCTTATTAGGGGTTCTGAACCTGGCCTTTCCAACTGATGGTCATTAGAGTTTAAGGACATAAAAATAACAGATCTATGAAGAAAACAGTACTTCTCAGAATAAGATCCATGAGGATGCTTTTAGAAGCACAACATTACTGGTAGGAAATCTGGGAAGTGGAGGACTTCAGGAGAAGAAGGAATAAAGAACTGTCAGTTTTCTCCCATGGAAAGCAAATTCTGAACAGGCTTGACAGTCAGCAGACGTAAATTCCAGTCTACACTCAGTTCAGAATCTGGGACTCCAGGCAAGCTTCTTAGCTTCTCTCCAAGCCCTAGTTTCCTCATTTTTAGAATGGAGATAACAATATGTAAGTCATCAGATTAAATAAGTCATCAGATTAGACATGTAAATCACCTAGTTTAGTAGCTGATATACAGATGTTCAATAAGTGGCGACTATTATTGTAATCACATAAAAAGAAGCATGAAAAATTGCCCAGTTCGAGATAAGTGAGGGACTACTAAATTGTAGTGTCTTTGGGGAAAATTTGAAAGTCTGATTTGTTTTCTATTTCTATATGCTACATTTTAATCCTCATAGATTGCTTGGGCTATAAAAATAAAAATGGCATGGTAAATGTCTGGCTATAGCAGGACAGTCTTCGTAGTGCTGCTTTTCCAATGAGCACTTTGCACCTTCATAATTGAATGGAAACAGTTACCTTCTTCAGTCTAGGACAATGACAAAAATTGTTGATTATTTGCTTGGGATTAATCCACTCCATATTCTGCCTGAGAGTTTAAAATGTAGGCTGGCAAATAACTTATTCAACAAACTTTTTGTGAATGTCCTTGTACTAGACACTGTGATAGGTACTTTTAGGGTCTCTTAACCCAGGAGCAAAAGGAAAAGCCTCAGTCTGACATGTCCTAGGTGCTTTATTTTCACAATTGCAATGAATCATCACAGGTCTATGAGAAAGGCTCCATCCCATTTTCTAAAGAAAAGGCAAGATAATTAAGATTTTTTTTATCCTTTCACTCCTTCTTTGATTTATTCATGTTTTCAAATCAAACATCCTTTGGGCACTTGTTAGATATTAACACCTAAAGCAGGTGTCATTGAAATAATACAAATTACCAAGGGGTAAGATTAATTTTGACTGTAAAGTTTGGGAAGAGTTCTGTAAGGGAGCTAATCAGCTGGGCCAGGATATGTACAAAAATAATTAGGGACAGGTACAGGGATGTCCAGCAAGCATGGGGTTCAACCGGACAGTCACGGAGGTAGAAGAATGTCTGTTGCATCTTCAAGGACTGGGGAGCTATTTGCTCGAAGGATGGGTAGGTAAATTGGGGTGGCACAGGTCCAGTAAAGGAGAGGGGTAGGTAGGCACTGAATTGTGAAGAATTTTAAATCCCAAAGTAAGGAGTTACTTTTGTTGATTATATTAACTCTACATAGTGTGTGGTACTGAGAAACCTGTTAAGGGGCAGGTGAAAGAAAAGAAAAAAGAAGTAGAATCTTAGATACAAAGAAAAGCCCATATGGTACTGACATAGGTTCAAGCTCCAGACCTCTTACTGACACTGTAGCTATTTTTTTCTTTCTACATAAGCAGACAAGCTCCTTCTTGCCTTAGTTTATCATCCTTACAACCAACCTTTACCCTTTCTCCTTCCCTTCACAGGACACTAGTAATTAGGCAAAAAATGTAGATTCTGAGGAAATTCAAAGAGTTTTGGTGGGGGAGGGAGAGGAAATGTGATGCAACTCCATGAGCCTTAGTCATGCTGCTGATGTGAGGTCACTATTTACCACTTCAATCCAGCCGCATCAATCCAGCCGGTTCTTCTGTCTGACTAGCATCCATTTACCCCTCTATCCCAGTAGTTCTGAAAAGCCATCTATGTGTTCCTTTGTGTAATGTAAAGGGCAGCCTGACTTCATATTTATGATCTTGTTCAATAGGATGCCATCTTATTCTCTGTTGGGCATGGCTGAACTTTTGACATCAACTTTCCCTTAACAACAACCCCCACTTCCAACACACACACACACACACACACACACACACACACACACACACGGCCAATATGTTCTAACTAGAAATCATCTAAATTCACAGAGCCTCTTCCCTTCACTTCATTATCCTCATGGCCTCATCCTAAACAACTCGGTTTTTTTTCTCGATTCCATTCTTTATCTCAGTTCAAATGCCTCATCTCTCCCAAAGAAGCTAAGGAAGAAATGTTTTGTTTCACCTCGAAAGCCATTTATATCAGGCTCAGGGCTCTCTCCATGTCCTACAGCATCATTCTTTCGACCATGAGCCTTGCATACTCCTGCCTGGCCATATAAGTGGCATTCTTAAAGGTTCATTTGGTTCCTCAAACGTATTCCACATTAAATAATATCCACATGTTGGCTTGTTGAGAGAAGAAGGTAAACAGTTGGGGGCATCAACAAAAAATCAGGTGAGGGGAGAAAGGAGAGATAGTGAGTGTGGCCCCTTAGGCATGCTGAGTTCAGTTACAACAGTCACACTTGGACTGTATTCAAAGTTGCCCACTCATCCACCACAGCTACTCAAAGACATTTAACTCGCTAGCCATTATCCAACCGCATTTACCAGACGCTCAGTCTTGAGGGAGGAGGGTAACGCAGTAGGGGATGCGGAGTATTGGTGTCATCCTACAGGTTAAGGACAAACATGCCCACTACAAGGACAGGGATACATCACCAACTTCAATTCAGCCCAGGGTTCATGTAGTAAGGGGTGGGTGATTCACTCCTGTGGGGGAGGCAGGGCGGGGGCGGTTGGGGGAGGCGGTTAGGAAAAAGGAAAATCGTGGAAAGTCCCAGAGGAAGTGGTAGTCAGTTCCCGATGCATGGCCATAATGTACATTGGCCATAAGGTACACTCAGCGCCTCTGTGTCGCTGCTCCCCCTCAACCTTTTACTCACCCACTCCTCCCAACACGCGCCTCACCCGTGCCTCCATGCACAATCCTGAGCCTCGGCATCCCCGCGAGGTGCAGGTTCCAGCTTTGCCCACCACCCCACCACCTACCTACATGGACACGTGTGGTTGGAATGCCTCCCGGGGCTAGACGGCCACCCCTCTTGGGCTGCGAGCTGCTGCCCATCTCTCCACCCACCCGTCCTTATTGTGTCATTTGCCCGGTCTGATGGCAGCCCCAAAGCCGCTCATTTGAGTGGGCTAGAATGGAGAAGAGAGGAAAAGGGAGGCACACATTTCATTCACTAGGACCCAAGATGACCTGCCGCCTCTCTCCTGCCCTTCTCGGAGCCCCCCACCCTCCCTTAGCCCCAGTGGGGCTGGAGGCACGAACAGACAAGGCAAGGGGAGCGCAGTCCGTCAAGGTCCACAGCTGCACACAAAGCCCTTCACCTTCTCCTTGCCTTCCAAGCTCCTCCCTGGGCTTGGTTTCTCCGAGGGTCTCTGATGCCCCCTTCGGTGGTCGGCGGGACGGTCCTATTCCCTCTTGCATCGCTGTCTCCTCCCTCAAGTCTCAGCCTCCTCCTCCCCGCCCCTCGCCACATACCCCTGAGGGAGCTCAGTCCTGGCTTTGGGGGCGCGAGAGCACCCCATAAGCCCGGGGCCCTGCGCCCCAGGGGAGCGGACAACGGTCCACTTTACGAGGCACAACTTCGCCCAGCCGTTCCGCCACCGCACTCGAACACACACCCCATCCCCGCAGCGGTCGGGTCTGGTCCCGATCAGCCCCATCCCCGGGAGGCGGTTGAGCCCAGCCACAGCCACGCTCCTACCTGCGAGGCGGCTGGCGCGGCGAGGAGCTAGGGCACCGAGCGCCCCGGCCCGAGCCCCGCACCGCAGCGCGTCTGCCCTTGTGCGGCGGCGGCGGCTGCAGCGGCCGCTGGGTGGCCCGCTGGCTGGCTGGTTGGCTGGCTGGCTGGCTGGCTGGCTGGCTGGCTCGCTGGCTGGCTGCCCGGCTGACTCCTCACTGGGGCTTCCTGTAGGGCTGGACAAAGGACATTTCCTGGGAGGAGCGGGAGAATGTTCCCAGCATGCCTCGATTTGTAGTTCCCGGGGACTTCCTGCCACCGCAGCAGCGGGCGCCCTGGAGGTAGCTCGGGCCAGGCTAGGACTCCGGGACAGGAGGAAAGGCGCTCGCTGCTTCTCTAAGCGCTGTGGGGAAGGGAGCGGCCGGCGGGTCTTGCCCCACGCCCCGCCCCGCGGCGCTCAAGGAGCCCGCTGTCCCGGAGCACGCGAGATCCCAGCGCTGCACTCCGAGCTCGCGGCACCGGTTGCGGGCAGCCGGTGGGACGCTGCCGCTGAGCTGTCCCATGGTTCGGGAGGGCTCTGCGGTGGGAGAGGCCTTTTCTTTAAAAACTGGGAAGTTTGTGGTGGGTTCGCTTTTTAAAAATTAATCTAAAAACACAAAATCTATCTTTTAAAATAGATTTTCTTTTTGTCTTTTACGCCGTTGACATCCTGCTGGGGGCCGATTAAAGAACTTGATTGCTCACCAGGAATTCAGGTTCCTTAAGATCTTGGCGCTTCATCTTTAAAACCATACAGAGCTGATTGTTTCCAGATCCCGACCCGGTGACATTCCTCCCTCATTGTTGACCTTGTCCCAAACATCTTTTCAAGAAAAGCAATTAAATTGAGATTGAAAATAAATTACGTAAATTAAATATTAGACGTGAAAACCTGTGTGCTGCTGAATTAGGAAAGTGCTGGACTTTCTGCGTATCTTTCCTTCATTAACCTTTAGGATTCAGCTTCTTGGTCCCATAAAACAGATGTGCTGGCCACTGTATATTGAGTGTGTGTATTTCGGGAGTGGAAGGGTGAGGAGAAGAGGACATTGGCTACAAGAGAGGAACTCTACTTCCAGCCTAGCAAGAGTCTATGATGCCCTGCACATGTTTTTGTCTATTTCTGGGACCACAGACTCAGGACCCTTAGAAAATCAAGGAAGGACCACATAGAGACTAAATGACTAAAAGCTATATTCTCTCCTGGAGCATGAGCAGAAAGTAATAAACTGAACTAGGAAAGGACAAGTTCTAGGATGCTCTAGAATGTGTTTGAAAAGTAATCAGATAGAAAAGTCTCTGGGAGGCCGGGCGCGGTGGCTCACGCCTGTAATCCCAGCACTTTGGGAGGCCGAGGCGGGCGTACTACGAGGTCAGGAGATGGAGACCATCCTGGCTAATACGGTGAAACCCCGTCTCTACTAAAAAAAAAAACACCAAAAATTAGCCGGGCGTGGTGGCGGGCACCTGTAGTCCCAGCTACTCGGGAGGCTGAGGCAGGAGACTGGAATGAACCTGGGAGGCAGACCTTGCAGTGAGCTGAGATCATGTCAGTGCACTCCAGCCTGGGCAACAAAGTGAGACTCCGTCTCAAAAAAAAAAAAGAAAGAAAGAAAGAAAAGTCTCTGGGCTTGGTGGCTCATGCCTGTAATCACAGCACTTTGGGAGGCCGAAGTGGGAGGGTCACTTGAGCCCAGGAGTTCAAGACCAGCCTGGGCAACACAGTGAGACCCTGTTTCTACGAAAAGTAAAATAAAATAAATAGCGGGTGTGGTGGCGCGTACCTGTAGTCCCAGCTACTCGGTCGTTTAAGTGGAAGGGTCGTTTGAGACTGGGAGTTTGAGGCTGCAGTGAACCGTGATTGCACTCCAGCCTGGGTGACAGATTGAGACTCTGTTTCAAAAAATAAGGTCATAATTACGTGTCACTTCCACTTGTCATTTCACATTTTAAATCCATATGATTAAAACATTTGGGTGAAGGGTTTAGCTTACATTTAAGTAAAGTTTATGCTAGAGTTCTCTTTCTCTAGAGATCCTTAACCTCACGGATAAGATGGCCTGGATTAAAATGTAGAATTGATGAGAAGCATGCAGATAGGACTGTTCACCTCCCAAAAGTTCCTGTTGTATGCCCACCCTAAAGGTCCTGCTGTATGCCCACTCTGTTGACTGTCCACCTAAATTAATTGTGCTGTGATCCTTGCATTTTCTGGACCCTACAAATTACTGCTCCTTCATATTCTCAACCTGGTAACATTCCAGTGAAACTAATCTCCCCATCTCCACCCCAAAGAATTGATTATTGTTTTGCAAATCAAGTAGCCTCTAATAGTGTTCAGTCTGAAAAACATGATATACTTGCTTGTAGCATTTAACATATAACATTGCCCATTGAAACTATTTTTTGCCTTGCTTTTAATACAACACACTCTCCTCCTTCTCCTACACTTCTAACTTGAGCTCAGAATAATTGAACTTTCACTCATTATTTCACGCCATTCCAAACCTGTCCCATCCTTTTGTTTCCAATCTCAGTTATTTTGTTACTTCAACAAAGTTTTGTTTAACATTTATTCATGCTAGTCTCCATGTCTGGAGTAGACATGTAACATTCAACAGTAAGATATTTTACTGAGTAACTACCAGCTATGTCTTACCCCCAAGAAGCCCACACTCCAGTTGAAAAGACAGATGTCACAAAATTACTTCACAGTGTTTAAGGGCTATAATGCTGCCTTATACTGGGGTTCGTGTTCTGTAAAAGTGGGGCTCTTTCCATAAGCCTTCTGTTCCAGTGAGTGGCAGGAGTGGACAGGAGTGGCCAGAGGAAGGCTTGGGAGGGAGGAAATACAGACGGTAAAGAAGACATGTAGTATGTGAAATTTGGTTCTGAACAGGGTGGTAGCTGAGAAGGAAGTCGGATCAAAGGACATTCTTCTGTTTGTAGGGGTTTTATTTGTTCGGTTTTTAAGATGAGAGAGCCTTGAGGATGTTTAAATGCTGATGAGAAAAGTCTTGGAGAGAAACAAAGGGTAACAAAGAGGAACGAAAGAGGATAAGGGATTCTTATTCAACAAATACTTGTTGAATTAACTAATTCCTGCAACTTAGTGTTGAAAATGTTGAGATTGAAATGACCAAACTGCATATTCCCAGCTAAGATACGCAGAGTCTGAGACCAGAAGGAAATGGCATTTCTTTCCTCCTTGTCATATGCTCTCTCCTGCCCTTGAGGCCCTCAGGGGAAGGTGACAGACAAGTGAATGAAAGGAGAGAATGGAGGCTTCCTCCACTGTTGAAGATTAAGTCTTTTCCAAGTTGACAATAGGTTGGAAAGGCACACCACAACTTCAGGAAAGTCCAAACTTTCAAGCCTGTGGATTTTCATTTCATCTTTAAACTAAAAAAAATTTTACCCTTGCCCTTTTCTTTTTCTTCTTCACCACTTTGAGGCAAAGTAAATAATGATTCTCATCCTCATCTTTCAGAGAGTTGAGTCTGGACAGATTTGCTTACATTTTTTTAAGCTTTCAAGTATAAAATGGATGGACCTCTGTTGTTTTTCTTAACCTAGCAAGCATCCCTTTCCCTTTTTTTGGTAACAGCACCTTTGAGAAAAAACCCCATTTCCACCCTTAGGTCTTGTGGTTTAGAGAAGGGCAGAGCCCATCTTCACCTCCACTTCATTGGCAGGTAGTGATCAAGACCCGCCAATTAGCCAATTCAGTGTTGTATGAGGGATAAGCTATTAAAGGAAACAAAGCTGAGAAAAGGGGTGTGGGAAGGGATGTATGCATAAGCAAATTTTTATGACTTGTTTGATCATGCCTGAAGCCAAGGTACCCTTAGACTTTTTAGTTACATGAGCCAAAACATTCCCTTCTGGGCTTAAGCTATTTTGGGTTAAGTTCTATCTCTTGCAGCCAAAAGAGTTCTATATAGCTGGAAGTGGGATGCTGTAGTGCAGATCCTTAAATGTAAAATTGGCTGAGTTGAGAAATGGTGAAAGTAGGAAAGATCCCTCTGTGCCAGGCTAGAGAACTGGAAATTCTTGTGATATGGTAGCCAGGAAACTGAGTGAGAGGTCTCAGACCCCAGCATTTCCAGGGTGGAGTTTGAGAGGTCTTGATTGACAAATGTCAGGGTTTTAGAGAGTTTGGTCTACTTATAGTTTTTATAAATGTTCCAAAGAAAAAGCCATGCTAATGTTGAAACTGGCCTATGTAGTAGCAGAGAGGAAAAAATTACAGTGTGATTAAAAGATTCCCCTTCTACCAGTAGCCAGCAAACCCAAATGGTCTGGAGTCAGATATATTGAGCCATGCCACGTTAGAAAACTAAAATCCTCTGCCTCTTACACAGTGACAGCAAAGGCATAAGTAAAAAACTGATAATAGACTGTCTCCTGAGTCTACATCAAACTCCTCCTGCTGTGCTGTTCCTGCCAGAGGAAGGGAAGAATTAACCCCATTTTAATTGGGTGACCATATCATTTCTTATCAAAATGGGACAATTCTGAGTGTGAGTATGGGTGCTATTAATAATTATACCTAGGTGACAGCTCTAAAGCAGGTCACCCTAATTAAAGAGCTATCTACTAGGACACCATCTTGCATCAAAAGGCCACTCCATTAGTCCTCCTCATCTGCAGATAGTTATTTCAAGTTGCCCTAGGCAGAGGCCAAGATGGTGGCTGTTAAACTGAAGACTGTTAAAATGAGTCATCTCTAAGGCTTTTCCTTAAAAGACAGAAACTCCCAGGACAGGGTCTAGAGCGTAGATAGACTCCATACCTCTGAAATACAAGAGAAGGCGGGGGGTGGCTAAAACAATTCGGTCCCAAGAACGGGAATCCTTCTCAATTCCCTTTACAGTTGTGATCATGGAGGAAAATAGTCAACAGGAATCCTTTCTGAGAGTAAAGCTGAAGGTAGCTAAATTGGCCAAAGAACTCAATTCCTGTGAGGCAGATAATTCTTGCTATTTCTAATTAGCAGAATGTAACACATCCTATGGTACAGTCTCCATACTGATTATTTACCCTTTCCTTGCTTTCCTGTAGGAGTTACTCAATTTTACCCTCTACTGTTTTATACTGACTATGTGGGGAGTAATCAGATTTGTAGTTTTGTCATATGTTGTCAGAAAGAGAGAATGAAAATCACTTAACGGTAATGGACTGGGAGCTAGACACAAAGAAAAAACAAGAGAAATGAAACGAGTTAGACATGTGAAAATGCATTTACCTTTTGGATTGTGGGTGAATGCATTTTCATGCATATGTAGAATAATTGCATGCTATTAAGTGGGGGCATTTTAAAAACTGTATGGAAGAAGGGAAGCCAAGAGATGAACTGTCAAGTGTGGCTGCTATTTTTTGACGGCTCAGCATTCATTCCCACTTTCTTGTAACAGCACTCTAATTTTCCTTCTGAGGAACAACCCCTCCTTCAACTTTAGTCTTGTCTGGAAGAGGGTCTATCTTTCCCTACCTCTACCACTTCATCGCCCAGTTCTGAGGCTGGATCTATAACCCAGGCCTGGCCAATCAGTGCCTCCCATAGCTCACAGACCAGTAATTGTGTCAGAGATGGGCATATGACCCAGAAGATAAAATCAAAGAAGCCCTCTTTCTCTGTTGGAATTGCTAGTTGAAAAAAATAACATTAAGCTGAACATGCTGGAATGTATAGCCTGAATGTGGAGTCAATACAGAGAGTGGAAGAGCTGAGACAGGGAGACACAGAAAAAGAGAAATTGACTTGAGCTCTTCATTCCAAGCATTTCGAAATCTATCCTTGCACTTTTTAGTTCTGGGAACCATTAAATTCTCCTCCCCCACCATTTTATTTATCTGATTTGAATTGGATTTTTGCCTAGTTCAACAGAAATAGTTCTGAGCAAACTCAGAATTTTAATGTTTTTTGGAATTTTTCGTGGTCAAATTACTCAGGAAAGAGGGATGTGAGAACAAGACAGGGGAAAAGGGGTAGGTTCACATGAAAAACAGCTTCCAGTGAAATGTTCTTTTCCTTATTAGAGACACTGTGGTTCCCACCGCCAGCTCCCTAACTCCATAATCCAGGCTGGAGAATTAGGACTATGTGTGGTAAACTGACCACTTTCTAGGACATAAATGATGGGGACACATGGATCACTCAGTGCCTATTAGGAGAACTCAGCCATGTTTTCATTCTTGTATTGGTTCTTTCGGAAAAAAAAAAAAAAGGCTGGGCATGGTGGCTCATACCTATAATCCCAGCACTTTGGGAAGCCAAGGTAGGAGGATCCCCTGAGCCCAGGAGTTTGAGACCAGCCTAGGCAACATAGTGAGACCCCATCTCTGCAAAAAAAAAATAATAAAAAATTTAGCTGTACATGGTAGTGCATTCTTGTAGTCCCAGCTACTTGGAAGGCTGGGGCAGAAGGATTGCTTTAGCCTGGGAGGTCAAGGCTACAGTGAGCTCTAATCATGCCACTGCACTATAGCCTGGGTGACAAAGTGAGACTTGGTCTCTATCAAAAACAAACGAACAAACAAATTCATTCCTTAAAGTGATTGTTTAGCCTGGTTGGTTTATTAGTAGGTAACACACAGCTTGGTTTTCCAATTTTATGTTTTGTTTTGTGTCCTGGTGGCATTTAGCTGCTTCATCTTAAGTCCTAAAACTTATATTCTATTCCCACCCAGATCAGGGCCTTTCCCCCATTTATGCCTGGAGTCAACACTCCACCTCCAGCCCCAGCCTTTCTGTGGGTAGCTCCTTCTCATCTTAAACCTAAATGTCACCTGCTTATAGCAGTTTTCTCTGGCCACTCTATCTGAAGTAGCCCCCTTTATTTTCTGCTAGTCCTTTGTTTTCTTCTATTCAAAACGCTTTAAATTTTGTTTACCTGGCTTTTTTCTCTCTTGCAACTAGCTGGAAACTCCACAAGAGTAGGGATCTCTATGTCTGTATCATTCCTAATTTTGTCCCAAGAGTCCAACACTGTGCTCAGCTTTTACAGTAGGAACTCATAAGAAATTTGCTGTATACACTTAATGAATATTTTTAAAGCAGCTGTGAGGAACATCACTGTTCATTTGTGGACAACTTGTCTTAGATATACTTTTTCAAAGTAAATTTTTATTGAAACGTAATGTATAAAAGTGCATATTTCATTAACATTTTCAGATTTTGAAGTATATCTTATTCCCTACAGGAGAATTTAGGGAAGGGGAAAGTGAAAGTATTTCCCAAAGGAAGTGGAGGGAGGAGGAGGGGATGTTATCACTGGGATTAGCTGGGCTGAAGACTGGCTCTAAAACATCCTGCCTTCTACAAATGTTTCTCCTAGCTAAAGGCAAAGACACTGTTTCTTTGCTGGGCTTCATATAGCCTGGAACCTCTAATCCCTCAAGGTTGGGAAGAGAAGGAAAATCAATTGTGAGTTACAGGAAAAGTAGATAACATAGGTCAAGGTGTAGATTTTACTCACCTCCACACTCCAAAAACTAGAAAGATATTTAGTTTACTAAGCTTTTTAAACAAATCTGTATCTGATTTAATGGAGAAATTTTTGATGCTCTCTCTCTCTCTCTCTCAGATTAGATACAGGAAAAGGATACTCAATATCACTGCTACTCTTCCACTTGGTACTGGAAATCTATTCCAACCCAACAAGAAAAGACAGTTAAATGTATAAAGATTAGAAATGAAGATACAAAACTGTTACTTGCAGATAGTCTGATCATTTACATGAAATTTATTATAAACCAGGAACCATCTAATGTGTTTAATATTCACATAATCTGTATTTCACAAATAAGGAAAATAAGGCTCTGAGAGGCTGTATTTACCCAAGATCGTTCAGCAGTCGGATTCAGAGGCTGAATTTAAGTCCACGTAATCAGAAGGAAAAATGGGAACATTCAGAGTCAGAGTGTGAAAGCGAAAGCCAGGAAGCCCCATCCATCCATCCCTTCAACAGTGAACAAAATATGGTTCCATCCATTTATTCATTCAATAGTAGAAAACATAGTGTGTTAATTTGCACCTGCTCTCTTCCCTGCACAGTGCTCAGCGCGAGGGACACCAAAATGAAGACTCAAGCCGTGAGCACAGTCCAGTGAAAGAATGATAACCACGCAAGGAGACAGAGCTGTTATCACTGAGCTTGCATAGCAGATAATGGGTGCTGAAGAAATTGGGGGTGTCAGAAATCACTTCCCCAGTGGTGACGCCTGAGCCAAGTCTTAAGCGTAGATGTAGGTTTTCTGAGGAAGGAGCTAGGCACTTCAGGTAAGGGCAAAGACCTGCAATGCTGTGAAAGGTGGGACAGGGCAGCTGAAATGAAGAACATTGCCTGAGACTGGAGAAGTAGGAACGGACCCAGAATGCCATTGTGAACCATGCTGAGGAGTGTGGATAGTGGACACAGTATCACGGTAATGACATACAGACTCTCTATACCAGTAGATAGACTAAAAGTAAATGACTCCATCCCTGTAGGCTGAATGAGGCAGTAAACTGCTTTGTTTTCTTTTACTGTGTCTACACTCAGTAGTCTCAGTTTCATTTCCATTGGCATGCTAATTTTCTTATAACGTACCACCAGTCACAGCTTTTTAAGTGGTGTCACCAAAACTTTCTCCTATTCTCAATAAAACTGCTTTGGCATCTAACTGACTTGACTAGCACGCCCCACCTACTCGTCTTTTCTCTGGAAGCATTGTGGCTTCATCACCAGGTTTATTGTTTCTGATCAACTAAGGAGATATGGCTTCAGTGAAGGAGAAAAGATAAATCTATTTATTCAATACATATTTATGGAGCATTTACAGTGCTAGGAATACAATAGTGAATAAAATATGGTTTCTCCTCTCAAAGAGCTTATAGACTCGAGTTGACCAAACAGGTAATAATAATATTTAGTGCCAGAATCAGAATCTCAGATATTCTGGTATTTGCTGATTCTAATACTGTGTGCTAAACCTTGTTCAATATGCTTTGTATATGAACCCTTTAGTCATTCAATACTCTTGACAACCTTATGAGGCAGGTACTATTGTTACCACCCTCACCCAATTTACCTTCCTTCCCCATTTCATCTTCTAGTTGGCTCAGAACCCAAACAGTGTAGCTCCAGTGTCTGTGCTCTGACCTTCTTCACGTTAATTTCTTAATGACAATCTAATGTGATAAATGACCTGATATAGACACACTACATTAGAAAAATGTCCAGGGTGCTACTGGCACCTACCATAGTCTTAGGGGCCAGGAAACATTTTCTGACAAAGTTTCTAGCTGAGCCTGGAAGGGGGAGGAGTTGGCCAGGTACAGAGGAAGGAGGGAAGTGATTTGGGATCAAAGGAATCTTAAGTATAAAGATCCTGAGCCTAGAAACAACTTGTCACTCAGAAGATCTACAGAGCATTTTGGAAGGCCAAAATGGGTCCAGGATGAGGGGGTGAGGGTGAGGGTGGGAAGGAGTAAAAATAAAGTTGGCTGTTTTAGATCTTAACATTTTACTGCTAGAAGAAATTGCATAGACAAGGCAATAAAGCCAAGTTCCAGAAAATCCTGAATTTAAATATTACATCCCTTTTAAGGCATGCTGGTCTTTTTCTTCAAACCAAAATCAGAATCATTTTTTGGACTTGTGGACTTACTTAGGTAATAAGTCTCAGAAAAGTAGCTCTTATTAATTACATGGAATTTGATATTTAACCATTCACCTTTGTTGAAAGAAATAAAAGTACATTAAATTATATAAAATTACCCCATAAATCAGTTGATACAGTGATTGAACTGTCATTCTTATATTCAACATATATTTTTACTGAGCACTGCTATATATCAGGCCTAGTGTATGACACTGTAGGATACATCAGTGAAGAAGAAGAAGACAGGTGCTTGGGCTTGCAGTATGCATATTTCAGCAAATCCTAAGTATCTCGATCTGAAAAGCATGCTATCCATGCTATCTAGAATACATAAGGGTTTTAATCCAAACATCTAATTTTACAAATGAAGAAACTGAAGAGGTTAAGTGATTTACCCAAATTCACGCATTTCAGTTTAGTACGGTGCTGGAGACTTGACCTAGTGTCACACACTGGCAAGCCATTGCTCTCTCCAATAACACCCCATGCCCTCATATATTATGAACCATGGATTTAAGAGAGTTGTTTGACAAGAAGTCAAGGAGTCTTGTAAGACAGGATTCTCCTTGCAATATTTCTTTAATAATCTCATATTCTCCTTCACTAGTGAAATAATAGCCTACAGATGTCCAACATCGTCCTCTTTGCAAAAATGTTTTCACATTCATTATTTCATTTGAGCTTTGAGTGGCCCTATGAAGTAGATTCTGTAGATATTAATATCCACATTTTACAGATGCGAAAAATGAGTTTAGAGAGTTTCAGTGACATGAGCATGGTTACAAAGTGAGGACCAGACTAAGGGCAGACTCAGCTGCCCCAGGCCTCAATTCATGGATGCACTAAAATATTACTGGAATTAATCAGAGATTCAGTCCTATTTAACTCAAGTTTTTACCAACACTACAACACAAGTGATGAAATGTAAATTAGTTTTTACTCCCACTTAAGAAGGAAGTGTGTTTGGATAGAAATGTAAAAACACTCCTAGGGCTGCAGATTTATCTGCGATATATACATGCATGTTTCTTGGTGTAATTAGAGTCCTATCCCAATCCTAAGAAGATCAGAAGCTAGCAGTTGAATTCTGAAACTGAACAATGTGTGGCATAGCACAGGGAATAAGATATTTTTTAGACTATTAATTTTAATTCATTTAGTATATCTCCCATTGAGATTATCTAATTGGACAATTGAAATGAAAACTGGAGAACAAAAACTATAGAAATGTGGCAAATGTTTTATTGGTATGAGAGCCAATAAATAAATAACTAATACAGGAGAAACTTTAAAAACATATTCCTGTGTATAGATTCTGCAAGTGATGTGTGAATACATTTTTGCTATGAAGGAATTACCATTAAGCATTTAGATTAAAAAGTAAAGTTCACTTTTCGTATGCCACCAGTGGTCTCGCTATCCTCATAGCACTTTCAGAAAAAATATTTTGACCAAGCCTGTGTAACTACACCAAGCAAGTTATCTTTGCCCTTTGTGAGCGTGAGTGAATAATGCTTTCTAGTTATGAACACTAGAAAAATTGTGAAGCAAAGAACAATTCCAAATAAGTAGAATATTCTGCTCTAGTTAGTGCATATAGCAAATCCCCTATTTGAGCATAAAGAGATATTTTATTTTATTAATGAGAATAATCATCAACTTTCACATCTCTTGCTGCAAAAGGATATTAATTTGGAGGGACACCAAATTATCTAGGGACTGGATCTCACTCTTAAGACTTCTATTCAGTGGCTGGGGCTCAGCTTTCCATTTTACAGGTTTTTTTTCTCTCTCTAAATTCCCCTTTCCCTACTATATATTCCTCCCCCCAATGAATGCCTATCATTCTGATAAACTGGACCACAAAATACTCGTTTCATTTTATACTGTTTTAATTGGCTCTTGGGATGTTTCATGCAATCTATTGGTTCTGTCTCCCCAGTTTGAAGCTCTTTGGCACAGGGATGTTGCCTCATGCTTTGCCTGTCCCACCGAGTGCTTCCAGCTGTGCTGCACACAGAGCAGTTCAGGAGTCCCTCCAGGAATGTAGCCCTCCCCCTCTCTCTTCTACAAAACTCAGAGGGACTCTTCAGGAGCCACATGCTCTCATCAAGCAGAAACTTTTTAAGAGGTAGACAACAACCCAGAGTGGACACAGAGCTGGTGCTCTTCCAGTAGAGGTAAGTCTTGGCCAGCTCTCAGTGCCCTGGCTCTGTAAGCCTCCCTCCCAACAACCTCACTGAGCCTCTTGCTGGGCCTGATCCCCGAAGTAGACTTTCCCTTGTCGTGTAGTTAGTACTCCAGCTGCACTCACTTCCCAGCTTAACTTCCTGACTCTTCTCAACCAGAAATCTTTTCTGGTTCACAACTTTAACTATATTAGCTCTCTTATTTTTCAAACTTTGTATCCCTTTCCTACTGTAGGACTCACTATGATAGCTTCAGTTTCTCTTGGCTGCTTCTGGAGGCACTTCATCCATTAGCAATGGATTCTTTAATAGTTGCTTTAATTATCAACACTTACAGTTATGTACAGAGATTTCCCAGATTAGGCTATAAAATGTTTCCCTCCATCCATGTCCATGCAATGGGGACTTTTGTCCTGTATAATTGTGTCTTATGGGCTTAAATTATACCAGTATGTTCTCCATTCACGTTTTTCCCCTGTGAGATTTTATTCATGGCAATTTGTTTCAGCTGTTGATATAGAGAAACCAGTTTAACAGCTTCAAAAGGTCAACTGAAAAAGGAACCAGTCATCCTGTGTACTCATTAAAAATAAATGGAAGCATTATGGAGAGTTATTATATATCTTAAGACTTTTTTGGAGGGGAAATGGAATGCAGGGCCAGGTGGGAGACGGATGATTACCTGGGATTATATTCTTAGCTACATCTGTTAGGATATTTGGGATTCCTCCATGTGAAGAGGCTAGAAAACCAGAACGACAGTTTATACCAGGCTGGGATCTCTAGAGATAAGGATTATGTGACAGGCTTTGTAAGCACAGAATCCAGGGGAGTAACTATTGTAAGAGTTCAGACAGCTATTAAGAACAATGTTGAAAAATTAGACCAAGTGGAAAGAGAAAGAGATACGAGCTGTCAAGCCAGAGTTCAGCTAAGCAAGCTGGTTAATGGTTAATACCAGTAGCTTCTCTATCTGTGTGTTGCTTACGTCAACCCCAATTCCTCATCCTATTGTAGAGTTGGTACTTAAATCTGAAAACTCAGGTGTGCCCTGAACTGATAACCAGCTGAGAAAGTATAGGGAAGAAAGGAATGGGTGGGCAGGGCTAAAGGTAACAGTAGAGCAAAGCAGAGGTACTGGGTTCTCTAGAAGGTGGCAGATATTGTTATCAAAGAGAGTTTACCCAAGAGACCCTGAGACATTGCATTAGCAGACCAGGACACATGACTGTTTCTTAATTCTATCTCCAGTTTAGAACTACATGTCAGGTAGAGTTGACAGAAGCCAAAGAAAAAGAACAAAACAAAACAAACAAAAAAACCCTAAAGTTAGAGAAGGAACCACATGTCTGCTATAAGTAGTGTTTAGAGAGCAGGGAAAGAGATGAAATTTGTTTTCCTGCTTCTCACGTCTCATTAAAATATAGATGCTGTAGGTAGGGTATTCATCATCCCCTTCTTTGGTAAGCCCTCAGATTGCAATGGGCCACCTTGTAGTAGTGTTGTTTGATGACACAGTCAGGAAGGATGGTTAATGCACAGCAGTAGGTGGACAGAGTTCAGTTGGTCTTAAATATTTAGATCTGGTGCCCATCTAGGGATGGTGCTATGGAAAAATAATAGCTGGTAATTATTAAGAGTGTAATATATTCCAGAGACTGAACTAAAAGTCTTAAGGGTATTTCCTCATTTGCTTCTCCCATCAACCCAATTAGGCAGTTATTACTTTCTTTATTGTACATATGAGGACACTGAAGCTTAGAGAGGTTCAGTAACTTGCCCAAGGTACACAGCCAATAAATAGCAGAGATTTTCCAACCCAGGCCTGCCTCCAGATCTCATGGTGGAAATCACTTTGCTGTCCTAGGAAAGGCACTGTTAGCTCACATGGCTGAAAGGAAAGCTAATGCTACATTTTTTTTTTTTACCCTGCAGGTTAAAGAGTTAAAAATAGAGGTGAGATGCTTATTTCCTTACACTTTTTCCTGCATTTTTCTTCATTTCATCACGCATTATACCCCACATCCAGGTGCTGGTCTTGTGCTTTCGGTTACATGTTGAGTTGTGTGGAAGGGCAAGCCAGGTTTATTTCAATGGAAGAGTGTTCATTCATCAAATTGACCTACCATTATACAACACCAATGCAGATGACACACTCTACCAGGGTGTGGAGAGGAGTGTGCACAGTCCTCACACTCAGGAAATTTACAGCCTCCTTTGGAAGATAAGACATGCCTGTAAAAAGATAATCGAAGGCAGCATATGATCAGCACTAAACCACCAGGAAGAATAACTGCTCTTCATGTCAGAAGAGGGAGAGAGAGCACTTCTCAGCGGGTGGTCAAGGTAGGATTCCTGGAAGAAGGCCGGTTCTGAAAACTGAGAGAGCTGTTTATTTTTGGGTAGTGGAATCATGAAATGAATCACAGAGAGAGGAAGTGAAAGGTGTGTTTGGGAACAGCAACAGCACCAGGTTGACTTTAGCTAGGCCCACTAGGGGAGGAGTAGGAGATGGGGCAGGAAAGTCAAGCTGAAATTGGATTGTGCAGATCCTTGAAAACAATGCACAGCAGTTTGAATTCATTAAAATAAATAAGATTCAACGTAAAACACCAGGCCTACATAGGCACTTAATAAACTGGGGAGGTTTGTGTGCAACAATAGCAGAAAGAGTGAGAGCTTTGGAAATAAGGTCAGCCTGAGTCAAATTCTAGCTCTGCCATTTATTAGCAGTGTGACTTTGGGCTACTTAATTTCTCTGAGTTTCAGTTTATTCATCCCTAAAATGTAAATACTTCCCATCTCACACAGCTATAGAGCAGGGATCAGCAAACCTTTTCTGTAATGAGCCAGATTGTAAAGATTTTAGTCTATGGACCATGCAGTCTCTGCCATTGTATGGTGAAAGCACATTGACAATACGTCAACAAAAATTAGCAAGCCTGTGTTCCAATAAGACTTTATTTACAAAAAGTCAGCTAGCTGAATTTGATCTTTGGGCCACAGTTTACCAATCTCTGTTACAGAAGATTAAATTAAACATCTATAAAACACCTAGCACAAAATAGATTTTCCATAAGCATTCCAACCTTTGACAATTTCTTTTGTCCCCTCATGAAGTGGCTTCTATCTCCATTCCCACACTCTGTTGTAGTTGAGACTTATGCATGTATTATCACTTGTTTGTCTGTGGTGCGGCCATAATATTGCCCCATAAAAATGGATTTCAAAACTGACAGAGTTTTTGAGGTTCTTAAGAGGATTATTTGCTAAAGGCATACAGAAAAAGGACCTTTGCTAGTCATAATCTTAAGTGAGAACCATGTCCAATTTCTGGGCTGAGGGGATATGAGGCAACGTGCTCTGTTCCATCCCTTCACTTAAGGCTATAAGAAAAAAGCACTGAACTCCACACACTGAATTTGGAATGAAAGGGAGCCCCCTCATGGAGGTTTACGAAACACAGTTGAATTCTGTTTCACTACTCCAACTAGGATTAACCAAGATGAATTTAACTTGTGAGCAGTTGGAAAGAGTTAACTTACTCTTTCCAAGCCTCTCATGCTACCTCTCTCTCTCTCTCTCTCTTTTTTTTTTTTTTTTTTTTTTTTTTTTTTGGAGACAGGGTCTCATTCTGTCCTCCAGGATGAAGTGCAATGGCATGATCATGGCTCACTGCAGCCTTGAACTCCTGGGCTCAATTGATCCTCCTGCCTCAGCCTCCTGAGTAGCTGGGACTACAGGTGTGCACCACTATGCCTAGATAAATTTTTATTTTTAGTAGAGACGAAGTCTCGCTGTGTTGCCCAGGCTGGTCTCCAACTCCTGACCTCAAGCATCCTTCCATCTTGGCCTCCCAAAGTGTTAGGATTATAGGCATGAGCCACCATGCCTGGTTGTGTTACCTCATTTGGTCAACAACTGCATTGTGAGATAATTTTGCTCCTGAGGAAATTGAAAAAGAAGTAGTTACAAATTGGGCCAAGTCTGCACTTCATAAGTCAAAGCAATTTAGAGAGAGCAGGCTAGGTGTTGGAGGTGGGACACAGTGGAGAAGGCTTACCAGGGCCAATAGTGGGATGCTTTGCCAGGCCCCACAATTTTATGTAGGACCTGTTGTCAACACCATATCACGCTGAAATACAGTAAGATATCATCAGCCTTTCTCACTGAAGCCTCTCCCACTGCAAAAGAGTTGTAACTGAGCTTGCTAAGCTCTAGGCACAGCAGCCCTCCAGCTGGTAAGCCAAGCTAGCCAACAGGATGACCTTCATGGCTCTTTACCAACAACATCGTCCTTTAGAGTCACAGGACACTCATTTGCAACTGGCTCTTCTTCATCCCCTCTCCCCCCGCCAATAAATCACCTCCTTAGTTGCTGAATGAGGCTTGTTGGCTGTGGGACCACATCCCTGGGCTCTGCATTGCAGCAAGTATACACAGTCACCCAGGAGCCCTCTGTCATCGCCTGCGAATACTAGAAGCATGAGAATAAGAAGTAAGCCCGACCATGTTGAGGAAGGGGAAACTAGCTTTTGTTCCACAGAGTGAAACCTCAATAAATTGGCCATCTGATTCCTCCTTGAACTGTATAAATAATAGAATTTGTAAGGTAAATTAAGAGCACCAAGACTGTAGTAGGAAGTATTCTATTAGCTTAAGAAAACAGACAGATCTGAAGCAAACCCAAGTACAACTCCTAAGGAGTCTTGTTCCTTAAAGCAGTAGTTCTCAAACTCAGCCTCTACTTATTCTGTAAACCATAATTTTTTTAACTGAATTTGAATCAAATAATGGCATTTCTCCAGGGAAAAAAAAGTTAATGGGAAAATTTTCTCAGTTCTATCTATAATTGTTTACCATTTACTTATACTAAATCTAGTGTGAGCACTAATATATTCTTTTAGTGAACATTTAACATAGCAGTATTTTATCAAATTTTTATTTTGTTTTATTTTTGGTGAAGAGCACTTTCACCTCAGCCTATTTTTCACCTGAACATGTTTAAGGACCATTAAGATCAACACTACTCACAGAGTGTTATCTAAGAACAACGGGCTAGCTAGTATTTCATTATTCTTCTGCTTTAATGACAAAACAAATTTCCAACTTGAATGCAATTTTACTGGATCAATCTCTTATTTACTTCACTCTGCAGCCCATTAGAATGAGAATTTTCTCTCCTTGGTTGACACCCATTCTAAAGAATTGGGCTCTCTCCTTGATGGATCTCCAGGATATTCAGTGTCCAGTTGCCTCCCTCTGTTGCTGATCTCTGATAATCCTTATCATAGGGCTGACTTCCCTGTGAGCCTTGTCTTTATGTAAGGACCTAACTGGAAAGCCAGAAGACAAGAACTGGCTAGAAATGTTAGATGTGTTGGCTAAATATGTTGACCAGGAAGAATTAGGTTTGCCACATTTAGGTTAGAATCTTCAACTGATTGTGGGTCCAAGTTCATTTTTTTTTTTTTTTCTAATTCTCAGTTTCTTAATTTGCTTGTCCAGGCCTTACCAATAGACTTGCATGTGGACATGAGCAACACTGTTCCTGAAGGTCCTGTGTGTGCTCTGGGCACATAAGCCTCCTAACTGCCATGGAGATTTGGGAAAAATGAAGTAGATGTCCAGCTGTCTCTGGTGGGGCCCATTCTGGGACCCAGAAACCAGATTAGTAGGGTGACCAATCATCCTGATTTGCTTGGGACTGAGGGGCTCGTGGGACTTTGAGTTCCAAAACTGGTAAAGTCCTGGATACAAGAGGCTCAGGTGATGTATTTGCTGGTTAGAAAGGACTAGAGCCTTGTCTGTAATTGAGGTTCAGAGGTCTACTGAGCTATCTAAAGAACTGGAGAACCCTGAAGGATGCAGGACACTAGGGACTCTCAACTGGTCCCCCGAGAGCAGATGACCAGGAATAAAGAAATGTATCTAGAGCAGGTCAACTGAGCAGTAGCGTCTGGAGTCAGAGGAGCAGGAGCTCCAGGCATAATGCCCAGTGGTACTTGCTACCCTTCCATGCAGTCCCCCTTTGGTCCCAGGCTACCTGTGAGCTCTGGGAGGGTAAGGCAGTGGTAGAAATGCTAGAATTGTATCTAAGAGCTCACATGGCAGAGCTGAGGGAGTCCTCTCTGAAAGAACTGGACATGTGGATATACTGGCCAGAGAGAAGAGGGCACGGGAGACTGGGAGAGAGAAAGAGATGTCAAGAGAAGGACAGCAGTGGCAAGGCCAGCACGGGAAATGATGAAAGTAACAGTGGACAACAGAGGAGATGGTCCACAGAGCCCCTGATTATACATGACGAAGAGATCACCAAAAACTGATGGTTCCCCAAAATTATGTATTTTCTGGGAATTCTCAGATATAGCTGGAGAATTGAACACTGAAAAAATAAAAGCCTACTGATCAGCAGTTATGGGCAGCATGAAGGATTGAGATTTGGATTATTATTGCAAATATGATCCTGGGCTATAATTACATAAAACTGCCTAGTAAACATACAGACTATAATTACATTAAACCATTTTATGTAAATTTTCTATTGAAGTAAAAGTACATAGAGAAAAGCACACTAATCACAGGTGCACGGCTCGCTGAATTTTCCCAAAGAGAACATACCCATGTACCCAAAATCTAGATGAAGAAACAGAACATGAATATCATCCCAGAGGCCCACCTAATGCCCTTCCCAGTCACTGCCCCCTCCCAAGGGTAACAAGTATCCTGATTTATAACACCATACACTAGTTGTTGTATTTGTCTGTTTTTCAATTTTATATAAATGGCAACATATATAACTCCTTCATTTGCCTTTTTTCACTCAACATTGTGAGATTCATTTTTATTGTTACATGAGATTGTAGTTTATTTTTTGTTATTGTTGTATGGAATCCCATTATGAAAATACCACTATCTATTTATCCATTCTACTTCTGTTGAACATTTGTGTTATTTCTAGTTCGAGGCTTTTTTGAATAGTGCTGCCATGGACTTTCTACTATGTGAAATTTGGTAACTATATGGTGCATTTCTGCTAGGCATATACCTAAGAGTGGAAATGCTATGTCATAGGGCCTATGTATGCTCAGCTTTGGAAGATACTGCCTAACAGTTTTCTGAAGTGGTCATACAATTTATATTGCCCCAATAATGTTTGAGAGTTTCAGTTGCCTTACACCTTCTTCAACACTTTCATTTTGGCTATTCTAGTGGGTGTGAATTATATATAAAACTTTAAGTTTTGGCCAAGCGCAGTGGGTCACACCAGTAATCCTAACAATTTGGGAGGCCAAGGCAGGAGAATTGCCTGAGCCCAGGAGTTCGAGACAAGCCTGGGCAACATGGTGAAACCTCATCTCTGCAAAAAATACAAAAATTAGTTGGGCGTGGTGGCACACTCCTGTAGTCCCAGCTAATTGGCATGCTGAGGTGGGAGGATGACCTGAGCCTGGGAGCTTGAGGCTGCAGTGAGCTGTGACCGTAGGCTCACAACTATAGCTGTGGAAGTGTAGCTATACAAGAACATTTCCTTTTCTTCCTGAGCTGGTTCTTTTTTTTTTTTTTTGAGACAAGGTCTCACTCTGTCACCCAGATTGGCGTGCAGTGGCCCAATCTCGGCTCACTGCAACCTCTACCTCCCAGGCTCAAGCAGTCGTCCCACCTCAGCCTCCTGAGTAGCTGGGATTACAGTCTGTGCCACCATGCCTGGCTAATTTTTTGTATTTTTGGTAGAGACAGGGTTTCACTATGTTGCCCAGGCTGATCTTGAACTCCTGAACTCAAGTGATCTGTCCACCTCAGCCTCCCAAAGTGCTGGGATTACAGGCATGAGCCGCCAAGCCTGGACTTCCTTAGCTGGTTCTTTAATACGCTACAGTAAGGCTTGCTGCTTATACCCTTTCTAATAGATGCATGTTGTCTCTTTAGATGTCTGGCCACACTACCATAACATAAGAACCTTTCATTTAATCTACACATCCCAAAGTAGAGAATATAATTGCTGGAGACCTGCAGGCACTATTAGCAGGGGGACTGCAAGGCTTTTCATATATTTACTCTCACAAAGGAAGACTGTTTTCTCATAGACCATTTCTCTAGGGGCCACTGTGTGACTATAAGTGGAAGAAATCTATCATAACCAAATTGTAGACCATAAAACAAATCTGGAGTGGCACGGGAGTTTCTTTGATTTCTACCCTAGAGATCAATGTGTAAAATATGCATGATTGGTTTTCTCTGTTTAATGTCATCCTTGGCCTAGGGATTTTGAATTCTGCAGAGTCATTTTTGCCTTTAAATGAATCATTGACCTAGCTGTCCCCAACGTGTTACCATACTTGCATTGAAAAGATTGAAAGGGAATGAGGGAGTCTCAAATTCTTTCAGTAACTTTCTCTGTTCTACACACTTACTGGTCTCAGTTGGCTTGAAGGAAAGAATCTCCCCTACTGGCCTGAAAATAACTTTAAAAAAAAAGCTAAAACGAAATTGTGCTGTTGTGCAAAATGGGCTTCATTCTTCAGGGCTGATAACAAGGACAGTTAAGAAACCACAGGCCGGGCGCGGTGGCTCACGCCTGTAATCCCAGCACTTTGGGAGGCCGAGGCGGGTGGATCATGAGGTCAGGAGATCGAGACCATCCTGGCTAACAAGGTGAAACCCCGTCTCTACTAAAAATACAAAAAATTAGCCGGGCGCGGTGGCGGGCGCCTGTAGTCCCAGCTACTCGGGAGGCTGAGGCAGGAGAATGGCGTGAACCCGGGAAGCGGAGCTTGCAGTGAGTCGAGATTGCGCCACTGCAGTCCGCAGTCCGGCCTGGGCGACAGAGCGAGACTCCGTCTCAAAAAAAAAAAAAAAAAGAAAAGAAACCACAGAGCCAGGTGCAGTATTGCACACCTGTAATCCCAGCGACTCTGGAGGCTGAGATGGGAGGATCCTTTAAGCCCAGGAGTTCAAGGCTATAGTGTACCATGATGGTGTCTGTGTACTCCAGCCTGGGTGACATAGTGAGACCATGTTTCTTTTTTTGTTTTTGTTTTTGTTTTTGTTTTGTTTTCTTTTTTTTCTTTTCTTTTCTTTTCTTTTTTTTTTTTTTAGATGGAGTTTCACTCTTGATGCCAGGCTGGGGTACAATGGTGTGATCTCGGCTCACTGCAAACTCCGCCTCCCAGGTTCAAGCAATTCTCCTGCCTCAGCCTCCCAAGTAGCTGGGATTACAAATGCCCACCACCACACCTGGCTAATTTTTTTTATTTTTTATTTTTAGTAGAGACGGGGTTTCACCATGTTGGCCAAGCTGATCTCGAACTCCTGACCTCAAGTGATCCACCCTCCTCGGCCTCCCAAAGTGCTGGAATCACAGGCGTGAGCCACCGTGCCCAACCAGTGAGGCCACGTTTCGAAAAGAAGAAAGAAACGACAAACTAAAATACATGACTGTGTAGATGAGGAAGGACATGAAATGAAACAGGAAAAAGGTGACCTGAAAACTTTTAAGAATTTTATGTTATCATTGGTATTTTCCTCAAAATCACTTAAGTATCATAAAGCTTTGCAGGAAACTTTTGGTTTGGCTGCAAGGAGAGAATTCAGGACATACTCATCCAGTTGTTATCTGAGGGACTTCCTCTTAACAGCTCTTAATTTCAAAGATTATGTATCATATCCTTGTTCTTCAACCAGACTGTAATCCTCTGGAGGGCAGGGGCCATTGATTCACTCAAACATTTTTGTTAGGCACCTGCTAGATGCTGGGGATGGTAAGTTGATACTTCCTGCCATCACATCTTCCTACGCCAGCCACCTGCCTGCATCCCTGACAAGCGCCTGTTTGCCACCTCCTGGGAACTACACCCTCCTCTTCTAGAGACACCCTGTACTTTTGGCTCAGCCCTCATGATGCCAACTATTTGTTTGGATCAGCACCTGTTGTTTGCCTGAACATATGTTCTGCCTAACAGACCTTTCTCCTGGTCCTTGGATCCAGTCTACCGCCCCCACTTCCAACTGCCCCTCTCTATTGGTGTGTCTCCTTCAAGGTTCTAGACCCTCTTAGGCTTTCCATCCAAGTCTTTTCTGGGCTACAGTACTTCACTTATAAAGATTTTCATTCCACAAATGTTCATTGAGCTTCCCCTTAGTGCCAGGAGCTGTGCCAGTTGATAAAGACACATGTTAATGGTTATCAGGCTGCTAAGAAAAACATAGGCATGTGAATACGAATGTATAAGAAAATGCTACAAATGCCTCAAGAGATGTGTGAATGAGATAGAGGGGCACCAAAACACAGGTGATCAATTTTTCCATGAGGTTAGGGCTAGGCAGGTAAGATTTCATGAGTAAACATTAGATAGAGTAGCTTCAACTAGATCTCTGCTTCTATAACAGCTCTTGACATTCTCACTTGACCACACTGCATTGCTGGTCAGAGATCTGGCAGCACTGGACAGAAGAGAGGGCAAGACAGGCTATCTAAGGGAATCTAGGTCTCATCTCCAAATTGGGTTATTTATTCTTGTATTGTCGAGTAGTAAGGGTTCATTATGTGCTATGGATACACTTAATGAACTATTATTTCATTATATGTTTTCCTCTAAATTAGCCTTCTTTTTTTTTTAGACGGGTCTCACTCTGTTGCCCAGGCTGGAGTGCAGTGATGTGATCATGGCTTACTGCAGCCTCAACCTCCCAGTCTCAAGACATCCTCCTGCTTCAGCCTCCCAAGTAGTTGGGATTACAGGTGTGCTCCAGCACAGGTGGCTAATTTTTGTATTTTTAGTAGAGACAGAACTTCACCATGTTGCCCAGGCTGGTCTTAAACTCCTGGGGTCAAGCAATCTACCCTACTCAGCCTCCTAAAGTAGTGGGATTACAGGCATGAGCCACCATGCCAGGGCCTTCTAATTTAGTCTTGACATCTCTCTTAGGATAGAGACTATATAAACTCTAGCCCTGGGCTGTAGGGAATTTGGTCATGGCTGCTTACAGTGTCCTTTCATGAGATACTTCTTTATCCTGGCAGATGCTTTTGTTGCTGTCTGATCTGTGTCCAGTTTATTCCTACCAAGATGGCCACTGTCTAGGAGATCCCTGGCTAGTAAAAAAGTTAGATTTGGGTGTGTCAGTCAGGTGAGCCATGTAAGAGGCAGCACAACAAAATGCATGAAGTAGCAGAAGCAGCGTATTACTCACAGGTCCTAGAGGGAGGAGGGCAGCACACCAATAGGAATTGAGAGCCACCTGGTACAAAAAAGCCCAACTAGTATTTAAAATGGATGCCGAGACAACATAAAATGACAATAATTCACTACCATCCCTTACAAACTATGATTTGTAAATATTTTCTCCCATTACCTAAGCTATCTTTTTACTTTCTTGATGATATTCTTTGAAACACAAAATTTTTTATTTAAAGAAGTCTAATTTATTTTTATTGTTGTTGTTGCTTATATCTTGAGTGTTGTATGTAAGAAGGGTTTGCCTACACCAAAGTCACAAAGATTTACTCCTATATTTTCTCCTAAGAGTTTTATAGTTTTAGCTCTTAAATTTAGATCTCTGGTCCGTTTTAATAAATTTTTATAAATGGTATGAGGAAGGGTCCAACTTTGTTCTTTTACACGTAGGTACCCAGCAGTTCCAGCATCAATTTTTGAAAAGATTATTCTTTCTCTCATTGAATTGTCTTGACTCCCTTATTGAAAATCAATTGACCATAATTATAAGGGGTTATATCTGGATTCTCGATTCTGAACTATTGATTTATAAGTCTATCTTTATGCCAGCACCACACTGTCTTAATTACTATAGTTCTGTAGTACATTTTAAAATCAGGAAGTGGGGATCCTATAACTTTTTCCTTTTTTTCAAGATTATTTTGGCTATTCTGGATGCCTCACATTTGTACATGAATTTTGTGTTTAGTTTCTCAATTTTTGCATACAAGCCAGCTGGGATTTTTAGGGATTGTGTTGGATCTGTACATCAATTTAGGGAGAATTGTCATCTTAACAGTATCTAGTCTTCTGATCCATGAGCATGTATGTCTTTCCATTTATTTGGATCTTCTTTAAGTTCTTTCAACAATGTTTTCTAATTTTTAGAGTACAAGATTTACCCTACTTTGGGAGGCTGGGGCTGGAGGATCACTTGAGCCCCACAGTTCAAGGCTACAGTGATTTATGATCATGCCACTGTGCTCCAGCCTGGGTGACAGAGAGAGACTCTGTCTCTAAAACAACAACAATAAAAAACAAACAAACAAAAATGACTTACTTTTGTCTTACTAAATTTATTCCTATTTCTATTTTATAATTCCTATTTTCTTGATGCTGCTGTCACTGGAATTATTTTCTAATTTCTTCAGATTTTTAATAAAGCATGTAGAAGTACAATTCATTTTGTGTGTTAATCTTTTTATTTTTATTTCTTTCCTTTTTTTTTTAAGAGACATAAGCTCGCTATGTTGCCCAGGCTGCTCTCAAATTTGTGGCCTCAAGAGATCATCCTGCCTTGGCCTTCCAAAGCTCTGGGATTACAGGCACAAGCTAATATACCTGGACCACTTTGTTTATTAATCTTAAATCTTACAATTTTTCTGAACTCATTTATTAGTTCTAATAGTTTAAGTAAATTTCTTAGTATTTTCTATATGCAAGATCATGTCATCTGCAAATAGAAAGAGTTAGTTTTACTTTTTCCTTTCCGATCTGGATGCATTTTGTTTTATTTTCTTGCCTACTTGCCCTTCCAGCACACTACTGAATAGAAGTGGTGAGAGCAGACATTCTTGTCTTATTCCTGAAAGAGGAAGTACTTGCTTTAGTCATAAAGCTATAATAGCTAAAACAATAATTGTGGTTCTGGCATAAGAAAAGATAGGCAAATCAATGAAATAAAAAGAATAGCTCAGAAGCAGATACTAAAACAGAGAAGTTAAAATATCATGAGGGAAGCGCTACAAATCAGTGGTGGAAGGTTGAACTACTGGATAAATTGTGGCTCTAAAAAACTAGTTGGATGTTTTGGGGAAAAATCAATTAAGGGATTCACATGATACATCAATATACAATTTTAATGGATAAGAATTAAATATAGAGAAACACATCACACCATTAGTAAATATAAAATATAAAAGCAACGCCTGGATGAAAATCAAATCTCCAGATAAGAAAGAACATTTCGAAATGGCTTTCCAAATTTTTAAGTTATCATGTTTTTTGACTCGGCAATTTAACTAAAAGAATGCAAACATCATCTTTATGGATCTCAGACAATTGACTAGCTTTCTCATTGCTACATTTGCGGATGGTAGAAAGTCAATACATACTTATGAATTTAAAAAAAAGTTGTACAAAAACTTAAAGGTGTACGTTCAGGAAGGATGTCATAGCGGTGCCATTTGCGTGAGTCAGTAGCCAACAGTCACCCTATGCCTTGAGATTTAAATGAAGTTCACCTGGGAATCCTAACCCTGTCAGATGTACATTGCCCTCCCTGTGATTTCTGTGAGTTATGGCAGTTTTATTTTCTCACAGTTCTTTCTATCTTGCTCAGAGCTCTGGTTCTGTCTCAAGCCCACTTGCATCTCACCTCTTTTAGCCTGTCTTGTCTTTTTGACTTGAACCAATGTACATGTGAAATTCAATACCCTTTCCTTACCTATCTTTTCAAGATAAAACAAGACAAAGCAGAACAACAAAAACACCTCCCAAGCCATCTGAATGTGGATTTTTTACAACCACACAAACTGACTCATTCAAAAATTAATATTAGACTTTCTCATACATAAAGGCCCTTTGTCCTCTTGTCCTCTTTCCCATGAAGAATTTCTCACTGGCCACATTTCTCCATGGGCTCTGGTATCCTGCTTGTCACTTGACCTTCTCTCTCCACCTCAAGCATTTCCTGACATTTTATCAGTTCTGTGTTTTCAGGATTTGCTTTCCCATGGACTATTTAGAGACAGTCAAAATACCCAAGGGGAATAAAATCAAGCTTTTAAAGAATTAAAATAAGTTTTATTCACAGTCCTTACTGAGGACTATAGACTGAGGCCCATAGCCCAGGAGGAGTCTTTCAGAGAGGTCTGTCGGACTCCTCTAAAGCAGTGTTTCAGCCCATTGGTAGGTAGGTGGTGGAGGTTAAGTATATGCAAAATCACATCTATGTTTGGGTGCAAGAGTACATTTGATTACAGTTTACTAAAGCACATTTGGTTATAGGTAGTAGAAGCATAGTGACTAAGCCCATGAGATGTTATCGTGTGTAAGAAAAGGCAAGGGCTAGCTAGGGTCAATTAACTTTTAAGAAATATAGTGACTCAGACAAGAGGCATGGGGGATGTGCTCTATCCTGTTTTGTCAAAGTATCTTTCTGGAGAGCTGCAGGCCTCACAATCAGGGGCTTTGTAAAATTACCCTGGCAAGCAGAAACAGGCAAACACCGCTCCTTCCGTTTGTTTGCTACTTTGTCTCTCGGTATGCAGAACAATTCTGCTTTCTAACCCTCTCCATTCCTGGACCTTCTTTGCATGTCTAAAGCTTTGATAACATCTAGACTACTGGAGGGACCATTAATTTGGCCTCAAGCTTTAACAGTACAGAAAATGGGTGGAGGTTTCCACATTTCAGACTTCCTTTTCTCTTTTACCCACCAAGATTTACAAGTAAAAGGAAGCAATATGGATACTTGTTTTCCCTCTGCTATGAAATATGCCTTTCTTCTTCCCTTACAAGTGGCTACAGACAGTTTGGGTTTTAAATATTTTTTTTCACCAAGCTACATTTGTAAAAGTAAGAAAATTAAAAATGATCCAAATGATCATCCATAGAAGATACCAGGTTAAATAAATCATGATACAATAGACTGAAGGATGTAATCGGTCCAGATGTTCTGAAATGGAAAGATGACCAAAATCTATTGTTAAGATACAACAACAACAACAAAAATGTAAGTTGAAAAGCCAGTTGCCCGAACGTATGTGTAATATGAAACCATTTGGCAATGTCTGGATGCATTATTGGTTGTCACAACTAGGCGGTGGTGGTGGTGGTGGTGAGGCTACTACTGGCCTCTAGTGGGCAGAGGCCAGGGTTGCTGCTTATCATTCTACAATCCACAGGGCAGCTTTCCAAAGAATTTGCTGGCCGCAAATACCAACAGGTCTGAGATTAAGAAACCCTGTTCTAGATGAATATACACCAAACTTTCAACAGTGGATATCTCCAAGAGTTGAATTATAGAGGAATTATACTTTTTCTAAATTTTTAATCTATTCGCATTTCTTGTAACGAGCTTATTATATTCAGAAAAAAATGTGAAAAGCTATAAACAGTTGGAAGAGCTTGCACATAAAAAAATAAATATTTCTAATCAAATTACACAGAAGATGAGCAGATAGGGAGAGAGCAGTGCCACAGAATCTAGGACAGGAGAGACCTCCCTTCCCAAGGACACCCAGTTGGGAGGGAACTCAGGTAAGAATCAGCCCTTCATTCAAATGGAGGAATTTCCTCCCGAGAGCACATCTCACCAATAGCCAGTTCTTTCCTAGTCTCACGGGGCGGTGCTCTGTCTTCGGAGATTACGGGTGGTCGAAGGGGAGGGAGGCCGGGTGTGGAAGCTTGTGTTCCTCCCTGTCTGAACATGATACCCAGAATCCAGGGGTTTGGAGAATGTAACTGTTAGGTGCTTAATAGAACATAAAAGTACACGTGAAATAGAAGTCATAGTGCTATTTATTCTTCCACGGGGCAAATTTCCCTTTTTAATTTTTCTCTAGTTGTTTTGTTACACTGGAATCTCTTGAGCGCCATCTGGTGGACAGATTTCCATCACCCAATCAGATGGTCAGCCTTCCCCACAAACATTTTAGTCACACTATGCCTCTGTCCGGCAGGATCATGTCTTGTCTTCAATGCCCCAGCACTTTGTGCAGTTGACACATTATAGGTAACCAGAGTCTGTTTGTTGAAGTAGTAAACATTGGTCCATTAGAAGCTGGGAGTGAATATTGAAGTCAGGTATGAATTGGCATTGGGAAGAAGGAGCTGAAAAGCAGGAATAAGCTGTCCTGATTGTGAAGGGTGAGTGCAATGCCGGACTGAGAAATAAAACTAACTCCAGGCCAAAGAGCGTTGGAGATTCCCAACAGGCTCCCCAAGGACACACAGGGAGCCCAGTAGAATTTTCCTGGAGCCTACTGAATTTCTGCTAGGAGTGGACTCGGCCCTCTGCCCAAATGAGGTGCCATGAGGTACACAAAGGCTCTAATATGTAATTTGACACTTCCCTGGGTAAAACAGAAAGTACACTGGCCAGACCCCAAAGTAAACTTACGTACTTCCTCTTTACCCCTTTTTTTCTGCTTTAAAAAATCTCAGCGATTCTTTCCTGCCTTTCTTTTTTTTTTTTTTTTTGAGACGGGGTCTCGCTCTGTCACTCAGGCTGCAGTGCAGTGATGCGATCTCGGCTCACTGCAAGCTCCACCTCCCGAGTTCACACCATTCTCCTGCCTCAGCCTCCCGAGTAGCTGGGACTACAGGCGCCCGCCACCACGCCCGGCTAATTTTTTATATTTTTAGTAGAGACGGGGTTTCACTGTGTTAGCTAGGATGGTCTTGATCTCCTGACCTTGTGATCCGCCCGCCTCGGCCTCCCAGAGTGCTGGGATTACAGGCGTGAGCCACTGCGCCCGGCCTCTTTCCTGTCTTTCAGCTCTGCTCCTCTCAATTCCCCAATAACACAATCCCTAGTCTCCTAAGAGTGGGCCCCAGGATAGTCTGCAAACTCATCACCTTCTAAGGGGGACTGCTGTCACTGAGTGGTCCCAAGTGGGCACTAGAGGCCAGTGTTGCAATGTTTTCAGTCTTTTCAAAAGAAATAGAAATCTTTATTATCTTGTGAAATCCCTTAGTTTGGAGCCAATATTGGCTCCAATTACTTTTGAAACACTCCATGGGCCAAAAAGCACTTGTGTTTATGGCCAACAATTAGTAACCCATCAAAGAGGCTCTCTGGACTGAGTGTAGTGGCTAATGCCTGTAATCCCAGCACCTTGGGAGGCCAAAGTAGGAGGATCACTTGAGCCCAGGACTTGGAGACCAGCCTGAGCAACATAGCAAGACCCCGTCTCTACAAAATTTAAAAAATTAGCTGAGTGTAGTGGCGTGGGTCTGCGGTCCCAGCTACTTGGGAGGCTGAAGTGAGAGGATTGCTTAACCCAGAAGGTTGGGGCTTCAATGAGCCATATTCTTGGCACTGCACTCCAGTGTAAGTGATAGAATGAGACTCTGTCTCAAGAATAAAAAAATTAAAAAATTAAAAAAAGAAGATTTCTAAGCTTCTTCCCAACGTTTCTGACACACTGTGACTCTAACCTCTGCCCACATTTCTACATGGCTAATTTTTAAATAAGGTCAACTGCTGATCCTAGGTCAGCAAGAACCACAAGGTCAGGAGTGTTCTTTCTTCGAAGTTTCAGGTTAATCAGTTTCTGTTTAGGAAAAAGAACAAGACTTCTCTTTAGGTAAGGTATCTACCAGAGCAGCCCCCACTCCCACCCGAAAGTCACCTGAATACAGCTATTTCCTGTGCCTCTTTCTGCTACAAATCTCTGCAGCATGTTTTGTTTTATGCATCAAAACTAGATCGACCTCTGCATTCTGATCATTCCCCCACGGTGTTGTCTTTTTCCAAACTTTCTGTTTTCATTAACTTAAAGTCTATGATGCTATCAAACTGATTAAGCTCATTCCAACCAAGCACCACATGCTGAAGCTAGTGAATCACATTGCCAGTTGGGCTTTAAAAAGAACAGGTTTGAATGTACATCCTAATGTATTATATACTATATTGTGAATATGGATTGTGTTGAAGCTATAATTATGAGGGATTTAATACATTGGGGTCTACATTCAACCCCGATGTACACATACTTATATATATGTAAAATGTTTAGCCCATTAACTTTGCCTTGCTGACAGTTGTGGGAAAGTTTCTAGAGTTGTCAGTCACAAGGTCTTGTGAGAATCTGATCTAAGCAACTCAGCCTTCCCTCAAGAAAAAAGCACTCATAAGCAAACAATTTCCCAAAGTCTGTGCATAGACCCTTAGGCATACCTGAACCCCAGGTAAGAACTCCTGCTGTATCAGTGAGGGGCAAGGCAACTGCTCAGAGCCTGTAGGTCTCATTTAATTTGAAGGTGGCTGGTTGACCCTAAGCTCTTTCTCAGTACATCACGCCTTCCAGTAGAACTGAACCAAAACTCTAAGACACCCTGTTTATGCTCCCTTGGGAATTTAGGGCCCTTACCATGTATAGCTTCTCTGGGGTGGTTTCTGATGCTCATCAATTCTCTGACATCAACTGGGTATGTTACCAGTGGAAGATATCCTGGTTATCGGTGGCAAATTCATATGTGTCTGCAGCAACCTCAATTCTTGCCTCCTCAGAAGAAAGAATTCAACTGAGGGGCATAAGGCAGAAAAAAGACTGAGGCAAGTTTCATTGTAGGAGTGGAAGTTTATTAAAAAGCTTTAGAGCAGGAAAGGAAAGTGCTTTCGGAAGGGACGCAAGTGGGCACTGAGAAGGTCAAGTGCCTGGTTTAACCATCATCCTAGGACTTTATAGGCTGGCAAACTCTGGCGTCTTGCGCCCCCTTTCCATGATTCTTCCCTTAGGGTGTGTTGCCTGCATGCACAGTGCCCTCCTTACCCTTGGGAATTGAGCACATGCAGTGTGTTTAGGAAGTTGTATGCATGCCCATCTGAGACTTTCTTCCCTTTTCTGGTGGAGTGCCACCAGAAGGTCATACTCCACCATTTTGTCTCTTAATGCGCAGGCCTGGGAAATTGCCTCTCTGGTGTCTGCTGTCAATCAACACTTCAGTGCAATGGGTATGGACCATCAAGAAATGGCCTCTCTCTGGAGGCTGGCTGCCAATTTATCGCTTTTAGAGAGGCAACGTGATAATCATCAAACCGTCACCTGCCATTCCTGGTGGGTGGGGGAGAGCCCTCTCCTGCCCCACTCACGCCTAACTACCTGTAACAGGTATCAAAAATTCAATTATGACACTATCTGGAGTTAGTGCAGACACAGATTAAGGGCTCAGTCCTATAAGACTGCACTGACTTCAAATGTCAGTCTCATCTGGGCCAGGCCACCCATGCTTCTGACCTACCAGCTATAAATCAAGGATTCCCAAGATCCCCTCCTCAAGTTCAATAATTTGATATAAGAGCTCACAGAACTCAGAAAAACAGTTTACTTACATTTACTGACTTATTATAAAGGATACAACTCAGGAACAGCCAAATGGAAGAGACGCAGAGGGCAAGGTATGGGGGAGTAGGGTGAGGGTGGCACAGAGCTTCAATGGCCTCTCTGGGTGTGTCACCTCCCAGCACCCAGTAGCTCTCTGAATCTATTGTTCAAGAGTTTATAGAGCTCAACAGGTCAGAGGGTGGGGCTGAAAGTTCCAACCCTCCAATCACTTGGTCTTTTTAGTGACCATCCTATTCTGAAGCTATCTAGGGACCCCATCTCAAGTTACCTTGTTAACATAAGTTTCAGTGTGATCTAACAGGGCTCATTATGAATAACAAAAGATAATCCTATCACTCAGGAAATTCAAAGGGTTTTAGGAGCTCTGTGCCAGGAACCCAGGATGAAGACCAAATACATTTTTTAAAATACTATCACAGCTTCTCTGTGCCATCCAGGCTTATTAAGATCATAACTGATCACTCAATGTTCCCACCTCTAGCTTTTTGCTTGATTGCCATCTCCTCCATTCATCTTTATCTCTCTGTCTCCAACTGGATTAGGAGTGGGCTTAGGGTCAGAACCAGGGTTCTTTTGGCATTGGTGATGGATCAACCAAGAGAAGGTTAAAACCTCCAAACCTGATCAGTCTATCAGGTTGGGACTGGCTCCAGTAGTAGGTAACAAAACGATGTCCAGGGAGATGCAGGAGGTAAATAACCAGGCATGTGGGCAGTGCAGAGCCCCCAAAAAAGCCAAGCAGGATGGCAGGTGGCATTAGAGATGGCTGGAAGCAGGAACCTAACCAGAGGACTGCAGTTCAGGGCCAGGATTTTAATCTCTGGAATTGAGAAGAGCAAGACAGGAAGTAGAGTTTGAAGCCGGGAGTCAAGGTGGGAAAGTGACACAAGGGAAAAGCAGGCACCCAGTTACCAATGTTGTGGTACAGGCATTGTATTTAAAATAAGGAAGATGGGCACAGTGGCAAATGCCTGTAACCTTAGCTACATGGGAGGCTGAGGTAGGAAGATTGCTTCAGCCCAGGAGTTCAAAATCATCCTATGCAACACAGCGCAAACCCATCTTGATAAATGAATAAATACATAAGTAAAATTTAAAATAACCTAAGGAAATAATCCATAAACAAAGTACATCTAAGCAGAGCTAGCAGTAAGTTGGCTTGATTCCAAGTCAATGAGCTTTGACCCTATAGTTCTTAACACGCTTCTTGGGGATCAGTTCATCTCTGAATCAAGATGAGCTGAACCTGCAAGTGGGGACCAAATGGATCTAGTAGTGGGTTTTAGAGGCCTTCAGCGGGTAGAGAGCCAGGTGGAAACAAGAGGGATGCCACCAACATCCTCATCTTTGGTAATATTTTAAATAACAATATGAGAAGATATATATGAGAATATAACAAATATGAGAAGTCAGTGCTGAGCATTTCCTGGGCCAGCGGCAGATAAGCCAGGGATATTTTCTTGTTTTCCTTAAAGCAAGTAGAAAGACAACAGAGTATTGTGGTTACAGCTGAATTTGGAGCCAGATTGCCTGGATTCAAATCTCAACGCTGCTATGAGGTCAGCTGCCTAAAATTGGCTTTTTAAATTTCTTTAAATTGTCTTTAAATCTCTATATTACTCATTTAGAGAGTAAATATAATTTCTATTATGTTATGGATGCTAATAATAGAACACACCTCCTAGGGTTCTTATGAGTAATGAATACATTCTATAAAAGTGCTTATGACAATGCCTGGCATACAATAAACACTATACGTGTTGAAATATAAATAGTGGTTGAAAACATTGTAAGACTCAGGCCACCTCAATATGAATCCTGAGTCTCAAGTGAAATCTCTGTGGACAAGGAGATAGTGAGGAAATTGTCCAGAATGGAATAGTGTTAGAGTGGCAAGAGGTGACAACCACAAGACTCAGGCTCCTGTTGAGACTTGGCCCTAATATAATTGGGTCTTGCTTTTCTGGAATTCCAAATGTATGCCCAAGAGTGAAGAATTACAGTCAATACATCAATGGGTAGAATCAACTGTCTAGGAAAATTCATAAGGTAATGGAATTAAGGCTATTTGTCTCATGCAATACAATCCACTTGGACCTGCAAAATTTTAAGGAGGTAAAAAAGAAACACCGGATTTATCCAAATACCATTTAATCCCAGTTGATCTCAGTTTTTCCAGGTCTAGAACAGTGTTCAATTCCTGTTTGTATTCCCTGTCAATAAGAAAAGGATTTTGATTCAATGATTCTGTGTTAAATAGCATGTTGTTATACAGAGTAGCATTCGGTTTGTTATTAGTCAAGATTCTCCAGAGAAGCAGAACCAATAAGATGTGAATATACACAAATAGAAAGAGATTATTATAAGGAATTATTCATGTGATTATAGAGACTGGCAAGTCCAAAATCTGCAGAGTGGCTGACAAGGTAGAGACCCAGGAGAGCCAGTGGAGCAGATAAAGCTGGAAGGCAGTGTGCTGGGGAATTCTTGCTTGCTCAGGGAGGCCAGCCTTTGTGTTCTATTTGGCTTCAACTGATTGGATGAGGCTCACCCACATTATGGAGAGCAATGTGCTTACTCAAAAATTCACGGATTTAAATGTTAATCTCATCCATAAACACACGCCAGGTTTTAAATGTTAATCTCATCCAATAACATCTTCCAAGTTAACACAAAAAATGAACCATCACAGACTGTAAGCCCCCTTTAAGACCAAAAATAATCTGTTGTTCTTATACCCTTATTCTGAAGGAAAATGAAGACATTTAATATCTTTCCACTGTTCTTTTCTATTTTTTTAAGAGATAGGGGTCTCACTCTGTTGTCCAGGCTAGAGTACCATGGCATGATCAAAGCTCACTGAAGCCTCAAACACCTGGGCTCAAGTGATCCTCCTGCCTTAGCCTCTCAAGTAGCTGGGGTTACAAGTGCACACCACTGCACCTGCCTTCACTGTTCTTTTCTAGCACATACTTTTAGTGTACTTGTATTGGGAAAAAAATGGGCATTGTTTGGGAAAGAACAATAAATTCTTACAACAAAAGCAATTTTAATTATAAAAATAAGGGTGGTACTAAAGGAGATGGTGCAACAGTAAGGTGGAAAGACATGAGTCCTGTATGACCTCATGGAGTAAGGCTGCCTACCAACTTAAGACTGCTCATGGTGAGATCATTATGTGTGTAAGAAAAAATCTTCAATTTTTTAAGTACTATATTTTGTTAGTAAATAATATAAACCACTGATACCTGGAAATGGATGCTGCCATCAAATGACCTTAAATACATAGCATCATCCTAGCAGTGAGGGATGGGCAATAAGAACAGATATTGTGGCCCAGAAAACTGGTGAGCCTTGTGGAAGACAGACCACTGTCCTTTCTTTTCCCCTAGGGAAAGTTAATGTCTCTCTCAACTATGTTCCACAACACACATGAAATACTTTGGATACCTAGTTATTTCTGTATGTTTCCTCAGAACATTTACTTTATGGAGCCGTTTATCCCCAGCATCTAACAGAATGTCAGGCCCAGAAATATGAGTTGGATGAATGAGTGAATATATGCCCAATGAGTGAATGAATGGTCAGGGAATTATTTTCTGAGACTTCATCTAAATAGGATTGGCTATAAACACGTAGCATCTCTAAAGGTTGTGAGAGCCTTTCTTTCCCTCTGAGTGAAGAGATTCATGTTAGTTGTTCATAAAGGTAAGTCACTGGTTAGCCAGGGCTTCAAGACTGGAAATGATATGTAATAAATTCTAAGCTTTGCTTACTCACAATGTCGCTGCTGGCCAAGGAAAAGTTTCCTTTATTTGCTGCCTCAGATTTATTTCTATAAAAAGGGCCATAATCAAACTCCAGGAGAATGGTAAATTGCTATTGAGATGATATATGGGATACAAAAGAAAAAATAAATAAAAATAAACCTGCGTTGAATTCCAAAATATTCTTTGTAGTAGATCTATGTTTATTGTAGAATGTAAGAGAATCCAATGTCTTATTCTTCCTGTTCTTGTAATGCCTATGCTATGAGAACAGAAGGAATCAATTATTCAGTAATTTAGAACAAATAACTGGAGGATTGAATTCTGTATCACATTTGATTCTATTAAAACAATGAGGCTGGGCATGGTGGCTCACATCTATAATCCTGGGAGGCAGAGGCAGGAAGATCCCTGGAGCACAGAAGTTCAAGACCAGTCTGGGCAACATGGTGAGACCCTGTCTCTACAAAAAAAAAAAAAAAAACCAAAAAAAAACAAAAAAAAAAACCTTAAAAAGTTAGCTGGGCGTGGTGGTGCACCTCTGTGGTCCCAGCTACTCGGGAGAATTGCTTGAGCCCTGGAGGTCGAGGCTGCAGTGAGCTGCAAAAAAACAATGATAACATGTACAGAAATCAAAACAAAAGAAAAAATTATCTATAATCCTATCATCTTACAATCTTTTAAATTTTTTTTTCAAGACAGTATTTTGCTCTATGGCCCAAGCTGGAGTGCAGTGGTGCAATCACAGCTCTCTGCAGCCTCAACCTCCTGGGTTCAAATGATCCTCCTGCCTCAGCTTCCTGAGTAGCTGGGATGACAGGCTCGTGCCCCTATACCGGCAAATTTTTTTATTTTTTGCAGAGATGAGGTCTCACTATGTTGTGCAGGCTGGTCTTGAGATCCTGGCCTCAAGCAATCCTCCAGTCTTGTCCTCCCAAAATGTTGGGATTATAGGCATGAGCTACTGCACCTGGCCTGTTTTAATTTTTGTATGTTCTGTTTTACACTTTATATGTTTGTCTATATTTTTCAAACACATAATGAAAAGAACTCATGCACGCAAAACATGCACAGACAGATTTTATGTGTATACAGGCCAGGCCAGCCTGAGGGTAGATATCAGGTCACACTAGCAGTAATCAGACAATATTTCTCTGATTCTAGCCCTACTCATTCTGCAGAAATTCCAGTCCTCCTCACATCCTTCCTAACTAGTTCTTGAATTCTCAGGAACTAATCCTCCCAGCTATCATGTGTCATCTCCAATTTTCCTCTTCTTTTTAGCATCTCCCTTTCAGCATGTCTCCTGTTGCTGGTGCTGCTGCAGAAACTTCAAAAGCTGCCCGGTTCCTCTGCCCCAGTGTGATGCCCTCTTCCATTCTTCTTCCAGCAGCAAGCAAAGGCTGATTTGACTCCTCAGTCAGCTTGCTTGTGATCAGCAAGTCCACTGTGTTAGAATCAGGGACCTGGTCTATCAAGTAGTGCAAACGTGGAGATTTTGATGGAACTGCCCTTGTGGTTTTTACAGGCTTTTTATTGCAGTCCATACTCCTTTGAGCATCTGTGAGTCCACAGTTTGAGAGAGAGCAAATTAAATTGCTGACAGTCTTTTTAGGACGACCTATTTCTTTTTTTGCTGATTCTGTTCCTAAGCTGAGCTTATGATACTTGATTCTCTTTTCCTTATAATGAATTTTTACTCAATAGGTTCCTCAGTACCTCATGCAAACATACGCCAGGTAAGTCTCTTCAGACAGGCCTAAATATGTTCAAAGTCTTGCATGAACGCAGTTTGAGGTGTCTGGGCATCCTAATACAATAGTATAGATAGAATTATGGGTTTTGCTTTGTTCATTTCACATTGTGAGTGTGTTTGCAGGTTACTAGAGAGTTCTCATAATTATTAAGTGGCTATATAATATTATATAGGAAGGAGATGCCATAATTTACCTAATTTTTCTCTTAATTTGGACGTTTATGTTATCACTGATTTGTTTCTAGTTAAATAATGTGAGTTGAGCAAGGACAAATTAGTGGTCTTGATTGTGTGTTTTATTTTGGAGACATATATATTTGTTAAGGGAATTTTTGCTTCTGTAACCCCCCAAATTTCAAGAACACAAAACTCTAACCATTTATTTCTCAGCCATATACCAGTCCAGTATGGGTTTTTTTTATCAGCAATGTTGGGGAGAGCTCTGCCCCACACATTCATTAAGAGACCCAGGGGATTGGGGCACCACCATCATCAGCACATGGTTTTCAAGGTCTCTCTGGGCACCATAATCAGCCAGCAGATGAGTAGGAGAGACAGGGTTGTGTGAGGGTTTTTTTAAATTAAATTCACCCAATTTAATGGTACAGTTTGATTAACTTTTGCTAATTGTGTATAGTTGTATAACCACCATGAAAATAAAAATGTAGGCTTTATAACATCCTAAAAATTTCCTGTTGCCTTTTTACATCTGATCCCCTCTTACAAACCCCTAGCCCCAGGCAACTTTCTGTGAATACAGATAAACTTTGCCTGTTCTCTAATCTCGTACAAATGGAACACAACATGTATTTTGTGTTATGCTTCCTTTGTTCAGCATAATCCATGTTGATCATTATATTAGTTCTTCATTGATTTTTATTGCTGTGTAGTGTTTCATCGTATGGATACACAATGATTTGTTTATGCATTCACTGTTTTTTGACGTTTGGATAAGCCCCAGGTGTTAGCTATTATGAATAATGGTGCTATGATTTGCATATATGCCCTTTTGTGTGCATATACTTTAACTTCTCTCGTGTAAATATCTAGAAGTGGAATTACTGGGCCACATGACAAGTGGATGTTTAACTTTGTAAGATACGGCCCTACTATATACCAAAATTGCTGACCATCTTGCACTGTCACAAGCAATGTCTGGGACTTCTAGTTGCTCCAAATTTTGTCAATGCTTGGAATTGTCAGTGTTGTTAGTTTTAGCCATATCAATGGATGTGTAGTAGAATCTTATTTCTCATTTGCATGATCCTAACTAGTGAGGTGAGCATCTTTTCACATGTTTATTGGCTATTTGTATATTTTCCTTTATGACATGCCTTTTCAAATATTTTGCCCATTTCAAAAATAGGGTTGTTCATCTTATTATTGAGTTGTAAGAGTTCTTTAAATATTCTGGATATGAGCAAAGAGTATACTCGTCTCTATCTAGTACTTTCCAGTACATTAATTATTGCTTTTTGCCTTATGTCCAGATTTGATAAGTGTTTTGTATGAAGGAGTTGGTCTTGCAGAATCTTACTGTATCATTACAGAAATGTAAACTACAACAGAGGTTTTAAGAACCAGGACTAGAACTGGCCCTCATCAGTTCAGCTTACACCCTATTGGCTAGAATTTAGTCATGTGACAATACCTAACTCCAAGGAAGGGTAGAAAATGTGATCTATCTGTGCCCACAGGGTAGTGTGCCCTGGAGAAGAACAGGGTTAGTGATCAGCCAGCACTATCTGCTAAAAGGAACCTAGCAGGGCCTAGAAGGGCCTAGAAGGAACATGGAGTGGCAGAAGTTTTGTCCCAGGGACATGGTAACTATTTCTAGATCCCTTCCATGATAAACAATCATGCTGTACCTATCATATGCTAGACATTGAGCTATAATAACTGAGGCTAGCATTTATTGAGCACTTACTATGTGTCAAGCATATATAGACTCTATAAATGTTTACTGACTGTTGAATGGACCCGATTTCTTGGAGTGGTCTGGGGAAGACTACCCGCTATATGTGTTTAATGATACCTTCGGATTTTGCCAGCCCAGCAGAAGCAGGGTTGTGAGTAATGAGGCTGCTTGCCAAGCATGCCAGTTCCCCTGTGGGAAGAGATCACTGGAGAAACAGAGCATTATTAATGTCCTCCAAACTTCAACAAACCAGTTTTTCCACTCTCTGGGTGATTATTTATGGGTTTGGGTAAGATGCTAACTTGCAAGCTCTCTCTTTGTCTCTGCTCTGCTTCTACACCAAACTCATGACTATTTACAGCATTCCATTCTAGAGCTGTTCACAAACCAATGTTTCTGATTTTTTAGTGAATTTCCTGCTTCCCTACATTGTGCTGCCAGATTTATTGGTAATAGTTCTTTGAGTATTAAGTGGATTGAAAATGCTGCCTGTGTTATCATTTCTCTGTTGAAAGCAGCTAGACACAAAACATACATAATAACAGCTAGCCCTTGTTGGGCACTGTTGCACACAAATTGCCTTCACGTCTATTTGGTCTACCCCCTCACATGATTCATTTGAATGATCAGTGGTAGAGCTATTTCACTTGTTCACATGCTTATTAGAGTAATATGTTCAAAGTTAATTGATCTTTTTCCCCATCCTACTCTTGTTACAAAGGTAATTGACACTGAAATGGTCAAAAGACGTTCAGTAGGGATGGCCAGTAAGAGAAGTAGAAGGACCACACAATACAAATAGGATAAAAGGCTCCTCAATATGTAATAATCGAATGGCTGTAAACACATCCACACCTGGAATCTCTCTTACATATCATAGATAAAATCTCACCACCTTATTGTGCAATCTATTCCTTCATTACTGTACTTTTTTCCCCCTGATTCTGCATACTCCTCTGCACAGCTCCTCCTGACCTGGCTGATGTCCATTATCCTGTATTATTACTCATCACTACTCCCTTAGAACCTATACTCTGAAATTGCTAATCTTATTGCAGTTTCCTGGATATGTTATGGCTTGTCATGTATCGATCCTTTTAGGCATCCCATTCCCTCTGCACAAAGCATGATTTACTTACTAGATTGCTCCAGTGGTCCCTGGCATTGGAAGCTTCCACAGCCCTGCCTCCCAGCTAGCCAATCTGATTTCTGTTAGAGCATCTAGGAGCACCCTCCTCCAAAGCCCTTTTGACATTCTTTTGTGATAGTGTTATTTATTTACATGACTATGTGGCCCTCCTACTGTGAGCTCCTTAAGGATGTAGATTTTTTCTTATTTGCATAATTTCTGGAATATTTTAATTGAACAATTAGTGTGAATAAATAGTTAGATAAATGTTCATACCACACACCTCAACTCTTTCATTTCTTTGACTTGAATTCGAGGTACATTTTATAATCTTGTAGACATGGACGAAGCAAGAAGAGACACTGTAGCAAAGGAAAGATCAATAAATAAAATGACTGCAAGAAAAACAGGTTCAACGACAATGGTATAAAATAACAGAAAAAAAATGGTCATCTTTGAGTATGTTTGCCCTCTTTATATCAAGCATATACTTCTCAAACTTATTCAGAATAATAAATGATGAATGGGTGTGGAATTATGTCTCTTAGTCCTTATTACTGTATAATAATAACAAATAACAGTTGTTTAGGAACTATGTTTTCAAAGCATTGTCACATCCATTTTTTTTTCAGGACATGTTTACAACAACTCTGTTTTTCAGATGAAGACATTGAGACACATAGAGGAGAAGTAATTGATCAAAGATCATATAGCCACTGTGGCCTAACTGAATGGATAACATCTCAGTCTGTTAAGTCAGCATGGAGTCGAGTTGTTGGGATGATTTCTGTTTACTAGATTGCCAATTTATACTTTATCTGCCAATCTAATTTCCTTAGAGTCCCTGTTTGTCCCTGCAGAATAAAAAACATACTGCTTGCTGTATAAATTATACATTGTCTAATAACTGGTTATAGTTAGTTGAAGCAAGTTACTAATGAATATGTAATCTTGGATTTGATTCTAGAATTTACCTGTTAGCTTGTCTTTTCTTCCCCTATTAATAGCTTGAGCCCCCTGTCAATCTCTAAATTAAAAGCTTCTCCATAGCCTACTCTTTGAACCTAATCTCATTTCTTTCCTTTTTTCAACAGGCAGACTAGGGTCCTTCTCTTCACTTCCACCAACCTCCTATGCACATTGCTGCTTGCACACTTGTGCTCAGAACCCCCTGGACCAGTTCATCCTGCTTCACTGCCTGTTCTAGTCTATCCTTCTTAAGGCTCAGCTCATAAAGCCTTCCAGGAATGCTAGCCCCCAGTGATCTAGCCCTCCTCTGAGCTAACCAGCTGCATGTGGCCCATTCCACTTTGTTGATGCTTGATAATACTGATCATAGTAACACTGTGTCTTGTTCCAGTTTTTACATTATCAGCATTCTTTACAGTCCATGGCAATAAATGTTTGTCAAATGAAAGAATAGGTGTTGTGTTTTTATTTAAATCTTCTAATGCCAGACTCAGCTTGAATTATCAATGAGTAGTGTTTTAAGACCATCACAGATCTTGGGCTCTTGGACCTGTAATCCTTAATGGATGAAATGGCCCTGCTCTTGATTTGAAAGTGGACTCACTTTATTAGCATTCTAATTTTGATGGTGGAGTTGCACTCTCAGGACATATTCAGAACTTCCCACACTCTTCCCTAAATTTCCCTTTCCTTTTTATCTCTGATACTCGGAATAGAAGATAAGCTCCTTTGAGAGCAGAGCATGTACTTCATTTACTCTTAGATTCCCCCCCAACACTACCAATGTTGTACCAACTTTGTATAGAATAAGAATGTAATCAGTGTTTGTTAATTTAAATTAATGGCAGTGTTAAATGCAGCTGCAGTGGAGTGGGTTAAGATTGACCTTGGTGTCAAAAGCCCTGAACTCAAGTCCCAGCTCTACCACTTTCTGACTTTGGGCAAGTCATCATTGTATTTGCTCACATAGTTAGCATTACTGGGACTCTTCATTCCTTTGTGTGGATCTAGATCTCCATTTGGTATCATTTTACTTTGCTGAAAGGCTTCCTTTAAATTTTTTTTTAATAGTGAAAGTGTGCTGGTGATTAATTCCTTCAGCATTTGTAGTTTGAGAAAGTTATCTTTATTTTTGAAAGGTGTTTTTGCTGGTTATAGAATACTTGTTGATAGAGTTTCTTTTTTCCTTTTCAGTACTTTTAAGAATGTTAATCCACTTTCTACTGGCTTGCATTGATGAGAAATCTGCAATCATTCTTATCTTTATTCTTCTATATTTACCATGGTTTTTTGTTTGTTTGTTTTTGTTTTTTGTTTTTGTTTTTGTTTTTTTTTTTTGGTCGCTGGCTGCTTTTAAGATTTTTCCTTTGTCCCTATTTTAATTTTTGTTTGCTTTTTAGCAACTTTATTATGTGATCATTGGTGTCTTTTTTCCTATATTTTATGCTTGGGGTTTACTGAGATTCTGGATTTGTTGATTTACAATTTTCAACAAACTTGAAAAACTTTTGGCTATTGTTACTTCAAATTTTTTTCTCCTACTTTGTCCCCTGATCTCTTCTGGGGACTCGAATTGCATTGATATTAGGCCACTTGATATTTTCCAGCAACTCACTGATCCTCCGCTTATTTTTTCTTATCATTTTTTCGATGTGTTTCATTTTGGGTCATTTATATTGATAGATCTTCAAGTTCACCAGCCTTTTCTTCCATAATGTCTAATCTGCTGTTATCCCCATCCAGTGATTTTTCATCTTAGGCATTGTAGCTTCCATCTCTAGAAGTTTGATTTGAGTCTTTTATATATCCTTTCCTGTCTGTACTTAACATGTTCAATGTTTCTTTTTTTCTTTTCTTTTTCTTTTTTTTTTTTTTTTTGAGACAGAGTTCTGCTCTTCTTGCCCAGGCTGGAGTGCAGTGGCACGATCTTGGCTCACTGCAACCTCCGCCTCCCAGGTTCAAGCAATTCTCCAGCCTCAGCCTCCTGAGTAGCTGGGCTTACAGGCACCCACCACCACGCCCGGCTAATTTTTTGTATTTTTAGTAGAGACAGGGTTTTACCATGTTGGCTAGGCTGGTCTCCAACTCCTGACCTCAGGTGATCTGCCCGCCACGGCTTCCCAAGGTGCTGGGATTACAGGCGTGAGCCGCCATTCCCGGCCCAATATTCCTTTTGGTATTTTAAGTATATGAAATATGGTTATCGTAATAGTTTTTATGTTCTTGCCTACTAATTCTGTCATCTGTGTCAAGTTCTAGGTTGATTTCCACCTATTGATTTTTTTTCTCTTCATCATGGGTCACATGTTCCTGCTTCCTTGAATGTTTGGTAATTTTTATTATTATTACTATTATTATACTATAAGTTCTAGGGTACATGTGGTGCACAACGTGCAGGCTTGATACATAGGTATACATGTGCCGTGTTGGTTTGCTGCACCCATCAGCTAGTCATTTACATTAGGTATTTCTCCTAATTCTATCCCTCCCCCAGGCCCCCACCCCCCAACAGGCCCCGGTGTGTGATGTTCCCCACCCTGTGTCCAGGTGATCTCATTGTTGAATTCCCACCTATGAGTGAGAACATGTGGTGTTTGGTTTTCTGTCCTTGTGATAGTTTGCTGAGAATGATGGTTTCTAGCTTCATCCGTGTCCCTGCAAAGGACATAAACGCATCCTTTTTAATGGCTGCGTAGTATTCCATGGTGTATGTGCCACATTTTCTTAATCCAGTCTATCACTGATGGACATTTGGGTTTGTTCCAAGTCTTTGCTATTGTGAACAGTGCCCCAGTAGACATACGTGTGCATGTGTCTTTATAGTAGCATGATTTATAATCCTTTGGGTATATACCCAGTAATGGGATTGCTGGGTCAAATGGTATTTTTAGTTCTAGATCCTTGAGGGATCACCACACTGTCTTCCACAATGGTTGAACTAATTTATACTCCCACAAACAGTGTAAAAGTGGCCCTATTTCTCCACATCCTCTCCACCACCAGTTGTTTCCTGACTTTTTAATGATCGCCATTCTAACTGGCATGAAATGGTATCTCACTGTAATTTGGATTTGCATTTCTCTGATGGCCAGTGATGATGAGCATTTTTTCATGTGTCTGTTGGCCGCATAGATGTCTTCTTTTGAGGAGTGTCTGTTCATATCCTTTGTCTACTTTTTGATGGGGTGATTTGTTTTTTTCTTGTAAATTTGTTTGAGTTCTTTGTAGATTCTGGATATTAGCCCTTTGTCAGATGGGTAGATTGCAAAGATTTTCTCCCATTCTATAGGTTGCCTGTTCATTCTGATGGTAGTTTCTTTTGCCATGCAGAAGCTCTTTAGTTTATTTAGATCCCATTTGTCTATTTTGGCTTCTGTTGCCTTTGCTTTTGGTGTTTTAGTCATGAAGTCCTTGCCTATGCCTATGTCCTGAATGGTATTGCTTAGCTTTTCTTCTAGGGTTTTATGATTTTAGGCCTAACATTTATGTCTTTAATCCATATTGAATTAATTTTTGTATAAGGTATAAGGAAGGGATCCAGTTTCATCTTTCTGCATATGGCTAGCCAGTTTTCCCAGCACCATTTATTAAATAAGGCATCCTTTCCCTATTTCCTGTTTTTGTCATGTTTGTCAAAGATCAGATGGTTGTAGATGTGTGGTGTTATTTCTGAGGCCTCTGTTCTGTTCCATCGGTCTATATCTCTGTTTTGGTACCAGTACCATGCTGTTTTGGTTACTGTAGCCTTGTAGTATAGTTTGAAGTCAGGTAGAGTGATGCCTCCAGCTTTGTTCTTTTGGCTTAGGATTGTCTTGGCAATGCGGGCTCTTTTTTGGTTCCACAGAAACTTTAAAGTACTTTATTCCAATTCTGTGAAGAAAGTTATTGGTAGCTTGATGGGGATGGCATCGAATCTGTAAATTACCTTGGGCAGTATGGCCATTTTCACAATATTCATTCTTCCTATCCATGAGCATGGAACATTCTTCCATTTGTTTGTGTCCTCTTTCATTTCATTGAGCAGTGGTTTGTAGCTCTCCTTGAAGAGGTCCTTCCCATCCCTTGTAAGTTGGATTCCTAGGTATTTTATTCTCTCTGAAGCAATTGTGAATGGGAGTTCACTCATGATTTGGCTCTCTGTTTCTCTGTTATTGGTGTATAGGAATGCTTGTGATTTTTTTTTTTTTTTTTTTTTTTTTTGAGATGGAGTCTCACTCTGTCACCCAGGCTGGATGGAGTGCAGTAGTGTGATCTCGGTTCACTGCAAGCTCCGCCTCCCAGGTTCACACCATTCTCCTGCCTCAGCCTCCCAAGTAGCTGGGACTACAGGTGCCCACCACAACACCAAACTACTTTTTTTGTATTTTTTTTTAGTAGAGACGGGGTTTCACCGTGTTAACCAGGATGGTCTCAATCTCCTGACCTGGTGATCCGCCTGCCTTGGCCTCCCAAAGTGCTGGGATTACAGGCGTGAGCCACCGCGTCCAGCCTGGAATGCTTGTGATTTTGCACATTGATTTTGTATCCTGAGACTTTGCTGAAGTTGCTTATCAGCTTAAGTAGATTTGGGGCTGAGATGATGGGTTTTTCTAAATATACAATCATGTCATCTGCAAACAGGGACAATTTGACTTCCTCTTTTCCTAATTGAATACCTTTTATTTCTTTCCCTTGCCTGATTGCCCTGGCCAGAACTTCCAACACTATGTTGAATAGGAGTGGTGAGTGAGGGCATCCTTGTCTTGTGCTGGTTTTCAAAGGGAATGCTTCCAGCTTTTGCCCATTCAGTATGACATTGGCTGTGGGTTTGTCATAAATAGCTCTTATTATTTTGAGATACGTTCCATCAGTACCTAGTTTATTGAGAGCTTTTAGCATGAAGGCTGTTGAATTTTGTCAAAGGCCTTTTCTGCATCTATTGAGATAATCATGTGTTTTTTGTCATTGGTTCTGTTTATGTGATTGATTATGTTTACTGATTTGTGTATGTTGAACCAGCCTTGCATCCCAGGGATGAAGCCAACTTGATCATGGTGAGTAAGCTTTTTGATGTGCTGCTGGATTCGGTTTGCCAGTATTTTATTGAGGATTTTCACATCGATGTTCATCAGGGATATTGGTCTAAAATTCTCTTTTTTTTGTTGTGTCTCTGCCAGGCTTTGGTATCAGGATGATGCTGGCCTCATAAAATGAGTTAGGGAGGATTCCCTCTTTTTCTATTGATAGGAATGGTACCAGCTCCTCTTTGTACCTCTGATAGAATTCGGCTGTGAATCCATCAGGTCCTGGACTTTTTTTGATTGGTAGGCTATTAATTATTGCCTCAATTTCAGAGCCTGTTATTGGCCTATTCAGAGATTCAAATTCTTCCTGGTTTAGTCTTGGGAGGGTGTGTGTGTCCAGGAATTTATCCATTTCTTCTAGATTTTCTAGTTTATTTGTGTAGAGATGTTTATAGTATTCTCCGATGGTAGTTTGTATCTCTGTGGGATTGGTGGTGATATCCCCTTTATCATTTTTTATTGCATCTATTTGATTCTTCTGTCTTTTCTTCTGTATTAGTCTTGCTGGGAGTCTATTAATTTTGTTGATCCTTTCAAAAAACCAGCTCCTGGATTCGTTGATTTTTTGAAGGGTTTTTTGTGTCTCTTTCAGTTCTGCTCTGATCTTAGTTATTTCTTGCCTTCTGCTAGCTTTTGAATGTGTTTGCTCTTGCTTCTCTAGTTCTTTTAATTGTGATGTTAGGGTGTCAATTTTAGATCTTTTCTTCTTTCTCTTGTGGGCATTTAGTGCTATAAATTTCCCTCTACACACTGCTCGAAATGTGTCCCAGAGATTCTGGTACGTTGTGTCTTTGTTTTCATTGGTTTCAAAGAACATCTTTCTTCCTGCCTTCATTTCATTATTTACCCAGTAGTCATTCAGGAGCAGGTTGTTCAGTTTCCATGTAGTTGTGCAGTTTTGAGTGAGTTTCTTAATCCTGAGTTCTAATTTGATTGAGAGACAGTTTGTTGTGATTTCTGTTCTTTTACATTTGCTGAGGAGTGCTTTACTTCCAACTATGTGGTCAATTTTAGAATAAGTGCTATGTGGTGATGAGAAGAACGTATACTCTGTTGATTTGGAGTGTAGAGTTCTGTAGATGTCTATGAGGTCTACTTGGTGCAGAGCTGAGTTCAAGTCTTGGACCCTTGTTAACCTTCTGTCTCATTGATCTGTCTAATATTGACAGTGGGGTGTTAAAATCTCCCAGTATTATTGTGTGGGAGTCTAAGTCTCTTTGTAGGTCTCTAAGGACTTGCTTTATAAATCTGGGTGCTCCTGTATTGGGTACATATATATTTAGGACAGTTAGCTCTTCTTGTTGAATTGATCCCTTTACCATTATGTAATGGCTTTCTTTGTCTCTTTTGATCTTTGTTGGTTTAAAGTCTATTTTATCAGGCAGTAGGATTGTAACCCCTGCTTTTTTTTGCTTTCCATTTGCTTGGTAGATCCCTTTATTTTGAGCCTATGTGCGTCTTTACACGTGAGGTGGGTCTCCTGAATACAGCACACTGATGGATCTTGACTCTTTATCCAATTTGCCAGTCTGTGTCTTTTAATTGGAGCATTTAGCCCATTTACATTTAAGGTTAATATTGCTATGTGTGAATTTGACCCTGTCATTATGATGTTAAGCTGGTTATTTTGCCCAATAATTGATGCAGTTTCTTCTTAGCATCGATGGTCTTTACAATTTGGCCTGTTTTTGCCGTGGCTGGTACCAGTTGTTCCTTTCCATGTTTAGTGCTTCCTTCAGGAGCTCTTGTAAAGCAGGCCTGGTGGTGACAAAATCTCTCAGCATTTGCTTGTCTGTAGAGGATTTTATTTCTCCTTCACTTATGAAGCTTAGTTTGGCTGGATATGAAATACTGGGTTGAAAATTCTTTTCTTTAAGAATGTTGAATATTCGCCCCAATCTCTTCTGGCTTGTAGAGTTTCTGCAGAGAGATCTGCTGTTAGTCTGATGAGCTTCCCTTTGTGGGTAACCCAACCTTTCTCTCTGGCTGCCATTAACATTTTTTCCTTCATTTCAACCTTGTTGAATCTGACAATTATGTGTCTTGGGGTTGCTCTTCTCAAGGAGTATCTTTGTAGTGTTCTCTGTATTTCCTGAATTTGAATGTTGGCATGCCTTGCTAGGTTGAGGAAGTTCTCCTGGATAATATCCTGCAGTGTTTTCCAGGTTGGTTCCATTCTCCCTGTCACTTTCAGGTACACCAATCAAACGTAGATTTGGTCTTTTCACATAGTCCCATATTTCTTGGAGGCTTTGTTCATTTCTTTTTACTCTTTTTTCTCTAAACTTATCTTCTTGCTTCATTTCATTAATTTGATCTTCCGTCAGTGATACCCTTTCTTCCACTTGATCGAATCAGCTATTGAAGCTTGTGCATGTGCCATGAAGTTCTCGTGCCATGGTTTTCAGCTCCATCAGGTCATTTAAGGTCTTCTCTACACTGTTTATTCTAGTTAGCCATGCGTCTAACCTTTTTCCAAGGTTTTTAGCTTCCTTGCAATGGGTTAGAACATGCTTCTTTAGCTCAGAGAAGTTTGTTATTACCAACCTTCTGAAGCCTACTTCTGTCAACTTGTCAAAGTCATTCTCCATCCAGCTTTGTTCTGTTGCTGGTGAGGAGCTACGATCCTTTGGAGGAGAAGAGGTGCTCTGACCTTTAGAATTTTCAGCTTTTCCGCTCTGGTTTCTCCCCATCTTTGTGGTTTTATCTACCTTTGGTCTTTGATGATGGTGACCTACAGATGGGGTTTTGGTGTAGATGTCCTTTTTGTTGATGTTGATGCTATTCCTTTCTGTTAGTTAGTTTTCCTTCTAACAGTCAGACCCCTCAGCTGCAGGTCTGTTGGAGTTTGCTGGAGGTCCACTCCAGACCCTGTTTGCCTGGGTATCACCAGCAGATGCTGCAGAACAGCAAATATTATTGCCTAATCCTTCCTCTGGAAGCTTTGTCCCAGAGGGGCACCCTATTATATGAGGTGTCTGTCGGCCCCTACTGGGATGTGTCTCCCAGTTAGACTACACAAGGGTCAGGGACCCACTTGAGGAGGCAGTCTGTCCATTCTCAGAGTTCAAATGCCATGTTGGGAGAACCACTGCTGTCTTCAGAGCTGTTAGACAGGGACGTTTACATCTGCAGAAGTTGTCTGCTGCCTTTTGTTCAGCTAAGCCCTGCCCATAGAGGTGGACTCTAGAGGCAGTAGGCCTTGCTGAGCAACAGTGGACTCCACCCAGTTTGAGCTTCACGCAGCTTTGTTTACTTACTCAAGCCTCAGCAATGGCGGACACCCCTCCCGCAGCCAGGTTGCTGCCTTGCAGTAGGATCTCAGACTGCTGCACTAGCAGTGAGCAAGGCTCTGTGGGCATGGGACCTGTCCAGCCAGGCACAAGAGAGAATCTCCTTGTCTGCCAGTTGCTAAGACCTTGAGAAAAGTGCAGCATTTGGGTAGGAGTGTCCCGTTTTTCTAGGTACAATCTGTCACAGCTTCCCTTGGCTAGGAAAGGGAAATCCTCCTACCCCTTGTGCTTCCCGGGTGAGACGACACCCTGCCCTGCTTCAGCTGGCCCTCTGTGGGCTGCACCCACTGTCCCACCAGTCACAATGAGATGAGCCAGGTACCTCAGTTAGAAATGCAGAAATCACCCATCTTCTGGGTCTATCACACTGGGAGCTGCAGACCATTGCTGTTCTTGTTCTTCCATCTTGGAACCGCATGTTTGGTAATTTTTAAAATTGAATTCTATATATTGAGAATTTTATCTTGTTGCATGCTGGCTTTCATTGTATTTATACATATATTTCTATTCTCAAGTTGTTCTGGGACATAGTCAAGTTAATTGGGAACAGTTTGATCCTTTCAGGAATTTCTTTCAAGCTTTGTTAGACGGGAGGTAAGCCATGCTTAGTTTGGAGCTAATTTTTCCCTTTTACTGAGGCAAGGCCCAGTGGCCCATAAATTATGAGGGTTTCAGTTTTCAGTCTGGCTGGTGAGAATAGGAATGTTTCCTTGCCTGTGTGAGCTTTAGAGATTGCTCCCTCTAATACTTGCAGGTTTTTCCTTGGCCTCCAGTAGTGTCAACACATGCATGCTATGGTCAGTCTCAGCTGAAAACTCTAAGGGGTTCCTCTGCTGATCGCCAGAATTATCTCGATTTTTACCTCTCTTCCCTGCAGCATTCTCTATCACACAGCTTGATTTCTTTAAGTCAGGGAGACCAGTGGACTCCACCAGGTTTCCTCATTCCTGCCCTGTAGCCTGGAAACTCTCTCTGTACAGTAAGCTGGGGCAATCATAGGATTTACCCTGTGTATTTCTTGTGTCTCAGACATCTCTGTCTTTTGTCACCGAATGACAATTGCTTTATGCATTTTGTCCATTGTTTTAGTTGTTTCAGGTAGGAGGGTAAACCTGGACTCTGTTACTCTATTTGGCTGGAAGTAGAAGTCCTATGCAGCTTCTTTGTGCCTCAATTTTCTCATTTTGGAAATAGTGCTCTTAATATCAGTCTGTTCTACATTACCAATTTATTGTTATTTTATGAAATATATAATTCATACATAAATATAAGATCTTATTTGAATAGATGAAACGTGCATACAAATAACTGTGAGAGAAGTTATATTAAAATTATATCAGTCATTTGTACTTTAGTGAGCATGTGTTACTAAGATCTTTTACTAAAACAGATTCAAAGTTGATAGTAGAATTGCAGGTAGCTACCCATTTTTGCCCCAGGCCTTCTCACTCCCCAAAATACAAGTAAGAGATTAGGGATCCAATACAGAAGAATGAGTCTAGATGATAGTAGGTTAGTCAAGGAATTATTCCAGATTGCCCTAAAATGTAATGTTAAATGTTTTATCAAAAGTCACTGAATAGGCTCTGGAGCCTGGTTAGAAAAGGATGCTGCCTCTTTGAGGACATGAAGGCTTGGAAAGAGGGCAACTGCGGCCTGAAAGTATGAGAAGGCAACCTAAAAAGAGAGAAGAGTAATTCCAAGATCAGGATAAGGAATGGAGAGGAGAGTTTGCTGTCTGGAAAAGCAATAAAACTAGAAGAACTTGGAAAAGATGAAAGATTAATGCCTCCAGTACAATCAACGCAAACAATAAATGGGGACTTTGAATTTATAACTAATTTCATCCATATATATAATATTTGTGTATATATATATATATGTTTGTATTCTGAAATCTCATGTGTACTGAGCTATAGAAGTATCTTGGACTTGATATGTGTTGAGGAAGCCTGACTTTAGAGCCTGGAATTTTTGGGGGTGCGGGGGTGGGATGGTAAAGATTTGCAGGAAAGTACCTTTTGCAGCAAGTACCTCTGCTCTCCATAGGTCTTTCTGATTCATCTTGAGGAATGACAGAAATGGAATGGGAAGAAACTTTCTACCTAGTGTCTTCTTAGAGATGCTCATTTTGTCTTGAACTCCACTTTCTATGTGCATGGCAATTATCAAAGGAGTGACAGTGCCAGGGCCTTCTTCCAACCCAGTCCTGCCTAAGATCCTAGTGGCATCAAGGGATCAAAATGCATCTTCTCTATGCATTGATGACAATGATTGAATCTTCAATGCTGTGACAGAGGACTACACCTCAAACTACAGAAGATCCTTGCATTTGGATGTAACATCCACGTTCTTACATTATATTAACAGTGAAAGTCTGAATTTCCTGGTTCTTGCCCCACTTGCCTACATAGCTGAGTTTGCCTCCTTTCTGCTTCTCTGCTGATGGTCACTGTGATGATACAACAATCTCTGTCAGTGACACAGTCACCAGTCCTGGAGGTACTAGAATGACAGTCTGTGCATACCTGTGCATACCCTCCTCTCTGGACTCTGGCCACATTGGCCTTCTTTCAGTTTCATGAACATTCCATGATCACTTCCCATTCTCCCACCCCAAAGGATCTGCACTTGCACTGTTTCCTCCTGCCTGGAGCACTCTTTCCCCCTTTGTGTCTCTTCCCCACGAAAGGTTCAGAGGGCTAGTTAATATCTCAGCTTTCTTCAGATATCATCTGGATCTTCATTCCCTCAAAGAAACCTTGATTCTCTTCTTCCTCCTTCTTCCACAAGTCTTGATTAAGTCCTTTTGTTAAAAACTCTCAAAGAACCAATTCTGCAGTACATTTATCCTAGGTTATAAATATATTCTCATTTGTGTGATTATTTGATTAATTTCACTTTAGTCTATCTCTCAGGCTCATTCGCATTCTACCAGTTAATTTCTGTCTCCTGAGTCCATTCATTCTCTCTAATAATCATTTACTATACCTCAAAAGAATTGCCTACATTCTCCATCTCTTCCCATTAGGTTATTGGATAATAATTTTCCTGCTTTTTCACTGTGTGTATGCATGTTAATAAGATTGCATGCCTTTTTTCCCTGTTGCTCTGTCTATTGTCAATTAACTTCAACAGAATCAGACTTGAACCTTCAGAGGGAAAATCTGAACTTCCCTCCAGTGGAAAGAAGGAATGGAAGAGTGGAGTACAATGCATTCCCTCACCTCTCTCCTCTCTACTACATAGGTACACCTAAGCAGCATTCCCTATGCCTCAGGGACACCTCCTTAAATAGCTCTTTCAAATTTTTTTGCCTATAGTGCCAAACTCCAAAGACTAAAAATCCAGCCGCTTGAGCTGGCTTGGGGATAGGATACATTTTCTATCTTGCTCAACTTTGGCCTCAGGCATCCTTAATCAGTTAATCATTCCAGGAAATAGATACTTGATGATATGGTTTGGCTCTGTGTCCCCACCCAAATCTCGTTTCAAATTGCAATGCCCATGTGTTGGAGGAGGGGCCTGGTGGGAGGTAATTGAATCATGGGGGTGGACTTACCCCTTGCTGTTCTCATGATAGTGAATTAGTTTTCATGAGATCTGGTTGTTTAAAAGTGTGTAGTGCTTTCTTCTTCATTCTGTCTCTCTCCTGACATCATGTGAAGGTGTTTCACCCTTTCACCTTCCACCATGATTGTAAGTTTCCTGAGGCTTCCCAGTCATGCTTCCTGTTAAGCATAACTATGAGTCAATTAACCCTCTTTTCCTCATAAATCATCCAGTCTCAGGTAGTTCTTTATAGTAGTGTGAAAGTGGACTATTACAGTAAATTGGTACCAGGAGTGGGACACTGCTATAAAGATACCTGAAAATGTGGAAGAGACTTTGGAACTTGGTAAGAGGCAGAGGTTGGAACAGTTTGGAGGGCTCAAAAAAAGACAAGAAGATGTGGGAAAGTTTGGAACTTCCTAGAGACTTGTTGAATAATTTTGACCAAAATGCTGATAGTAATATGGATAATGAAGTCCAGGCTGAGGTGGTCTCAGATGGAGATGAGGACCTTGTTAGGAATTGGAATAAAGGTGACCCTTGCTATGTTTTAGCAAAGAGACTGCCCCTGCCCTAGAGATCTGTGGAATTTTGAACTTAAGAGAAAAGATTTAGGGCGTCTGGTGGAAGAAATTTCTAAGCATTCAAGAGGTGACTTGACTGCTGTTAAAAGCATTCAGTTTTATGTATTCACAAAGATATGGTTTGGAATTGGAACTTATATTTAAAAGGGAAACAGAGCATAAAAGTTCCAAAAATTTGCAGCCCGACAATGTGATAGAAAAGAAAAACCAATTTTCTGAGGAGAAATTCAAGCTGGCTGCAGAAATTTTGTAAGTAATGAGGAACCAAATGTTAATTGCCAAAACAATGGAAAAAATGTCTCCAGGGCATGTCAGAGGTCTTCACAGCAGCCCCTCCCATCACAGAACCAAAGGCCTAGGACACAGGGCACCAGGGCCTTTCTACTTTGTGTGGTCTTGGGGCTTGGTGCCCTGTGTCCCAGCTGTGGCTAAAAGGGACCAAGTTACATCTCAGGCCATGACTTCAGAGGGTGCAAGCCCCAAACTTTGGCAGCTACCACAAGGTGTTGGGTCTGCAGGTACACAGATGTCAAGAGTTGAGGTTTAGGAATCTCCACCTAGATTTCAGAGGATGTATGGTAATGCCTGGATGTCCAGGCAGAAGTTTGCTGCAAAGGCAGAGCCCTCCTGGAGAACCTCTGCTAGAGCAGTGCAGAAGGGAAATGTGGGGTTGGACCTTCCACACAGAGTCCCCACTGGGCACTGCCTAGTGAAGCTTTGAGAAGCAGGCCATTGTCCTCCAGAACCCAGAATGGTGGATCCAACAACAGCTTGCACCATGCTCCTGGAAAAGCCACAGACACTCAATGACAGCCTGTGCAAACTGCTGCCAGGGCTGTATCCTGCAGAGCAACAGGTGTAGAGCTGCCTAAGGCCTTGGGAGCCCACCCCTTGTATCATTGTGGCCTAGATGTGAGACGTGAAGTCAAAGGAGATCATTTTGATGCTTTAAGATTTAATGACTGTCCTGCTGGATTTTGGATTTGCAGGTGGCCTGTAGCCACTTTGTTTTGTCCAATTTCTCCCATTTAGAATGGGAGCATTTATGCAATGCCTGTACCCTCATTGTATCTTGAAAGTAACTAACTTGTTTTTGATTTTACAGGCTCATAAGCAGAAGGGACTTGCCTTGTCTCAGATGAGACTTTGGACTTGGATTTTTGAATTAATGCTGGAATGAGTTAAGACTTTGGGGGACTGTTGGGAAGGCATGATTGTATTTTGAAATGTGAGAAGGACATGAGATTTGGGAGCGGCTAGGGGCAGGATGATATGGTTTGGCTTTGTGCCCCGACCAACATCTCATGTTGATGTGTAATCCCCATGTGTTGGAGGAGTGGCCTGGTGGGAGATGACTGAATCATGGGAGTGGACTTCCTCTTTGCTATTCTCATGACAGTGAATGACTTCTCACAAAAGCTGGTTGTTTAAAAGTGTGTAGCACTTTCCCCTTCACTCTCTCTGTCTCCCTCCTGCCACCATGTTAAGAAGGTGTTTCTAATTGTGTTGTAGTCCTTTGAATCTTTCAAAATATAATCTAAAGTCCTTCAATCTCTAAACTATTATATTAAGTTTAGAAACAGCAACACAAAAAGGCTTGAATGTCATATTAATGACAGATAGAAATCAAGGATTTGTGTTGCCTGTTGTGCATTTACTAACTGGGTGCCAGATGTAAACAGAATTGACTCTTCCCCTCCCTGCTCCCTTTATCTTGCAGCATGTGGATTACCATACCCTCCCTTTTTCCCCTCCAGTCCACTTTTCCCCGCTAAATATCAAAGCCCTCAAAATCATCTTGGGAGAAAGGCACAAAGTACAGACTGTTTCTCCGTTTCCAGGTTCTTGTCTTCCAGGCATGTCCTTAACCTTGGCAAAATAAGCTTCCAAATTGATTGAGAACTGTCTCAGATAGTTTTTGGTTTACATACTTCTAGGCCTATTTTGCATCTGTTACAATGCCTAAACCATATAACATATGGAATTCCAATAAAAGGTTCATGGGATCCTAGGAGGCCCATGAGCAGGTTTCAGGAGGTATATGTATCCTCAAAACTGAATACACAGCTTAGAAGTTCAGAGGGTTTGTAGCTTTCATTAGATTCTTGTTGGATTCAGTGACCATAGCAGGTTTTGAGGCACAATGGTTGAAGGGAAGAACTTCAACTTGAGATGAGAAAGCTCTCTGATTATGAGACTTCCAAGGCAACAGCTCAGATCAATAAATTTAAGAATGTGATTCTATCAGAGCCCTTCGTGTTGAGCAGAGTTTCAGACCAACTCACATGATATTAGTATACACACCAAAACAGCCACCATGTTCAGTGGTGTGAGGGTGGAGCTTGCCCATCTAGTGACCACGCACCAGTTTCCCTCTCCTGTACTGCCTGGCTGGGGTGCCTGAGCAGCATTTCCCTGCAGACAGGGAGCCCTTAAACCATTTTGTAGCCTTGCCTGTTTTCTCCTTTTGCCACAAGACTTAAAGACAATGGTAACTGGTGGGAAACAGATCACCCAGCAGCTCTTTACTGGCATCAGGATATCTGGAAAACAACCACTCAGAAGCGTGGCAAAGAAAGGGAGTTGTAGAATCAGGAGGCATGTTTTTGTACAGACTATGATAACATCTGATGAATTCCCTCTGTACCACATCAAAGTAGAACTCACTAATGACCACAAGACCCCTGTCTGCCACACGCACGATCTTCCTTTCTTTCTCTTGGAACAGTGCTGAGTAAAAGCCAAGACTTTCCTTGGCTCATTTTTGTTGAATATGCCAACCAGCCCTTTCTATTAATATATTCTTTCCGAAGAAAAAAATTATAATTCATTATGTTACAGGATTTTTTAATGTTCAATTATATTTTTATGAAATAGTCTCTTTTGTTCTGGTGTCTCCTCAAACCCTTTTTCGGCATCTGCCTTCTCTCAGGATAGGTGACTTTCTTGGATGGTTAACTTCCTTCATGATTCATTGATTCTTAGTTTTCACTATCAGAGAGTTGCCTTTTCAAGTTATAGGTGTGTCTTATCCTGTCTTTTCATGTGCCCCACAAGGGAATCACCTCCCTGCTCACCATGATCATCGTCATTGTGATAATGAAAACATGAAAACACTGTGAAATGTAGCTTCTGTGTTAAGGTAGAGTGCTCTGTAAAAAAACTTAGTATTAGTCCCCTCCTTATAATTAACCCATCAATTGTTTCTCATCTACTTAGAATTAAATCTAAACTTCTTCACCATGGTGGAGTAGTCAATGTTGGTGTTCCTTGCCTGTCCTCCAATCCCCATTTCCCTTCTTTCAGCTTCCTGAATTTTCCTCTGGGGACCCACTTTTCTTACAATTTTAGTGTATACTTCAGATAGATGAATTCTTTCCTCAGATCTGAAGTGGTTGCTTTATTCAGGACTGACAAATCTGCATATTCATCCTCCTGGGCACTGTGACTAATCCAAGGACAGATATGTGGCCCAGGGGGATCTGATAAGGATAAGGTCTGGACATTTTGTGGCAATTATTAGAAAACCAGTGCAACACGGTGAAACCCCGTCTCTACTAAAAATACAAAAATTAGCCGGGCATGGTGGCGCGCGCCTGTAGTCCCAGCTACACGGGAGGCTGAGGCAGGAGAATGGCGTGAACCCGGGAGGCGGAGCTTGCAGTGAGTCGAGATCGCGCCACTGCACTCCAGCCTGGGCGACAGAGCGAAACTCCGTCTCAAAAAAAAAAAAAAAAAAAGAAAACCAGTGCAATCTTTTAGGATTGCTAAACTGCTAGACTATGTGGCTGAATTTTATATTCTTTACTAACTTGTGACATTCTTGCCACATTTTGCCTTTCTGGAAATGAAGCAAGCCAGAGGAAAACAGACAGGTGAGAGAGACATGGATTGCCAGTGACACTATCTGAGCAAGTTTTTGTCCACACTTGATCTTTTTGGACAACTGAGCCAATACATTCCCTTTTTTCCTTGAACCAGTTTACACTGGGTTTCTGATACTTGCATCTCCCAAAGTCGAGACTATTCCCATGGTCTCAATGCTGTGGCCCCTGCTGATGTCTCCCACCTTGTCTTCTGCCATGTTCACCCACATTCTCTATATCATTGCTGTTCTGACCTTCTGTCAGTTCCTAGAAAAATCCATGTACTTTCCTACCCAAGGGACTTTGTTTTTATTATTCTCTTTCCTCTAAATGGTCTTCACTGGCTGTCTTCACCTTCAGATCTCTGCCTAAGTGTTACCGTCTCTGAGGCTTTTCTGACACAGACTACACACATAGCACATACATGCTCACACACTAGACTGCAAGTTCCCTATGGGCAGGTAATTTATAGATTCAATGCCATCCCCATCAAGTTACCAATGACTTTCTTCACAGAATTGGGAAAAAGTACTTTAAAGTTCATATGGAACCAAAAAAGAGCCCGCATTGCCAAGTCAATGCTAAGCCAAAAGAACAAAGCTGGAGGCATCACACTACCTGACTTCAAACTATGCTACAAGGCTACAGTAACCAAAACAGCATGGTACTGGTACCAAAACAGAGATATAGAGCAATGGAACAGAACAGGGCCCTCAGAAATAATGCCGCATATCTACAACTATCTGATCTTTGACAAACCTGACAAAAACAAGCAATGGGGAAAGGATTCCCTATTTAATAAATGGTGCTGGGAAAACTGGCTAGCCATATGTAGAAAGCTGAAACTGGATCCCTTCCTTACACCTTATACAAAAATTAATTCAAGATGGATTAAAGACTTAAACGTTAGACCTAAAACCATAAAAACCCGAGAGAAAACCTAGGCAATACCATTCAGGACATAGGCATGGGCAAGGACTTCCTGTCTAAAACACCAAAAGCAATGGCAACAAAAGCCAAAATTGACAAATGGGATCTAATGAAACTAAAGAGCTTCTGCACAGCAAAATAAACTACCATCAGAGTGAACAGGCAACCTACAGACTGGGAGAAAATTTTTGCAATCTACTCATCTGACAAAGGGCTAATATCTAGAATCTACAATGAACTCAAACAAATTTACAAGAAAAAAACAAACAAACCCATCAAAAAGTGGGCAAAGGATATGAACAGACACTTCTCAAAAGAAGACATTTATGCAGCCAAAAGACACATGAAAAAATGCTCATCATCACTGGCCATCAGAGAAATGCAAATCAAAAGCACAATGAGATACCATCTCACACCAGTTAGAATGGCGATCATTAAAAAGTCAGGACACAACAGGTGCTGGAGAGGATGTGGAGAAATAGGAACACTTTTACACTGTTGGTGGGACTGTAAACTAGTTCAACCATTGTGGAAGTCAGTGTGGCGATTCCTCAAGGATCTAGAACTAGAAATACCATTTGACCCAGCCATCCCATTACTGGATATACCCAAAGGATTATAAATCATGCTGCTATAAAGACACATGCACACGTATGTTTATTGCGGCACTATTCACAATAGCAAAGACTTGGAACCAACCCAAATGTCCAACAATGACAGCTGGATTAAGAAAATGTGGCACATATACACCATGGAATACTATGCAGCCATAAAAAATGATGAGTTCATGTCCTTTGTAGGGACATGGATGAAATTGGAAATCATCATTCTCAGTAAACTATCGCAAGGACAAAAAAACCAAACACCGCATGTTCCCACTCATAGGTGGGAATTGAACAATGAGAACACATGGACACAGGAAGGGGAACATCGCACACCGGGACCTTTTGTGGGGTGGGGGGAGGTGGGGAGGGATAGCATTAGGAGATATACCTAATGTTAAATGACGAGTTAATGGGTGCAGCACACCAGCATGGCACATGTATACATATGTAACAAACCTGCACGTTGTGCACATGTACCATAAAACTTAAAATATAATAAAAAAAATAATAAATAAATAAATAAGTACTGAAGGATGGGGCTGCCTTGCCCTCCCCAGCAAAAAAAAAAAAAAAAAAAAAAAAGTTAATTCTTCCGTGATTTTTGTGCCGTTTATGTTTTTAGCTTTTACATTTCACATGTAAATTATTTGAAATTTGTCTTGGCATAAAATTCAGATTTGACTTTATTTTCTAGATGACTGTCCACTTGTTCAAACAATATTTATTGAATGATTCTCTATGGAGTGTATTTATGGTAATAGCCAAATGTAAGGAATTGTCGACGGGGAGAAAAGTGAAGTTTAATCAAGATTGTCAGTGAAGATATGCTTGGCTAAGCCATTTCTTTTTGTCCTCTTCTCCCTCCTTTCCTTTCTTCTGCTTTCTTCCCCTCTCATTCTCTTCTGTTCTTTGTTTTTCTCTTTTTGTCGTATTCATATGTAACTTGATTCATTCTCTTTGGGGATAGAAACATTTTTAAATTTTCTTACGAATTAAAAAATTCTTTAAATTTGTAAAAAAAAAAAAAGTTCCCTCTGAGTAGGGACTACATGTGACTTGTTCAGCATTGTTATTCCAGTGCCTGGCACATAGTCAGTACTATAGAAATATTTGGGCAGGTTTCTTGAATGTGCCACACTTGTTCTGTTTTTCCTTCTGCCTCGAATTCTCTTTTTCTTTAATTCTTTGCATAGCCAGTTTCTTCTTATTTCAGTCTCAACCCAAGCTCCACCTTTTCAGGAAGGCCTTTCCTCATCATAAAGTCTATGATTCCTCTCCCCTAACCTGTCTTTCACATCATCTGGTTTTACATTATTTATTATATATGCCCTGAGATTATCCAGTTCAATTTTTTGTTTATTTATTTATTTTCTATCCTCAAACGCAATGTAAGCTCCATGAGAGCAGAGACGGTCTTAATCAAAGCTTCATTTCCAACCCCCTCAGCAGTGCCTGACACATTACAGTTTCAATAAATATACACTGATTGAGTGGATGAATGAAGGAAAGTCAAGCACTAGAGATTACACTCACTTGTATGCTTTGCCTTATTTAATCCCTACAAAAGCCTTATGAAGTAAGCACTATCATACTATTCATTCCATATTACATAGGAGAAAACTAAGTCTTAGGGGGGCAATGTAATTTGCCCAAAATCACATTGTTCATAACTTGAGAAGCTGAAATTCAAATCAAGATATGCCTGTTTTACGGATGACAGTTCATTTTCTGCATCTTAAAATATCATTTTATTTCTTTTTTTATTATACTTTAAGTTCTAGGGTACATGTGCACGACATGCAGGTTTGTTACATATTTTATTTCTTATGATTCGAGTTTGGATATCACAGCTGGTCTCCAAGCAGAAAAAGAGAGTTCCTACTCTCCTCCCCTTAACCCCATTAACTTTATCCTCAGAGTTACAGGCGGAACAGCTGGACATCTTGCAACCTTAGGTAGGGGTAGGTCTTGCCTTGACAGATTCACTACACACAAGGAAGCAGGAGTGTGTACATTATTTTAGGCTTCCAGCTTCGAAAGAGAGAGCCAAAAGGGGCTGGCCTGGGCACGCACTAGGACCTTTTCCCCAAACTTCACTAATCAGAGTGGTTTTCTCTTCTGAAGGGGTTGGGGCCAGAGGAAGGGAGAGAAGGAGGGGTCTGAGGAGAAGGGCAGAACTGTTTTCCTACTACTTCCAAGCTGGCCAAAGTTCCTGTTTTATGGATGGATGCAATAACACAGGGAGAGGGAGAAATTTCCCCAACTCCAACCCTCAGTTATCAAAGAAAAACCCTTAGTTTGCAATTGATGTTGGAGATTCTGGGGTGTAGTGGTGAGGGATATATCTGTATTGGCAGTATCAGGTCTCAGCCCGACCAGCAACACATTTGATGATATCGCTTCTAAAAATCACTCGGTACCTCTGTACTAACTTTGGAGTCAAGTTTAAACTCCTCCTCAGGGCAAGACACTTCATGAGCAGCCCCTGGCCCCTCTGCAGTCTCACCTCCTGGTATCCCACTGGCATCCCCCACAGCCATGGTAGAGAAGCCATGAACATGTTGCAACTCCTCACAACTCTAAGCCTTTGGAAATGTCATTTCTTCTCCCCCGGCTAATTCATATTCAGCTCTCAAGATTAGGCAGTTAACCATGAGCAGCTTCAAGGCAGGTTATGTTTTACCTATCTCTGTATCCTTGAGCCTCTCAAAGTAGCTGCCTTGAATGAGTTTCAAAAGGTTAGCTGAAAGGCAACCTTGCTTGGAAATCCTCCTGGCACCTCAGGAGATGGTTCTCCTCCTTGCTCCCAAAGCCCTCCAGCACACCTTTATTTATAATTCTTAAACTATACCTTTTTAATTTTTTTTATTATTTTTTAGAGACAGGTCTCACTCTGTTGCCCAGGTTGGAGTGCAGTGGCACAATCATGGTTCACTGCAGCCTCGAACTCCTGGGCTCAAGCAATCCTCCTGCCTCAGCCTCCCAAGTAGATAGGACTACAGCAATGTGCCACCATGCCGGGGTACTCTTCTTAAAATGTTGTTCTTTTTTCTTTTTGAGGAAAGAAGGCTGTGTCTTATGTGTCACAGGGCCTAGCCCATAGGAGGTACTGGATAAATTAATTTTTGAATCAAACCTCTTCTGAGCCTCTGTGATGTGGAAGGCATGGTGCTAGGCACTACTGGGGGTATACAAAATCGTGTCTCTGATTTAAGGAAATGAGAGTTCATGGGGAACAAGACATGAAAAGTTCATAAATATATTGCTTAAGGCACTGTGAGATAACTTGAAGTTAATTCTATAGAAATTTAAAAGGAGGGAACATTTCTGACTTATGTAACAATTATCACACACCCTCCTTTTCACTTGGAAATGGACTCTTAATCTGTTAATTATTTTCTTAACGGTTTAGAAGTGTCTTTTATTGTGTGGCTTGGATCTGTTTAAAAAGTAGGTGGGTCATAAATAATAAATAAAGAAAACAGGTGATCAGGCTTAGGAGGCCCTCTGGGTTGTGCGTTCAGACAGTATCCAAGAAGTTTGACTTGGTGTGAAAGGGTGGGATTACATGTTAATGATAGCAGGGTTTAGATTCTACACTGAAAGGAAGCAGTTAGTGAGCCCTGGGAGGAGTTGAAGGAAAGCAGTTACAAAAATGGATGCTTCCCAAGACCCTCCATTAAGCCTCCTGGGATAGGTCCCCTGTCTGTCCCTAGACTCCAGGGTACTGCTGGGCACTTCAAGAGAGACAGAGAATTTGAATACTCATGAGTCTTGGAATGTAGGAATAACAATTCATCCGAACAAGCAAACATGATAGACAATTTTTTTTTTTACCCACTGAGGACATTGTGTCTAAAAATCTGATTTGTGCCCAGGAATTATCTGTATAGAATTTTCATTACTTTATAGAATTGATATTGCATAGTTCTGTAGGATAAGGATCTAGCACTTGAGTTATGAATAGCTCAGGATGACATAACACACAATGGTTAGTTGGACTGGATATGTCCATAAAGCTGAATTCTAATTCAACTATGAGCATCTCTGATTCTGCTTCTGATTCTAGGTGACTTTAATCCCAAATTGAATTTTCTGACATTTCTGTAAAATGGGGCATGAGAGAGCACGTCGGTTATGGGGTTTAAATATAAAAGAGTTAAGAGCTGAGAAGTGCCTCCTTGGTCAATTAAACCACACTGACATCCCGTTTTCCTTTTCTTCTTTTTCATAATTAGAGAGGAAGTGGAGGGAAAGGAAATAAATAACTTTAACAAAGTATGCCTAGTTTAAATGCACCAGGTCCCCGCTCTTTTATAAACTCATAATTCTCATTGCATCACTAATTTGAAATTAATCACAGCTCCTTGGTGTCTCAGAAAGCTTCCTATTGCTTTTCACTACGTAACTTTCCAAGTCTGTGTGTTTGGTACTCTAGGATGTTAGGCCACCAGAGGAAAGAGGATGTATCTTTTTTTTTTTTATACTTTAAGTTTTAGGGTACATGTGCACAATGCGCAGGTTAGTTACATATGTATACATGTGCCATGCTGGTGTGCTGCACCCATTAACTCGTCATTTAGCATTAGGTATATCTCCTAATGCTATCCCTCCCCCCCTCCCCCCACCCCACAACAGTCCCCAGAGTGTGATGTTCCCCTTCCTGTGTCCATGTGTTCTCATTGTTCAATTCCCACCTATGAGTGAGAATATGCGGTGTTTGGTTTTTTGTTCTTGCGATAGTTTACTGAGAATGATGATTTCCAATTTCATCCATGTCCCTACAAAGGACATGAACTCATCATTTTTTATGGCTGCATAGTATTCCATGGTGTATATGTGCCATATTTTCTTAATCCAGTCTATCATTGTTGGACATTTTCTTTTTGATAGTCGAATTCCCTTCAACGTCTAGCACAGTGCCTTGCACATTTACCCACTCAAAAAAAATTTCGTAAGGAATTAATAAATGAATCCTTAGGAGGAAAAGTGAAAATGAAGTTTTTCTCTCAGGATGAGGTGTATTTCTCCGTTCATTTCAGATATGCATCAGCTAGTCAGCGTAAATTGTGCTTTTTATATGCTCACCAGGTGTAGGTAAGAGCTTTGGCTGAGATGGAGAAATTCATCGCGGGAGGATAATAAAGCGGGCAGGGATTTGGCAACCTCAGAGCCGCGAGGAGGAGGCGGAGTCGCGGAGAGTTTGAGTATTTCCGTCCAATCAAAAGGAGACTGTAAGAGGAGGAGGAGGAGGAGATGACTGGGGAGCGGGAGCTGGAGAATACTGCCCAGTTACTCTAGCGCGCCAGGCCGAACCGCAGCTTCTTGGCTTAGGTACTTCTACTCACAGCGGCCGATTCCGAGGCCAACTCCAGCAATGGCTTTTGCAAATCTGCGGAAAGTGCTCATCAGTGACAGCCTGGACCCTTGCTGCCGGAAGATCTTGCAAGATGGAGGGCTGCAGGTGGTGGAAAAGCAGAACCTTAGCAAAGAGGAGCTGATAGCGGAGCTGCAGGTAAGGCGAGAGAGAGAAAATTGAGGTCTCTAGGGCAACCTCCATGGAAAAAGGCTGGCTGCGCCCAGGCCAGCGCGCCCCCCTCGCATGCACCCCGTATCAATTAGTTCCGGGGCCTCCTGAGATTGGGGGGTAGAGAAGAACGGGGGCGGGAGGAGGCAGAAAGAGGGAAGAACAAACGGCGGCGAGATGCAAACTTTTCTTTTAGTTTGCAACCGCGTCTTTCACGTTGGCATGCCTCCGCTAGCATTGCAAAGTGCGGGCTGCTCCAACTGGTCCTGCAGGCTGCTCGCGGATGCCAGCGCGGGATGCCAGCGCGGCGCCCCAGCGCCTTAGCGCGCAATTGTTCTGGCAGCCTCGCGCCGCCTCTCCCCCAACCCCCAACCGCCTCCGCGCGGGGCGATCGGGAGAGGGGCCCCAAAGTGGCTTCTTTGCGGGGAACCCAGGGACTGGCGATTCTTCCCAACCAAGTTCTGGGCCGCCCCGCCGATTCTAGCCTGCCTTGGCGGTGGCGGGGTTGGGGGGGTCGGGGGGCGGGGGGAAGCTGGCGGAGACCCAACCAGTCTGGTGGCTGCTGGGGCAGCTGGAGGGGAAGGCAGCCCTCGTAAGGCAGCAAACACGTACCCGCCCCTCGTCTGATGCAAGACTGCTCCGTGCTTTCGCCGCCCCTCTGCCTCCTGGGAGCCTTCGGAGGAAAGGGAGGCGGGCGGGGAGCGCTGGGGTCCAGATTTAGCCTCCTCCCCACCTTTGGTTTATCGCTGGTTGGGAGTGACCAGACTCGACTAGAATCCGATCCCAAACGCTCCCAGATGATTTATAGTCTTAGCAAATTTTTATCTCCTTTTGTTGTGATATATAATTAATCTACTTCAAATCTTTATCCACCGTGTTTGAAAAGGCCTGCTGGGCCTGGTGGCCTTGTCCGGAATATTTATTTTGTGAACTCTTCACTCCAGTGCCTGCACTTTCGACCTCTGTAGTCGACCCAGCTGCCCAGTCTCTACCTCACCTGATCCAGTATATTCTCCCCCACCCTCCAAATCGCACAACCGCCTTCTGCCCGCCTCAGCCCTGTCCACCACCTTCAGCCGTCTCCTCCTCCGAGGACCCCTTAGACCGCAGAGGCTGCTGTTGTTGCTTTAGTTGTGCCACAACCACGTGGTCCTGGAAACTGCCTCGCTCACTTTGTCTGCCTTTGTATCTGCTGGCGTGGATCTTGTCACCATGGCATGACACTATATCCAAGTATCCAGCTCTGCCCTGTACTCAGAAGAATTTGGTCCCTGCCTTCAAGAAGTTTGTAAGCTGGTTAGGGAGCATGGCTAATACGCAGGAGACAGTTGAGCAGATGACACAAGAGCATAGCCCCGAATTAGACCATCCAGCTCCCTAACCTTTGCGTGTTCCCCTTCTGGAAAAGCCAGAGAAAGGTCCAATCATCATGCACAGAATTGGTGGGCAAGGGCTTAGGACTTGAGTAGGATTGGACGGGTGGCAGGCTCCTCACATCTGTCACCTCCTTTCTTGTGTGAAATTGTATCAGTGGCTCTGGGGAACAACCAGGAAAGGCAGTGGGGTGTCCTGCAGAACAGCCTCTGACTCTCACCTCCACCAGAGCACCAGGTTGGGAAGAGGGTGGCAATCAAGTGCTTTCACCTCTCTAAAGGAAATTAGAAACCTGATACCCCAGTGAGGGGGTGGGGATAGGGAGGGATGAGGGCAGAATTGAGAGGAATGGGAGGCCTCATCCATAATGAGGGGTTGTTCCATGAAGTCAGGAATCAGCTGGGTGGATGCTGGGAGTCTGGTGCTGAAACTTGGAGAACATTTTAAAGGCGCTGAAAACTCTTGGCAGGAGAGGAGGAGTGTTTGTTGGCTAACTTGACTGCTGGGCATTTTTGGACTGTTTGGGAGGGCTCAGCTTTCTTGTCTGTCTTTGCAACACATTTGGTTCAGAATGCCAATTAATCTCCTTGGTCAGCCCACTGAAGGGTCCTCATTTCTACACTATGCCTTTTTATTCTGCATGAAGAGGTGTCTGGCATAGTGTCTCCTGCCCTCCCCCACTGAAGTCTCTTTAATGCTGAAGGAAGCTTCGGCAGCGTTGCTAGAACCGGGCCTGGCCTTGGTTCCCACTGCCTTGTATTCTGGGCAGGCGGTCTCCTCTCACTCACCCCCTGGTCAGGAAGTACAATCATTCCTCCCTGCCCTTTCAGTGGTGCTTTTCAGACTTGGAGCAAGTCATAGTTCAGTTTAAGGGGTCATGACGAGCATTTTAAAAAACAAAGTAGGAAATATCAGACAGCAATGCAGATAGATAGTAAGGTTGTAAGTATTGTTTCATGAATTTTGTTTCATTTATGTTGTGTAGTTGTATGTGTGTGGCATGTGAGTATGAAATTACAACTTAAAAATGTGTTTCTTGGCCGGGCGCGGTGGCTCACGCCTGTAATCCCAACACTTTGGGAGGGGCCAAAGGAGGCAGATCATTTGAACTGAGGAGGTTGAGACCAGACTGGGCAACATGGCAAAACCCTGTCTCTACAAAAAATACGAACATTAGCTAAGCATCTTGCACAAGCCTGTAGTCTCAGCTACTGGGGGATGGGGTGGAGGGCTGAGGCCCTGGTTGCTGTCACTCTTCCCAACCTGGTGCTCTAGTGGGAGGATCGCTTGAGCCTAGGAGTTTGAGGCTGCAGTAAGCCATGATCTCGCCACTGCAATCCAGCCTGGGCAACAGAGCTAGACCCTGTCCCACCCCTCCACCAACAAAGATGTGTTTCTTACAATGAACCTCAGTCAAAAAAGTTTGGAAAACGTTGGCTTAAAATAATAAAGCATCTTGTTTGGAACTCACATCTTAAATATACCTAATATGCCGGAAAATATTTAAATAATATTACCATGTATCAGTGGCTTTTAAACTTTGACTGTGACCCACAATAAGAAATTTGTTTTATGTCATAACTTAAACACTCATACATATGTGTACACACAGACACACACAAATTTTATGAAATAATACTTACTCTTTTTACATATGATGCATTCTGGTATTTTCTTCTGTTTCATTAAGTAGCATTGCTGGTCAGGACCACTAAACTAAACACTGGTAATGGTATTTAATTTACTGAAGCACATCCATACCTTCATATCAGTACTTGAAGAAAGATTAAGAAGGGAATAAATCTTTCCATGCCAAATTTCTTTTCAAATTTCTTTAAAATAGGAAGTTCCCAGCCTTTACACAAGGATTTAGTTTGCAAAAGTTAAATAACCATCAAATTAATCAGGATCACACATCTTGTGCAAAACAGGGTAGACCTGCCTTCCCTATAGCTGGGGAACATGACCTGGATAGTTTCATTGTCTTGCCCTATGATTTAAGTCAGAGGCATGGCAATGCTAGAATTACCTCCTAGGCCAAGCTTGTCCCCTTGGGAAAGGAAGCATGTGTGAACCTGAGGAATGGCAATGGATTCCCATTGCTGAGTTAGCAGTTTGTCTCGAACAGCCATAAATCAAGCAGTTTTCTAGCTGAACAGCAGCTAAGGACAGGGGAGCGGGAGGACTTGTAGGAAGTGTGGGAAGTGCCTGTTCCCGCCACAGTGCAGACACAGAAGCCACACGCAGAGGGCAGTGAACATCAGAATTTGGTGCTGTGTAGAGAGAGACTTGCTTCCTCACCCAAGGAATGACAAAGAGAGGGGAGGATCTCTGGACACTGGAGAAGTTTTAATCGCAAACTGCAGAGGATGTGAGCAGATGGGTGCATTTGGTTAGGGCTGTGGTTTCCATAAGTAGAGGACAGGAGCAGACAGCTTGGGGCAAAGTCTTTGAAGGGGGTGCGTTGTGGCGTGAGGAGGGAAGGGGCTTGGGTGCAGGGGCTTTGAGGGTCCAGCAGGAGGTAGGTTGGATTCAGGCTGTCTGTGAATATGTGCTGATTGAATGAGTGGATAGAGTGGGTAGTTGAGGTTGTAAGAGGCCTTGGAAGCTCATTAACTCTGACTGATGTGGGATGTCTGGTTCTAATGTGGGACCAAGGTCTCCTGAGTGACAGTTTCTGCCCTTGGGAGAGGTGAGACCTGATGCTCATCTGTAGGAGTCTGACTGGGGACTCTTAGTTTCCCTGGCACCAAAGAAGGCTGGTTTGAGGGAAAAGTGAAGAGACTACAGCATAAATCTTTACAAGGGAGATCCATCCAGAGAGTCCATGCTCATGAAAGAAACAATAGTGCTGTTTCTGTGCTTGTTCAGGGGCTACAAGAATGGGTGGACTTTGGGGAGTCTGCATGCTCTCCAGCTAGTGTTGCCTGTGGGGAGCAGGTTTGCAAGGTTTGGGGAGCATTTTGGCAGCTTTGGAGAGAACATTGAAGAAGGATGGACCCTTAAGGCCCAAGGGAGTGATTGGTAGAGCCTCTGGAGCAGGACTGGGCCTGAGATGTGGGCTCTGGAACTTGATGCTAGAGAGACAAGGTGATAAGATGATGACTCTGGGTGGTCCCTTCTCCTCTTGCTCCATGCCTGCTTCTTGTCAGTTGAACTTTGACTTTTGGTCCTGAGCTGACCACTTGAAAGGAGGTTGTGTTTCCTCAGTGTGTTACCAATTTTCTAAGGTGTCAGTGCTGGCTGCAAAGAAATGACCACTAAAAATGTGCTTACCCACCCACTGCCCAGTTGCCCTCCAAAAAGGTCATGCAGTGTACACTCCTGTTTCCCTCCATGCTCACCAATGCTGAATATTATTCATTTTCTTTCTGCCAAAATGATGCCCAAAAATATCATATTTAAAAATCTATATTTCCTTGATATCTAGCGTTGAAGAGTCTATAAACTAGTGAAACTAGTGACCACTTTGTAGTTCTTCTGTGCATTGCCTATTTATATATTTATCTATTTTTTATTGTGCTCTTTATCCTTTAAAAAAGTGGATTTGTGGTGCATGCCTATAATCCCAGCTACTCGGGAGGCTGAAGCAGGAGAATCGCTTGAACCCGGGAGGCGGAGGTTGCAGTGAGCCAAGATCGCGCCATTGCACTCCAGCCTGGGCAATAAGAGTGAAACTCTGTCTCAAAAAAAAAAAAAAAAAAAAAAAAAAAAAGTTGATTTGTAGGAATTCTATCACTTTTGGTGATGAATCCTTGTTCTGTTACATATGGTGAAAGGAGTTTTCTCCACATATCAGGACCACTACTTGCTTTTGTTTATGGGATCTTTTTCCATGCAGAAGTTTAAAATTTGAATGTAACTGGATTTGTCAATATTTTCTTCCAGAGTTTCTAAGATTTGTGCCTTGCTTATGAAAGGTTTTCCCAATCCGAGTCATAAAAATATCCCCTGACATTTTCTTTTAATGCTTATATTTTTAAAAATTCTTTAATTCATCTGGATTTTTAAAAATCTGAAGTGAGGTAGCAATCTATTATTTTTCTTCTTGAATTTTCATAACATTATTTCTTGTTTAGTTCTTCCTTTCCGCATCAATTTGAGTTCTGCTTTTTATTTTCTAAATTCTCACATATTCTGTTTGTCTAGTGTCTATTTAGTTCTGTTGACTGATTTGTCAATTTCTGAACGTTTTTCCTGCTTTTTTTCAACTTCTTTTAATAAGATTTTTGAAAATCCTTGAGCACTCTTAGAAGTAGACCTTATGCCTCCTTATCACAGTCAAAGGAAGGGATTTCTGATGAGCAATTTTCAGGCATGTGAAGTGTTAAAGTTATTTGGGAAAGAGGGTGAAGGTGTGAGGATGGGGGACTGATGAGGGTGGTTTCTACCGGCCTCTCATCACTGAATTCATTTATTCAATGGAAGTGTATAAAACACTTCATTGTGAAGTATCAACTGTGAGCTTGCCTACAGGCCACAGGCAACTTGCTCTTCTCGACAGAGGCATTTGTGCCTATTTCTATTATCCCCCAGTAGGCAGGCTGGCTGGGAGGAGCAGGTCACCAGAAGATCCAGGGACCTTTGTTAGGGAGCTTCTGCCATCTTGGAGAAGCCACAGGATTTCTGGCAATGTCTCTCCTGGTTTAGGTGTCTAAATGCTGTATTTGGAAGGTAGTTGGAACTCAACAGATTTGGACTTGATTCCAGCTTCTGCCATATCCTAGCTATGTGACTTCAGCAAGTTCTCTAAATTCTTTAAGTGTCAGTTTGCTTGTCTGTACTATAGGGATAATTGTAATATCTGTCTTAGGATTGTTGTGAAGCACAGTGCTGGATGTAAAGTACTTGCTCAAAAAATGGTAGCTATTGTTACTAGTAAATCTCTCCAAGGGATTTTACAGTTTGGTTTTTGCACCTAACTGGCCATGGCCTTGGCTCTGGCCCTATCTTCTTGACATCTTGGCAGGTCTACCAACTCTTCTTCAGTTACAGTCTCAGAGTTAGCCAGTGGCAATGACTTTCCAGTTCTTGGCTGGTTTTTGATCTGTAAGAGTGACCTTGGGCAGGTTACCTCTCAAAGCCTCTGTTTCTTTATCTGGAAACTGGGGATGATTATACCCCTTCTCCTTGGAGTTGTGAAGAGAATAATGTAAAGCAACTGGTGTAATGCCTAGTACCCAGCAGGTGCTCAATAAATGGTTTATGTGCTGGTGAGGCTGGTACTATGGATATATGGTATAGAGTAGATAAAGTTTTAATATAAAATCCCTGCATTAGGCATAGAAAATATAACTAAGGAGACCAAAACTGCAGGTCTAAGAGAGGACAACTAGATATGAAACATATTATATTGGTGATCACAACAAAAATGGTGGGGTGTAGGGAGAGTGACAGTTCAGGGTTGTTGGCAAATGTTTCCTGGAAGATAACTTTATTGCACCTTGAAAAGTCAGTAAAGTGTGTCCAGGCAGGGAAATCCTTTTCTTTGGAGCCTGTGTGGTGGACTTGAATGTGGAAAAGATGCCAGTATCCTGTTTCTGCCTGGCTTGGCTGATATTTAACTAGGCTGCTATGGGGGGAAATCAGAATACCTCCAGGTGCTCACCTGGTGTTGGCCTCAGCACTGGGGCAGTCAGCACTGAGGTGGCTTCTGTTTGATTCCTCTAAGCCCTGGGTGCCCATGTGACTTGTATACACCCAGGTCATAATCAGTTTAGCATAATGCCAGATACGTACATAGCGGGCATCCGATAAAATGAAGGAAGAAAAGTACAGGGGAGGGGAAGGGAAAGTAGGCAGGCTTAACTTTGTTGGGCTTCAGTTTTTCCTCTGTAAAATGGAGTTGGACCAGATGCTGGTGAACATTTCTTCAAATCTCCCACTCTGACGTTCTGCTTCAGAACCTCAGACATAAAAGGATTTGGAGTGTCTTCCAGGCCGCCTGCATGTTTCTCTCTGCTGGTAGGCACAGCCCCCAAGCAGTGAGGATGTGTGATGCATAAACACCTCCAGAGGAATCGTTCTACTATTGCTCTTGAACAATTCTTCCAGTGTTTAGAAGCTCTTAAGGCTTAAATATTCTATGCTGCAGCCTAAGCATCATTCCTCTTCTCTTCTTAGTGGAGATAAAATTACCCACTGCTCTCCTTACATTTACTTTGTCCATATTTGCTCCTATGCTCTAGGCTCGTGCACAACAAACACAGTGTGGGCCCTTACCCTAGAAGCCAACTTCTCATGACCTTTCTCTATCTCCAGAATCCATGCAGTGGGAATGAAGGTAAAAGAAGGTTTTCATGGGATCCAGCTGAGAGCTCTACGGGGAAAATGGATCTGAGGAGCCATGTGCTCCATCTCTTTTATTTTACAGGTAGAGACTAGGGGTATAGAGTGAGGTGAATTACCGCAGTGACCCACACATTGTTGGCAGACCTAGGATTAGAACTCTGTCTTCCTGGTTCCCAGCTTGGTGCTTTTGAAAGCATACTTGCTGCTTTCTTACCGGCCTGGTGTCTGCCACTTTGGGACAGAGTGTGGACTTGCTCACCTGCCCCATTTCTTAGGGATTCTCATTCTGTGTTTGAGCAAGAATATTCTTATTCTGGAAAGAACCACATACCACAGGATTCTGGGTGAGCATAAGGAAGATTGTCTTGGGGATCTGACTTAGCTCACGTATAGTGGCTATGATGAATTCAGTGTCTTATTTTTTGCATATGTATATTTTTAGTCTAATATTGCCTGGGTGTCTGAGCAAGTCTAGATGAATTTAATTGCTCTCATTTTTCCCCTGCCCCTCTTCCTTTGGTCTCTCTTTTAGGAAATGTTTTTCTTTCAACATTCGTTTCATTCATTATTTACTCATTCGGCCAACCAACATTTATTGAGTGCCTTCCCTGTATCAGGGACAGGGGCTTACAAAGTAGAATTTGATCCCACCTCTGCCCTCAGTAGCTCAGTGTCTAATGGAGGTAGTGATGTTCATTAAGCGTCGCCAGATACTGTGCTAGGTGCTGTGCCTGTTCTCTCTCGCTTGTTCCTCACACACTTGAGAAGGCCGAAGCTGATTCATAGCTTGGAAGGCAGGGGCCTTGGATTTGAACCCAGGCCTGACCAATGGCAGAACCTATCAGATGTGTGGACAGATGACATTGCCTTTCTTTCTTTGGATATATCAAAATCAGCCAGCAGGCAGGAACTCCCATTTTGAGCAAGCAATGTGCAGGAATGATAGGGTATACAGAGAGGAACAGGAGATGGCCCCTGACTTCCAGCATGTGTCTGATGGACATCCAGGCTGCAGGCATCATGGTGCTGTCTAGAGAGATGAGCCAGGTGCCCAGAGCCCATGGGCCAATGCTGCCCTTTCTTGAGCATGCCAAACAAAGCGGTTGGTGTGTTAGAGGCACAGTCTCCTCCACTCTAAGTAAAAATCAGCATGAGTCCTAGCCCACATTTCCCTAGTGAGTATACCAAAGATATCTATGAACTGGCAGTCATCAGTGACTTCCTAAGGTTCCGGAAATGCATCTCTTACTCAGGAGTAAGCAATGATGTGCCTGCGGCTTTACGAGTTCTCACAGAATGACTTTCTGGACCCAAATGTTTTTTCTGCTTCAGGACTGTGAAGGCCTTATTGTTCGCTCTGCCACCAAGGTGACCGCTGATGTCATCAACGCAGCTGAGAAACTCCAGGTGGTGGGCAGGGCTGGCACAGGTGTGGACAATGTGGATCTGGAGGCCGCAACAAGGAAGGGCATCTTGGTTATGAAGTAAGTCATGGAGGCTGCGGGCGGTTTGGGGGTAGGGGGGTGAGTGCGGAGACTGACCACACCTAGGGAGAAAAAACTCACTTGAGAGAAAGCTGAGTCCATTGGAAGGGCTTCCAGGAGGATGCCTGGTCTAGGGCCTGCATGGTCAACACACACAGCATAGTGGTTTCAAGGTTTTTGGAAGGCAGCTATGCTCACCACTATATCACCAATGCCATCAGGGTGTTACACAGTTTTTGAAATTGAGAGTCCCTGCATAATCTCAAAATGTTTCACGAGCCCACCCCATGCGCAGTTGCTTGCACCTCTGTGACCTGGTTCAGGAATCGGAAGGTCAGTGAGTTCATCTGCATTTCCTGCTCCCACCCAGCCCCCTCTGCCTCTATTAATGCTGTTTGTGGCAGGTTTTTGTCAGCTCTACTTTACTGTGCTTGTACAGAGGCACAACCTTTGCTAGCAGACTAATGACTAGAATCCTTGCCCTCCCCACTTCCCTGCCACCTTCTGGAACTAAGACACTAGTTTCTCTTTCAGTGCTCTAGGGCAAGAGGAGAAGGGTCCCATTTAAAGCTGTTTCTGCAGAAACACAGGGGCAGAGGTCATCAGCACGCCAGTGCTGTACTGTACCCGTTCTGTCACTTAGATGGTATGGCAAGGCCATCCCCAGGCCTCTTTGTTCTTAAGACTTTTCTCTTCCCTTGGGGACTTCATTGTCCTTAAGACCTTTCCCCTCCCCTGCACTGCACTTCCCCCTGTAGGGTAGAGGTTAATTGGTCACCTGACTGAAGTCAATATTCAACAGCAGAAATGTTAAACGATAACCCATCCCACATTCTTGCCTTGGACCCAGAGGCAGCCAGGCCCCAATCTCTGCACCTCTACTTGCGCCCCCATACAGCCTGTTTGCTGTGGGAGGATGAGAAGCCAGGTGGTTTTGCAGGCAGACAGACTCTGAGAGTCCGTTTATCTTATACAGGATCTCTTGACTTTTTCTTCTTGTAACCTTATTAACCTTCATTCCAGAGATGAAAAAGACAGACCCAGTAGGGGAATAATCAGGGTGAACACGTATATGAAATTCTTTCAAAAACCTAAAAAGCATTTAAGAAAAGAAAAATAGTTTTGTGGGTTGCCACCTCTATTTTTTTGTTTATAAAATGGGAAGGGTCTGGATTGCCCTGTGACTTAGGGTGTGAGGAGGCTTTCTCAGTTCAGAACTTGTTGAGAGATAGGAAGAGTAGTCAGACAGGTGGAGATTACTAATAAAAGCTAGGTTGGGGCTGCGTGTGGGGGCTCACACCTGTAATCCCAGCACTTTGGAAGGCCAAGGTGGGAGGATCACTTGGGCCCAGGAGTTTGAGACCAGCCTGGGCAACAAAGTGAGACCCCCATCTCTACAAAAATACAAAAAAAAAAAAAGAAGGAAAGAAAAGCCAGGTATGTTGGCACCAGCCTGTAGTCTCAGCTACTGAGAAGGTTGAGCTGGAAGGATTGCTTGAACCCTGGGAAGTCAAGGCTGCAGTGAGCTGTGATCATGCCAGTACACTCCAGCCTGGGTGACAGAGCGAGGCCTTGTCAAAAAAAAAAAAAAAAAGCCAGGTTGGGTAACTTGATGAAGATATGTAGGCATTGGACTGAGCCCTGAATTCGAGAGACTCTGACCTTGGTAAGATCAATGGTAGGAGCAGCAGGGAATTTGTGCTTTCTGGAGGCAGGTAGATCCTGAAATAGGAGAAAGAAAAGGGCTGAACCACACACAAATCTGATCATGTGAGACACTTCTCTGCCTTGGGAGGAGTGTTTGGATAGAGAGAAGCCAGATATGTTTCTCTAATGGAGGTCCCTCTGCAGGGAAACATAAAGCCAGGGGAAGGGGGTTTCTTTCCAGCCCTTGGCTTAGGGCGAGAGTACATCAGAGAACTCTGGACAGTGGCGTGGTCAGTTCATGGAGCAGGAGTGAGAGAACACAGCCTGCACTCAAGGCTTTCTCTTGGGGAAGGAGTGGGAATACTGGGTCTGTGCCCATTGATGTCCCCCTTTTCTTTGATCTTTAGCACCCCCAATGGGAACAGCCTCAGTGCCGCAGAACTCACTTGTGGAATGATCATGTGCCTGGCCAGGTAAGTCCCTGACTTCTCAGCAAAGCTAGTCTCTCCGATATGCCAATTATTACCACTTGCCAAGCAAATGGACCCAGAAAAACTTAGAAACATTTCGTCTCAGCGACTTGCAGACTGCTAAGAAGGCGACATGCAGACTGCAAAGAACCTTTAAGGCCATCAGGTCCTCTATTCAACATTCATTACACAGGTTCCCTAGTGCACAAAGGTGCACTTCTCTTTACTCATGTTCTATTCTCCATGCTGCAGACAATCTGCCTTCTCTAGCCTCCAACTCTTGCAAATGTTCTCCATACCCTGCTGCCTGGAGATAACAAGGAAGGATGTTCCAGGCAGCAGGGTATGGACAGTGTCTAGGTACCCTCTGCTTACTTTTCAAGATTAAGCTTCAGTATTAATTTATCCAAGAAGCTCTCTGGCTTTTCCAGCTAGGCTATGTCCCTCACTGATTCCCCTGGCCCTCAGGGCTTATCTCTGTCACTGCCCTTACAAATCTGTATTGTAATAGAATGGAGTAAGAACCTGCTTCAGGGTCCTTGTGTGTTCTGTGGGTTCATAACACAATGGAACTCAAATGGGCAAGACTCTTGCTCTTCTAGCAGGAGTTCCAGGCCTCTTGAGTGGATGGGGCAGCCTAGAAATCAAATGGTTGTGGCACAGAATGTGCTTGAGTCTCAGTGTGTTGGTTAGTAATTTGGCAAAACTGATTGCATGGAGCACTTCTGTTGAACAGGCAATTCAAGCATTTATGTGGTCAAGGGGAAGAACAAGGCTCCCAATAAACAGGGTAGGAAGTTGTTCTAGGTCCCTTTGAAGCTCCATGGATTCCCTAAACCAGCGGACCTAGGCATCAAGGACTCCTTGTTTCTCTACTCAGGCCTGAAACCTTCCGGGACCAAGAAATTACTTTTCCCATGGCGAGACCTGCTTTCCCTCCTGCTGGAGGAGGATCTGGGGGAATTTACCTCTGCTCTAACTCCTCCCTGCAGTTTCCATCTGAGCTCTCTGGTATTCACTGATATTCACTGGTAGGTGAAAGGAGGCAGTGGGGGGAAAGGAGAAACAGGGATAGCTTACACAGCAGTAGGGTCTCAGCCTAGAAGGGGCCCCCAGGCTGGCAGCCGGGTTCTCCCAGAACATCTAGGCTGAGTGTCTCTCCCCCTGGAGAAGTACAGAAGCCTGGCACCCTGGTTTCACTTCAGCTATTACCTTCAGGGATTTTTTTTTTTTTTTTTGAGTAAGGGAAAAGATCTCAATGTGGCTTTCTGATTAATTACCTCACTTTTTTTCTGGAGGTGGAAGGAAAGGATTGGGAGCCAGCAATACTTTCCCTCCTTTTCCAGGACCAGCTTTGTTTAAAGGAATCGGTGAAATGCTGTGGTTTAAAAGAAGCTCCCCATTGTCAACTGCTCACCATGACCTCACTCATCAAAGGTGCATCAAAACTAGGAAACACGCACACCCTATTGGGAAGGAATGCGTTCGTTTCATCAGACTGTTCCTAGCAGGGAGGACGGTAGGAGAGTGTGGGTGCCTATATGTAGACTCTACAGGATTGGGCAATGTGGGTGGAGAGCAGGCGTGGCTGGGCCTCACAGTAGGGACTTTGAGCAGATGGCGGGGGCTCCTGAGGTGCAGAAGAACAGCACACAGAAAGGAAGGAAGGAGAGAATCAACAAATGTAGGTTTCACCATTTTTGCCTGCTTTACCATCTCCTCCTCTAGTAAGTCAGGCCAGCAACCATTTAATTATTGTGAGGACCCTCGCCCACATTAGAGTCCTCTCCAGTCTGGCCTGATGAGGATTCCAAAGCATTGAAACCTGGAGAGGCTCCATGATCAGCTGGGAGCAGCAGCCAGAGAAAAGGGTTAGGGATTTCTTGTGTTCTGTGGTGCCGCACGCATACATCTTAGATAGCACTGTGGAGTCTGGTGGGAAGAAAATAGGATGTGAGGGAGAGGAGAGAGGGGCCAGGTGGGGCTCTGTCTCACTAGGTCAAAGGCATTTTATCAGGCAAGCTTTCCCAAGAAGTGAACAGTTCCTCAAGGCAAGTCCCTGTCCTTATTACCTGCCTGATGGGTCAGAGCAGTGAGGTGAATGCAGCTTGTCCCCCATGTGGCTTGGTACTGAAGTTCTTCTGAGTTTACCCATAAGATCGTGCGCCTCTGTGATGGAGGACAGATTCCACCTTCAGCCTTACCCTCAGATGGAGATCAATGTCCTAGTGATGTGTAGAGATGAGAGAATGTTTTTGTGTTAGAAGTTAGTGAAGTGAAAGCACGGAAGTAGCAGCTTGAGATTTCTCTTTTTGCACGCTCGCTCACTCTGAGGTTTTTGGCATCAGGTTAAAGGCCTACATTTAAGTACTCAGGAGGCTGGCCGTGCTGGGGTTGACTTTGCTGGCTTTGAATCTGTTCAAGTGCCTCCAGTTGGGTGATCTGGGGAGAACTGTTTAACCTCCAGTGCCTCCCTCCGTGCAGCTGTGAATGTTAGAGGAGTTAATGTGTGTCTAAACATTTCTTTTAGGATGTCTAAAATAAAGTGCTCCTTAAACATTGTTTCTCAAATCTTCCTTTTTTGCCTCCAGAGATGTGTTGATGACCCATGCCCACAGGACATATATCGCCCTTTGACCTCTAATGTTGCCCTAATTGCCACTTCCTCTGTCTCCTCCAGAAAACACAGATGTAGACTCAGACTTCCATCTGGACTAATAGGAGGAGACAGGCTGTGAAGAGTGTGTGTGTGTGTGTGTGTGTGTGTGTGTGTGTGTGTGTGTGTGTTGGTGGTGGTGGGACAGGAAGGTGGTGCGGATGTTTAAAAATGTTGGGACCACGCATTCAGGACAGAATGGAAGTGTCTGGGCTTTGGCATCCACCCACCCACTCTAGGGTCCAGACTAGTCTAAGACCCTCGGGGTTAAGAAACTCTCAAGGAAGCATAGGTAATTAGGTGTCCTCTTCATAATAGTAGAAGACGTCATAGGTTATGGTGCTGGATGAGATAGGTAGATCAAAATAATTCCTTGAGCTTCTGGAGTACTCGATGTCATCAGAGTTGCCCAGTACCCCACTCAGTTATCCCTACAGACCCTGGAGGATTGGCGATCGCTTAAAGTAAAAAACTCACTCTGGTTGATGCCTCAGTGGCTGAGGTGGAATCCATACCTCCTCCCAGATGCCTGGCTGGTCACAGAAATCCCAGGCTTTCTAAGTCAGATCTTGCCAAGGGTTTCTCTCTTCTGTTTTCCCTTTATCCCCCATCAGTGTTCCTAAACCTGAACCCCCAGACCCAGTTCTTGGGGAAGTGGCTGTCATGGGCAGTGACTGTGCAAACCTGATGTTGCATCTCCTTCCTGGGCTGGCGGGAGTCCGAATGGACCCTCTGAACCTGTGTCTATCCTTGCAGGCAGATTCCCCAGGCGACGGCTTCGATGAAGGACGGCAAATGGGAGCGGAAGAAGGTGAGCAGCGGCCTTGACTCGCCCCACCTGGGCTCAGGGCCCGGGGTCCACTCATGTTGCTGACTTCAGCTTCTTTCCTTTTGCCTGTTTGGTTGCAGTTCATGGGAACAGAGCTGAATGGAAAGACCCTGGGAATTCTTGGCCTGGGCAGGATTGGGAGAGAGGTAGCTACCCGGATGCAGTCCTTTGGGATGAAGGTAAGATGTTGCTGGAACCCTGTGATGTGGGACTTTCTGCAGCAATTTTGGGAAAGGCAGCATGTCTGGGCAGAAGCCAGAAGCTTTGTTCTAGGAGGGTCTGACCCTCTCTTGGAGCCCCCATCTAAATAAGTGTTAAAGTCAAGGAGGGAGAGAACACTGGCCTGCTGATCTGGACTCAAAAGCTGGAAATACTTGGTGGGGGTCCTTTAGCTCTCTGGTGAGTGAATAGCCCTGAGTCCCAGTGAACCAGGTGTTGATGGCTCTTTTGAGACTTTGGTTCCTGTCTTCTTAGTTTAAAAGAATTTAAACAAGAGACACGGTGCAGCATTGAGGAGTTTATTGCAAAGGAAAAAGAATATTTTGAAAGTTAAGTGCAGAGTAGACAGTACACCTCGGGAGAGAGAGAATTCAGGGTGGGCTGCTCATAAGAGTGAGGCAGTGTTGGCCGGGCGCGGTGGCTCACGCCTGTAATCCAGCACTTTGGGAGGCCGAGGCAGGCAGATCATGAGGTCAGGAGATCAAGACCATCCTGGATAACATGGTGAAACCGCATCGCTACTAAAAAAAAAAAAAAAAAAATTAGCCGGGCGTGGTGGCGGGCGCCTGTAGTCCCAGCTACTTGGGAGGCTGAGGCAGGAGAATGGCGTGAACCCGGGAGGCGGAGCTTGCAGTGAGCCGAGATCATGCCACTGCACTCCAGCCTGGGCGACAGAGCGAGACTCCGTCTTAAAAAACAGAAACAAAAACAAAAACGAATGAGGCAGTGTTGATTATTGCTGGAGAAACTCCCTTTATAGGAGTTTTACATGATTATTCATAAGGAGGTGGGAAGAGCTGTTACTAGTAAGCATGTTTTGGGTGGTCCTCTGGGTGCACATGAGTAGTAGCTGTACATTCTTGTTCATTTGGCACATGTCTTATTAGCATCTTAAATCTCCACCCAGGAGTGTGTTTTTTACTATTATAATGAGCCAGGGGGTCAGTTTGAGGACAGGAAAAATCAAAGTGCACAGGCTGTCTAGATGGGAAGTTCCCTACTGAAGATAGCTTTGCTTGAATGAGCTCAGTTAGAATATGAATACCGAGGCTTATTGTGTTGACTATAGGATCACCAAGGTTGCTGCACTTCCTTGATTACCTATCCTGCCTCACAGGGAGGGTGCTTGTGTCCTGCCCATTCTTTCTTTCCTTCCTGCTTTTGTTTTGTCTGCTTTCCTGTGATAATTTAGAAAACAGGAACAAGTTTATGGCCTCACAGTAGAGCCTTACATCCATTGTCCATCTGTCCTTCCAGTTTCCCTCCATATTTCAGAAAAGATTTAAAAGTGCTTGTATGTACACTATGATATGATTGTAGAGCCTATGGTGGCTGGAAGACCTCACACCGGTCTCAGAAATCACACCTAACTCCTGTCTTCCCCCAGGTCTCTGCCTTTTCCTACTCTGGGAGCTCAGTAGGCTTCTGGCTACTCCCTTAGCCTGATTGCAACCCTCTGGTTGCCATCAGTAGCAGTGCCACCCACTTGGGCTAATCCAGGAGACCTTGCAAATGAGAGAGGCAATTCAGCTAAGAGAGGGGATCTGCAGGGCTTCCCAGATAGGCCAAAGAGATGAACCCACTAAGGCTACTATGGGACATCTCTCTGTTCACTTTCTGTTTTAGGGAATTACAGGGATTATGGGGTCAAACTGCAGCCAGGAAGTCTTTAAACATTAGGAGATCAGTTTTGACAACCAGATCATGTCAAATCTAGAAAAGTTTACATAGAGCTGCTATGGAACTCTCCCTTTTTCTACATCCCTCCTACCTTCTTAGAGTTAGAAGGGATCTTAATAGATTAACCCTTAATTTTACATTGACATCTAGAATTTGTAAGCTTATGCCTAAGGACTCATAGCAAATGGACAGTAGCCTAGAGCCTGGTGAGCATCCCATTGTACACATTGAATATTATCCTCTCCCTCCTGCCTCCACTCCCCATCTTATTTATTTAAGTCAGCCAGATATCTTTCCTAAGCCTCTGCACTGAGAAGGGCCAGGTGTATTCTTGATCCCTGGACTCCTGAGAGAGGCAGATGTAGCCCAGCAGGATCATTGATCATGTAAACAAACCACAGCCTTGCCCTCTGTGCAGGGATGGTGGGATGCCATAAGCCACAAAGAGCACTCCCTCCTCCATCCTCTTTTGTAAGGGATCAAGGGTCAAGGTTTAGTCCATGGAGAATTTTGATATAAAAGGCAGAGGTCAGGAGTTAAGTAAAACTAAGAGCACTCATAGCCAAATAGGTGAGCATTTCATTGATGAAGCAGTAACTGGGAGACAGGCTCCAGACCAGTGGCCGTTCCAAGGCTCCTGCCCCCTTCCCCAGGGGGTCCTCTTCCCCATGACTCCCCTTCCCCAGGCTTCCTTCTCCGTGGCACCACTACACATCAATATTCCTGGCAATATTCTTCATCATGGAGACTTCGGCAGCGACTTCAACCAGATGAAAAGCCCCACCTCATTCCTGAATGATTGAGGTGCTAGGTAAGCTTGTCTGTCCATCTGGCACTGCCCAACTCTCTACCCTGGGATGCTTCCAAGAGGTGCATGGGTACCTGGGACCTTGAGCATCAGTGTCAGGAAATGGCTGACACCTCTCGTGCATGTGTTTGATTGAAAGAGATGTCTACGGCCTGCTCATTTCAGTGTTAATCTGTGCCTCAGAGCAGGTCACCCACTGAATGTTTTATTCCCATTCCCAGCATGGTGTGGAGGGTGCCAGTGCCTTCACTTTGCATTTCTTCTGTCCAGATGTCTCTGGAGGGTCATTCTTAACTGTCTTGCTTCCAGAACATGCTCTTTGTAAACCCCTGAAACATGGCTTGGATCATTCCGTCTCCCACCTCAGCCCCTCCGGAGCTGCCTGGACCTCATCATTCCGGAGAGTCTAAGTGGCCTCTTCTCGTGCTCAGCTGCTTACCTCAACCACGTCATTATCATACTTTTGAGTCTGGATGAATTTTGTCTTAGGGCGGAGAGCTCATCAGTTCTACCGGTCTTGGAGAACAAGATTTTCTAAAGGGAAAGGAAGATTCTTGAACATATTGTGAAAGAGATGTATAAGCACCCAGACAGGAAATGAGGATAAGTGTTTATTAAACACAAGTTATTTCATACTAGCCTCATCCTCTTTTTGGAAACCATTATTAAACTGGTAGAGTATGGAAATCCCTAGATGTCAGATACCCGGACTATTTAAAGTTATGTTTTAATCATGTAATAAAGGAATGCATTCTCATATAAATTAAAACTTGGACAAGGCTATACTTGATTACCATCTGAACCCTAGTCTCCTCACGGTAAACATCAGTTTAGCATGTCATCCGAGACTTTTCTATGCATTTGCACAGAATGCATACAGTTCCATGCCTGTGGATGGATTCTTTGGCTGCAAACAATAGAATATTGTTTGTGATGTTAAGAAAAAAACATGTTTATCTCAGAACAACTAAATCTAGCATATTTTTAAACAGTTGTGTGGAATTTTATTGTGCAGATAAATTGCTTTTTATTTGGCCATTCTCTCAATGATGGGTATTTAGATTGTGTATAGATATGGACTTTGGTAAGACATCTTTCATGATTCCCTCGGGGTTCGGATGGAGCCCCTTGAGCTTGGTGCTATTGAAGGGATTAGTGCTTGGTGCTGTTGTGGAATGGGCCACCTCAGTTTGGAGGGAGATAGTATGCAATAGTGCTCCACCTTGCCCACCATTCTCATCAACAGCCTGAACCATGTGTCATTTGTGGATGGCAGGAAGCAAGGAGAGGTAGTTAATACTTAAGGGTGCAGAATCAGGTCCAAAAAGACATATGAAGGCTAGAATGGTTGGGCACCCTCACAGGAAATTTAGCTAGAATACATTTCTGCACCCTACTTGTGGGTCCAAAAAGCAGCTAGACAAGTTTTAGATGTAGAAGCATTTGTCAAAAGCTTTTCTGGGGGAGCAGGGCTTTGGTTTACAAAAGAGCAGTGTGGTTGTCAGTGGCATAGCTGATAGAAAAGGTAACCTGACATTTGGCAGCATTAAAAGAAGTATGGCTTCCGGAGCAAGGGAGGTGACATTCCTCACACTGTGGCCTGACCTGCAGCCTACCTGTGGTCTGAGTCATACAGGTCTTAACGCTCTATACTGTTGTGTCTGCGAGAGACTTTTTCTCAATAGTGTTGCTGAATGACAGGTCGTGACCTCAGAGACTCAGCTCATTCATGCTGGTGTGTTCCTTAGAATGTGTTAAGAGGCACAAACCAATCAAGAAGCGAGCCTTGTGCTTTATGATCAAGGTTTTCCTTGAGGGAACAGACAAGCATCTCTTAACAGTTTCTTTGTAGCCAGCGTTGTGATGAATCCAACTTTAGCCCAGAGGGTTGGATGTTGAACCTGAGGCACCAGTTATCACCGATTTTTTCAGGTCCAGCTAATGTTTGCTGAGGTCTACTGTGTCGGTTCCTGTGCTTGAAATGACTCTGCAGGGTCAGAATTATTATCCCAGGTTTACAGATAAGGAAACTGAGGCCCAGGAAGGTTCTATGATATGCTGAAGATAATGCAACTATGAACTGGTGAATTTCGGCTCAGCCTTCCAGGCTGGCATTCTTTGCCCAGTACCACTTAACTTTATTCATGATCCATTTTAGGTAAACAGTCCCTGTGCCATGCCGGTATGCTTAGCTATTCCAAAGACAGATACTCTCCAGGATGGGCAGCTCCTATCTCAGTGTGTTACCTGGAATGCTTACTGCCCAGAGCAGTGATTCTCAAACTCAAGAGCCTCGGGTTCTGGCAAGGTGCCTTAGGGACACAGGTGGGAGCAAGGAGGGGCCCAGGGAGACAGCAGGTGGTGGCACATTGAGCCTTTACCTCTGCAGCTTTGAATTGACCTATTTTTATATTTGGGTCTCTGTTTAAGATTTCATTGCCGTGGTAGGGAGAGTTCCAATGCTAAACTAAAAATTCAGCTGTGGGGCAGAGAGAGCACGTGACGGTGAGGGTTCTTCTTCAGAGCCTCTTTAACTGGGAGGCCTCCTTGCTCTCCTCTTTGCTCTGCTGAGCCAGCAAGGCCCTGCAGCCAGCATACCAGCCTCTCAGGGCTGTCTTCTGTGACCTCAGGCAGGTAGGAGCCACCAGCTGCCCTGGAGTCCTGCTTAGAAAGTGAGGCTTCCTCTGTTGCCTCAACATCAGGAGTCTGCCCTGGGGCTGGGATTGAGGTGAGGGAACCCCTTCATGTTTCTCCCCAAGGCTTCTCTCCGGGAGTAGTCTTTGAATGGTGGGTACCCAGAGGTGCTCCAATGTCTGTATATTAGGACATCTGACCCTTTCCAGGACACACCAGGACCCTGACAGGCACGTGTGTCCTGGGCCTGTTGTCACCCTTTCCATCCCCTCAGTGTTGTCTCCTAGTGTCGGAACCCCAACCCCCAGCTGAGTTCAGCTCTTCTCTGCCCTGGTTATCTCAAATGGAAAATGAGAACAGAGGTTTGCTCAGCCAGATTCCTTCCCTGCAGTCATCTGCAGATAAATGAGATACTCTCTGTGAAAGAAGGAAGCTGAGTCAGTGCTTCGCTCACCCCTGAGGAAGATGCTCACCTGCTCCTCTCCCCAACCCCCTCCCTCCAGCCCCAGTCACCTGTCTGTGGAGGGGGCCAGGTTCAGCCTGCAGGGTCCTTCCTCCTGCCAGCCCCCAGGTTGTTCTTGGCTCCTGAGCATGGAGTAGACGTCAGTCAGGCTGGACCTTGTGATCTCTATTGGTGTTCCCTTCCTCTCCCCACTCCATATGAGAAAAAAAAATACATCTGGATTAGAGATGAACAGGGCCATTGTTCTGGCCGGCCTCAGGGCCAGCAGACGAAGAAGACTTGTGACAACGATGGCAGGGATCCCATCTCCTCGCCTGGACACTTTCTCCTCCCCACCAGAAATGAGTAGGTTACAGCCGAGGGGAGCAGCAGTGTCTGAAAAAGACCACCAGCGTTCTGAGCTGGAGGTTCTTATAGGGCGTGGGAGAGGCAGCATCTTTCCCCAAAACCTGCCTGATGGTTGGTGTGGGGCCACTTGGCTTTCCTTATTCCACAAGGCTAATGATGAAAAAAGGGATCCAGAGGCTTCACCTTAATCATAACCATTTTAGCTTCTGCCCTAGAATTACTGAATTTGAAGTCCTCTTTCCTATTACGTTCTTTTTTATTTTGTTTTATTTTTTTTTTTTTTTCTGAGACATCTTGTTCTGTCACCCAGGCTGGAGTGCAGTGGCACAATCTTGGCTCACTGCAGCCTCAACCTCCTAGGCCCAAGTGATCCTCCTGCCTCAGCCTTCTGGGTGGCACAGGTGCATGCCACCAAACTTGGCTAGTTTTTTAAATTTTTTGTAGGGGGGGGGGTCTGACTATGTTTCTCCAGCTAGTCTCTGACTCCTGGGGTCAAATGATCCTCCTGCCTCAGCCTCCCAAAGTGCTGGGATTATAGGTGTGAGCAATGGCACCCATCTTTCCCATTATATTCTAAAGTATCTATACTGTATCCCTAATTTCAAAAGTAATTTATGAATAATGTAGTAGAAAACTTGAAAGCACAGGAAAGCAAAAAGGAGAAAAATAATTCCACTACCCAGAGACAACCGCTGTTAAAGTACTATGCTGTGTATTCTTTGTTTTTGTCTAATCCTGGGCTCACTCTTTACATTCTGTCTCGGGGTTAAGGGGGATTTCTCTTCAAATAATTCCCAGTGATTGAATGTGAGAGTGAGAGATGGCTGCAATCATCTGCCCAGCTCCTTTATTTAGGGTTGAGGACCCAGGTCCAGGGGAACTGACCTGTACCTTTCCACACAGTGGGCAGTGACTGGGGGAGGACACAGGTCAGGCTTCCTGATTTAGAGGGCATGCAGTCTTGCTCCCACTCTGGGTCCTGCCTTGTACCCCTGTTGTCCTCCTCCTTCGCTTCTGCTCACTCTGTTTTAGTACCTGATGCACCTGTTTCCTGGACTGGACCCTCCAGCTGCAGCTGCCATTTCTCCTTCTCCCTTTCCTGGCTGTCCGCTCCCTACATGACTGCCCTCCCTCCCTCAGGACTCCCTGCTTTCTAAGGACTTCCAAGCTCCACCTTGTCCAGACCTATATGAGCTATTGTTGCATCTGTGTGTGATCACAGCATGGAGGCAGACGCACCTTCTTTTGAGCTCTGGCTGTGCCCCTCCTCATTGTGGAAGCCCTGCTTCCCTCAGCTCTCAAGCAGACAAGAACAGTCCCAGCATCATTGTGTGGTCATGAGAATTAATTAAGCTGATCATGGTACTTAGTATATGGTAAATAGTACTTAGTATGTGGAACATGGTACTTAGTGTATGGTAAATTAACTGGAGAATTAATTAAGCTGAGCATGGTAGTTAGTATATGGTAAATGCTCAAAAAATGTTTGCCATTCTTAATAATAACAATACTAATAATTAAGAATGACACTTCCTCCCTCTCTCTTGCTTCCAACCAGACTATAGGGTATGACCCCATCATTTCCCCAGAGGTCTCGGCCTCCTTTGGTGTTCAGCAGCTGCCCCTGGAGGAGATCTGGCCTCTCTGTGATTTCATCACTGTGCACACTCCTCTCCTGCCCTCCACGACAGGTAGGTGTGTCCTTACATTGTGGATTGGTCACAGAAGCCACAGACCAGTTAACAAATGGGCCCTCCATCTGGGCCTTCCCCAGACAGTGGTAACCAGCTGTGGGGAGAGGTCCACCTGGGTCCTGCAGAGGCTGGTGTTTTGTTAGACACCCCTACGTTGGATAGGGGAGGGTGAGCCAGCTAGAAGTGCTTGGGGTCTAGGTAAGCTGGGCACAGGGACAACCAGTGACCCCCATGGATGCTTTCTGCAGCCCCTGCAGGGCTTTCTGATTCCCAGACCCACTTGAAACAGTAATATCTCAAGAATTTCTAAGATGTTTCTAAACTGAGTCTGGCCCAGATCCATAACAGGGACTCCTGCCCCAGAGCATCTGAGGAGGAAGAGATGAGAGCAAAGAGGCTGCCGTCCAGCAGGAGAGAGGCTCTGGGAAAGAGCTGGCTCAAGGAAAGGGAAGACCTCTGGAAGCCAGGGATGAGCGTGGGGATCCTGGTGCTGCCCCAGCAGGAAGATGCTTCGCTTTCTTCCAGGCTTGCTGAATGACAACACCTTTGCCCAGTGCAAGAAGGGGGTGCGTGTGGTGAACTGTGCCCGTGGAGGGATCGTGGACGAAGGCGCCCTGCTCCGGGCCCTGCAGTCTGGCCAGTGTGCCGGGGCTGCACTGGACGTGTTTACGGAAGTAAGTGCCTGGCAGCCTCAGCGTCAGGAGGACGGGAGAGATAGGGAGCAGAGAGGCCCATGGCAGGGAAAGCCTGGCGTTTTACAGAAAGCCTCTAGCTTATTGTCTCTTTCATCCATGGTAAAAGGAGAAAACTGTGTTGCCAAAAACACACCTTTGTGGTTTGAGGAGTCCTTGCGGAGCCTGGTATGGAGGCAGCTATGTGGTTTTCTGCAAAACTCGGGCTTTAAAGGGGACCCAGTTCCTGGTTCCGGGCTTCTCAGACTGCTAACATATTGACAAAGATAAAGCCACAAATCAGTTCTGAAGTTGAGGGTCTGGAGCAGGAAGAGAGGGGGCTTTAGTGTATAGTTGAGGGACCCTGATGGAAATGCAGTCCCATTGCCAAGAAAATGTCCTTTTCAGTGTCCATGGGCATTCTTTTTCCCTTCTTCTCTTGCTGGGTGGACAGAAGCCCGAGGATACTGGCAGTATTCCCTCAGGGTCCTCGGGGTGGGCTGCTTTCCCAGCTGGAGCAGAGGCTCAGCCTCACACCAGATCCAGTAGGGAAGAGTGCATTTGCACTCGAATCCTTTTGGCTCCTCTCCTGAAAGATCCTGTCCCCAACATTGGAGCTTCCCCTGGTGAGGAAGGGGAAAGGACATGGACTTTGGATTAGGTAGTTGTGGTTCGCAGGTTACTAGCTGTGTGTCCTTGGAAGGTCACTGGCCCTCTCTGAGCCCCTGTAGCACTCACTGTGTACTCCCAGCCCAGGGCACACAGTGCCTTTTGGTTTGTAACCTTGGTCATCTTTCTCAGCTCTTAGATCATAAGCTCCCTGAAGGCAGGGCAAGCCTTGTCCATCTTTGTATCACCATCCTCCCTAACACAGCACCTTCTCCTGCTCTCTTCAGCATCCTTGAACCACTTGCTGGTGGTACTTACATGGTTACATGTGGCCGGGACTCACAGGATTACATGGTTACATGTGGCCAGGACTCACAGGGTTAAATGGTCAAAATTCAATGGGACCAACAGAGCCCTGAGGAGAATGGCCGGAAGATGCCTAAATAACATACCCAAGGGCAATCTTCTCAGTGAGCAGAAGGGTGGAAAAGACACTGGAGGGTGGGGTGGAGGTGCCACAGATGGGCAACCTGTCCTGATGAGAGCCAAGATGCAGTTACCTGCGTGGAGTGTCTTGGAAGAGCAGGACACTGTGCTAAAAGTCCAGCAAGGCACATCGACAGCAAGTGCTGCATGGATGCAGGGGGGTGAGTTTCGGGGAAAAGCCCAGTAACAACAACAACAGTAGCTCCTATTGGTCAAGGGCCTCCCATGTTAAAGGTGCATAATCCCCACAGTAATGTTATGAGGGAGATAGGATCAACCCATTTCACAGATAAAGAAACTGAGGCTTAGATCAAGGTTCACCCCCAAGGCACCTAGGTGGTTAAGTGGTGAAGGTGAGATTTGAATCTGGTTCACACTTTGTGCTGTGTCCACTCTGCTGAGATGGAACATTCATGTGGAAGCCCATTATTGAGTCCAGTGACCACCCTGACAAAATAGAAGTGGAAGGCACCAGAACTCCTGACTGCCTTCCCTCCAACTTTCCTGTTGCCTGGGGTGGCCCAAGAGGGTGTGGCCAGTCCATGGCAGCCAACTTAGAGGTATCTCTTTCTGGGCAGGAGCCGCCACGGGACCGGGCCTTGGTGGACCATGAGAATGTCATCAGCTGTCCCCACCTGGGTGCCAGCACCAAGGAGGCTCAGAGCCGCTGTGGGGAGGAAATTGCTGTTCAGTTCGTGGACATGGTGAAGGGGAAATCTCTCACGGGGGTTGTAAGTATCACCACCTGGGGCTGGGGGCCAGGAGTCAGAGGGAGGAGAGGAAGGAAGGCATCTTGTAGGGGCTGGTGGCAGCGTGGGTGAATAGATTCAGCCCTGGGAGCTGAAGATAAGGGAAATCTGCTTGAGTCAGCACTCTCCGGAGCAGGTGGGCGGGAGCCTCCCGTCTCCAGCCTTGATAGCAGAGGCCTTGGCAGCAGAGAGCCCGGCTCAGGCCTGTTATATCGTAGTCTTGCTGCAGAGATTGTGGCCCTTCCCAGGCCCAGCCTCTAGAGAAAGGCTCCTTTGTTCTCCACATGCCGTGGGAGTGAAGGAGTGCTGCTTGGGTGCCAGCTGGACGCAGCCGCAGCAGGTGGGGATGTGGTTGGGGACGGCCATGTAGAAATTTGCACCCTGTAAGCTCCCCAGACCCTGCCTTGACAGCCTGCCCTACCTACTCCCAAATGAGCCCTCTGTGCTGGCTGACCCCCTTGCTTTCCCCAAATCAAGGCATAAGACCCCCACTTCTTGTCTTTGCTTCCATCAAGCCCTTCCTGGCATGTGCGTCTCCTACGAGCTTAACCTGACTTACACTTCAAGTCCTGTCTCATTCATTCAGTCTGTGGATATTCCTTAAGTTTCACTGGGTACCAGACATTGTCATAGCTCTTGGGAGACACGGGTGCATGAGGGAGGCATAGCTCTCCTTCCAGGGGCTTGCTGCCTCCTTCTGAAGTCTTGCTTGGCCTTTCCAGCCCCTTCTCAATTCTGAGAACCATGTTCTTTCTTGTTATTAAGGTTCAGTTCCATGGGGTGTTTTTTTTTTTCCCTAATCTTTCTACTTAACCTAAGTTCTAAGTTCCCTGAGGACAAAAAAACATGACTTAAGCCTCTCTGCAGCTTGTGTGGGTGGGCCCAGGCCATGGAGTCAAAGGGTCAGGAAAATGGGCTGGGTGTTCTTGGTTGTCCTGGCTGACCCTCAGCTGGGTGATTTTCGCTGGTGAGGACAGCACTGTGGCAGGAGAGACGGGGATTTTGGTTCTGCCCTCCCACCTCTGGATTGAGAGCCCAGCCCTCCAGGCCTCTCTGCCCCCTCCATCCTGAGGAAAGAAGGGTGCCTCCTGCTGCCCAGCAGCCCCACACAGTCCATGGAAGTCAGCAGGGCTATGACCAGCAGCATGCGAGGAGGTCAGCAGAGACTCTGACCTGTCTGCATCCTCTGTCCTCTATGCTGTGTGGGCTCCTCAGGGCAGAGCACACTTCACTCATCTTGCACCTGGTCGGCCTCTGAGCAGGTTCGTTCCTCCCAGGAGATGCTGCTCGTTTCCCAGGCTGAGGTTTGAGCTCATCACCATTGCCAGCCAATCTGGGCTTCAGGGTTTTACCCTTTCAGCCTTCTCAGAAAGCAGCTGTCTGCCTTCCCCATCGCAGCCTTGCAATTTATTGCCATTACCATTAGGTAGCAGTGACATTCCAGAGCTTTTCCTGAAAGGGACTCCTGAATATAAGCTCTGGCAGAGCGAGGGGGTGGGGGAGGGAGGGGGACCTTGCAGAGAGATGGGGAGGAGGGGGTGAGAGGTGTATGGGCTCTGCCCTGCTGGGTGTATCTGCTGCAGGACACAGAGTTCCATCAAATGGACCACACAGTGTCCCCATCTTAGGAGGTGAAACCTCTTGGTCAAAATAACTACCCTTAGCAAATTGAACTGTTCACCCACATCAGCAAATAGTCTTAGAGTAGCCATTTGGAAAAAGAGACATTTTTGTCACATAAGAAATATATTTTCCTAATTCTTCCCTGCATTTTCCCCAGTTCAATTCTGTTCTAACCTCAGACACAGAATAACATTAGGGTCAGGTTGGTGTCCCAAAGTGCCTGACTCCTCCCTGGAATTCTCCCACCTGTCCACCAGGGAAGACTGAGAATCCTCCTTTTACTTGGGAGCCCTGTGATGGACACCTCCCCGGGCTTGGGCTCTGCAGGCCCACACAGAGGACAGAGAGATGTGCCGAGGTGCCTGCGTTATGGGCCCTCTTAGTTGGACTTTCCTCTGCTGCTGCAGGCCCTCAGCCCCGGCAGTGGCAGCATGGTGCTCCAGATCTCCTCCCAGCAGCTAGCTGCTCCACCCCACCACCCTTCTTGTCTGTGACTCCTTGGAGAGGATCCAGGAGCCATGCAGCAAGAAGCCTGCAGACCTGTCACCTCCCACACTGGAGAGGCTCCCGTGAAGCCCGGCCTCAGCAGTCATTTCCCATACCATGATTCTTTCTCTGTTTAAAAAAAAAAAAATTCTTCCAATGATATCTTTATGAAAACAGAAAGAGAAGCATCTGTGTTTCCTTCTAATTACATCTTGTAGCTGCCTGTTTGATTTGCATCTTTCTAAGATGGTTGACTTTACAAGTTATCTCAATAAAAGTGGCCAGATGCCTAACTCAGAACCAGAGCATTTTGAACCACAAAATGGAATTGAAATTTTGGCCCAGAACAAGCTGGTTCTGTTATCAGGCCCCTGGGTGGGGCAGGGGGCAGCCAGCCAGGTCCTAGACATAACTTTTGGGGGATATGGGGCTTGTGTCCCCTCAGTGTCACAACATGCCTCACAGTGGACTTCGCATGCGTTGATATTTGAAGCACGATCATCAAAACTTTGTGATAATTGATCGTAGTGTTTAGTAACAATGTAAACACTTAAAAAAATTCAAGATAGAAAATAAAAATGAAGGCAAGTTGGGACTGCCAGAGAAGACCCGTCACTCCTCATCCAAGTTATCTGCGACTCCCATATGTTTTGTGTCAAAGACTCACCTTTATTGTGCTGTCCAATCCCTTCCCCAGTGCAGAAACAAGTCTCCCATGGAGGGGGCTGGGGCAGACACAGTTTGCTGAAAGGAGCAATTTTGAGTGGTTGTGGCATTCTGTGTCCATTTCTGGCTCCACAGCTTTCTTCATTTGTAGGAACAAGTCCTTGTCCTGTTGTTAGTGGCTGATGGAAGTTGTCACCCACCAGGCACCAAGGCAGGAGTGACCCTATACTGTCTTTCTTGTGGAGCTGGGTCTTGGCAGCCAGATCTTGATTCAGGATCTGCCATGCCTCTTCCTGACCACAGCCCCGCTCCTCCATCCTCTGCAGGTGAATGCCCAGGCCCTTACCAGTGCCTTCTCTCCACACACCAAGCCTTGGATTGGTCTGGCAGAAGCTCTGGGGACACTGATGCGAGCCTGGGCTGGGTCCCCCAAAGGGACCATCCAGGTGATAACACAGGGTGAGCTGGGGACCTTGCAGAGGGAGGGGGAGGAGGGGATGAGGGAGTGTGGGATCTGCCCTGCTGGGTGTATTTGCTGCAGGACACAGGGTTAGTGAGAGGCAGTGAGGGTGCCTTGGACCCTGCCCTGAGTATAGCTCCCTTACTACTGGTGGGAGGGTGGTAAAGGGAGGGGTTAAAAAAAGTCGTTGGAAAGATGTACTGAATATTCATAAATCATGTTTATGTAGCATTTTTAAGACCTAGATATTTTGGGTGCAAGAGAAACCTCTACGAGAGAGAGAGTTTCATGCGAGAGGTCGTAGGATGGCTGGAGGGAGGCCCTAATTAAGCAACAGGATGCTGGATTCTGGTTTTTGGCCCTGTCTCTTCCCTGCTGTGTGACTCTCCCTTCTGAGGCTTGGATTCTTCACTTGTAAAGTGAGAGTTAGGGGCAGATGAGCCAGGAGCGGTGAGGACACTTTGTGCTCTGTAACTTACTAAGGTGGTACCTTGGGCCGTCTGACAGCCCTCGAGAGAGAGTTTGCTCAGCCGTGGAGTGGGAATGAGAACAGTGCCCTCTGACCACCCCTCGGGCTGCTGAGTGGGCTGTGGCCACCTTTGCAGTGGATCCAGTACTGTGCGGATGTGGTTGAGTGACCAAGGAGGGCTCCAGTTTCCTTAACCCTGTAGACGTGTATCTTTCCCCATGGACTCTTGGGTGTCTCACAGTTGGGCAGAGATTGCAGGGAGAGGGCAGCTAAACCCTAGGCATTGACAATACCAGGGAAGGGCAGAGCCAGGGGGTCCCACTGGCCTGGGTGTCCAAGCGCCGAAGGAAACAAGGCAGGGAGCTGGGCAGCAGTTGCTTCGGTTACTTCTTTCTGCTTTGATTTCCTGAGGCTGGCAAGGCTCTGAGTGCCAGGAAGGGGTAAGAGTAGGGAATTTTCCTGTGTCCCCTGGGAGAATAATAGGTAGGCCAGGATGGCCAAGCCAGGTGCAGGGTTGGGGAGCGGAGTGGAGTTGAGCTGAGTTTTGGAGAGGAGTTTCTCAGGGTGGTTAAAACATCCTGGGTTTCCTGGCTTGGGCCCAGATTATGCCTCTTCTGAGCCCACTGAAGGGCGAGTGGACCTGCCTGGAGCAAGCTGCCTTTGGGGTCCCCAGGGCAGCGAGGAGCCCATAGTCCAGAGCTAGGTGCCAGTGGCTTCCTGCCCCCTCCTGTAGTGCTCAACAAACAGTGACCTCATGGTAGCTTCTCTCTGTCCCCAGGAACATCCCTGAAGAATGCTGGGAACTGCCTAAGCCCCGCAGTCATTGTCGGCCTCCTGAAAGAGGCTTCCAAGCAGGCGGATGTGAACTTGGTGAACGCTAAGCTGCTGGTGAAAGAGGCTGGCCTCAATGTGCGCCCCTCTCCCCCACGCTGCCTCCCCATCCCTGTCAGCACTAGTCTTCTCCCCCACATTTCCAGAGCCCGTTCTCTGAGCGGAGGCCTAGGTCCCAGCCTTGCATCGGCCTGTCTACCTGTGAGGGGTAGCTGCAGTTTCTTCAACTGCAAAATGAAGATACTGCCTGGCCCCGAGTGTTGCTAATGGCACTGCTTTGTGTATGAGTGCTGTGGGAATGGAGGCAGTAGAAGTGTCCCCATTTCACAGCCAAAGAAAATGACGAGCTAGTGTGTTTGACTCTGCCCGACATGGCTGCCAGGCCATGTTTGACTCTGCCTAACTCCCCTCAGGGCTCCTCATGCCGTAGCACCCGGGTTCTTGATTCACTTGCAAGCTCTAGGAGCCCTGCTGCCTTGCACGGCTTCCCGTTGGCGCCTTCCCCTCTGGTTCCCTGTTTAGATCAAAGTCTGTTTCAAAGCCTGTTGCTCAGCCAGTGGGAGCTGGCAGAAGGGATAGGCAGTAGAGCTGCCATGTCCTCACCCCTCTGCTCCCCTCCACTCCTGCATGCCAGTCATGCCACTGATGCCGTGCAGGAGGCTGTGTCAGAGCAGGAGGGGCCAGAGTGGAGTCTCCTCACAGCCCTGCCTCCCTGCTTTTCTTTCCTCCCTGTTTTCCTCCAAGCCTTCGCCTGTGCCTGGCAGATCTCTTTGCCCTCCCTTTAAGGAGATCATTGGCTGTTCCAGGAAGCTGATGCCGAAGGGCACACAGCTTGGCCCATTTGCCCTCTCCCTTCTGGTCCTGAATTACTGAGCACATTATCCAGGCTGGAGCCCTACATCCTACCAATGGGTGATTTGGCCAAGAGAGGAGGGTGGACGTGGTGCAGCCAGGAGGTGTAACAGTCACCTTGCCTTCTCCACACAGGTCACCACCTCCCACAGCCCTGCTGCACCAGGGGAGCAAGGCTTCGGGGAATGCCTCCTGGCCGTGGCCCTGGCAGGCGCCCCTTACCAGGCTGTGGGCTTGGTCCAAGGCACTACGCCTGTACTGCAGGGGCTCAATGGAGCTGTCTTCAGGCCAGAAGTGCCTCTCCGCAGGGACCTGCCCCTGCTCCTATTCCGGACTCAGACCTCTGACCCTGCAATGCTGCCTACCATGATTGGTGAGGAGGGCCCTGTAGGGCTGGCTGGTGTCCTTGAGGCTGGGGTGGGGTCTGCCCTGGAATTGAACTCTACCCACCTTCCTTTAGCCCCTCTTCATGTCCCAGGGTGTCTCTGGATCTGCACCATACAGAGGGTCTGATGCCAGTTTTCAGAACCTTCAGGGAGTGGATACTCAGTTCAAAGAGGGAAAGTGCCTTATCCAGGGTCACAGAGCAGCATGGCAGGGGTGGGGCCATAGCCTCTATTCCTGCCCAGCTGTGGATCCTCAGCTTGCCATGTTAGGTACACTGGACCAGCTTGTGGAGCCATAGCCCAGGAGCTCAGGGACATTGAGTGCAGGTTTCTTACTCCTACCTGCTGGCCCTGTGGCTGTCCCTGGTGGCCAGCCCAGCTGCAGCAAAACCTACAAAGCCTCCAGCCATGGTAGGCGTCTTGGACCTGCCCCAGTCAGCTGGGGCTTGGGCTGCTAGGGGTTTTGGCACACGTCCATGTTTGGCGGAGGGTGTGCCTTCAAACCCTGAAGGGCCTAATTTCACCATTCTTTCTGGCTGCCCAAGGGAACTTCCCTGCTTTTCTCCCTTGCTGTTGGCTGGATAAAACTGGCAATCAGAAAGTCAAGAGCTACAGCTGATGGTCATGGTGTTCCCAGAGAGTCAGGAATATCCATGGAAGCTGAGCAGATGCCCTGTTGCTCTCCCATCTCAGCTCTTTGATTCTGAGACCATCATCCGCTCATTGCACCTTTGATCACAAAAGCTTTGAACTTCTGATTCTGCTCCCAATCCCTCGCTCCTTTTTCCCCTATCCCCTGTGCCAACCAGGAGTTTCTTCTATTTCCAGGCCTCCTGGCAGAGGCAGGCGTGCGGCTGCTGTCCTACCAGACTTCACTGGTGTCAGATGGGGAGACCTGGCACGTCATGGGCATCTCCTCCTTGCTGCCCAGCCTGGAAGCGTGGAAGCAGCATGTGACTGAAGCCTTCCAGTTCCACTTCTAACCTTGGAGCTCACTGGTCCCTGCCTCTGGGGCTTTTCTGAAGAAACCCACCCACTGTGATCAATAGGGAGAGAAAATCCACATTCTTGGGCTGAACGCGGGCCTCTGACACTGCTTACACTGCACTCTGACCCTGTAGTACAGCAATAACCGTCTAATAAAGAGCCTACCCCCAACTCCTTCTGCACTTTTGTGTGGTCATTATCCTAAAGCGCCACCAGAGGGCGTCCAAAGGCAGACGTAGGGTTTGGTTTAGACTGCGGGAGCGGAGCGGGTGTGGGGGAAGATGGGGATGAGCAAATGGCTTGGTTGAGTTCTTTGAAGGTGATCCCTCTCTTGTCTGCCGAAGGTTACTCAGAGGCACTTTTACAGGAGCAAAGCTCAATGTATTTCACAGTGCTACGGTATTTCAGACCCCTTCCATCTGGGAATATACATGCACGTTAATAAGTAAGATTCAACACACAAGCCCAGCATTATGTACCAGGCACTGGGCTAGGTGCTTTACTTTAAGAGGAGAATTCAAACCTGACCCTTTTTCCATAGAAGTCTGGTGGGAGGGACAGAGCATGCAGAGGTGACTGGAAGCAGTGAGTGATGCTACAACAGAGGTGTATAGGAAATTCTCTAGAGTCCAAAGGAGGAAGTAATTTGAGCTGAGGATATTGGTGTCTCAGGAGATGTTTAGAAGGATTTCATAAGGGAAAGAAAGTGTAAAATTATGGGGGTATGAGACTATTTGGCAAGTTCACAAAGCAAGGTCAGTGTGGGTTGGTGAACATGTCACTTTTTTTTGAAAGATGATTTTCATGCAAAATACAGCTGAACGGCACTCTACCCAAAAGATTCACTTCAGGGAATTTTTTTCCCCATTAATAAGGGATGATCCATTCTTACTGTGTGCCCAGTAGTGTCTGTTTCTGAGATTCCTGGCCTGGCTAAGAAGGCTTGACACAGGGCAGCTGCTTGGCACTGGCAGGGGCGAGTCCAGCACTCTGGCCTCCTTAGTTTTGTGATGGAGCTAAGCATCAATAAGAACTCCAGCAGTAAGGGCTGTGTTAGTGTCTGCAGTGAACTCAGAGGGGTTGGCCTTGCTGTAGCTCACCTTGAAGGGAATGGGCCTGGTTGTGAATGTCATGGTCAACTCTGGACAGCTGTCTGACTGGGAACTCAGTGTTTAATTATCCTAGACCTTTGTTTCCTCATCTGTGGGAGGGCTAATGGTGCCTCTCACAGAACTGCAATGAGAATTTACTGGATTAAACAGTGACTTACGGGAAGTGCCAGGAGCACTTGGTGAATGTTGGTTTCTTCATCCTATGTTAGTCTGAGAGCAGACAGGCAGGTCTCAATTCTTTACATAGAACCAACCCCATGAACCAAATAGTTCTCAACATGACCTCATTGCAATTATGTTCAGCCAGATCTAGACACTGGGTGTCCTGACATCAGACAACCCATTCTCTCCAACTGGAAATATACCTGTGCCTCACATGGCATCCACTGAGGTCACTTGAGTGCACTGATGGATAGAAAAACAGGCTGAAATTTATGAAGTTAAAAATTCAGTTAAAAATTGAGCTCAATGTTTAGCCTCTCAGCCTCCTTCCTCATAAGCCCCTAAACAAATCATGTTCTGTGCACTAAGGTCTTCGGAACAGTACTAGAAACGCAGATTACTTGAGCATCTCAAAATATCTTCCTAGACTGGGTCATGAAAGAGGGCATGGGACGATCTTATCGTATCACGTCTCCCATGGCTGTCCACATGACCTCTCCCAAACTTAAAGGGCAGGATTCGTTGTAAAATTCAGCTGGTTTCTTTAGGAAACTCTGTAATATTTTTCATAATAGCTGCATCAATTTACATTCCCATCAACAGTCTAGAAAGTTTCTCCTTTTCTCCACATCTTTACCAACACTTGCTATCTCTTGTCTTTTTGGTAATAGCCATCTTAACAGGTGTGAGGTGGTATCTCACCGTGGTTTTGATTTGCATTTCCCTGATGACTAAGTAAATAGGCCAGACACAAAAAGAAAATTATTGCACTTACTCATTTATATGTGGAATCCCCCCCCAAAAAAGAGGTCAAATATATTGACATAGGAACTAGAAAAGTAGTTGAGGGGGGTGTCTAGGGAGATACAGGTCAAAGAATGTAAAGTAGAAAATACATAGGGTGAGTAAGTCAAAAGATCTGATGTACAACCTGAGGACTATAGTTAATAACAGTGTATTGTACTGAGGATTTTTCCTAAATTAGTAGATTGCAGCTGCTCTTGCCATGGTGGCGGGGGATGGGTAACTTTGTAAAATAATGAATATGTTAATTTGTTCCGTTACAGTAACCATTTTACTACATATATATATCTTACAACGTCATGTTCTATCCCTCAAATATATACAATGAAATTTTTGAAAAATCCAGCTAGGGCTACAGGGAGGGTGCCATGGACTCCCTCATGTTCTTTGTGGCATGTGGCATCTCTTCACTGCCCCTTTAGAGTAGAAGTTCATTCTTGTGCACACACAGCAGAAGGCTGGCTGTGAGCTCAGGGTGGAGGCAGGGCAAAAGCTGGGCCACGCACAGAATCTGCCTCAATGTGCTGACTCCTGAAGTTGTGATCAGTGTGTCCCCCTAGAGCTTGGGCTTGTCTCATGGTCAGTGGCGGGGCCATCTTTTGCATCAGTTTTAACATCACATGTTGAGTATTCCCGTTTGAATGAGTGTATCATAGCCCAACACTTGCCCAATCTGCCGTCCTCTCTCCTGCCCTAGGTCACCCTGTGTGAATTTTTGCCCACAGGGAAAGTCTTTATTTGTATGGTATCTGTAGACTTTAGGGTGAAAATGTTGACTGAGCCATTGGCAACTCATTCCCTCGTGTGCTGACCTTACATGGGGGAGAGGGCTTTGTTCAGAGCAGGCAGGCATCAGTGTCCCAGAGCTGCCAGAGGAAGGCCTCGGGCTCAGTATAAAAGTTGGTGAATAAGGAAGTTGGAGGGAGCCAGTGCTGATGCCCAGCTGGTGTGTGGGCTGTGGGCAGTGTCCATTCAATTGGTCAGCCCTTGACAACCTGGTTGTCGAATGTTTAATATCATTCCATTTGTGCTCAAATGCCTCCCTAGTGGAGACAGGCCTGGCCTCTGATGCAGGAAGTATGGGAAGTTCTGGTTGCTGAGGCTGACTGAGGCTGATGGAGAGAGTTTCAGCACCAACACTGCACAGTGAGCTTCTGTGTGGATAGAAGGCCAGGCCCGAGGCCTCTTGTCTCCAGAGCTAAGGTTAGTGCTGGGTTTTCTCCCCTGCACACAGATACCGAAAGGCACATGTTGTTCTGCTAGGGATGCCAACCAGGTTGAGGGCCCCTAAACATCTTGCTGAGGAGGTGCAGGCAGCAAGAGGGTAGCAAAGAGGGGCTGCTAAGCAGCGGCTGCAGCTGGTGTGATGAGTAGAGTTTTGCAGGCACCTTGAGAGAGGCCTGGGAAGGCAGTCAGCTAATGCTGGATTCTCTGAGCAAATTGGGGCTTATCTGGGATTTGTTGTGACATGAACAGCCTTGAGCAAAACAGTGAAGGGAACAGACCCAGCTTCTCATTCCTGTGGGGCCATTCTTAAGCGCTCCCTGAGGCTTAAGGGAGCCTTAAGCCTCCCCTGCTTCTCCTCCTCCTCCTCCTCCCCTCCTCCTCCCCTGCCCCCACCAGCTCTGCTCCCCGCCAATGGAAAGCATCCTCTCTCTTTTCCAAGGTGCCCTTTCCTCATGGGGGTGACTGAGGAAACTTTCTAAAAGGAAGTGATGACAACACCCTGATACTTTCCCTCTCCTCCCACTCCCGTCCTCAGCTCAATCCCCATCTGCCTGAACCATTGCTATTTTATAAGAGGACCCTAGAAGAAGCAGTGCCCTCCCCCAAGGGGGAAAGATCCTGTAATGGAATAATTTCCTGCCAGGCATCAAAATTTATTTATTTTTTTATTTTTGGCTATAGAAGGCAAAAACTTGTTAACCTTTGCGCTGTGTTTATTTGTTCAAATAACAGCGGCAAGGAATGACCAAGAAGATCTGAACTACAGCTCCTGCTGGCCCCTGTCTGCTGCTCTCTGTCTATGTGGTGTCTTTAGAACAGGGAAGTGGGCTGGGGGAAGCTGTGTTCTACCGTTCTTATTTGCCTTGTACCTGTCATAGCACTTGGCATGTGGCAGAAATAGAATGGAATTGCAAGGGGACAGAGGCAGCCTGTGAGGCAAGGACCCAGCCCTCTGACCCACAAGGTCTAGCAGGCTTGCTGCATGTTAGGCTGGGTTTGTATTCTGGGTTCCAAGAAACGCAGGAATCATTTCCTCTTTCTCTCTTTTTAATTGCTATATATTAGCTTAGAACAAGGTACAAAATTTGGAGATTCACAGGAACAGCACAGAAGTTTAACAATATTAATAATAATAAAGTTCTAACACATGACAGGAAAGTTTATCTGGATCTTGAAGGCAACAGCTGATCTGCATGCACATTTCTGGAGTCCAGTGATTCAGGAAGAGGTCTTCTCTCCATTGCTCCATCTTGCTCTTTCACAAAGGACCCCTAGTCCATAGCACCATAAGCCCAGGACAGTGATTGCAGCATGGAGAGGAATGAAGGGCCCGCTAGAGATGGCTCCTCACTCTACAGGGCTGATGCTTATGGGGCTACTATGTCGATTCAAATTCATTTACCAGCTAAGAGTGGGATCTTAAAAATATGATTCACGGGGAGAAGCTCTGCTAGCATACGTTTCCCAGGAAGCTTTCCATGGATCTGCAGAACTTAAATAAACAAAAAGTCATTCAATCATGGGTCTCCTCTTGGGCACCCTGCCCCCAGTACCTGCTTCTTGCCCGAGGTGTGGCTGTGCAGAGGGGCTCCCCTAACTGCATCCTGAGGGTGCTCCCACTATGCACCCTGTGCCAAGCCTGGACACCTGAGGGATCTGTGCCCAATGCTACTGGAGCCAAGGCTGGGGGTAGGCAGGGTCCCCGTCGCACATCTGCCTGTGATAGGAGAGCAGGAGAGGCAGGCTAGGGCGCTGCAGAGACCTGTAGAGCTCCACCATGAGCACTGCACTGACAGCAGCCCTTCATTTCTGCTAAAATCTCATTGTTGGAAGTTCACTGCTCATATTAATAATCAACATGAGAAAAGGTCAAGAGTTCCAGCTTTTTTTTTCAGGTATAATTCTGCCTAAGCACTTGCAAGAAGCTTGTCTACCATGAGAGGGAGGGAGGCTGACGTGGAAATTCTCCTTTAAAAATTCCAAATTTCTCTTTCTCTCTCCCCCTCCCGCTGACTCTCTCCCCAACCTCTCTCTCTCCCTTTCCCCCCTCCCTCCCTATTTCTCCCACTCTTCTTCTGATGAATGAACTAAGTTGACACATTTAACAGCCCCTCTTTGCTACTGACCTGCCCTTAAGAACCGTATTTCCAACATGCACACAGGCTCCCGGGCAGTACCACAGTCTTCAGGGCTGCTAACTGAGCTCGTCCTCTCAAAGGCATCCTGCGGCCCTCAGCCCACTTGTCCACCTCTCCTAGCCCTAACAACATCTGGGCTGCAACAGCCTAGCACCTGCCAATATCCCAGCGGTAAGGAATGAACCCAGGGCCCCTCCACCCGCACCTCTGCTTCCTCTCAGGTGGCTGTATCTGTGCATCTCTGCCACCCACTGACTTCTTCCTTCCCTTCCTCTGCTCCTTCCCTGCCTCGGCACACCTTTTTCTTCTTCCCTCTCCATCTACCAAAAGGAGGGGAAAATCTTAAAAACTTGAGCATGGAGACTGCACTAATTAAAATTTATGGGTTGTAAAATAAATCTCTTCTCACTCTATCATTCTGCTTATCCTACCTATTTGGTCAACTGAAGGCAGCTACCTGGGTTCATATAAGATTCTTATTTTTGAATGTTTGCTTTCCTTTAAAAACGATCATAAAGAATATCTCCCATTTCTCCTGTCACCGCAATCCTCTTTCACCTTGCTCTCTTCTCCCTATCCTTGTGTCCACGAATTTCCTGAACCTCATTGCTTCTCCCCAGAAGGAATCCCATGATATAAGAATTGTTACATGACCCTTAGCCTAAAACTCCCTCCAGCAGAAGTATCTGGCTTTAACAGAATCTTCAACCGCCCCATTCCTTATGAATCTGTCTCCCACACATTGGTGTGTACCATTTCTGAGGTTTTGGGGCTGTTCATCTTGGTTGTTCTGTTGCTCATCAGATCTGTTGATCTCATCCCCCTGGAGTAATGATTTCTATAGGTTCAGGTTCACAGCCTGTTCACTCAACGGATGCTCTGAATGCTAATCTGTCAAGCTTCTAGGAGAGCTTCCTATCTTCAGCAGATCAGGTAAACAAATCCAGCTCCTATTTTTCACATTCAAGATTTCAGAACATGTTTCTCCCCCAGCTTTTGCCTTTCCAAGGCAAAGAGCCCCAAGAGTTTTAATTGGTCTTTATGGTACAAATCCCCACTTCTGATTAGTTTGAAAGCTGTGAACCCTCCCTGGCCTGGTTAATGTTCCCAAACTACAAGATTCCTATTCTGAATACTTGCTTTTCCTTTTAAAAATTCCACAGATAATTCTCCCATTTCTCCTGTCACCCCAATCCTCTTCCATTAAACTTTCTTCTCCCTGCACCTGTCCCCACCTTCTCTCTCTGTGTTGTTACTCAGAGGAAGACATTAGGGTTTTATGCCACCAACTCTGCAAACTCTCACTCACCACCTTTAGACGGGACGCCGGGCATACTTTCGGCGATGCTGCTCGTCCACTCGCTCCAGGTACCAAGTACCTGGGAAAAGGCTGTTTGTGTCACCAGGTGGGGAGAAATTCACTGTGGAATGAGGAGAAGAGGCAGTACTCACAAAGAGTTATATGAGTTTTTGGAAGAGAAAATAGTAATGAAGATGTCTGCCCCTTCACAGTGAAGCTCTCTTGGCTGGGCTGTAAGGGGCTGCAAGGTCACCCTTAGTCCACCAAATAGAACACTGGACCCACAGAACAAGAGGGGCAGCCATCTTGAATCTAGCACTTAAGGCCTTAATAAAAGTCTATTAAGACTTTTATTATAAGAGTACAACATTTTCCTACAGTAAACATAGCCTTCCTCCATTGAAATCTTCATCCCATCCTTTTGCCAATAGTTCCTACTTTGAGACGTAATTCCCAGCTTCCTGTTTCCTAACAGACACGTCCTTCTAAACTCTAAATTTTCTGGTTCTGATTCATTGCAGTATTTCAGTGCTTTGTCCGTTAACGTTTGTCTCAGAGGTCCTATTTTTCTTTTCTTCTTTTTTTTTTTTTTGTTTTGAGACAGAGTCTTTCTGTGTCACCCAGGCTAGAGTGTGGTGGTGTGATCTCAGTTCACTGCATCCTCTGCCTCCTGGGTTCAAGTAATTCTCCTCAGCCTCCTGAGTAGCTGAGATTAGAGGTGTGTGCCACCACACTCGGCTAATTTTTACATAATTTTATTTTTTTTATTATATTCATATTTTTATAATTTTTATATTTTTAGTAGAGATGGGTTTTCACCATGTTGGCCAGGCTGGTCTCAAACTCCTGGCCTCAAGTGATCCACCTGCCTCTGCCTCCCAAAGGACTAGCATTACAGGCGTGAGCCACTGTGCCCTGCTCCATTTTTATTTTCATTGTCTTTCTTTGCTATAACATATCCACTGGTCCAGAAGAGATCAATGACCACTAGGTCTAGGTTTTCTGGAACATTTCCAATTCCGTATATTCTGTCTCCTTTTGAGACCATGCTGCAAAACAACATGCATCCCAAGTTTTGCTTGAGAATATATATAAAACCTGTAGAAATCATGGTAAAACTGTGTATTACTATGGTTTTAAAACCACCAACTAATCACTCTAGTATTACCTTTGGGTTTCATTTTCCTTTCATTTGTTGCTTTTGGAGCAATATTTTGTTTTTTGTTTTTATGTTTGGTGGAGAAAGAGGGCAATTTGGAGGGGACAGTAATATTTGTCGATAACATATTTATATAGAGTAATTCATTTAATTTGTTTGGAAATCCTGCAAAATCGGTATGATTTTAGAAATAAGACAACTGAGAAAAGTTCAACCATTTTTCCAAAGATAAACAGCTAGTGAGTGGCACAGCTCAGGGTTAGATTTGGATATCTAGCTCTAAAGTCTGTACTCTTTCAACTGTTGCAGATGGTATTTTCAAAGACTATACTTCTGGCTTCCATGGGACTACACATTCTGGGTGTTTAGCTATATTCTATACTGGGAAGCTGCATCCTGCCTCCCTCTTCCCAACTCTATCTTCTGTTTCCCCACCCACTTCTTGCCCCTTTGGACAACAGATCTTCTAGCAAATCTTCTCCCAACCATATCTCGTAAAAGTCTTGACCCTGGACTACTAAATTCTAGATTTCCAAAGAAATCCCTGGCTCCCAGCTACTGGAATGGGGTCTCTCTTCCTCTCTTCCTGACTTTTTTCTTACCCTTATGGTAGAATTGCTCTCTTTGGTTCATTATTTCTGTGAACTCCTCAGGAGACACACACTTTCGGGAGGCTAGGCGTTTTGGCAGGTCTGATGTGCTGGACACCAACTTGTCCAGGGGAGAGCCTGGGAAGCAAAAGCAAGATTGTTACACCTTTTTCATTGTCATTATCACTATTGCCAATCACGAGTTCAACAGAGAGCCAGGTTCTGTGGGAGGTTACACCCTGGAGGAACGTGTGGTGTGTGTGGCTTAGAATACCAAGAAATGATAAGCAAGCATACTTGTTAGCAAAACATGCAGGCAGACACACTGATTTGGTCAAGGTGTATGCCACATAGTACTTAAATGCATGTCCTTAATCACATCAATCACAAAATAATCAATAAATTCTTATTAGGTATCTCAAATCCATCAACTTCTCTTTAATCAGTTGCAATCAAACCACCATTACCTCTTGCCTGAACTAGTTACTGGAACAATCTAAGTGGTTTCCCCATATCCAGCTTTGTTCCTTTTCAATCTAGTCTCTAAGTAGTAGCCAAATAAGTGCTTTAAACACATAAATTAAACAAACTTACTCCATGCTTAAATCCCTTCAGTGATTTACTTTGCTATTAATAATAACGTAACTCTGTCAAGATGGCAGCCTCAGTAATGGTGGGGAAGAAGATGGTTATTCTACCAGATGAATCTTGTCAGGAAGGCCTACTAGAAAGATGACACTCACCTGGAGCAGCATCCTGGGATACTCGAAATGAAAAGAAACTTGCTGCTAAACCAGAGCCATAAGAGAAGGCACCAATCCTGGAGCCAGCCAGTTCTTGGGCAGAGTGGCTGTGGGGAAAGAAATCAAATAAAACACACACACACACACACACACACACACACACACACATATATGTATATATATATTATATTCTGCACTTCAAATAGAACAACAGCCTATCATCCCGATCTTCTCCCTGTCTACCTCATGCAACTAGAAATGGGTTCCAGGCACCCTACATAAAGAGGGACTTCTGGTAGACCCCAGGGACAGGCCTTTGTGTAGGAAACCTTGCCAAAAGGAAAGCAGCTAATATCCAAGATATATAAGGCAGAGAAAACACAAGATAATTTTTGGTGTACATAGAGCTTCTCCCCTCTCATGAGGACAGGGTAAATTCAGTGCATTCTGAAGGTGTCTCCAGATGGAGATCAGACCACTGGACTCACCCTTCAGGCTCCCATGTTGATTGGTAATGGTTCAGCAGTCATAACTTTTTGATCATCCCCTGTGAGTAATAATTTGATCAAGTTCACCCATAAGCACTTTTTCCTGCCCGTTTTTTTTTTCTTTTTTTGGCAGAGTCTTGCTCTGTTGCCCAGCCTGGAGTGCCCGGAATGCAGTGGCGTGATCATGGCTCACTGCAGCCTTTACCTCCTGGGCTCAAGTGATCCTCCCACCTCAGGATTCAGGATCCTGAGTAGCTGGGACTACAGGTGCAAGCTGCCACACCCAGCTAATTTTTTTTTTTTTTTTGAGACAGAGTCTCACTCTGTCACCCAAGCTATAGTGCAGTAGCTCGATCTCAGCTCACTGCAACTTCTGCCTCCCGGGTTCAAGCAATTCTCATGCCTCAGCCTCTCGAGTTGCTGGGACTACAGGCACGTACCACCATGCCCAGCTGATGTTTGTATTTTTAGTAGAGAAGGGGTTTTGCCATGTTGGCCAGGCTGTTCTCAAACTCCTGACCTCAGGTGATCTTCCCACCTTGGCCTCCCAAAGTGTTGGTATTACAGGCATGAGCCACCGTGAACATCCATGGCTAATTGTTTAAAAAAATTTTGTAGAGATGGGGCCTCCCTCTGTTCCCAAGGCTGGTCTCAAACTCCTGAGCTCAAGAGATCCTCCTGCCTGAGCCTTCCAAAGTGCTAGGATTATAGGCATGAGCCACTTCATGAGCCCTTTCTTATGTTAGATGCAGTACTTCCTTATAAAACCCACAAAACAGAAAATGAATAGAAATAACATCCAACATTTGAGCACCTGCTAAGCACTGCTATTTTAATTGTTTTAGATACTTAATGCTCATAAAAACAGTAGAACACAGGTATTGTGATTGCACACATGCTACAGTTGGGGAAGGTGAGGTGCATTGAGGTTAAGTATTATCCAAAGTCAACCCTAATAATTGGTTAAAAAAATTTGAACCCAGGTTGTGGGCTCTAAAGTCAGACCCATTTAACCACCATGCTCTACTAAGTATAGAGATTTTAAATAAATGAGACAAAAATATGCATACCAAAGCTACTGTTTTCTTGATGTGCCCAAACAGATCTTGCCCATCCCTTGACATCATGTACTTCACTTTGGAGACCACTGTCTGATACAGACTGTAAATCTGCCTATACATACACCTTTGGTACGAGTTTCTTTCATCTTCCTTCCTTTTCCTGCCTTCTCCCTCCTTTCCTTTCTTTTATATTTATTTATTTATTTATGACAGGATCTCATTCTGTCATCCAGGTTGGAGTCCAATGACACAATCATGGCTCACTGCAACCTTCCACTCCTGGGCTCACACCATCCTCCCACTTCAGCCTCCCGAGCAGCTGGGACCACACGTGCACACAACCATGCTCAGCTAATTTTTGTAGAGATGAGGTTTCACCACGTTGCCCAGGCGGGTCTCGAACTCCTAGGTTCAGGCGATCTGCCCGCCTAAACCTCCCCAAATGCTGAGATTACAGGCATGAGCCACTACACCAGGCCCCTTCCTTTCTTTTAAATTTCTGAGCCAAAAGAGAAACCCAACTTTGTTGACCCTGCAGCCCACGGGGGCGGAGGCTGAGGGTGTGCATGGAGGACATGGAGCCAGATGCAGTACTCACTGGGACAGAAGCGAGGCCAGGCACCCGTACAGGGATGAGGTGTACATGTTCCCATTGTGAGTGGAGAGGTAAAGGGAAGCCTTGGTTTTCTTGTCGAACATGTCCTGAGAGGCCTTTAGAAGTGCTTTATCCAGGTCCTTGTTGGTGTAGGTGTCTTCCAGCTTTAGCCCCCTGTGAGGTAGCCAGAGGTAGCCATGTGAGAGGCCAGGGGACGGGAGGCAGGGAGCAAGGGGGAAAAGTAACAGCTTCTGGAGAGGACTTTGGGGCGCATGTTTTTCCTACAATATTTGGAAATACAGAACAGTACAGAGGAGAACATACCACTAATGGCCTTACCATTCAGAGAGAGTACTTAGGGCTTATTTTTCTGGTGGAATCCATCCCTAATTTTATAGAGCTTACTAGAAAATTAGAAAGAAAATCATGCTATGTGTTGTGGTTAGCATACTTTCTTAACTTAGTGTGTGTGTGTATATATATATATATTTTTTTTCCATGACATTCTATAACATTATTTGTAAAGGCTGAAGAATGGTCCATGACAGGATGTACCGCACTTTAACCCATCTTCCTGCTCCTGTTCCTCACTAGTTAAAACACTACAGCGAATAGGTAGGTGTTCTTTTAAACACATGGGATTACTGAGCCCAAAGTTTGCACATCTTTAAGGCTTTGGCTTCATGCTCTCCTGTTACTCCTCAAAACACCTGATCCATTTACGCATCCACTACTGCCCATTTTCCCACAGGCTTGACAATTCTGGGTATTCACATTTTAAAAAGACTATCTAGAGAAAATGGTAACTTGAGTAAACTTTTTATTAATGAATATGCATATTTAAAATGTGATCATATACATGTCTTCTTTGAGAAAATTTTCTGTTCATATCCTTTGCTCATTTTTCTATTAGGGTATTTATTTTATTATTGATAATATCTTTATATATTAAAGATATTAAGCTAGTATCTTTGGTATATGTTATACTTTTTGTTTCGATAGGGCTGGTCTTACAAGCAGTGTTTGTGCTAATTTTGATGTTTTAGTTAGTGGCAGGGTTAGGAGTACTAGTTAGTAACAGGGGCTACACTTGGTAGCCTATTCTACTGTTGATAAAATTGACCAAAATTTGAAATAAACAGGTACCAAGAAGAAAGGGAAAGATTCCTTTCCCAGTGGAAACTGTATTGAAGACATTTCTTTGTAAATATTAGTGTATTAGTGTAGTGAATCAATAAACAGCATTCTTTCTGCTTTTTCACATCTAAGGGGATGAGCTGGAACATCCCCATTTTATAGATGGGAGAAAAGCAAAAGCAGGACATGAATTAAGACAATGGCAAATGAGAATGGGACCTGACACTTCTCAAATTGCTACCCTGTAGTGTGATCATTTGCTTCTGTGTGTTTGTGTCTGTATAGGCTGTGAGATGCTCTAGGGCAGGGACCATGGAGTCACATTCATTTTAGTATCCTGAGAGGTTAATACGATGTCTAGCACATAACATGTTCAGAAAATGTTTATTGACTGAATGATTTAGCTACTCTCTTTCTCCCTTCCTCTCTTTCTCCCTTTCTCTCTTTCTTTCTTTATCCTCTGTAGTTTCTTACTGCCCCTTGATCCTGCAGTGCTGCCAAATCCCCCATGTTTCCCTGCAATAACTCATGGAGGGCCCTACCCAGACAATAACCCACTACCCCGTGGAAGGACCTGGGATTGTTCCTGTTCTGCTGGAGGATTGCCATTTGTCCCCCACAGGGGTGCTGGTGGTCTAGACTTAAGGCATGAAGAAGCCTCCTTCTTGCTCACACCTCACCAGCCTCTAGGCTCCCCAAGAAGAGAACTCACCCGAAAGCCTCCAGCCCCTTATATAAGCTGGTTTGTGTGTCACTGCTGGCTGACAGGAAGTCATTGAACATCAGGCGAGCCAGAGACTTCTGGACCATCTTGCAAAAGGGTGTATGAAAGATCATGTACTGTAAATCGTCAAGGGTGAAGGGTCGATCGCTGCCAGCTGGAAGAGGAAGCGTGAAGGCAAGGATGGGGCATGAGGGGCGAGCCATTTAGATATCCTCCCTGAGATTTAACTGTGCCGAGTTTCTCCAGGCCTCCCAGGGAACTACTTCCCACCTCCTGCAAACACATATGAGCTTTATTTATTCATTTTACATGCACTTACTAAGCAATCTCTACGAATAAGGAAAGAAGGGAAAGAAACAAAGCCTTTGTATCTACTATTACCAGCCTCTATGATACTTGGCTCAAATCAACCTTGTGTTATATAATTTTCTTCATTTGCCAGAGGAGGAACCGGTCTACAAAACATTGTCATCTGTCCAACTTTGAAAAGGCTGGCTTTGGATTCAGGTTCAGATGTCTCTGACTCTACTCTACAGACTGTCTCTCTCACTCTGAAGAAGAGGGCAATGCAATCTCTGCCCTTAGGAAATATTACATTTTAGTGCTGGGATCCAAAGCAGCATCTGTCACCTTACATATGCAAATAAGGAGTAAAATTTAAATGCCACAAGAATTCAGAGGAGTTAGGAGCAAATAACCAATTACAGAAGACAGACTGAGGCAGAGAGGCCCAAAGCAACTTCTTGCCCATGAGGTTCACCTCTGGCAGGTGGTGTCCCACCCACTGCAGTAGAAAGGGACAAGAGGTAGCTCTTTATGACACCCCCAAGGCATCCATGCCTTCTCCCACACTGCAATCTGTCTTTTGCGGATGCCCATCTGGGCATGCCTGAGCAGGCAAGAATACTATTTATGTCTTTAAAGTAGGTTTAACTGTATTTTATTTTTATTTATTTATATGTTTTTAGAGACAGGGTTTGTTTCACTCTGTAGTCCAGGCTGGAGGCAGTTGCTTGATCATAGCTTACTGCATGGGCTCCTGGTCTCAAGCAATTTCCCCCATCTCAGCCTTCTGAGTAGCTGGGACTACAGGCTTATGCCACCATGCCTGGCTAACTTTTGTACTTTTTTTTTTTAGAGACAGGGTCTTGCTTTGTTGCCCACATTGGTCTCAAATTCCTGGGTTCAAGCAATCCTCCTGCCTCAGCTTCCCAAGGTGCTGGGATTACAGGCGTGAGCCACCACTCCCTGCTTTTCTGTATTTTAAAAGGAAGATTTATTTGCTTATTTTCTGCTTATGAAAGCAGTACATATTTCTCAGGAGGGAAATTCCAAAACTAAAGGTGAAAATAAAATCAACCTGCAGTAGCATCACGAAGAGAAAAATCACTGATAACACTTCAGCATATAGAAAATATAGGTATGATTTCTCAACGTGAGACTTTAAAAGATGGTAAACCACAAACCAAGAGCCAAACCATGCCTGACTTAACCAGAAACAAATGCCAACCACTGTCGAATGTGACTGCCCAGCCTCTTAACACCATCTTCTCAGGTGGCTGACATCCCTTGGTTTCACACTGGGGGCCTTGCCCTGGATTATTTACTTTCTTTTATTTAGCTCAAGTTAGAAGCAATTTTACACCTGAAGTTGAATGACTTCCAAATGGATTTTAGCATAGACCCAGGGAAGAGTGTAAGAAAGAGGACAGGAAACAATTCTCTTGACATTATTTTCAAGGCAGGAGAGAAAAGACCATCTCATGGCCTTTGGGTACAAACCCTTGGCCTATGTAAATAGAGCCCCCACTTTCTGCCCTCTGAATCTCATACCTTGCTTCCACTGATTCTGGATTTTTTTACGGTATGATGTGTAACATCGATCCAAGGCCCGCAAGTAGCACTGGATGGAAAGCTTCCCATCCACTATTGGGTACTCCGAGGCCAAATTTGGTTTGTAGAAGTCATACACATTCTCCATATGGGTTCCCCTCAGCCCTGGAAAGGCACACAAAGTGTTTCAGAGACTACACAATGCAGCCTACCTTGAGCACAAAAGATGAGAGAACCATATAAAGGAGGTTTCTGGTCATTATCTGTGTCCCATGCCCAAGTTCAAGCCCATTCAACATCCCTTGCATATTCAAAAGGAGTTGGACAGGTTGTTGGTATTACAAAAATGAGATGTATATTTCCCTTTCCTCACCTACATGGGCTTAACAAAACCTAGAATAGAAGCCAACAGTCTCAAAGGAAAGACTTTCACTTTATATCCAGTTATATATTTTAATCTTCAATTGCCAGAAGAGTTCCCTAAGATTCCTCACCATCATCTGCACCACTCATTCCATGCATCGTTATCCCAATGCCTGATGATGCAAGAGAGGAAGCCTCGCGGATTCCCCTCTCCCATTTCTCCTCTCCTCCCTCTGCTCCATAGACCAGCCCTTTTTAGAGGCAAGCAATACCATCCTCAAACGCATACCTCAGCCCTGAGTAGCAGGTGTGCCAATGTGGGATTAGGATCTATGTTCTTGGCTATGCCATGCACAGCCTCTTGGTAATGGATTACTACAAACCTCGCTCCAGGGCCAGAGGGGCCTTGGGCCCAATCAGCATAGCCACAGCTCCGGCCCCACCTGTGGGACGAGCATTACCACTGGGATAGACGGCAATGTCTCCACAGACCACCATGGCATAACGACCTGTAAAGAGAAACAAGAAATATTTACCATCATTACCAAATCTAGAGTAGACTGAGTGCCTACTGTGTACCAGGCACAATTCTAGGTCCTGGATATAGAGTGATAAACAAAATAAAAAATCCCAGTCCTGTGGAGCTTATGTTCTAGTGCAATTCATGATACATTTGAAATGTAAAGTCAAAATTTAGTGTCCTGACACTCTGTAAAACGCTCATTTATTCAGAATTCTGTCTCTGACTTCAGTGAAAAATGTGTTAATTCGCACTTTTGGAGACAATTCAGGTTTGGGTTTGTACCCATCTCCTTATAGCACACCATGATCCTGAAATTATATCCTAAATCATAGAAGGTAAAGGACAGGGAGGGAAACTAACATTTAAAACACTAGTAGGACACTAGTTAACCTTAAACAATTCTTGAAACAATCCAATGAGGTAGGTAACATCCACATTCACAAGTGAAGACATTGCCTTCCTGAGAGACTGAGTAACTAGTGTAAGGTCACATAGCTAGTTAATATGGATTTTGATATTCAAACCCAGTTCTGACTGGATCCTGAACCACGTGCCTTGAATTGTGTGGCACTACTTTCATTGTGAAAATAGTTTATATTGAGTAAATGATCCGTAGTCACTAACTTTATGATAATCAGACTAGTATTCAATAAATAATTGTGGTCTTGACTATTATGTGTTCCACTTTCATCTGTAAGAAGTACTGTCCCAAAAACTCAAGTTTGTGGGTGAGATATGGTAGTAATTTTAGTATTCTGACCTGTGAGGAAGCTCCCAGTATTCACCCACAGCACTGCTTTGGGAGCCACATTTCTATATAATTTAATCCTCATGATAAATCTATGTAGCAGATATAGTTATCCCCATCCTACAGATGAAGAAACTGAGGGCTAAAGAATTTAAGCCACTTGCCCAAAAACCACATAGCTAATAAATGGTAGGGTAAGGATTCAGAGTCAGGACTCCAACCCAAATTCACTGAAATCCAGGGACCTTCTCTTAAGAATTATAACAATCCCAACTCCAACATCAACGAAAAAGTATTGTTTTCTTCCCCAATGCTATGTGCATGTGTGTGTGTGTATATATATAAATATACAAATAATTTATATAAATATATAAATGTAAGTATATATTTAGTATATATAAATATATTAGTATAAGTAAATTGGTATATTTAATATATATAAATATATATTTAAGTATATATAATTTTTATATACATAAAATTAAGGGAAAACAATACTTTTTTCTACCTGTATATAAGCACACACACGCACACATTTTGAAAACTTTAGAAACTATAGAAAAGTATTTAGAATCCATTTAGGAAAAGGCCAGTAAATTTGATTATCTAAAAATCAAAGCCTTCTATCAGAAACAAAGTCAAAAGACAAATTGGGGGAGTATTTACAATACTTACAATCAACAAAAATCAATTTATCTTCATTTATAAAAGTTTCATTAAAAAGGCAAGCTAGGCCGGGCACGGTGGCTCACGCCTGTAATCCCAGCGATTGGGGAGGCCGAGGCAGGAGGATTGTGAGGTCAGGAGATCAAGACTATCCTGGCTAACACGGTGAAATCCCATCTCTACTAAAAATACAAAAAATGAGCCGGGTGTGGTGGTGGGGTCCTGTAGTCCCAGCTACTCGGGAGGCTGAGACAGAAGAATCGCTTGAACCTGGGAGGCAGAGGTTGCAGTGAGCTGAGATCACCGCCACTGCACTCCAGCCTGGCAACAGATCGAGACTCTGTCTAAAAAAATAAATAAATAAAAAATAAAAAAAGGCAAGCTATATAATAAAAAAAGGCCAATAAACAACATAGAAATATTCAAGATTTCTTATAGTAAAAGAAACGCAAATCAAAAACATTATAATTTTACTTGTTAAATTGACAAAGATTAGAAAGTTTGATAATATATACATTGTAGGAATGTAAGTTAGTACAACATTTTGGAGAAGAATTTGGCACATTTTATCAAACTTTTAAATCAACCTATCCTGATATTCCACTTCTAGGAATTTATTCTTACAATACAATGCCAAAAGTATACAAAGCTATTGTACAATGTTCATTAAAACTTTATTTATCATTGCTAAAAAACTAAATATCCATCAATATGGGATTAATTAAATAAAATTTGGCATATCCATCAAGAATATTGTGGTTTTAAAAAGAATCAGATAGACCTTACATATGTTGATACAGAATTACCTCTAAGACCTAAGAGATGAGGAATATTTTGTACAATGTTTAAAATGGAATAGATATGTGTATACTTGCAGGTACTTAGAAAAAATATTGGAAGAATACATATAAACCATCAGTGTTAAATTTTGGGAAGTGGTAACAGGTCAAATGAGGAGTCTTTCTTTGCTTTATATACTTTTGTGTATGTGTATGTTTTTTTCCAAATATAAATTTTAATTATTTTCATTTAAAAAAAAAAACACAAGAAAACATGGGGACTCCCAGCCAATCTGAGCCAGAAATACTCTTCTCTTTCCTCATCCCCTCCACTTTTCTCTGGAGTGATTCAGAACTCCCTGAGTCTCAGAGCCACTCCCTCCCACCTGAGGGTCCCCAGATGAATGACTGGCTAGGTCAGAAGCAGAGTTCTCATTCACACTGGCATCCTCTGGTCCTGGTGGTTACTGTCACCTGCAGGGTATGTAGTCCGAGTGTCCAGGCTCAAGCTTAGCTGTTTTTGTTTTAAATACAAACTAAAGATTCACATTTCAATAACTTGTTTTTTAAATTTTTACTTTTATACCTAGATACCACATTTTTTTAAAAGATGCATTTGCAACCCCATCTGTGGAATACCCAGCCCCTCAGAAGAATCTACGCATTTGAAATGGCATGCTTAAGGCTGACAATGCTCTCAAGAATAGGCTCTTTGATTTTTGGTTAAAGGCTGGTGAATGCCCCTTATTTTTCATTTCTACTCCTCAACTAAATAATTGGTTGGACATATCAGTGGTGGTAATGGTGGTAGGGGTTACTAGAGAGGTAGTAATACAAGTATCAAGTAGGAGAGGCACTTTAAGAACAGACTTGATGATGTAGACTGGACCATCCCATGTCAGTGGAATTGTTAATGATGGAGCCAGGTAGGGCAGTTGGAAAAGCCTGGAATGAACTTTTGTAATTGCACGGTCTTGCTGCATGTACAGAGATAAACTGTTACACTCCTCTTGACCTCTTTTTTCTAAAGCAAAAGATATTGAATTAGATGATCTCTGAGGACTCTGCCAATATTAAGGCTTTTTGATTAATTTTATAATTAATGCTTATCATGGTTTCTAAGGTTTTTAATCCTAGTTTCAAACTTAGTAAATATAGAGTGTCTTAACTACTGCCAACATACTGTTTTTTCACATCTTTATGAAAATTTCACATTTCTATGAATTATTTTATTCAGTCCTCTTATAAGTTAAGCAAGGCAGATAGGCAAATAACCCTGAGGCTCAAAGAGGTTCAGGAATTTATCAATGATTATTGATAGAGCTATGGCTTCAAGCTCTCATACTGTACTGTTTCCCTTGAATCATTTCTTGCTGTAACAACAGGGGTTAGTCCTCAAATATAGCACTGGGAGAAGATATAAGTAAGATACAAGGTAATGTTAATATGTTAAGCAAAAAGCAATATGCAAGGAGCCACCTAAGGGAGAAAGAGTAGAAATACTCACAGTCTATCTTGTGGTTTTCTGGGCCTGTTTCTATGAAGGTGTTTTTTTCCCGAACATCTAAACTTGCATACATCTTTCAACATCACCAATCTCTCAGAGACTTAGGACATGTTTAAGAGAAACAGGTACGGTAAAATAGGAAATATGTCAGATGTGGTTTGGCATTTTTGCCTCTGCCACTCACTATGTGTAAGCTATCAGATCTTCCATGTTCTCTTCTATAAATCTGGTATAATACACACTTCCTAGGCTGTTGTAAGAATTAAATGAATGGCTATGTGAACATGCTACCTAACTGTAAAGCTATATAAGTCTAAGTGGTTATTGTGGGATGATAGCAGCAGCTGTGTGAATATATTGTCCTTCCTTCACTAGATGAAGCCACCTGGGGAACTGAAAAGCAAAACTGGTAATATTCAGCCTCCAATTCCAGCACCTTTCTTACATAAGGTTCGTGGCCGTACATACCATCCCAGGAACTGGACTCCATCCAGTTGGCAGCATTGAAGAGGGAGGCAGTACCACCGTAGCAGGCATTGGTGGTATCTATGCCCTCAATATCAGTATTGCCTGAATCCTGGAAGAGTTCCATGAGCACTGTTTTGACAGCTTTGGACTTGTCAATGATGGTCTCAGTGCCTACTTCCAGCCTGCCCACAGAGTCCCATGGGAGCTGTATGCGCTCCATCAGCCGTTGCACCACCGTCAGGCACAGGGAGTTGATGTCCTCTTGGACTGAGCAGAAGCCCATACGGGTCTGGCCCAAGCCCACTGTATACTTTCCTGCTTCCACATTGTTATACTTCTCCAGGTCAGTTTGGTCCACATATTGGGCTGGGAAGTAGACCTCCAGGGCCAGGATGCCCACGTCCTTTGGCCAAGTATCTGTTTTGGCCAGGGGGACAGCAGAGGCTGTAGAAAACCTGTGATGGAGATAACAGTCAAACTCCCACTAATGGTCTGTAGACAATTTCCTCAAAAGACAGTAACATAGCAATCATTTAATTAATTTTCTATATTTTGAAGCTATGTTATCAGATGACTACAAATTTAGTATTGTTATTATCTTTTCATTGAATTGACCCTTCTATACTTATTAAATATCCCTTTTCATCTTTGTGATATTCTTGGCATAAAGTTTCCTTTCCTGACGTCGATATAGCTACACTAGCTTTTTGCTTACTGTTTCCATGGTACATCTTTTTCTGTCCCTTTTTACTTTCAACTTCTTAACGTCTTTATCTTTAACATACATCTCTTGTGATCGGTATATATATTTTAGTCCTTTAAAAAAATTTTAATAAGTCTAACAATAGTGGTGTTTTAATTTGAGTATTTCATCCATTTATATTTGTTGTAATTACTAATATAGTTGGAACTAAATCTTTTTTTTTCTCTTTTTTGAGACGGAGTCTCACTCTGTCACCCGGAGTCTCACTCTGTCACCCAAGCTGGAGTGCAGTGGCGTGATCTCTGCTCACTGCAAGCTCCGCCTCCTGGGTTCACACCATTCTCCTGCCTCAGCCTCCTGAGTAGCTGGGACTACAGGCACCTGCCACCACGCCCAGCTAATTTTTTGTATTTTTAGTAGAGACAGGGTTTCACCGTGTTAGCCAGGATGGTCTCGATCTCCTGATCTCGGTCTTCCAAAGTGCTGGGATTACAGGCGTGAGCCACCACGCCCAGCCGGAACTAAGTCTATTTTTTTATTTGTTTCTATTTGTCTCATTTGTTCTTTGTTCTTTTATTCCTCCTTTCCCATATCCTTTTAGAGTAAGCAAATATTTATTATTCATTTTATACCCTCTTTTCCTTTTACTGGTGACCTTAAAGATTATAACATGCATAATTGGCTTGTTGTAATCTTACTTAAATTAATACTTATCTTACTTTTGGAACACTGCAAAAACTTTAGGTTGACTTTATTTACTCTCTGCATCCTTTTGAACCATTATTGTCATATACTTTACTTCTACATGTTATAAGCCCTTATAGGGCATAATTATACAATCTTTACTCATTTTAAAAGTGTACCTCTAATTACATGTCTTTCTCCTTTCTTTTTTCTACACAAGAACATACCCACTGTTTTCCTACTTTTAAGTAAGTTTTCTGCTAGCTGATTTTTCTGATAGGGCCTTCCAATGTTTATTGAGCACACCCAACACAGTTCTAGTCCAAATACACAGCAGTGAATAAGACATGCATTGTGCCCATAAAGAGAGCACAGCCCAGTGAAAGAAGCAGACATTTTACAGCTAAATATGCAGGGAACACAGACAGCAGAAAGAGCAATTCTAAACGAGAGCAGAGGAAAAAAGGAAGGGGAAGGAGTCAGCAGAAGAAGGGAGAGATGATCTATTTCTTTTCTGGACCAATTCACTTCTCTTTAACCCAGATTCTTAATATCCCTGGCGAAAATCTGTGTTCCCTTTTGTATGGGAGCATACTGGAGGTGAACTTGGTGATCTCTGTACTGCTCCCATACAAAAGTACTTTATACCTTCTGTTCACTTTAGCAACATTCTTCATTTTATAGTTAGTGAAACCAAGGCACACACTGGTAAAGTGATGCACTCAGGGTAACTTCATAGTTTCTCACGTGTTAGAAATACTCTGTCCCTTCACTGCCCTGGGTGCCAGGCTTATAAATTTAGCTCCATTCTACGGGAGCTGGAACTCAGATTGAATGTGTCTATCAATCATCTTTGGGATTCTGAGCCTCTGGTAGAATTCTAGAGCCTCTCCCAGCAGCAAGGTCACTTCTAAGGACAGCTGTGAGGCAAAAGTGGATCATATGATCACAAGATAGTGAGGCAGAATGATAAATACACATTATATCTGACAGGAGAGGTTTGGAGTTTATTTATCTTCCCTATTTATTTGACTCCCTCCAAATAACTGGAGTTTGTACTCTCAAATATTTACGGAGGAGCTTCCCCAGTACCCGGGAGCTAATGGTTAAGCCAGCGCTTGTCCTGCCAGCTTGGCTGCCTTTCTCTCAGCCTCATTCTCGCTCTGACTTCTCTGGGCTGGCTCCCTCCCTTTCTTCCCAGTTAGAAATCAAAGCTTGCAAGAAGAAGCTTAGAATGGGTCAGTTGGTAACTTTTGTAGCTGTCTTGGTGGGGAGCTATTTCTAGAAATGGATTATAAAGCCTTGAAGAAAATTAACACGGAGAGGCTTCCAGAAGCTTCAGCCCACCGAAGTTAAGAGTATCCTTCTCATCTTGTGCTTTCTCTAAAGAATGATCACTTTGTGTAATTTTAAATCATTTTTCTCCTGGTGTTGCCCACTTCAAGAACATGCACCACACCTTTACTTCTGTATTCCATCTTGCCTCCTTCCCTTGTGTTTCAAAATTAATTACTACACTTCAGGCACTGTGCTGGGAAGGGTTTGTGAGGGTTGAACAAAGGGGTTGGACAAAGAAAAGAAGAGGGTGAGGTTCTTGAGACCTCCTTGACCAGTGTGAGGAATGATAAGCACACATATAACCCAACTTCAAGGCAGAATGTGGTCAGGCCCACAAAAAGGAATGTGAGCAAAATCTACAGGAGTTCAAAGGAAGCAGAGATTTCAGTGGGTTGGAGGATCAGAGAAGCTTCGTGGAAGAGACCGCATTTGAGGCAAACCTTGATGGATGACAGACTTCTGCCAGTGAAGAACTGGAGGGGAATGAAGGGGCAGTGGCCACGGCAGGGGGTGACTGAACAAGTAAGGAACCCTGGAGATGCAGGTGTATAGGGGAGCAGGGAGACAATATGTGAGAAATACAGTAAGTGGAGGGCACAAGTCTTACCGAATTTTGAAGACAGCAAAGCAGATGCTGAGATGAAAGTCTCTTTTAGGTTGGAGTTAGAGCCAATGTGGGTTGGATTAAAGGCGATTAGACATATAGAGAAAAGGTGACTCATGAAAAGCAATATTAGTTCAAGCCATGCATAATGGGATTAACTGTGAATATACCAGAAGGGAAATGGGAATGATTCCAAGAGTTTGAACCAAGGGAGTCAGAATGTTGGGGAGGATTGATGTATGTCTTTTGGCTGATGGCCAACTATTGCTATTAAAACAAGAAACCCACATCAATCTCTTCTTCACAAATATAGAAACAGGTTAAATCCTGAGCTGGGACATTTAACCCACATGCAGGGTTTGGCAGTGCATGGGGAGAGTGAGATGATGGTAGCATAATGAAAAATATAAGAAAGCTATGTGCATTTGCCTCTACCATGCACATCTATACACCCAGGTTCCTTGGGTATTTGGCAAGGAAAGACACTAGGTCAAAATCATTTTTCTAAATATTTAGTAGTCATAGAATATAGAGTAAAAATGTAAGGAAATAAAGAACTAGTCCCAATGTGTAGTGGATGGTTTGGGGATTAGACAGAAACACATAGGTGGCTGGGAGCCTGAGGCACTAACGATAGCTGTGTTACCATCATCGCTGACAATGGAAAACATAAGCACTTGAGCCATGTTCAGGGACTATTTACAAAGAAAAGGAGTGTGCATGTTCTTCTTGCAAAGAGCATGTACACATACACACATAAACACACATTTCCCCTTTTCATAAAATTGGAACACAAGGCAAACACAGCTTCTCATCCTCAGTCCATTTCTGATTCTGCTGCAGTGATATAAAGTCACTGGTTTTACTAACACTGCAGTTGGCACAAGGTCCTGTGGTTCTAGGCAGAGGCTAGGGGTGAAGGTGGGAATGGTGGTGTAGAGAGGAAAGCTGTGGCCTGGTACTGATATTTCTACTGCTTCATGCAGCTGGCAGAGTAAAAGTTGCCATTGCTCACAAACACAGCATGTGTCAGAGGTTTGGGCTCTTCTCACTCTACAGCTGAAAGGGATTGTCTGTTTAGAGATGAGGTAACTGAGACCCTTTAAAGTTAACTTGCTTGTCTAAGGCTGCTGTGCACAAGCCTTGCCAAATTTTGAGTGGGATTCTAGTGAGTTTTCCCCAATAGCAGGGAAAAACTATCTTTTACTAGTTACAAGGTGCTTCTCAGAAAGTGACTCACCTTTGGTGGGCTACTGGGAGCAGGCGAGCAGGTGTGAGGGAGGTTTCCTGCACCGCTCTTGTCAGTTGCAGAATGCGCTTCACTGGAGTCAACAGACGCTGCATCTCCAGAGGAGCAAGCAGAAACCCAGCAGTTCAGAAACCCAGCAGAAACCTTGAAAGAGATGCCCAGTGGTGCCCGGCAGGACTTTATAAAGCCCCAAGACTCCTGCCTCCCTAAGCCCCGCCTCTGCTCACCGTGGCTCAGTCTGCTTCTAAAACTGGGTCAAAGGGCTCACTCAGAACACGGGCGAGTCAAAGACAAACAGCATCTCTCCAACATGTACATAGCTGCCCTGCTCCTGAGCATGTGTGGGAATGGCTGGGCATTGTTCCTCCTACTCCATCAGGCTCTGTGGCAGCCTTGATTCTGCCCAGCTACCTAAGCAGGAGGTTATGATGTTCCTTGTTGTATCACATCCCAAGGTAACCCTATGTGTCTTGTTTTAGACCCTGGCTCCTTATCTGTATTACTCTCACTGGGTGTTCCACACTCCTCTCTGTGGTGTTAGTTGTTATTATTTTAATGTGCTATGCATTATAAGAAACATCTTTCTAAACCAAAGGGAAACTCTTTTAATAGTAGCTTTTCAAGGAGTTGGGAGTGAGTGTTGGCACATAGGCCAAGGGCTGGGCGTTAGAGTATGTGGAACCTACTATATTTCTCCTGTTTATTGTCCACCCTTTTACTTGTACAGCTCTACACAATTTCCAAGTGGGATGAAATTAGTGTTGTAGTAAAGGGACAGGAGCCTCAAAGAGGTGACAGTTTGAAGCTCAATCTCCTAAGGAGGAAAGGTTTACTTTATAGATGAGGTCAGAGTTATGTATAAAGGAGTCATTTTCCCAAAGACCTGCAGCTAGGAAGTTGCAGAATGAGAACTCAACCATGTCTTTTGACTCCAGATTCTGGTCCTTCTGCTTTGCTCTTCTACTACTCAATAAAAAGGCTCCTGCCATCTGATTTTCCAAATGAATGTCTCCCTCCACTCCTCCCACAGCACCAATCTTCCTCTACCTTTTGTGAGTCATGCATTCACTCCTTAGTTCATTCAGTCATCCCCATCACCAACCCCCTGTCTAATATGAGTGTGTAGGGAACACAGAAAAGAGCTGGAGTGGTTCCTGCTTTAGGAGGATATAGTTGACTTCATGTTCCTACAGACAGAGAATGTCTAGGTGCCCCCAGCAGTCCAGGATATCTAGGTCTTCCATCTTATCTTTAAATTCTTATCTCCATATATCTTGGTGTGTTGGTGTTCTAACTCAATCTCCTACCTTGCTGTGTCACCTCCTGCTCTTACACTCAGCCTTTTGCAAAGTTCTGTCGTCAGTGAAATTCTTCATTTCCAATCTCTTCTCTGAAATACCTGTTGCTTCTTGTCAATCCAATGCACTTTAAATGCTTACAACAAGGCCTGTGTCCTCTTTGCTTCATACTATCTCTTCCAGGGTATTTCTCCTCTTCCTCCTCTCAAAACCCCTGCTGTCTTAAAGCACATGCTACAGTCTGTGCCACCCAGTGCCCTTATTCTTGCAGTCAACTAACTGTCATGTTCCACTGTCCCTCATTGATAAAATTTAAGCACATAGATCACTACTTTCCTCTCCACCATCAGTCATCTCAATGGATGTGAGATGTCAATCTCCACATAAGATAATTCACCTGCCCTAGCCTCTCACTGAAGCTCCCACAGCCATGTCCGTGTTCATGGACATGACTTTAGCCTCCCACTCCACAGTCATAATGTGGACTTTGTTATTACAGTGTCTATGCCACCTCCAACATTTTAGTTTCATGCATTCCAATTTCCAACCACCTCTATATTCCCTGCTCCTGTTTAAAGTACCCTCACACCTTTTTCTCCCACTGAGACCACCACTGACTCCTCTATGTTTTTAGCATTTGTTACACCTCATCACCTCTTTTCTCTCCTTATCCAGATCAGATTAACCATGGTGCCTCACCATAAGCAATCCCTTGCACACACTTTGCAATTTGTGCTCTCTGTCGGACTGGCCTAGCAAACCTTCAATTTTGGTTAAACCCAACTCTTAATCTACTCTGCGCCTGCATCTGAGCAGCTAAACATAGATGAAGAAAAACACAACTTTGTACTAACTTGTTAGCTTTAAATTTACAAACATACATCTCAAGTGGACCCTCACCATGGCCTGGTAACTCTACTACCTTTTCCCAGTCCATTTGCTCTCCCATCCCAAGAGGGCTAGTCACAACTTCTCTTCTGCCATAGCCCCTTTCTACTCATTCTCAGCTGATCACTTTGACTCTGAATTCACTGAGAAAATAGAAACAATCAGAAAAGAATAACTCCGTTTTCCATGAGCAAATCTGGCAAATTGCCTGCCTTTATACCCCACACATTGCCTTCTCACTGCCTTCTCACTATGCAGAGGAAGAGTCCCTGCTCTGGCCTCGGGCCAGCACCACCATGTGTGCACTGGTTGTACTGCTTGTTTCTCACATAAGGCTGTGCTCCTGCAGTTTTCCCCTCTCTTTCTCATGATCTATTTTCCCTTTCTACTACATTCTTCTTGTGTTATTGTTCTTATACAATCCCATCTTTAAATACCTCCTCTTGACTCTATATGTCTTACTGAGTGCCACCAAATCTATGCTGTCATCTATAGGGAAATTTATTTAAAATGTCTGCTTTCAGTGTTTTACAAGCTTACCTCTCATTCTGTCTTTAATTGACCACTAAGGCTTTTGCCCCCAGTGCTCCAAGGAATTCCCTCTCATCAAGGTCACCAGTGGCTTCCTTATTGCCAAATGCAGTGTTTGCTCTTGAACCTTCAGCTTACTAGACCTCTTAGCAGCAAATGGCAAGGCTGCTCTCCCTTCTTCTCAAAGCACCTTTTTCACTTTGCCCTTAGACCTGACAATCCCATGGTTTTCCTCCAAATCCCTGGCCACTCCCCACAGGTGCTCCCCTCTTTCTGATCTCTAAATTTTGGAGTACTCAGGTAGTCTCCACATGTTCCTTATTCCACTAAGAAAATGGATAAAACTCGATAGTGTTAAAGTAAATTTAATGTGGCCCAAAACTGCCTAGGTAGGTAGGGTACTTAACCTAATATATAAACAAACCGCAACCTAACCTGAGAGTGTATTCATGTAACAAGTAGCTGAGTCTTGACCAATCATAGCAGCCATGCTTTCAGTCAATCGCAGGCTGCAAATTGCCAAAACATGTTCCTGTAAGGCAAATGCCAGCTGTAACCAATCAAGCTATTTTTGTCTCTAAATACTGACAGTCCAATATTTCTATTGGAGATCTCTAAATCTTTACTAATTCAGGGTGCTGACTTATTCATGAATGGTTTCTTTGCTCAAATAAATTCAACTAAATTTAATTTGTTCAAGGTTTTACTTTTAACAATAGAAACATTAAACTCTTACACAAACATCACACGGGATTATGGCTACATCATGGCTCAGTTTGATAGAATTGAAGACCAAAACTATCCAATCCAATGCAAATTTTAATTAGTGTATATAACAAATTGGCACTGTGATAAGCACTGGGAATACAGATAGATGGATCAACTTCATTCCCTTCTCTCTTTTAAGCTGACATGTACTAAGTAATTACTGCGTGCTAGGTACTGTGCTAAGTACTTTCCGTTCATTATCTCATTTAATTTTTACAACTGTCTGAGGTTGGCACTATTGTTAAGCCCATTTTACAGATGAGGAAACTGAGGTTCAGGAAAATTATATAACCATTTGTGGTTTTAGATCTAGTAAATGGCCTGAATGGGCTTTGAATCCAGGTATCTGGCTCTACACATAACCTGAGTCAATCATGAACCATTTTTGACTTGGGAAGGTGGAAATTTTATATGGCCAATCTAATATTAAGTTGTTCCTTTGGGATAAGGGAACTTGTAGATTGAGGAAGCACCAGGAATGCATTATGCAAAGTATAAATTGAGGGAAATAATAGTAAAACACCATGAGGTGGTAGTTTTTCATACTGAAGGAAATTTATATGACTTAGTCAAGTAATTGTATTCAAATACAATCAAATAACTGGTTTGTCTACTAATTGCTCAAAGTGTTGAAGAAAATGGAACACACTATTTGTGTCTGAAGAAGATACTACCTCCCAAATACTTAAATAAACCCACATTTTGATACTTCCTAGATGAAAAAAGATGTATTTATTTTTGATTTGAGACTTTAGGGTCCTTCAACTCCTAGACTTCAGCTTTTCAGCTGAAGTGTTGATAAAAGGATTAATTTAAAATGCATGTTACCTGCTAGATAAGCATTAAAAGTCAGAAAAATTGATTATGAGGGATTTTAGAAGTTTAGACATCTAGGGTGAGGTCTTGCAAAAACAATGTTTGTTTTTTAAGCAATTCTGACAAAAGAGCCGGTGTAGGAGAACAAAACTATAAACAAGGTTCCCAGGCACCTGGATTTGCCTCTTTTAGCCCACATAAAGATTGCAACTCTTCTACCTCAGTAGCCCACTATTCTCCTTTCAATAAATGCTCTGAAAATGCATTTACCCCAGGTTCCCATGACTGATAAATTGAAGCAATCTTTTCCCATGCAGATTTGCCCTTTACATCTCAACCTAAGGGAAAAAGAACTTTCAAAATTCTCGGCATCAGAAAGTGGGTAGGAAAGCTATTTCTATGGAAAGTCTAGACCTAGGAAGAAGTCTTTATACTTGCAGGGTCTTTGTACCTTTGGAAATGAGCCCTGTTTATTTCACGATACTAATGCATTACTAGCATATCTGGTGCTTTATCAGTTTTCAGTTGCTTTTGCATACGGTCTTTTCTCATGAAAGTTCCATGGAGTTAACCTGAATTATTAGCCCCATTTGGAAGATATGGACATTGAGGCTTTGAGAGATTAAGTGATCTGGCTTGTGGATATGTGATTAGTGACAATGGCTGGGAGGGCATTTGACGGCCTTGGCTCCAAATCTAGGGCTCTTTCATTGCACCTACTTGTGGAGTCTGCTGTGGAAGAGGAAGAGCAAATGTTGTTTGTGATTTTGTTACTGGTTAGTACAACCTCTTATTTGCCAGGTCTTGCCTTTTCTGATTGCCTGGGGAGACATTTAGAACTTTGATTTCAAAGCCTGCAGAGTTTGGTGAGGGAGGAGTCCTGAATCCTGTGACTAGTATATATAAATTCCTAGCTAATTAGGTGAAAGGTCCAGAGGAAAGTAGGGGAAAGGGCATGGAGTCTGATGAGATCTCCCAAACAAAACCAATGAGCACTGGTGTTTTGATGCTTCTCAAGTTTCACCATTCCAGGAGTTCCTTAGTGTATGTTCAGCTTCTAGGGAGCAAACCTGACAAGCTAATTGGAGTCTCAAGTGGGAATTAAGCATTTGCATGGGGAGACCTAGTGTGCAGCTGCCCATAGCTCTCAAGGACCTGACCCCGGCATCACTACGTGTCAATCCTTCTTAGTGTCTATTGTCAAGCTTTCATCTTCACAGACACTTAAACAGTTAAAAAAAAAAAATCTGTTCTCACAGCCACTTTATGTCAAACAAATAATGTCACAATAATACCCATAACTAACTTCCTTTTCTTTTTTTGTTTTTGAGCACTAGAAGTTTATTGATAGATAATTATCAAGTATTTGTCCTAGTTCTTATCATATTTTATATTTGCATAACATTTTATCATGTCATCACTTTTCTACCTGGCAATATGGCAAACTGTCATAGGCTGTGGAGTGCTTCTTCCAAAATCAAACTGAAAGGCACTTAAAAAAAAGGAAGTATTAATTTGAAAAACAATTTATAAAAAAATCTGACAGAAATTGTTCCTGGACCAAACCGAAGGTTGGGTTGTTTATTCTTGTGGCCCAATAACGAGATGCTGGTGAACTGGGAAAGAAGAGAGTTTATTTCTATAACCAGGTACAGGGAGAAGGCCGGGAAAATATTGCCAGACCAGCTCAAAATTACAAAATTTTCCAGGGCTTATATACCTTCTAAGCTATATGTCAACGTGTAAGTGTGCATTCATCTAAAGACATCAGTGATTAACTTCTTCTAATCTATAACTAAGGTCTCAGTCCTAAAGACCTTCCTCAGGAGCCTCGTAAATTTACTTAATCTAAATGGGTCCAGGTGCTGGGGTGATTAACCTTATCTCGTCTCCTGCTAAATCATGGAGATTTGGGGAGTTCCTTCAGACTCCCAATAAACTTGTTTGTGGAGGCCTGGGAAGTTTTTTTCAGACCCCCAATAAAACTTGTTTAATTCTAAACGGGTCCTGTTAAGAATTCCTTGGTTATCTTGTAATGCTTCAAGGCCCAGGAGAGGCCTGGGCAAAACTCTTGGTGGGCTTTTGATACAATCTAGCCTTTGTATAAGGGCACTGGCTTAATCAGCTTTTAATATTTAACTTAACCACTCAGTCAGTACTGAAACAGTTGTTACTGAGACCTGCATTAGTGAGACCTGACTTGCCACAAAATCTCTGAGGAGTTGGATGTGTAAAGGTCAGAGGCAGAGCTGGGGATAGGAAGGGCTGGAGCCTGAGGTGGAGGATGGCTGGGCGGGGTAGGGGGGTGGCAGTGAGAGGAGGAACATTGTAAAAGCCCTACCGTGGGGCCTCTTTGATGACAAGAGTTTCGGACTGAGCAATCACACTCTGACAATCACTCCAACAAACCTCCATTTCCAACCCCCAGATGGGTGTCCCAGCAATAATTTCCTCCTGGTGCTCTTGCCTTCTAGCAGCTTAAATGTGAAACCTTGGTCACAGGAGTCTCCAGGTGAAGAGGCAGCAAACAGGGATGGTCTTCTGCCATGTCTAGGGCTCTCCACTGTGGGGTTCCTCCCCGTCCCTCACCTTACATATGCCTGGAGGGACATAGGCTGGGACCAGGCCTTCTGTGCTTCCCCAGAAGCACCAGCCATGACCACCAAGGAACATGAACTCACACACCAACATAATCAGACACCTGGGGATTGGAAAAGGAAGACAGCACCCTGAACAACAGGCACCACCTGAAACAGACCAAGAATGTAGAATAATCTAGTACATGTACTCAAGGACACAAAGAAAGATTTCCTACTATAGTGCACTAAAAAGAAATCATAACTAAGAATTACATGTATAAATACTTAAATATAATGTTGAAATAAAGAATATGCTAAATGAGAAATATTACAGGATGGATGTAACTAAAAATAATTAATGAGGAGGCATATTTTTAGTGAGGAGGCATATTTGATTGGGGAACTCTCACAAAAAAGGAAAGAGCAAAGAGAGAAAACATTTAGAAAAGTGCTAAGATGTTGGGAGACTAGAAATAAAAGTAGCAAGACTATTTGAATAACGGGATCCCCACATAGGAAAAATTAGAACTAATAAAGACGTATTTCCATTTTTAAGGAAAGATGACACATCTCATTTAAAAAAAGAAAAAGAAAAAAAAAAGGCTGGGCACAGTGGCTCATGCTTGTAATCCCAGCACTTTGGGAGGCTGAGGTGGGCAGATCACTTGAGGCCAGGAGTTCGAGACAAGCGTGGGCAACATGGAGAAACCCTGCGCTACTAAAAATACAAGAAACACCCGTGTGTCGTGGGGCGTGCCTGTAATCCCAGCTACTTGGGAGGCTGAGGCAAGAGAATCGCTGGAACCTCGGAGGCGGAGGTTGCAGTGAGCTGAGATCACGCCACTGCACTCCAGCCTGGGTGACAGAACAAGACTCAGTCTCAACAGAAAAAAAAAAAAAAAAAAAAAAAAAAAAAAAAAAAAAAAAAAGCTCATCAAGGAACAAACAAGAGAGTTCAGGAGAAAATGGACCTAGAGTACACAAAGACAAACAGGACATTCTAAACGCTGCTAGAGAGAAAGATCACCTAAAAAGAAAAAAGTCAGGTGGCATTGTACTACACATCAGCAACACTGGACTCAATTAGACAATGAAGTAATATATTTAAAGAACTGATGAAGATGACACATGAAATTGTCATTCAAACATAGGGGCATAACAAATATGTCCTCAGGCACTCAAAGACCCGTAATGGAAACAGAATCGGAGGAAGAAGCTAAATCTCTTTACATTTGTAGAGAAAAACAAATTCAGGAGGATGCAGTACTAAGTACAGAAAAAGCATAGCTGATCAAATACTTTGGTAAATGTATTGCTGATGCAACAAAGTTCCAACAGACAACATCAGTTTATAAAAATCAGTAGGATTTCCTTACATTTGCATTAATCAACTAGAAAATTTGATGAAAAAATGAACCAACAAGAGCAATTCGCAATAACAACAAAAACTAGTGTCTAGAAATTATTTTAACCAAGGTTATAAAAGATCTCTATGAAAAACTTTTACAACTTGAACAGATAATATAGAAAAGAATTTTACTTATTTATTTTATTTTTTTTGTAGAGAAAATAATTTTACTTATTTATTTTATTTTATTTTTTTGTAGGGCAACATATTTTCCTATGTTGTCCAGGCTGGTCTCGAATTCCTGGGCTAAAGCGATCCTCTCACCTCGGCCTCCTAAAGTGCTGGGACTATAGGCATGAGCCACCATGCCCAGCTGATTTTAAAATAATAGAAAAATATTCTGTGCTCTTGGATGACACAATTTACTATTATAAAGGTATTTGTTTTTCCCGAATTAATCCAAAAATTCAATGCAATCCCCATACAAATTCTAGTTGGATTTTTTGAGGAACTTGAATTATTATTCTGAACTACACTGAAAAGAAATAATAAATATTCAGAAATAACTAAGTTAAAATTGAAAAATAAGAATAATGAGGGAGATTTCTTTTACCAGTCACTGTAACTTAGTACAAATCTCTAGTAATAGAAACAGTGTGGTTTTGGTGCAAGAAAAAATATATCATTAGGCCGGGTGCAGTGGCTCATGCCTGTAATCCCAGCACTTTTGGAGGCCCAGGCAGGTGGATCACTTGAGGCCAGCAATTTGAGACCAGCCTGGCCAACATGGAGAAACCCTAGCTCTACTAACAATTCAAAAGTAGCCCAGTGTGGTGGTGGGTGCTTGTAATCCCAGCTACTGGGGAGGCTGAGGCATAAGAATCGCTTAAACCTGGTAGTCGGGGGTTTCAGTGAGCCATGATAGTGCCACTGCACTCCAGCCTGGGTGACAGTGCCAGACCTTGTCCCCACCTCCACAAAAAAAAAAAAAAAAAAAAAAAAAAAAGACCATTGGAGTAGAACGGAGAGATCAAAAGGAAATTCATGTATAGATGGACATTTTAATGACAAATATCATACCCCAGGTCAATTGGCAGAAAATCAAATGGATTATTTAATACATGATGTAGAGAAAAATAAAATCGAGCTCAAACAAGGAGTTGAGGGTAATTGGGTGTCCATCTTTGGGGAGAGATGGGTAAAATGTGGTTGGAGATATGACACAAAGTGCTGTGAAATTGTTAGAAAAAGCACATTAAATGTACAAATGATAGCATGGATGCATCTTAAAGGCAGTGCTAAAGTAATGCAAAGTAACATTTATATAAGTTTAAAATAAAGACCCACAAAACAAAAATATGCGTTTCACAAAAACAGATTAAAAACAAGAATAGTTGCCACAGTGGATTCGGGGAGGGAACTGGAAATGGAAAAATAAATAATCATAAAAACATAAATTTTATATCCATGGCTGTATGATTTGATAGTACAGTGATAAAACATAAATTTTGTGTGTGCTTATTGGTGTTTCTTTTCCCCTTCCTTTTGAACTCAGGACATGTTTGGTTATGGGGAGACGCGATCTGGAGGAAAAGTCAAGTATTAAAGCCACTGGACAGAGCACACAGCCTCAGAAATGAAGTGCTTTGTTCAAGTGCACGTAGCTGGTTAAGTGGTGGTGCCAGGGACTCCGGACTCCTACTCTCGTGAAAACTCTTGTGCCTGAAAATTATTGTAAAATATCTGGAATTATTATTATTATTTATTTTTATTTTTTGAGACGGAGTCTCGCTCTGTCGCCCAGGCTGGAGTGCAGTGGCGCGATCTCGGCTCACTGCAAGCTCCGCCTCCCGGGTTCACGCCATTCTCCTGCCTCAGCCTCCCGAGTAGCTGGGACTATAGGCGCCCGCCACGACGCCCGGCTAATTTTTTGTATTTTTAGTAGAGATGGGGTTTCACCATGTTAGCCAGGATGGTCTAGATCTCCTGACCTTGTGAGCCGCCGGACTCGGCCTCCCAAAGTGCTGGGATTACAGGCGAGAGCCACCGCGCCCGGCCTGGAATTCTTAGTAAAAACATCTGGACAGCAAACGTGAATTTTTTTCCCACAGAGCAAGTTTCCTTGATTGTTCCCTTCTCAATATAAAGACAAAACTCATTTCAGAAAAATGTAAATAAGCAAACAGAAAACACACCATGATTCTGGCACAACCCCCCTTTTTTTTTAATTTGCAAAGTGAGAAACTGACACTAAGTCGAGGAGAAATTTCCTGACCCTGAGTCTTGGAACCTTCTTTTTTGGAGGAGACAATTCCAGAAAAATGGTTGTTCTGGAGCTAAAGACTTTAAAACCTGTTTTGTTTTTGTTTTACATTACTTTGGCATCTGCTGAGTTAAACAGTGACTAGAAAGTCAAGAGAACATCAGAGGCTGTGTGAAGCAGGCAGAAGGGCATGAAGTTTAATGGTGGAAACTGTAGAACCCCAGAGAGCTGATAGCTAAGGAGAAGTACCTTCTACAAAAATTTAACAAAAGGCGTTTTCTATGAAAGATCAGTAGTACTCCAGCCCTGACCCCCAGGAGGCCTTCGGGGGCCTCATGAGAGGCCAGCTATAGCTCTAGGTCCAACTCACTGTTTCACAAAAAGAGTTTTCAGAGATTTGAACCTAGACAATTTCAGAACAGGAACAAACCTTAGAACGAATCTATAAGTCATCCATCTTATAGATTCTGGGAAGATGGTGGTGGCATAGTTTTCAAATCTCTGAATCCCCACATAAAAACAGAAGAAAACAAAAATTTGCAAATCAATATTTGCAATAAAGCTAAGTGATAGTGTGTCTTGTTAGTAGAAGCCCCGCAAAAAAAGTGGATGAGGATAAACCAACAGTCATGAGACCTGCAGCAGCATCTGAGAGGGAGGAAGCAGAGGGCAGCAATGATGTGTCTAAGGAATGTGAATCTCTGAATACCCAGAGAACTCACTGGAGAGCAGGCAGACCGATTCAGCAGCAGTAGCTCAAATCAGAAGTAGTTTTGCCTACCCCAATGCTGATGAGTTTAAGCTCCACTCCCCAACCCCAGATAAGATCTCAAGGGCTGGCACAGCATAAACAGTGCTGTGCTGATAACTTGCACAACCTGATTTGTAGTGTTTGCTGATTTCCATGATGTAAACACTCTCATCACGGTCGATTGCAGGCTACCGACATGAACATGACGCTGGGAAGTGTTATACACAGTTGACTCTGATTGGAGGCAGCTGTGAACTCTGGGAAGAGCCAGGGCTCTTTTCCAGGACTGGCTGGACCTTTGGGAGTGAAATAAAAACTGAGCAGGAATAAGGACAACAGCAATGAAGGGAAGAGAAGGTTGATATAAAAAGTGGGGATGGAACAGAGCCAGGGCATTTCAGAGAGCAAGCGGCCATGCTTCAGAACACTACCCAAAAAACAAAGAATAGGGAGCTCTCCAAAGTTGGATGAGTTGCCTCTAACCGCCCCACCTTCTAGAAGTTCAGGAAAGGTAATGTTACATAAAAATGTACCGAGGTAAAATCCCGAGCAAAGTTATTATAAAGCATTTAACTCCATGGTTTCCAGACTTGTAGCACACGATAATCACTGGAAGCAAAAACGAAAACAGAGAATACTCTTTCTGTGCCATTTATTGTGGATATGAGGCCACACTCCTGACTACCTACAATAAGTTAAACTGACCTAACCAAAGCCATGACATTGACAGCTGTTGTCTTCAGCAGCCTCCTTCCACCCACTCAACTCGCTGCATCCTCCTAACTTTCTCCCAGTTTTCTAGAGATTTTCAGCTGCAGGGGTATCATGACAACTAATATTTCAGTGATTAATTTTAGCTGAGTAAAATTTCCTTCCCCAGTACTTTCATACAATAGCTGTAGTATTGTATGTTTTCATTGTATGACCCTCTAGGAATCACTAATGTGGGGATTTCAAAAAAAGTATAGGCTGGGGTAATGGGGAAGAAATTTTGGGTCAGAAGAGTTCAACAGTTCCAGTTCTTTGGCAGACTAGAAAGAAGGGCTGTTCATGTCCTTAGGAGGGGCAAGAACCGGGGACCCTTTGGGAATTGCAGTAGCACTTATTCAAGAACCATCTGCTTTGGGTGTGCACTCGGTAACTCAGGTTCAAAAACATTTGATTTTCAAGATTCAAATTCCTGGGTGTGGTAGCATACGACTATAATCCCAACTACACCAGAGGCTGATGTAGGAATATCCCTTAAACCCAGGAGTTCAAGACCAGTCTCGAAACCATTGTGAGATCCTCCTGTCTCATTAAACAAATAAACAAACAAAACAACTAAGAAAGTCACACACACAAAATTAAAATTCCTAAGAATGAAACTTTAATTGGTCTGTTTTGGGTCCCATGTCCATTCTCTTGGTGTATAAGTGGGATTTTATAATCAACAGCTCTGGACTACATGGAATTTCTCAAGAAGGGAAGCAAAAAAGCAAAATTATACAAGATGTCCACTGGAGGCATTTGTCTAAATTTGCCTGGTTCCAGTCAGCCTGATTAGGTAACTTGATGCATTTTGTTGAATGAAATCTAATGAGTAACTCAAGAAATTAAAATCGACCTGATGTGGCTGGTTCTCACGTGGCTTCTGTTCCATGCCACACTATCCCCGACACTGGACTTGGCACTTCTTTGCGTTGACTTTACAAAATCCTTTCACGCCCCACATCATTGATTAAAGATTTTGTGTTGAGACAGAGAAAATGATGATATTGTATGCCACAGAGCAAACAAACTCAACCAAACTCAAATCCTATTAAGAAACTACCCCAATGCCCATCAACAATAGAATGAACAATTTAGTATATATTTCCAGAATGAAATATGACATAGCATGAAAATAAATGCTCTAGAATGATGCAATGACATGGATGATGTCACAAACAATATTGTCGGACAAAAATGAGTATATGTTATATGATTCCATGTATATGAAAACAGGCAAAGCGAGTCCACGTTGTGCTGAGTCAGGATAGTGGTTGCCTCCTCGGGGGGAAGGATCAAGAGTGGAAATGGGCACAAAGGCAGCTTCTGGGGTGCTGTCCAGGTTCTGCTTCTTGATCTGGGTCTGGTTCCATGGCTGTGTCCTGTCTGTGAAAATTCATTCAGGTGTGTACTTACGATATGTGCACATTTCTGTTCGTGTATGATATACTCAATAAAAAGTTAAAGCAACTTTGACAGTCCTTCTCTTCCCACAGTGCCTCCTTGGTGGTCAGGCCAATCAGGGATGCTTCTGCTGTCAGCTGTTAGCTGCATCCCCACTGCACCCCTCATGCTCAGGGGTCCTGCTTTAAACGTGTGCGCATCTCTGCTCTGTACAGCTCCCTGGAAGTTGCAGTCTTCTACTGTAACTGCTTCTCTCTTGGGGGTCAGCCCTGCCTGGCCTTCTGGCTTCCCTGGTTCTTCCACGGTTCTTGTAAATGAAATGTCCTTCATCTCATGATGTTTTCAACCTGAGGAAAGTATTTGAAAATATTTACAATTTTGGATTCAAAAATTCTCTCCCTATGGGATAGATTAGGAGAAGAGATCTAGTAGTCCACTGACTTACAGTACAAACATATTTCTTCATCTTCCTTCTCTCAAGGAAGTTACATGCTAAGTACTAGGGGTGCTAGTCTAGTGATCGACCTTGTGATATTTGTGCTCATGAAGTTGCCCTCAGGTCTTTCCTGTATCCTCTCAGTTCCTGCTGTTTTCAGTACCTGCTGCTGGTGGATAAACACTGCAGCCCCCAGCCCTCAGGTAATACTCTGACGCGTGTGTATTGTGTGGGAGTCTTGAATTCCCAGAGGGATGAAAGCTCAAGCAGTCCACAGTTCATAATTTATTAACACATCTTTTCTTAGCTGCCTCTCTTCACTATGGCAATTTCCCCTTCCCCTGCAGCCCTGCAGGCATTTCCTAGGATCAGCTCCCAAAGAGACCAGCTCCACATGAATTCCTGCCTCAGAGTCTGAGCCTGGGGGAACTCAAAACCAAGGCAGTGATCTGCCTTTCCCATAAACATACACATGTGCCTGTGTGCACAGGTACACATGCACACACAATGAATTTTATTGGTGCGTGGCAGACATACCTTAACGTTACCCCCAGTGAGTCATGCCCTTTGTTTAATTCTCTCCCCTTGAGAGTGGAAGGAACCTGTGACTTATCTGTAGCCAAGCGAATATAAGATGATTACTCCTGTGACTGTGTTCCATTACAGCAGACTAGAGAGAGAGATTCTCTCCAGTTTTGAAGAACACGGCTACTATGTTTGAACTGTCTATGGGGTTTACAGGATGAGAACTGTGGCTGGCCTCTAGGAGTAGGGTCTAGTTTCTAGCCAACAGCCAGTGAGAAATAGGGGCCTCTGTCCCACAACCACCAGGAGATAAATTCTGTCAAAACCCAAGTCTGGAGCGGATTCTTAAAGCCTCTGATGAAAACACAGCCCTGCTGACACCCTGACAGCAGCTTTACATGACCTCAGACAAGAGGACCCAGCTAGGTCATGTGTACACTTTGGATGCACAGAAATTCAGAGATAACAAATGTGCGTTGCTTGAAGCTGCTAAGTTTGTGGTAATTTATTACGCAACATAGAAAACTGTTCTCTATGGGAACTTCTGACCAGAGTTGGAGCATTATTTCTTTCCACTCTAGGAATTTGTTGGCAGGGATCTGACCTCAAGGTGCCTTTCTTTCTTTCTTTTCTTTCTTTCTTTCTTTCCTTTCCTTCCTTCCTTCTTTTCTTCCTTCCTTCTTCTTTCTCTTTCTTTCTTCCTTCCTTCCTTCCTTTTTCTTTCTTTCCTTCTTTCTTTCTTTCTTTATTCTTTCTTTCTTTCTTTCTCCTTCCTTCCTTCCTTCCTTTCTTCTTTCTTTCGAGATAGGACCTCACTCTGTTGCTCAGGCTGGCGTGTAGTGGCATGATCATAGCTCACTGCAGCCTTGAACTCCTGTACTCCAGCAATCCTCCTGCCTTGGCCTCCCAAGAAGCTGGGACTACAGGTGCCAGCCACCAGGCCCAGCCCACTTTGCTCTTTGGTTTGTTTTGAGAACAGCCAATATTGCCACCCTTTCTTGTTCCTCCTGAATGATTTTTACTGAAAGTAAATTTTAGGATGGCCCAACAATTCTCTGTTGAATACGTATTTCTTCAATAATGCTTCTCCATCATTGCTTCTGCAGGGCTTGCCAACACAGCCTGATTTTTCCAACGTCAGGACCAGGTCAAGGCTCACAGGACCTTGTTCCATGGCTCATTTCAAAAGTCTGTGGGGTAAAGTTCTGTCCTTCCTGAACATGAGTGTCATATATTTAACTTATGAATTTATGCAATCTTCTAAAATGCTATAAAGCCGAAGCTCTCTCTTACTCTGCTATGAGAAATTTACCAGCATTATTTGGCAGCTCTGCCTATTTCCAAACACAGTTTTACAGGCTTCCAAGAACTTCCCTGCAGCTGTGGAGGCATTTTCTGGAGTGAAACCACATTAGCCTCCTCTTGTTCTTCCTTTCTGATATCTGTACTCTTTCCAGTCAAGATTCAAATATTTCTTCCTAGAGAGAGTGATGGGGGAAGCTTCTTCTGGCATCTCAGCATTTCAATTTGGCTAAGTAGAGCTGCTCCCTGGCTGTCCCACACCCCAGCCCTCATCTCTGTTGGCTGTTCCCAGCTTGGGCAATAGGCAGGCTTGCGTAACCCAGGCCAGGGTTGGGCCTCCATATCAGCAGGCTCCACATCTGCAGATTCAACCAAATGTGATAGAAAATATTGAATATTAGATTATTAATAAAAATAACAATATAGCAATAAAAGTTAATACAAACAAAAACAATACAGCATAACGATTATTTACATTGTGTTAGGTATTATAAGTAATCTAGAGATGATTTAAAGCATTTGGGAGAATGTAAGAAGGTTATATGCAAATACTACACCATTTTATGTAAGGGACTCAGGTATCTGAGGATTTCGGTGTCTGATAAGTGTCCTGGAACTAATCACCCACAGGATACTGGGGGATGACTGTACTGAATTCTCTCATGCCTCAAAAAGATTAGTCTTTTGAGAAATTTAGACAAAGTTAGGATCTTTAAAAATCACTTTCTGGTTATTTCCCTTCTCTATTATCACACTGGAAGTCAGAAAAATTAATATCCTATTAAAGCTGTAGTCACTTTGTCTTCTCCTGTGAATAGTTTTTCAAACTATGTTATATTTGCCCTCATTTTAAAAAAGTCTGCAAGTAGGATCCTTTCAAACTCTGGCTCATCACAGTCCATGGGTATTCCTAATATCAAGCATCCACACCACCCACGAACCCTTCACAGGAGCGGGCTGCTCTCTCTAGTGCTGGACTACTGCTGCTGTCACTCTTGATTCTGATTATCGGAGTCTGGTCAGGTACATTCACTTGATGGCTTTGTTCACTGACACAGGAGGGAGACATCTTGTCAAGGTGTTTCCATGCTTGGGATCTAAGCCCATCGCCCCTTCAGGTCCCCCTCTCACGCTCAGCCAGTATTCCCTGAAGCCCAGCCATTGGGCTGGGAGAGCTTGTTCCCAGTAGTTTGCAGAATCAGCCATGGGCTGAGCTGACGGCACCATACCCTCCCATTCTACAGAGCGCAGAGTGCTTCTCCTGCTCTGGAGCTGCTTAGGCAGATGATCCATCTCTCCCTGTGACAACTTTGTTTACTGTGACTCTCAGGAAATTTTAATCAAGCCTCAAAACTTTCTGTTAAATCCTTATCCCGGGACAATGACTGCCTGGGACAATACCTAGTTGCCATTGATTGACAGCAGCCATTCAAATGTGTTATTTCTTGAAAGGGCAGACTCACTACATGGGTCTAGGGACACATGTCACTGTGCTCCTAATTTAATACCTGTGTTGACACACAATTTCATGTCATCTGTTCCACAATCATAAAAAAGTCATTCCCCCCATGCCCCCACCCTCCATTTTTTAGGTGGGAAAACAGCCTCAAAGAGGTTAGTGAGCTGTTTAAAGTCACAGAGCTATTAGTTGCCAGGCCTGGGATTGTAACCCGAGTGCATATGACAACAAAAATCCATGCTTTTTCCTTGTCCTCTGACATAAAGAAAGAGAATATAAAGACTTGCCTCATGAACCTAAACACCTGAAACTGGAGCCTGTGCACCCCTTGTGCTCTGTAGAAATATGTTGGGTATTGCGGGATCTGGCCAGCAGCCCGCAATGCAACGGGGCTTTCTCTTTGTTCCCAGGCAGATCGGCAGGTTGAGAAATAATAGACACACACAAGATAGTGAAAGCTGGGTCCAGGGGGGTCACCGCCTTCTGGTCCTGTGGTGCCAACAATACACTGGATATACCAGCATTTATTATTAAGTTTAGTGAGGGCGGGGGTAGGTTAGTGAGGGATTTAGGGTTATTTGATTATGAGGTGAGATGGTCACATGGGGATGAAGTAATTCTTTAACATAACATTTGTATGTAGAAGTACAGTACATTTGTATGCAGAAGTACAGTATACAGAGATAAGAATTTACAACATAGTGTGTGCATCAGTAATTTCTAACAGAGCCTTAAAACAGAAACACAGTCTTTCCATAACCTATGATTAGCAAGATATTAGTCAGCAGTAACAATTGCCACAAAAGCTGGTTACAAACAACCCATGGAAACAGGATGTGAAGCTAGACAACTGGTTAGACCAGAAATTCTCAGAAGGGAGTATGCCTTAACCCTAAAGAGGCCTAGAAGAGCCATGGCAAGATGAGGGCGTTTATAGCCCTGTCTTATCCATATGGACAGCTGCCTCCCATGCGTTCGTTTATAGGCTCTCCACAAGGGTTGCATTCCATTCCCAGAGCTATGAACATCTGCTTTCCTGGGATAGGAATCTTGGTGATGTGAAACTTTCCTGACTGCACGTCCATTCATAGGCTCTCTGCAGGGGGAAGCACATCAGGGGTCTCCCTACAGTTGGGCAGTTTGCTTTGCTACTGGTTCTCTGGAAAAATATTTATTTTTTTAAAAAAATTTTGTGAGTATATAGTTAGGTGTATATATTTACGGGGTATGTGAGATATTTTGGTACAGGCATACAATGCATAATAATTACATCATGCAAAATTGGATATCTACCCCCCTCAAGCATTTATCCTTTGTGTTACAAACAATCCAATTACATTATTTTAGTTATTTTTAAATGTGCAATTAAATCATAATCAACTGTAGTCCCCCTGTTATGCTATCAAATACTAGGTATTATTTATTCTTTCTAACTGAAAAAAAATCTTAAAATGTATTTTCTTTCTTTTCTTTTTTTCTTTTTTTTTTTTAGAGACTACAGACAAGGTCTTACCTGTCACCCAAGCTGGTGCAGCATTGTGATCATAGCTCACTGCAGCCTCCAGCTCCTGGGCTCTAGTGAGCGTCCCACCTGAGCCTCCCAAAATGCTGGGATTGCATGTGCACACCACCACGCCCAGCCTGTATTTTTTTTAAATCACTTTGTTGAGGTATTATTGATATTAAAAAGCTGTAGATATTTAATGCATACAACTTAATGTGTTTGGAGAAAAGTGTACACCTGTGAAACCATTATCACATCAACTCAATAAACTTAGCCTTCACCTCCAAAAGTTTCCACCTGCCCCCTTTGTTTTATTGAAAGTTTATTTTCATTTGGATAATAATGTGTATTTAAAAACAGAGTTTTCTAGATAACGTGCTTGATTACTTTCTGAGAAATGCATTGGGATTTTCATGCTGCATTTTGCATTTATGTTAAAGTTCATTGACATCGAGTTGTACAGTAACTGAGATAATGGGAGAGAACATAAGCTGACTTCCTCTGGAACAGGGTGTGGAGTAGAGGCCAAGTGTTGCAGGGCTCTCAAAGAACAAAGGCCTTGCACCACTTCATCTTTAAATAAAGAAAAGTAAAGTAATATTTCAGCCACAAACTGACTGTCAAACCCCAAAAGAACCTGAACCACAGCAAGGCATTCCAGACTTGTTTCGTAAGCCAAGTTTAGTTGCAACAAACCCACATTCTCCATGAAATCAAACTTATCTGAGTTTGAAGTTTATTAGATATGTAGTTTATTTCTATTTAGTATGTCATTTTCTTGGTTTTATAAGAGCTACAAGCATAACGGACATATGCTTACTTTAAGGTTTGTATGAATTTAACATAAGAAGATAGTTCTCTTATACACTGGGGAACCACAAGAATTTTTCACTATAAAAACTGATCATTACTCACATTTGACAATATTTTTATTAAAGTACAATAGCCTTATTGTCTTTTTAGGAACAAAATATGCATGTTATAAAAAGTTAACTCTAAAAAATGTAAAGAGTAAATTTAACAGAGGTTACCTCAATCCCACCACTGCAAAAATAAACATTGTTAACAATGGTGACATGGCTTCAAATATCTACCTACATGCATGCAGATGGAAGGAGAGATAAAAAATAATTTTAGATATGGGGATATAGCAGATGCATCTATTTAAGATAAAAGTATCAGCTTTGATTTTTATATAAACTAAGCACCTATAGTGAAACTAAGGGAATTGCCTTTCTTTAAATAAATGTTTGCAGCAGAAAATATTAGTATCTGAAGAAGCATTTTTTAAACTTAAAAACCTCAGCTATTTTTATTATTATAAGTAATACATGTTTCAACTTTAGAGAGTATCTATTACCTCCTTACTTCAAAGTTAGAAAATTCATGCATTTATACTTTATTCTGTTTTCTCCCCCTTCATATTTCCAATGTAATTCTAATCTTTTTTTATATTGTCATGGTTTAAAACATTTACATTCCATTCCACTGCCATAAATCTCAGTTACTCAGCCTTAGCTCTATAATTAATTAGCCACCAATAATTTTAGTGCCTTTTTACTCTATTACATATAAAATTATTATTCAGACTTCTTTCTTTCAGAAGCTTGTAAATATTGCTTCACTGTCTTCTGACATTGAGCATTGCTGTTAAGAAGTCTGAGACTGACAAGATACTTATTCCCAGGTATTTGTCTTTATTTTTCCTATGTACCCAATAGATTCTTTACCCATAGAGTTCAGAAACCAAGATAGCATATGTCTTAGTGTTTATCATTTTGAATGAATTTTTCCAGGAACGCATGTGTCTTTTCAATGAGCAGATGCAGGTTCAATGAAATTTTCTTATATTTTATCTCTGAATTTTTTTTCTGTTCTATATGTTCTATTCTCTTCTTCAGGAACAAAAATTACACATTTGTTCCTTTATGTCTTCAATTTTTATCATTTTCTCTTTAACCACTTAAATATAATTGCTATTTTCCTTGTTTTGTTGTGATTTCCTCAAGCCAATTCACCATGCCACACGATTTTCTTAGTAATATTATTTCTCCCTTTAATTATTTCTACTCTCTCATTTCAATGCTAATTTCTTTCTTTTTCTTTCTACAATTCTGCCAGATCCCCTTATTATTTCGTCTCTGAGCTCTTTTTGGGAGAGGGGCATGGAGTGGATATCACGTTATCTGTAATTTATTTGAATAAATGGAGAACAATTTTTCTGATCTCCTCCCCTTATTCCCTGGCTTTTCCTATTGAGCTGTTTATCTGCTTTTCTTTTTTTCTATGCTAATCCTCCCCTTATTTTTGCAATGTTTATTCATAGGTATTGTGGTGATTCAATTTTAATTTGTAATACAAAAAAATTTTGTGTTTCAATGAAAATCAATGCATTGTTTCCTTTTTTTTTTTTTTTTTTTGAGACAGCGTCTCTGTCACCCAGGCTTGAGTGCAGTGGTGCCATCTCGGCTCACTGCAACCTCTGCCTCCCGGGATCAAGCAATTCTTGTGCTTCAGCCTCCCAAGTAGCTGGGATTACAGGTGCCCACCACCACACCTGGCTAATTTTTGTATTTTTAGTAGAGACGGGGTTTCACTATGTTGGCCAGGCTAGTCTCGAACCTGACCTCAGGTGATACACCTGCCTCAGCCTCCCAAAGTGCAAATTACAGACATGAGCCACTGCACCCAGTCACATCCTTCTAGATTATCAGATTCTAGACCTGTTCATTGTCTTAATTCTATCTTCTGAAGTTTTTGGAAGCAATAATAGTTTTAAATAAGATATGATCAATCAATCATGTATTTACTATTGACTATGAATTTACTATGACATAATACTCTATTCTAGAACCTTAAAAAGGTTTAAAGTCAAAGTCATTACTCCCAAATCCAGGATTCCACCTGCAGATTTCTTTTTGCTCCACCTTGTCCCTAAAATTTCCTCTCCAGCTGTCTTCATGGGGTCCTTGGGCTGCAGGGCAGGGCCTTGAGGTTGCTCATAAACTTCTACTTTCATAACCTGCTTATATGTCTGTACTGTCTGTTCCTTGGTTCCAAGATAGCCTGAAATGACTGTCCTCAAGTAGGATACATATCTGATCCACTATTATTGTGCATACTCTTTTGTTTCATATTCACTTACTTTTGTAAAAGTTCTCAGTGACTTTAGAGACTGATTCTTGACTTAGGGAAGTACACGATCCAGATATAAACAGAACAAGATAATGCTGGAGCTGGAAGGGATTGTTTATTCCAGGGTTGTCAACTGGCCCCGTGGGCAAAGGTCAACAGACCTGCTTTGTTTGGCTCTCATATGGTTGAAAGAAATTGATTTCCGAGCTCATTTCCCAGTTCAAATTGCCCTACAAGAGACCACTCCACTTATTCACATCTAACTAAACCCTATAAGCGTTGGGATTTAGTTTAAGGCCCCCATTTTATAGATAAACTGTGGTTTGGAAGAGAGACATATATTCGCGATCACAAAGATTTAAAATGGAGACAATAACATTTGCTAAGCATTTATGGCAGGCCCCATTCCAAATGCATCACATATCTTAACTAATTTAATCCTCAAATCCCGGAGAAAAGAAAACAAAGGCTCTGACACTGTAGGCTAAATGTCACCCAGCCAGTTTGAGGCAGAGACAGCCAGTTCTAGTGTGGCTTAACTCTTAACCCTTTGCTCTTCCCACCATAATAAACTGCCATGAGCCGTGGCTGGAGTCATATAAACGGGCACATCTCAGGAAACAACATTTACCTGAATTTTCTCTTGCATCAGATGCTTCTCTAGTCTCAGTTGAGACTCCTGGTTCTAAATTATTGCAGTAAGGCCTTAGGATAAAATTTCCCAAAGCGTGGTCCTTGGTCCCCTGGGTTGAGAACCACTCTGCCCTACTGCCCTTTCATGTACAGTGGGCCACAGAATAAGACTGTCTAGTTTGTGCACTGCACAAAGGCACACAACTAAGAGGACAAGAAAGGGCTAAATTCCAGCCTGTCTTGATTCTGAGAGACCGTGGGGCTATGTTTTCTTACAAAGAAGGGGCATCTTTTTTTTTTCAATTTCTACAAAGCCACCACATGGGTGAGAAGTGGTTCTGTCCTTCAGGTGAAGCTGCGTAAATTCCTGGGCTCTAGAGGAGTTACAGGTGATGACTTAGCTAAGTTAATCATCACATTCCATCCTCCTCGCTACCTTAATCTGTTGGAGAATGAGCACATAACTCATGTAGGGCCTTTCCTGGCCAATGGGGCTTAACTTGGAGGCTCCTGTTTAAGGGTTGTGGATCTCTTTCCTGGTAGAGGTGAGGCTGGACCTGCTTCAGCCACCTTGCATTAGACGGGGCCAGAAAATGAAGCTAATCCCCAGCAAAAAATAGCCACAAAATAGAGGAAACTCCCGTCTGGTAACTTTGTTGAGCTGTTGGTCAAGTTATACCTGAAGCTCAAATATACTTATGGAGTGTGGAGTGACACAAACCTATACATTTTTTTTAATGGTGAAACAGTCTGGCTGTCAGTTGTGACCAAAGGAGGAGGGGAAGCATAGCACCTATTCCATACACACTCCAACACATCCCTGTTCCCTGTGCCCCTTGCTGGCTTTATGTTTTCACCACAGCTCTTGTCATCCTCTCATACTATGTCCTTTACTTATTTAGTTTGTTGTTTGTCTACATCCTCTCCCCATCCGTGATGAAATGGATACTCTATGATTGCAAGGAATTTTATCTATTTTGCTCACTGATGGATTCTCAGCTTCTAAAATGAGTTCTTGGCGCACAGCATGCATTCAATAAAGATATGTTGAATGATATATCCACTCAGTGAATTATTGAGGATTATTAAAGTTTTACATACATAAATGAAAATCATGACAGTTCTAGAATTAACTCCGTACTATCCCAGGCTTCCAATAAGATGGGTGACTGCTTATCCATGCCTTTCCCAGCGTATGTGCACATGCAGACTGTCAGCATTTCAGCAATTTCAGGGAGGGAGCCTTGTTATTATTACATTGCCAAGATGGTCTTAAGTTGGTGATCCTTTTCAATTGGAACTATTTTTAAATATATTGTATATATTTTTATATATTGTAAATATTTATAGAATGACTTGACTTTATTTTGTCTCAGTAGATTTGCTATCTGTAATTTTTTTGATTTTTATTTTGTTCATCTCTACTTCTTTGCTATCATGAGGTATTTTTCCTCTTGAAAAAGCAAATAAATTAGGAGAGGGAGGTGGGCCATGATGTTCCTTTTTTTAACTTTCATATGTGCCACAGTCAGAAAAAACTGAGAGCTTCTACCTTTCTGAGATATTCTCAGCCATGTTTCCTTTGCATTTCTTTTTCGGTTCCTACAGGTAATACTACAGAGTCTTGCTCAGTCACCCAGGCTGGAGTGCAGTGGCGCGATCTCGGCTCACTGCAAGCTCCGCCTCCCAGGTTCACACCATTCTCCTGCCTCAGCCTCCTGAGTAGCTGGGACTACAGGCACCCGCCACTACACCTGGCTAATTTTTTTGTATTTTTAGTAGAGACAGGGTTTCACCATGTTAGCCAGGATGGTCTCGATCTCCTGACCTTGTGATCTGCCCGCCTCGGCCTCCCCAAGTGCTGGGATTACAGGCATGAGCCACCCCAATTTATCTTTTATCTCTATCATGCAGTCTGATAATTTTGTTTGTTTCTCTGACAGTGACTTGCCCAGAACCCTCTTAGGAGTTGGTGGTTGCAGTTTTGCTGAAGCTAACTATATGCTTTGAAAGAATGAGCCTTTTCCATTTGCCTGTCACCTTATCTGAAATATCACTATTAGGAGACTTACCTTTTCGGTTATCCAGCCTTTTTATACTTGAGAGGAGCAATACATTATTTCTAGTGTTTTCCTCTTTGACAACCAAAAGAATGACAAGGGCGTGATGAAGGAAGGAAGAAGAAAGGAAGGGAGAGTAGAAGGAGAACTGGTTAGGGCAGAGGCTCCATGACTTCCTTTTCCCCCTTCTTTTTACTCTTCTTTCAGCCAGCACTCAATAGCTGCTAAGATGAGAGGGAATGTTCTCAGACTAGGGAATATGACTTGGTGTGTTTGCCGGTTGGCAGCACATCATGGATGAAGCAAGTGGTGATCTACACAGCCTGAACTGCATGGCCAACCCACATGGCCTCTCTTGTATGGTGGCATTTCCCTCTAAGGAATGCGAATGTGATCATACCACAGCCATATGCTATAATCATTGAGTCCATATTTGCTTCTGTTTACATGACCACTCAGATTCGTGACCTGGGGAGTCATATATCTGTTTGCAGGCAAAATCACATCCTTATTATTGAAGTAACCACCTCATAAGCCATTGCAAACCTCACAGGGCAAAGAGAGTCACACAAGGCCACACATGTTGTCAGTGGCAGTGGGGGAGAAGAGTGTCCAGGGTCCAGGTCAGCTCCACCATACCTGCTGTGACTGTCATCCCCCTCATAAGCTGAGAAGCACTTACAACTAAATAGCACCCACTCGCCCAACCTTGCTCAGAAGTTGGCAGGCATGTCACCTGCATCTCTCCTCTCCTTGAACCAGTGCTGTTGCTGGGGTGGAGGAGGCAGAGACTCAGATGAAGGAGACGAAGAAGCACTTGGGTGTATTTCTTGGTCTTATTTCACTTTTCCACATTCACCATTACTGAACTGGAACACAGCAACCTCTTATGTACACAATGGTTTATTAAAGGAATGTATGGCCCACATCAACCTAGCAAGGATTCTACTGGTAAACCTTCCCATGGCCAAAGGAAAAACAAGCAGGAGTTGAGTGGCTGGGGTGGGGTGCAGGCAATGGAGAGAGGGCAGAAGGGTGTAGAAGCTGAAGGGGTCTAGAAGCTTACTCCTGAGTTTCTTCCTTCTGTCTTCAAATCTTTACTTCTTATGGCCAAAGACCCAGCTGTTTCATAGGCTGGAGATGCACTCTTCTAGACTGCTCGAGACAGCCAGAGACAGGGGAGGAGGGAAGAAGGATACTGTGGAAAGGGATGGCGGGGCAAACATTTAGAGCTAGAAGCCACTACTGGGCCAATGCTAAAGTTTCTGTCTCTAAGCCTAAAAAAGCCAGTGTAGTAGGGCCCTTATCACTCTTAGTTTGCTAGGTTTCCCCTCTGAAATAATGAGCAGATTTAGCCAGGCTAGCAGAAAGGAAGAGGACGGGGCTGTGCAGGAGTTAGCAGAATCTTGATTCTTGCTCTATGGTCGGTACTTGCACAGGAAGTGTTGGCGCTTGTTGCATTCGTTGCTGCTCCAAGTTAAAAAGTCTGTAAGAAAATAAACAGATATTTAAATCCATTCAGTACTATACTGAGCTTGCCAGAGTTATCTGGGTGTTTTTCTTGGAAGCATAGATAAGGCAATATGATGGTTGACTTTATGTGTCAACTTAGCTAGACTATGATGTACAGTTGTTTGATTGCTGCGAAGGTGTTTTTTAGCTGTGATTAACGTTTAACAATCAGTAGACTTTGAGTAAAGCAGATGGCCCTCCATCATGTGTGTGGGCCTCCTCCAATCAATTGAAGGCCTTAAGAGAAAAGACCTGTCTCCCAAAGAGGAAGAAATTCTGCCTCCAGACCGTCTTTGGACTCAAGACAACAACATTAAGTCCTGCAAGAATTTCCAGGCTGCTGGCCTGTCCTGCGGTTTTGAGACTTCACAGCCCCCACAATTGCATGAGCCAATTCCTCAAAGTAAATCTCTGTCTCTCTATATATACATCCAACTACTTCTGTTTCCCTGGAGAACCGTAATACAGATACCAACTTTCCCAATGAAAGAAAAACACTTGAAATGTCACACACCATGGCAAAAGCTCCACTCCAGCACTGCTTTTGAGGAAAGGCAGGGGTTGACATGAATCAACTGAGAATGAGGGGCTCTTGTGTTGAGGCAGGATGCAGTGAGGATCTGAGTGTGGCCTGTCCTCAAGCCCACAGCTGAGGCTCTAAGAAGCTCCTGTTCAAAGTTCAAAGAACTGAAAGCTGCTAAAGCCATTCACATCCCAACAGGCCATCTGCTTATGAAAAAGGAGAGAGCCCAAGGCGGAGGTGGCCTTTTGAAGGACTGAAGTATTTTTGAGGTGAGATCCAACTATTTCCCTCCCAGAAGCCAAGCTCCACAGCATCACTTGTCTTCCATGGGTGTCTGCAGCAGAGCGAGGAGTTGTTCCCTGGCTAGGTGTCTGCTTGGGCCCTGACCTGCAGATCTGGCCCTGTTCCCAGTGCGTGTGGGTGGGTGAGAACCCTGGGGAGAGGAGGGGGTGAGGTGTGCCCCTCCCACTCCTGGTTCTCAGGAGCCACAGAGGATGGGGCCTGCCCATGCCTGCATCCATAGTGCTCAGCGCAGGAGCCACAGAGTATAAATGAAACAGGGCCTGCAAGCTTGTGGGTACTTTCACAGTGTGGGGCAAAGAGAATACGGCACAAGGCCATGGGCCAGGCTTGAGACTGACTGTCTCATCAGCAGGTCCTTTTGAGGTTGCTGCCCATTGAGCCTGTGGATAAGCTAGAATAGCAGCTTCAAACAATCAAGCACAGCCCAGCTCACTATAGGCACTAAGCAAGAGGTCTGCTTTTCCCACCTCATCAGAGGCGGAGTGCAGGGAAGGGTGACTGAGAAACCTTACTTTCCCTTTTCTCCAGGCCACGGAGCCATTAGCCTAGCTTGCACGTGATAAGCATGCCACATGTATTCAGATGATTAGGGCGATTATTTCCTCCTTTTTATAAGGAGGCATTTGAGGCACAGAGAAGTCAGAGATCTGCACAGGGTCACACAGCTCAGCTAGGAGGAGCTGGAATTCTACCCTGGGCATTCAGAATGCAGAACCCATGCTCTTGACCTCAACGTATACTGAATATGAAATTTCTTTTCCAACTGCAAAACCCAAGTTATCATTATTAAATGTCTCAAAGTGGACCAGCAAAACATCAGGAAACATTGCAAGCTGCAATTTTCCAGAGTCACAAAACACATTTTGATGTAAAGGGGAGAGTCAGAAAGGGTGAGAGAGGGACACACAAAATAAAATGCTCTGGAATTCTTTCTAAAGAGTTATAAAAAAGGAACAGCCCTGTCACAAAGAGAGAACAAGAATGTGTGTGTGGCTGTATATTGGGGCATTAATATACATTTTGAATTAAAAAAAATAGAAACTGAGTGGGGAGCAAAATCCATTGTACTGATGTGGCTGAGGGGGATGGGCTTTTAAATTCTACCTTCCACCAGTTTCTCTCAAATCCTTGCTTCATTCCTTGTGCTTTTCTGCCTTGAGAGCCTGTGTTCTGACAGCCACGAGCTGGGTAAGTAACCATGGGAAAGGAAAGGAACCCAAAGACGTGCTGTTCTCAGAGAGCTTCAGGCTTCTGGTTCCCATCCACACAACAGAGGCAACTTCGCTACTGAATTTTGCTGATGTGATCATCGACTCACAGGGAAAGGACTTTCGTTTGAGGACTTTGTCCAATGGGAATGTCAGAATCTGGGGAATGTGAGGGACTTAGGGAGGCATCTGGTCTACTGCTCCCAAAGCAGGTCTGGCCTCCAGTCCCAGAAATTCTGATGCTGCAGGTCTGAAAACGAATCCCTGATATTGGTATTTTTACAATGTTCCTCATTTGATTCTTTTGTGCCATGGAGCCTCGCTTCTAACACTTAATGCGTCAACTGCAATAACAACTACAATGTCCACCTTTTGCTTGGTTAACTCTGGTTATAAGGTTTCTCACTACTTCCTGGGGTAGCTCATTATGTGTTTGAGCAGTGCTAACTGTTTAAAATTTTTTCCTTGATTGGAGTAAAAATCCACTTGTTGATAGCCTCTACCTATTGGTTTTGGTTGTGTTTTTTCCATTTGAGCCAACTTCTGCCTTGAACAGCAGCAGCTGTGCTCTCACTGGTCTGTGAAAATCCCCTCTATGGCTGTTTATCTCTGAGGGCTTTCCTCAGAGTGTGTCTCCTCATGCCTGCCCTTTGCCTCATGCTGTTAGAAAGTTTTCTCACTCTCTCTTTCCTTCTTATAAGTTTATTCCTCTGACAACAGTAAACTGCCCCCATGTCCTGCTGGGGATGACCAAGTCCCTCCCTACCCCAGCCCAATAGCTGAGACCTCAGCCCAGGCCTGCTCCAGGCCGACTTCTTGGCTGGCAGGGGGTCCTGGTGTCACTATGATGGCCTATTAGACCCACTGGGATATTCTCAAGTATACGACCTTTGGCACTGAGTATTCTTTAATATTCTGTGATCTTGTACAGCTGAAGTTTTCTACACCGCTTATTAATCATGGTTCTCACCAGGGGGTGAATTTGCCCCCCACAGGAAACACTTGGCTATGCCTGGAGATATTTTTGATTGTCACGACCTGGGAGGAGGAGTGCTACTGGCACCTACTGATTAGAGACCAGGGATGCCGCTCAACCTCCTGCAATGTACAGGATAGCCCCCACAACCAAGAAGTATCCAGCCCAAGATGTCACCAGTATGAATGCTGAAAAGTCTAACTCATGAGCATAAAGACAAAGAATGAAAGCAGGCCAGAGAAAGGAGAAGGCTCACGCGAGTGTGTGCAGCCTGCGCTGAGCTTCAGGCCACCACATTCTGGGGACAGGATTCAGGGAAACAGACAGAAGGGAAGAACTCAGGCAAAGACCGGCCTTCCAGGGCTCATGGCAAACCCTCATTTTAAAGAAGTCAGAAGAGATTTATCTGTTTTCACCACATATATTTACTCCCTGTGGTCTGGGCTTCCCAAAATGGGATATATATCCCTCTCATGGTATAGAATGTGATTTTAAAATAAGTGTATTTCAGAAAAAAAATGAATGGATTTAAAGAAAATATTGAGTAAATAACAGAACAGCTGGTACATTGATGTGACAAAGACTGTAAAGTGATCACAAAGGACTGAATGTTGGTAACCAATGTCTGTGGCAAGGCCACTGCCTTGCTGGAGAAAAGAGTTGTTGGTGTGGAATGAGGAGGGCAGTGGTCCCCTGTGCCTATTTTTGTGCTTACTAGGTAAAGGGAAGAGTCTGCGCATTGGGAAGTGGTGAGGGGTGGTGCATTATAACTTACTGTTATTGGAGCTCATCTCAGCACAGTGCTTGTTCCCACCCATGGACTTGCCAGACCAGGATCTGTACAGATACATGGCCCCATCAATCCACTGCCACTGCTGCCTCTGCAACAACAGGAGATGGAGAAGTGTACAGCTCAGCAACCCACCTGCCACAGCCAAGGAAGTCCCCTCAGTCCCCTTTAAAACATGGTTTTCATTGCAAACATTGGGAAAGTACAGAAATGCTTAAAGAAGGAAAAAGAGAAAGTCATTCCACTCAACCGCTAATAGGAAAACATTACCAATATTACTGCAAAAAATAGAAATAGATGTAAATATTTACTCCATCTGAATGACAGGGTTCTGATTGATAGCAATGTGAATACATAAAAATGTAAAATTTCTGATAGTCAAATAAATGACATTAAAAACGAAATAATTGTATAAAATATTTGTAACAACTATGGTAAAGGATTATCTGTTTTTCTGTAACATAATATTTAAAAAGAGAAAAAGCCATAAGATGTTTATAGACAAGTACTAAAGGATGGACACATACATATTCGTGAAAGAGGTTGAACGAATGTGTGGTATCTTCAGCAGTTTTATTAAGAAGCAGGAAGTATGGGGCTTCCCGCTTTATGTTCCCTGTGTTTGTCTGAGTCAACTAAAGAAGCCCCACCAAGAATCTGTGAACTGAAGACCCCACACCTAGACCTCATCAACCAGCTGTTCCTTACAAAAACCACTCACGTCATTTCTTACAAGAAGGTATTGATGAAAAGAACAGGAAGTTACAGTGAAAAACATCAAGGATAACATAAAAAAAATTACAGCATCTAAAAAAAAAGGCTAGCTGAAAGTTTTCAACTTTAACTCAAGATCCAATGGAGATTTGATTAATCTGTCTCATAATAGGCCTGTGTGCGTACACACACACACACACACACACACACACACACACACACTTTTTAAGGCTCTAGAAAGCTGGTAATTTTGTGTTCTGCCATTCAGGAGGGCCTTAATTAGACAAAGGTCTATACAATGGAGTCATTTAAATCATATCCTCCACCGAGGGCCAGAACTGGGCCCCTGACCTTGAGACTTTGGTCTCCGTCAGCTGGAGGCACATCTGGAGAAGATCCACCCGCTGTGTCCTTGTTATAGGCCGGGAGGCCATTCCCCAAAAAGAGGATGCCAGCCTGGCTTTCCCAAGAGGGCCTTTGTGGCCAAGTCTGAGGTTACCTTCTGTGGGTCGTGCAGGCCAATCCATATCGGCTGGCTTCTCTGATAGCCACTTATGTACTCTGCTATGGTGCTGGCTTCCTTTAAACTCAGGATAGATGCCAGGTGGGCTCCGTTTCCGTAAGACTGACACTCGAGCTATGTACAAGGAGAGGTCCTGTTAATTATGCCTGCATGTTTAAAGCACAGCCCTCCCCTCAGAACGCTAGCGTGCCAAGAAGGAGGGACTCACGCAGCCCCCACTTCCTCCACACATCGTGCTCTAAGCCCCACAGAAGGCTTCCTGCCACCCTGGGAAAAAACACAACTGCTGCAGCGTTCGGTCTCAGAGAAAGAGGCAGTACAAGGCCAGGGCAAGAGATTTAGGGTCTGAGGACGTGCCCGGGGTCCTGGTCTTGCCTCTCAGTGGTTTATGTGACCTTGACAAGTCACTTCACCTCTCTGAGGCTCAGTTTCTTCATCTGTAAAATAATTACTGCTACCTAGGACCTGTCATGAGGCCTATTGTATTATAGTACTGCATTTCAACAGATCTAAGAAACTGCTGATTGTAAAATGTGCCATTATTTTGTGTCCCACGAAGAAAGAAAATAAAATCACTGTCAATGAATCTATGATACACAGTGACACAGTGTGTTTGTAGCACACTCCTGATTTTAGAGGTGTCAGTATGTGAACACAATGTGCATCAGAGAACAGGCATTATGGCAGTGCTCTTTGCGGGACACCTCCAACACACTGGGCACCTCACATTCGGTCCTAACAGCAGCCTAAGTAGGTGGGGCCCACCTTTAGTTTATGGATGGGGAGAGAGAGGATCAGGAATGGGCAACTGGACACAGGAAGAGAGCCCAGCTCTCCCTAATTCCTAAGCCTATATTGTGTTTATTTTAATTATTATTACCCTATATTACATAAGAATAACACACTGTAAATTGTAAACAGTGGTCTGTAACTTATTTTGACTTGCTAGTGAATGGGCATGGATCAATTGCCTAAACATGTGAGGTGATCCTCCAGAGGAGAGGAGACTGCTCCCCGTGCTGGTGTAGAATTCCTGCTGATTGGAGGTGAATATGCCCACCCCTTTGTCTTTCCTCAACAGTAACCATGCCTCCAAATCTGGTTGGATTTTGGGGGTTTCCTGGGCACTAGAGGCAGATATGTAACTATCTGCTTTGTTGCAACTTTTAAAACTTTCAGCTCTAATCCCAAATCTGTTTTACTTCTGTATGTCTGCATATCGATCCCCAATTTTTCCTTCTTCCTTTGCAAAAGTGCTGTCTTCTTTCATATCCAAGGCCATGCAATCTGAATTTTTCTTGTGGGCAAATAAATGGTAATCACTCACTGTTTTAAGGATTGTATGAAACACATGACATGATAAATTCTTATTCTGTAACCAGAAACCTATTGTTCAATTAAACACGGCAAATGTTTATATATATGGGTGTATGTATATAAACTTTATTTTATTCTCTTCTGGGGTTGTGTTACATGACAAGAAATTGAATTAATTCAATAAAATTTTAGTTCGGGTTGCTTAGGTTTTTACTGCTCCCATTCTTGCTTTTACTAATTTATCCAAGATTAGATGTGATTACTATTTAATAATAATTTAGTCCTCACACTTACAAACCACTTACAATACCAGCATGCTTCTATCACTGTAATTCTATTCAATTCTCAGGCCCATGAGGCATGCCAGCCAGACGACCAGACAGCATTTATTGAGTGCCCACTCTATACCAGCCACAGAAGATCCTGTGTCAGAAGGGGAAACAGGTTTGGAGGCTTGAAGTATGTACGTGATAGCCTCCCTCCCAGTCCACACAACTGGTACTGCTGGGGCTGTAACTAGAACTCAGGCCTCTGCCTCTCAAGCTCAAGGTCGGATGTCCATGTGCTTCTCACGTTGCCTCCATCAGCTTCCAGGGGTCTCAAGAGCCAGCCATGCAAGAAGAGCCAAGGGCGGTAGCAACACTGGCGAGGAATCAGGGAGCCGCACAGCTCTTGTTGGGTTTGAGGGGTCCTCTTTGGCTTCGCTGTCCTAGCACCCTCTCTGCACCTTGGTCCTGTTAACTTTGTTAAGGTTCAGTGTCAATCCTGTGGGCTGTTCTTTCTTGAGACCCTGAATTGGCATCTACCATGTGGCATAGGCTTTATGCGAGTCGTTTTAATGAATCCTCCTGACAAGTCCATGAGGTAAAAAGTATTATCCCACTTTCCAGTAGGGAAACAGGTAAAGGGAGGTACCTAGGGAGTGGCAGAGTAGTGATGTAAACTCAGGTCTCTATTACTCCTCGGTTCCCAGACATCTTCCTCTTTGTTCCCTCTGTTTTCATAGAGAAAGTCTATTCCTCTCCACGAGCTCATTTTCTTTCCTGGGACAGAGTCTGGGAAACCCTTTCTTCACTCTGTTTCTCTCCCCTTTTTATACAATTATTCAGGACTCAGCTCAGACTTTGCTGGGGTTGCTGTGTCAGTTACTCTCAGTGTAAACTTGGGAAAGTCATTTATACTCATGCTGTATGGAAATGTTCTGTTTAAATGTCGCAATCCTGCATTAATCCTGGGCTTTCTAAGGCGGGAGAATACCTTCATAGCCTCAGTAGCTGGCATGTGGTAGGTGCTTCGTTCTTGTTTTTTTGTTTGTTTGTTTTGTTTTCTGTTTTTCATTGTCTAGTTTTATACAGGGATTGTAAGACCGCATAGGCCCAGATCATGCCAAATGTACCTATATGGCTCCCCCAATTAATCACAATTCAGCAGCATCCACTCCCCATATGTGGCTGAGATAACTTACTTTGACTGTCTATTTGGTTATCTCTCAGACAAAGCTTCAACGAAATAAAATGGACAGGTTTGTGGACTGTGTAGAGCAGCGGAAAAGTTTCCACATTTTCTTGGACTGCTTCACCTTCTGTCAGCGGCTCCAAGGTGTCTGCTCCAGGCATGTCTACACACCACTCTCTTTCTGGTAAATCTTGTACAGAAACTCCATTATCCTTTCTGTGAATTCCTCATCTTCTCTTCCTCCTTTGATTGATGTATTTCTGTCTCCTTTACTGACAGTGAGCTTGCTGAGGGTAGGGGCTCTTTCCTATGTATCCGTATGTGCTTGTAGCCCATCTAGGGTCTGGCATACAGCACCTGCTTCAGCAATGCTTACAGAATTGAATGAGTTGAACACACAACCCTCTTCTCTCCATTTCACCAGCCAAAGGGGCTTCTCTTCATAGTGCCCAGGAAGGACACTTGATCCTGAATCAAATGAGATCTGGGGCTCTGGCTGGTCCTTTGCTCTAGAAAGGCCAGGCCAAGCAGGCAGCAAGTTTCTTACCTCGGCATCAGACCAGTTCCTCAGCTTCCTGAAGTAACCATAGCAATTGGACTTGTGGTAAAACCATCCAGGAGCACAGCTGGGTCTCATGATGATATCTGCACATAAACAAAAGGCAATTGCACATTATGATAGCAAAAACAATCAATTCCCAGACTTGATACAGTTTGCAATCAGGAACCCCTTGAATGAAGAGAGTCCCTTCATGAAGGGTCCTGCTACACTGCCAAAAATGTATACAGCTTACCCTTCTTCTGGCTTTTCCCAAAGGGACCTATGGCCTTTTACCAGTGTGACTGTGTTTCTGCGATTACTGGACACTGCCTCTGAACAGACATTAATTCCAAGAAAACGTCACTGCGGTCCACCAGTCAGAGTAGGGGTTATGGAAGTCAGGTGATCAATGGAGTTTTAGCTTGATCTGCCTCACAGTGGGTCCAGTGAGTCCAGTGGGTCCCCTGAACCCATGCTGTGGTTATCTCCCCAGTTCTGGAATGCATAATTGGAATATACATACATACATAATTGGACTAGATAGACACTCATAATTGGAATAGATTCTCAGCAGCTGGCAGAATCTTGTATTAGCAGTGAAGGTCAAATAACTATAATTTAAGGCATCACAAGAGTGGATGAGGGACACAAATTGGTAGTTTGGAGCATTCCAAGGAGGGAGGAGTCACTTTGGCTTGGGAGACAAGGGAAGGGTTACATGGCAACTTGACTGGAACTTGAGCATAGGTGGGCTATGTGTCAGTACTGGGGGAGGGAACATTTTAGGCAAAGGAGGCAGGAATGTGTGGGGAAGGATAGAAACAGCAAGCACTTAAGTCTGCCTTAAGTACAGGGTGTCTGTCAGGCAACCATGGCAGAAATAGGAAAGAGCCAGGGCCTAGAAGCAAAGGAATCCATGATTCAGGGAGGCACATGCTTTTCCTGCTAGTCCATTGGTGAATGTGCCATGTCACTGAATCTGAAGGTTTATAAAGAGGGGGAGATGGCTGGATGTACAGAGGCATCAGGTGATCAAGGGGATGTCAAGCTAGCAAGTGTAGGCTTTGTGACTATGTGGCTACCTTCTGACACCATGGTGGGTGAAAAGTGTTTCCTTCCATAAGGGAGGTCCACAGACTGCAGCTGTCATAACAGCATTTTCTCTCTCCTCATTCAAATGATACTACTGTCGCTTGTTTGCCCCACTCTTCTGTTTTATTTCAGCCCCTGCCTATGCATCTCCCAGGGCTCCCCATTGCTTTCAGATGAGCTCTCTGCTCGTCTAGCATGTAAGAGATTTTATAACCTGGTTGTATGCCCCTATCCAGCCACATCCTTCTATGCCATAGTCCCAGCTCCGTCTTGGAACACGAATGCTCAGTGTAGCTTTAGATCCTTTGTATGTGCTATTCCTTGTACCTATGAATAATGAATAATGACCAACCTAACTACGGCAAGGCAGGAAATGTTTCAGTGAGTATGTCAAATATACTACAAACAAACAGCAAAGATATTCATGTATTTAAATGCTTCATCTTCTACTACATTCATAAACATGAACATAATTTTATGATAAATAAAACACAGCCTTTATGCCATTGCCGTTACTACTAGTACCACTGTCACTAGCTTTTGTAAATAAGGTGCTTGACTTTCTATCATCTCTCTGTTCTCTACCTGTCTTTGCACTCTGTCTACATCTCGGTCTCTTTTGTCTCTGTGTTTCTGTGTGTCCCTCCTTGTCTGTGACTGTTTTCTGCTCTCATTCTTTTTTCTCCCCCTCCTCCTTCCTCACTTTTCTATCTCTCTCCCCTCCCCTTTCTGCCCCTCACCCTGCAAGGTGCTTTCTTGATGCCAGGCACCATGTTAGGTGTTTTATCCATATGGCATTTTTATCATAATTGCTTGAGGAGGTGAGGAAACAGGCTCAGGATGGTCATCTGCCCACGGTCACACAGTAAGATGGAAAAGCTGCTTTGCAGATCCAGTTCTCTATGATTTAAAAATCTATGTTACTGCCACCAACCCTCCCAACCTTTATAAAAACGAGAAATTCAAAACTTAGCAACAGAAATAATTAATTGGGCTGCCTTGATTATTTTCTCAGGAGGAAAAGAAATCCTTGCACTTTACGTAAAAATTGATCTTCTTAAGAGAAGGCTGGCCATTGATTACCAGAGGGCAGATAATGACATGGGCTTAAATTTCAGAAAGGGACAGCTGCGAAAACATGCCTTCCAATGTAATACCAGTGAGACTGTTCTGAAAGAGGTGGCAAAGAGGAACCCAAATTTCTGACCTTTGGCCCGAGGACAAAGACCCCTGGCATCACACCTGGTGCTCCTGGTTTGGTCTTGTGCACTCTGAAGCAACTGTCCTTGGCCTTCCGTGAGCAAACATGTTAGGACAGACCCTCTACCACCACGGTCTTTGTTTCCCCTGGATCCAAGCCATGAAAGCAGAGGGCCGAGGGACACACGCAGAGGACTTGGAAGACCACGCCGGAGCCCAGACAATCATGACTCTCTCTCTTCTCTTTCTCCCCTTTCTCTGTCTCTCTTTGTGTTTCTCTGAGTGCTGCTCTCTGTCTTACCATCTCTCTGTTTGTGCATCTCTGTCTTTGACTTTCTATGTATCTCTCCGTTCTCTCCCTGTCTTTGTACTCTCTCTTTTCTCTCTGTGCCTATGTGTGTTCCTCCTTGCCTATGACTGTCTGTTCCCTGACTCTCATTCTTTTTCTCCCCCTCCTCCTTCCTCACTTCATCTCTCTCCCCTCCCCTCTGCCCCACACTCTGCAAGTTGCGGCTGTGGCCGTGAGCTCCTTGGTGGAGACATTTTAGCTCCTAGATATGCAACCAACGGCCGCTCTGCTGCGCTATGGCTCTGCCTTGCACTACCCCACTCCCATCGCCCAGGCTGGAGGGCAGCGGCGCCATCTCGGCTCACTGCAGCCTCGACTTCCCGGGCTCAGGTGATCCTCCCACCTCAGCCTCCTGAGTAGCTGGGACTACAGGCGAGCACCACTGTACCAGGCTAGTTTTTTGTACTTTTTTTTTAGTAGAGACAGACAGAGTTTCGCCACATTGCCCAGGCTGATCTGGAACTTCTGGGCTCAAGTGATCTACCCGCCTTGGTGTCTCAAAGTTCTGGGATTACAGGCCTGAGCCACCGCACCCGGCTTTACTCCACACATTTATTGAGCATTTACTATGTACCCGATGCAGGTCCAGGCCGTTTACATATATTCTAATCATCTTCATAATAACCCTGTCATTATTCCTACGTTCCAGATGAAGAAACAAAGGCAGAAAGAAGACATCGTGTCCCAGGATCCTACAGCAAATAAATGATAAAGGTAAGATTTGACCCCAGACAGACAGTCTGACTCCAAGTCTTAGTCATCTTAGTAATGATGCTCAAGTTATTGCTTTAAATCCTACATGGGTCAAGCACATTCGTTGAGATTATTTTGTTTAATTACCAGAGCCTCCCTGAGAGATAGGTGTGGATAACCATTTCCATTGTACAGAGAAGAGAACCTCCTCACAGGGGCGAGTAACCTGCTGAGGTTACCCAGATGGGGAGTGTGGTGGAAACTGGGAGAGAAGCCAATGTTTCCATGGTGGCCTTAGAACCTTGACCCCACCTCACATGGTGCTAGAGCTCGTCATCTCTACACATGCAGTATCAAGAGGTTTCAGCTTCTAGCATCTTGCCTGGACTACTCCAATACTCGTTCTACTCCCTCACTTATTACATGTATGACCTTAGGAACATGATTTAATCTCTTTCAGCTTTACTTTTCTTGTCTGTACAGTGGGATCAACAATATATGCCTTCTTCACACAGTTGTTGGGAAGATTAATTAAGATAATTCACGTACAGTGATTAGCACAGAGCCTAGTGTATAGGAATTGTTCGACAAATAGTAGCTAGTTAAAACCTGAAGCTATTAAAACCCATCATCATTATTATGTAATAGTTTTGAAAAGATAAGCCAGATGAAGTTTTTTAGTGTCCATAAATGATGTTGCTCTATGTCTCTCCACTCACTGAATCAATGCCATGAATTGCTTCAGGTGAAGGGCAGGTATCAGGACAAAGAACTCACTGTGGAAGCAATAAGAGTTTAATATTCACTACAAGGTCTCATTGAGAGAGAAAATTAATTTCTAAGTCCCCTCTATTTCTCTTAAGTACAGCAGTGCAAAGAACATTTAGGATATGTCATAAGGGAGGTTCCCCCAAGATAGTAAGAATAAGTAGAATGTCCTTCTGCAGCTGGAAGGAAGATCTATCTGGAAGAGAGAAATTGAAGGACCTGTAGTGAATCTTGTGTCTGCATCTCCTCCTCAGGAGAGAAGCCAGAGAGTTTAGTGAGATCCCAGGGATAGGAAGATGGTTGTATCACATTCCCCAGGATATAGCTTGGGCAAATTTCAAGTTTCACTAAGTAGGTCTGAAGTCAGCACAGAACAAGAGTGGCAGGGAACCACCTGGCCACATAGAAATGGCCACAGAAGGCAGCTCTGCAGGAGGGGCTCAAGAGCAGCCCCCCAGAGCCTTGCACTCTCTTGCATGGTTTCCTTTGCATGGCTGAGTTCCACAGGTCCTGAGCAGCCTGCGATAGTTCAGTGAACTGGTGTAGGGTTGAAGACAAAGAGCCATGAAAGACATATTAGGGATAACTATGACCAGGACCGCAGACTGCAGCCATAGGGGCCAAAATGATGCCCAAAGAACCTTGCTTCTCTTAGTATGTCCTTCCAAACCGTCCTACCCTTGGCCAAGGGCATTCCCCAGCAGTAGCAGTACTAAGTAACAGATAGCACTGGTCCCCTCTGGAAGCCCTCTTCTCAACAGAGGCAATGCTCAAGTATGGATTCTTCACTCACTCTTACATGTCCAACACCCAGCAAAGCCACATGGGACTGTGAAAGGCACTAGAAGCCCAAGCATCACTTAATCTTACTGTGTGACATTGGGCAAATCTCTACCCTTTTCTGGAATTCATTTTCCTTGTAAATAGAACAAAGACATTACACCAGATGAGATCACATTTCATTTCCTTCCATTTCTGGTATTCTGTGACATTTCTTCTTAGCTCACTCGTACACTGTTCCTCCCCTGCTTTCTCTATTGGTGGATTCTACAATATTGCTACCCACTTTGTTGCCATGTTACTTTGCACTTGATGTGTGATCTATAAATGTATAAGCGCCATCTCTCTAACTAGATTGTAGGTACCTTGCAAACTGGAATCCCTAATAATGCTCAAAATGATAAACCAGTGCATAAGCATTGGGGAATTCTAATTATGGCTATGACTTATTGACAATCTGCTAGGCAACAGGTGTTTCAAACACATTATCTCTGCCCTTCACAATAAACTTGCCAAATTAATATTATAACTTACCCTTAACTGATGATTTAAGTATGGGTTATAATCATATGGAATTGAGTTTTGTTGGATTCTAGAGCCCTTGAATTTTTTAGTACCTATCTTTGTTTTTCATCTCCATGTTTAAAAACCTATTTCCTGCAGTTCCTAAATGTTTTTGTGGGCAAATGGATGACTGTCTCACATGGGCTGTGTGAACACTGGCTGTGGCTCAGTTCCAGCTACGTGATGGATACTCACCACCCAGGACTCCTGTTTTGGCCAGGCAGCTCAGCAATAGGAGCAGCCGCATGCTTCTGGAAGCCATCTTCCTCCTACCCTGAGGATGTAGCTAGTGCAAGGATCTCAGAGACCTTACTAGCGCTTCTTTGAAACTCCTGGGTTCTCCTTGATCTGCAAATCTGAACACATTTGCACAGGTGAGAAGGACCCAGGAATCTAGATGCCAACTAATACATATGGAGGAAAATAATACAATATTTTCCTGGCTAAATCCAGACTTTATAATGAAGGGAATCTCAAGTTAGATGTACAGGTTAGAAAATTTTAAGAGATTTTGTTCTTACCTGCAAGACCTCCTGGGCCAGTGCCAGAGATCTAACTATAGCAGGCTGAACAGTTTCATAGTCTGCATGGAGGCAATTTGTAAACCACCGAGCACTCGCCCCTGTTAGCTTCAGGAGGGCCAGCAGAGGGCGCCCAAGGCAAGCTTCCTCACAGGTAAGACGGATATGGGCATTCTGTTGTCAAGAAAATCCAATAGAATGGCTCCGACATTGAATTTTTAAATGTTAAAATTAAACGTGAGCACAGTGTCCAATACCCACATTTTACAGATGAGAAAACCTGAGGTCAGTAAGTATGAAGTCATTTGTTCATGGACACCAGCTATAAGCAGATCTGACTCCATCAGCACTCTTTCCTTTACACTTAGTTGACATCATTTTTAAAAATAAAGAACATGGCTTTATCTTTTCCCCATTAGCAAACAACACATGAGCTATTAGAAAATCAATGCAAAACTAGAAAATAAGAAGTAAATCCCATCTCCAGGAGATAATTTGGTGAGTAGCCTACAGATATCTTTCTATGCACCTCTCTCTGTGTACAATTTTATAAAAATAAGATCATATAGTCCTATAGCCTGGTTTTGTTTCTCAGAAACAGATTAATTGTAATACATTGTCTTGCACTCACATAACTTTCATGCATTTTTTATTTTTTCTTTAGTATAAATTCTCATATATAGGGTTGTGGCATCACACAACATGCACATTGTCATTTTAATACCCTTTGTTAAAATGTATGGGCTGTGATATTTACCTCATTAATAGGGCACTAAAAGGATTGGTTCCCTAAGCTCCCAGAGAATGCTTAATTTTGTCAAGTTTTTGGCTAATTTTGGTATATTAAAGAAGAACCTTAGTGTTTTAAAATATTTTATAATTACTAATGAAGTTGAACATCTTTTTATATAATGATTTGCTTTTAGTATTTGGTGAATTTTCATTTTACAGTTTTGCACATTTTTCTATTTCATTGTTTGTGAGATCTTTTTTGTATGTTTATTTGTGAGATCTTTTTTGTATGTTTATTGCCTTTCACGTGTTACTAATAGTATTTCTCAGTTTGTATTTTTCTCTTACTTATTATAATTTTTGCCATTCTGAAATTTTCAAAAATATTGTTATTTTTTATGTTTTTAAAAATAATTTTTAAATTTATATCAAAAGACTGGCCATTACTGTCACATAAGGTTAAAATATTTATCACTGTTCTATTTTCATCTGTCTGGGCTTTGTTTTAACATAAGTATGAAACTGAGTTCTGGATTTCCCTCCCAAATAATTCTTAAAATGAGTTAATTCATTGAATTCACATTTAATCATACTTTATGATTAAAAAATCTGAATATACAATCTAACTCTCAAATAATGGATTGCTTAAAGAGAATAATGTAAATGATGACTTTTCTGGAAAATCAATTCTGGGGTCCATCTGAACACTTTAAGGCAACATTAACTGAGAATGAGACAAAGCTTGGAGAGTGTGGATGTGACCTTCCCCACCCCTTACTTCTTTTTAAATCATTGCGTGAACCTTGCACTTTGCTAAACTTTCCTTCCAAAAGTAATAGTGTATTTTCAATGTCCTCAAACCCCTTTAAAACGCAAACAGAATTTCTCTGTCAAGGTGACCATCTGGGGGAAGGGAGAGGCAGCATCTTTTTTACTAATCTGTGAATAATTTTTAGTGAACTGATATTCATTGAATGTCTGCATGTCATGTTCATAAGTAAGCTGCACTGGGCCGGGTGTGGTGGCTCATGGCTGAAATCCCAGCACTTTGAGAGGCTGAGGCAGGTGGATCACCTGAGGTCAGGAGTTCAAGACCAGCCTGGCCAACATGGCACAACCCTGTCTCTATTAAAAAATACAAAAATTAGCTGGGCGTGGTGGCAAGTGCCTGTAATCACAGCTACTCAGGAGGCTGAGGCAGGAGAATCACTTGAACCTGGGAGGCAGAAGTTGCAGTGAGCCAAGATTGCACCATTGCTCTCCAGCCTGGGAGACAGAGCAAGACTCCATAAAAAAACAAAAACAAAAACAAAAACAGAAACAAAAACAAAAAACCTGCACTGTAGATCTCATGAATGCATGTTACAAATGAAGACACTGACACTTATGATTGAGTAACTTTTCTAAAGTTTCCCAGCTACCAGACTGCAGAGCCAAGATTTAACCCAACAGCTTGACACCAAAGCCAATGCTCTTTGCAGTGAAGGAAGAAAAGAAGGTAAATAATTTAAATCAAACAACACAGCAACAGAAAGCCTGACAAGCCTCACTAGAAATACAATTTGTCATTTCTGGCCTGGCTAATAGCTGACAGAGGAAAACAGATGTTTAAAGAAAGTCCCCCATCATCAACCGCGAGGAGGATTACCTGTTTGGCAACCAAGACTCTAAGGGCCCCTGCCTTCTTCAGTGTCTCCAGTGGTCCCAGTCAACGTTTCTGGAGCTTTTATATCTTCTTGCCTCAGGAATTAATAATCTTTACTTTAGTCACAAAGCGATAATATTATTTGAGAAAAACAATCCATCCATAAAAGTCTTATCTACAGTGAAAAAAATGAATCATATAAGAGACGGCTTCAGAATGTACGTAAGGTGTGCTTTGACTAGCCAGGAAAAGAACCTCTCCCTGTGTGCAAACAGAATCTTTTCTTCACATCACGTTATTAAAACTGACAACATCCTGTAATCTGTTATAAGCCCATCTTCCTCTCCCCTTATGTTACTTTTTCATGGCTGTCTTTTTATGCCTTGGTATGGTGGATTTCCTTTATTTCTCTTTTATTTCTAGAAGGATTTTCTGTCAGGGTCAGGAATAGGTTATGACCCATGCGGTGAGACTTGAGACCCACACACAGATTTTCCTTCCTAAAGCACCGACTCCACTCCTTCAACATGCGTGAGTTTCCTCAGAGATCTACTATTTGAGCTTCTCCCGCAGAACATGGATGATCATGTCAAAATAGCTTACATCAACAGAGTGTGTTACAATAACGGGTTTTCAGTGAAGTCATCAAATAAGATGCCAACAAAATCCTTGTGAGCAGCATAGGACACATATCCCCATTACACACTCAAGAAACCCAACCTTAAGAGAGATTAGAAACCTTCCGAGGTTCACAACACTGGTCAGCAGTGGACCTGGACACTGAACCTTGTCCTTCTGACTCCAAATATAGGTGTTTGCCAAAATACAGTTCTACTGAAAAATAGGCTATTTGAAAAGAGTAACAAGATTTTCTTTTCCAGTATAGATGGCAAAGGGTTAGGTTGTAGGTGCCAGAGATGACTCAACTTTAAACTACAGATTTAAGTCTGTAAAGGACCTTTATGTCTGGAAACTTTAAGTCTGGAAGGGACCATAGTAGTTATCAAATCTTACTCTTTTGTTCTACTGGTGAGGAAATTGAGGCCTAGAGAAACATTGTGACTAGTTTAATGCACAGACAGTTGTGGGTGAAGCTGATATCAGAAGCCAGCTTCCTTGCTCCCAGCTCACTGTTGTTTGGAAAATGCTACTCAACCTTTGTTATTAGATTTTTGCATCAGTTGTGTAAATTCATGGTAGGACATGAGAAAGTAATGCTTTCATGGTTCACAAAGAACATTTTAAAGAATCTCTCCCATCAGAATGTTTGACACAAACCTCTTTCTCTTTAGGCAGCTGGATGGGAATCATCATTGCTTCATGGCACAATGGCGTACAAAGATGTTAACTCCAAGCCTTTCAATTTCAGAAGTCCTGGTCCAGATGTAAGACAGAAAAGTTTTAACAAAATGGGTGATTAGATAGATCTCCTGTGTTTCCAGCAGCCATCCCAACCCTTAGTCTGCTATCCCCATGCCATTATCCAGATTTAAAGACTTGAGATGAGAGAGAAGAGAGTAGAACAGATTAGAAAACAAGATGTTCATAGGACTTTTAAGAGGTCTCTTACTGAACCCTCACATTGACTAGCTCCAAATTAAGGCATTGATAGGACTCACATAAACCTTTGAGATGTAAGAATGTAAAGGACCAGAAAATTGTCTGAATCAAAAAGGTCCACTGAATAGTAAGTTTATTTAAAAAAAAAAAGTCTACATATAAACACCTCATACATGAAATGGTCAAAGTGAGAATCCTAAAAGCCCCAAATCAGCAATGATCACCTTCAAAGTGACAAGGATGGGGATGGCACCATAATGGAGAGATAAAGTGGAAGCCAGGCAGCTTTCGAATAGTAGCTTTATTTATTTATTTATTATTTTTAATTTCAATAGGTTTTTGGGGAACAGGTGGTGTTTGGTTACATGATAAGTTCTTTAGCGGTGATTTCTGAGATTTTGGGGCACCCATCATCCAAGCGGTGTATACTATACCCAACGTGTAGCCTTTTATCTCCTGCCACCCCCCACCCTTTCGCCCGAGTCCCCAAAGTCCAGTGGATCGTTCTTGTGCCTTTGCATCCTCATAACTCCCACATATGACTGAAAACATCAGTGTTTGGTTTTCCATTCCTGAGTTACTTCACTTAGAATAATAGTCTCCAATTCCATCCAGGTTGCTGTGAATGCCATTATTTCATTCCTTTTTATGGCTCGGTAGTATGGAACACTAGCTTTAAAGTGCAAAGGAAAACAACTTTCAACCTGGAATTCTGTACCCAGCTAACCAACCATTAAGGGTGAGTATGACAAAAAGATATGTTAAAGTTATGAGAACGTAGTAAGATTGCTATCCATAGACTCATTGAAATTACTGCTTAAGCGTGTCCTTTGTCAAAAAATAAAATAATCCCAGAAGATGTGTTACAATAAAGAAATGTGTTGACTGTATTAGTTATAATAATGTTTAAAATAAAATTAATAGTAACTTTATTTCATTTTTAATATAAGTAGGAACAAAAATACCAGACAATAACAAACGAGATTAAAGAGAGTTAGGAATGAAGTTAAAATATTCTAAGATCTGATCATGATTAAATTGAGACTTCATTAGAAAATATTAATTTAAGTATATGTATTATCAGAGTACTTTTTTGATAATGCAAACTTGATGTTGCTGCACTTATGATGAAATATTACAATTGAGCCCCACATTCACCAAGACTTTCAGTATAGCAGGAAAATCTTTCTGAGTCGTACACCTTCATATCACTCTTGCCTCCAGCACTAATACTCCATCCAGTCAAATCTGTGCCCATCAACACCACATGTTGGTACTCCCTGGAACAACCCCATTCAAGGTCACACCTCCATGCCTTTTTTCATGTCATTCCTCTGCTTGCAATGCCCTTTTTCTCATTCCTTGTTTGGGTGTGTTTATTCATCTTTTAATTAGTTCATTCAATAAATATTGAATGTGATTAAGTGCAAGAATCTGGGTATATGGGTGTAGGTGTGGTAGGGAAGGGGACAGGAGGTGATAAAAAGTTGAAGAACAGCCATCTGGTTTCTGTCCTGCAGGATCTTGCCACAATGACAGCTTGGTTTGGTTTACAGCATTGCTTTGGAGGCTTTTCCTTATTCTACTCTCTGACAGCAGAGATGCCTTCCATTGTGCTCACATACCCCAGGCTCGGCACTTAAAGTCTCTATTTTCTGGTTGGCTACCTATATTTCACTAAGCTACTTCAGGTCAGGGATCACATCTCCTTCCTCTCTCTCACCTTATGTTCAGCAATTTTTAGTAGCGAAACTAACCAGCAATCCAAAGAAGAGTAATTGCTTCAAAATCTGCCTCTTTTCTTCTTAGGTATTTCCATCTAGAGGTTCTAGGGAACAAGCAAGCTCACTCATATCTTTCTTTTTCCCACAGAGGAAAACTTCACTTTTTTTTTTTCTCTTTTGAGATGAGTCTGGCTCTGTTGCCCAGGCTGGAGTACAGTGGTGTGATCTCAGCTCTATGCAGCCTCCATCTCCCAGGTTCAAGTGATTCTCCTGCCTCAGCATCCCAAATGACTGGGATTATAGGTGCCCATCACCAAGCCCAGCTAATTTTTGTACTTTTAGCAAAGATGGGGTTTCACCATATTGGTCAGGCTGGTATGGAACTCCTGACCTCAGGCGATCCACCCGCCTGGGCTTCCCAAAGTGCTGGGATTACAGGCATGAACCACTGCACCCAGCCCAGGAAAACTTCACTGAACATATTTTTGGAGAAGACATTCACTTCTTTGTCAGGGAGAAAAGCCTTATTTCCTCTCTTGGAAGAATTCATGCTCTAAGCCCACTTGAAACAATTAAACTTCATCTATGTGGTGATTTAACTTGGCTTCCTAAAAGACTCCAAATGGAAACCTGTGCATTAGTACATCCCTATAGGTAGATAGTACATTTCTCAAAAGTGGCATGTGATTAAACATGCTTAGATAAAAGTGAATATTCTGATAAAAAATTAAAATGTGATCTCTCTCCATAAGTCCACAGATATTCAGTAAGCTCTCATCAGTTTGTGACATGCTGGTACAGCTGTCTAACAGAATTCCCTAAGATAATGGATGTATTCTAATCTGTGGTTTCAGTGAGGTAGTCACTAGCCACATATGGCTATCAAGCACTCAAAATACGATGACTAAGAATGTGGAATTGAATTGTGAGCTTCATTTAATTCCAATTAGTTAAACTTAAGTTTAAACAGCTATGTGTGGCTAGTGGCTACCATATTGTACAGCACAAACCAAGAAGATGGGGGCGAATATTTTTGTGGAAACAAGTTGATGTGGAAGAAAAGATGAATCGTTCCTGTTTGCAGGGAAGCTTAGAGACAGAGGGAAACTCGTGGAAGTAAGTTCTGAGTACTGAAGGAATTGTGGGGAGTTTGGGGGAAAGCTATAGAACTTGCATTTGAGCCAAATGTAATTAGGTCACCAAGCAGGAGTGTCTCAGCTGACACCTAGGGTACATTTTAGAAAGAAATCTTTGTCCTTCTCTGCGATGTGATAGACTGAGTCTGGTGTTCTTTTGTCACATCTGCAGCACATTTTTCGTTCTCTTCTTTCCCTAGTTGAAGCTTGGATGCGATTCCTTTCCCTTCCTCTTCAAATGACTGATGAACTTCATCCTGAGTCGAATAGTGGAGCTTCTCAGTATTTCTTCATTTGAGGTCGAGGGTAAATTGCCTATAGTTTCAGTCTGACAGCTACTCACTTAGGACCCATTTTAACTAATGAACAGTTTCTGTTTTACTAGTAGTTGATAACTGTCAGAAGTTTTTTGAAAGGGTCGAAAGAAGAACCCCAGCCAGATGGGCAGCAGTGTGGAAAATATAGATTGAAATGGCGTTAGAAAGAGGTCAAAGAAGGTGTATTTTGGGGGAATGTAAAAAAATGAAGTCTGGTAGAAGGATTTGGGGAAGAACTGACATGACTATATAATATGGAGGTGAGTCTTGTAATTTTTTTCTAATCTTAAATCCTAAGAAACAGCATGAACTAATCATTATATTTAAAAAGAAGGAAAAAAGTACTGTGATTTTGTCCCTGCTTCCACAGGGTGCAGAGTTTTATGGCCTTGGACTTTGTCCCTTCATATTTGACAGCGATGTTGACCATGATCACTGATACAAGCAAACCCTTAACATCTCCTGATATTGAAGCAAATCCTATCAGCAGGAGAAAGGAAATGAGTCACTGTGGAGGTGTCCATTAACTTTTATAGCCAGTTTGAAAAAACTCTTGTCTTGAGAGCAGCAGGATTCATCCCCACTCACTCACCCCACAGTGGGAGACACGTGGCATGGAACTAACTCTCCTTCTCCACCACTTCATGAACAACCTATTATCTATTTTCATGATAAGCTCTCCAGCTAGAAAGCATCAGTTGATTTGCCCAAGAGGCACAATGGAAGTTCCACTACCAAGATGTAAAATAAAAAGCTTTCATCTCTTAAGGTTTTCAACTCAAACTTAATTTCCTTCATGATTCCTGTCCTAAACCAGCCCCCTCCTCTATAACATTTCCCACAGTGTGTGGAAATTATTTGCTTATGGGCCTAATGTCCTCAATAAGGTATCTTTTCTCAAGAACAGAGATGTGACTTTTCATATTTGTCTATATGTCTGACACTTCAGTTGTGTTTAATAAGTGCTCACTAGACAAATCTCAGTGTATTGAAATCCCCAGGATAGCACTTGACACATAATAGGCCCACAATACATGTTAGTTTCTTTACTCTATATTTTCTTCTAAAGATTTTCACAGACTAGGTTGAGCTTTTTATCTCAATAATTTATATACATTTTACAGATGCATATGTAGAGGTGTAAAAGGCTATTATAATAGCAGGCACTATAATTCTTTTTTAGGGGAATTGTCTTTGATAGGGAAAATACCTTGGTAAGTAAATTGGGGTGGAAAGTGAGACCCTAAGAATATTGATTAGGAAAATGCAAGGCAGTAAAACGTACTTAAATTGTTCTGCTTTTTAGCAATAAACTTGAAATTTAATGGAGGGGAGCAGGAAAAAAGGTGAAGAGAGGGAGAGAAAGGAGACAGCAGAGTAGTAAAGCACTGCAATGTGTTCCAAAGGGCTTTTAAAAACATGTCTGTCTAATATTAAACTAAATTTTTGTTTACTCTTTTGTAAATTGTAAGCGTTCTAAATTCTGCTATGTTCACTGAGGCCTTGTAAGAGTGGAGATTTTGGGTTGCTTTGCTCTTATTTTTCTATTAGAATTTCAAAGTGTTGTGTTTATTAAAAAGCACAGTATTATATGTAGACCACAATTTCATTTTTGTAAAAAAAATAAGCTGTATAAGTATTCACGGGTGTATTAATTTGTATGCATAGAAAAATATGCAAATCACACTGATCTGTGATTATTCTTGGGGAATGAGATGGGAGTGGAAAAAGAGAAGAACTTTGACTTTTTATGGAATTTTGTGTTGTTTGAAAATGCTCACTAGCATGTTTTATTTTGTAATTAGCCAAACAAATAAATACATGAAATAATCCCTTTTCCAGCCACCTCACTAGGCTGCTGGGAAGACCAGTTATGATAATCTATGTGAAAATTGTTGAAAACTGTAAAGTGCTCTGAAAACTCAGAAGTGCTATAAACACACAAGGGATTATTTATGTCATTGAGCAAAATGACCCATGACTTTGGTTTCTCATTTCTTTATCATTAAAATAAGGGAGTTGGACTAGATGGTTTCTTAAACGCCTGCCAGGTTCACATTCTCTATGGTGTATCTCTGTTCCTTGCTTTTCAATCACCAAGCTCTCAAAATCTCATCCTCCTGCCTTATGGGCTTCCACAGCATGTCCTCAGGGCTCACCTGGTCTGTAGCCTTGGGCTTTGTGAGTCCCTGAAGATTATTTAGCCTGAGTTCAAGGAGGGCTGCTCTCCAGCACTAAATGTACAGGAAGCCTGCCTGTTTGCTGACTTCATTCGGTTGCCATAAAGCTGGATTAGATATCTGTAAGCATCTTTAATGACCAGGATTATTTGAGAACTTGTCTGTACCTCTTCTGGCTTGGAAAAAGCTATTTAACCAGAAGACCATGGCCTGTGATTTTTTTTCTTTTCTTTTTTTTTTAAATTATACTTTAAGTTCTAGGGTACATGTGCACAACATGCAGGTTTGTTACATAGGTGTACATGTGCCATGTGGGTTTGCTGCACCCATCAACTCATCATTTACATTAGATATTTCTCCTAATGCTATGCCTCCCCCAATCCCCTACCTCCTGACAGGTGTGTGATGTTCCCCGCCCTGTGTCCAAGTGATCTCATTGTTCAATTCCCACCTATAAGTGAGAACATACGGTGTTCGGTTTTCTGTCCTTGTGATAGCTTGCTGGGAATGATGGTTTCCAGCTTCATCTATGTCCCTACAAAGGACATGAACTCATCCTTTTTTTTTTAAATTATACTTTAAGTTTTAGGGTACATGTGCACAACGTGCAGGTTTGTTACATATGTATACATGTGCCATGTTGGTGTGCTGCACCCATTAACTCGTCATTTAACATTAGGTATATCTCCTAATGCTATCCCTCCCCTCTTCCCCCACCCCATGACAGGCCCCAGTGTGTGATGTTCCCCTTCCTGTGTCCATGTGTTCTCACTGTTCAATTCCCACCTACGAGTGAGAACATGCAGTGTTTGGTTTTTTGTCCTTGCAATAGTTTGCTGAGAATGATGGTTTCCAGCTTCATCCATGTCCCTACAAAGGACATGAACTCATCATTTCTTATGGCTGAATAGTATTCCATGGTGTATATGTGCCACATTTTCTTAATCCAGTCTATCATTGTTGGACATTTGGGTTGGTTCCAAGTCTTTGCTATTGTGAATAGTGCTACAATAAACATGCGTGTGCATGTGTCTTTATAGCAGCATGATTTATAATCCTCTGGGTATATACCCAGTAATGGGATGGCTGGGTCAAATGGTATTTCTAGTTCTAAATCCCTGAGGAATCACCACACTGACTTCCACAATGGTTGAACTAGTTTACAGTCCCACCAACAGTGTAAAAGTGTTCCTATTTCTCCACATCCTCTCCAGCGTCTGTTGTTTCCTGACTTTTTAATGATTGCCATTCTAACTGGCATGAGATGGTATCTCATTGTGGTTTTGATTTGCATTTCTCTGATGACCAGTGATGATGAGCATTTTTTCATGTGTCTGTTGGCTGCATAGATGTCTTCTTTTGAGAAGTGTCTGTTCATATCCTTTGCCCACTTTTTGATGGGGTTGTTTGTTTTTTTATTGTTAATTTGTTTGAGTTCTTTGTAGATTCTGGATATTAGCCCTCTGTCAGATGGGCAGATTGCAAAAATTTTCTCCCATTCTGTAGGTCGCCTGTTCACTCTGATGGTAGTTTCTTTTGCTGTGCAGAAGCTCTTTAGTTTAATTAGATCCCATTTGTCTATCTTTAGCCTGTGATTTTTGGTTATTTGCTTTCTCTCATCTTTCTTTTTATTTCACTTTGGATTCTGATGGCTTCAAAATTTCCCCCTCCCTCCCTTCTTCTTCTCTTTCTCCCTGTCTTCCTTTCTTCTCCCCTGGTCCTTTAAGTCATTTTCTTTCTATTATGTATCCACTTGTTTCTTATCTGTTGTGTTTTACCATATCACCTCCTCTAAATGACTAGGTGAAAATACAGATTCCTTTATTACCAAATTCCTTGTTTCATTTTGTATTTTATGAAGATTTTTGTGATAGCATTATTTTATTTGGTTTAATTTATATAGAATAAAATGCACACATCTTAAATATTAAACTAGAAGGATTTTGACATATCTATACACTTGTGTAACATTAATTCAGATCAAGATAGAGAACAGTTTCATCACCTTGGAAAATTCCTCCTGCCCTTTCCCAGTCAGTCTTCCCACCAATGATACAACTATTCTTACTTCTTTCACCATAGATTAATTTTGCCTTTTTGTCAATTTCATATGAATGAAATCATATAATACATACTCTTTCATATCTGGATTTTTTCACTCAACATAATGCCTCTGTAATTCATCTACATTGTTGCCGGTATTAATAGTTTGGATTTTTTTATATTGCTAAGTACTATTTCATTATATGAATGTGGCACAGGTTATTTATTATTATTATTATTATTATTATTATTATTATTATTATTATTATTATTCATTCTTGGTTGACGGGCATTTTGGCTATTTCTGGTTTTGGCCTAAAGTTTCTATGAATATTCTTTTTTTTCTTTATTTCTTCTTAAAAAAAAAAAAGGGACGCATGTGCCGAACATGCGGGTTTGTTCCATAGGTATACATGTGCCATGGTGGTTTGCTGCACCTATTGACCTGTCCTCTAAGTTCCCTCCCCTCTACTCCTATCCCCCAACAGCCCCTGGTGTGTGTTGTTGCCCTTTCTGTGTGTTTTGGTTACTGTAGCCTTGTAGTATAGTTTGAAGTCTGGTAGCGCGATGCCTCCAGCTTTGTTCTTTTTGCTTAGGATTGTCTTGGCTATACAGGGTCTTCTTTGATTCCATATTAAATTTAAAATAGTTTTTTCTAATTCTATGAAGAATGTCAATAGTACTTTGATGGGAATAGCACTGAATCTATAAATTACTTTGGGCAGTATGGCCATTTTCATGATACTGATTCTTCCTATCCATGAGGATGGAATGTTTTTCCATTTGTTTGTGTTCTCTCTTATTTCCTTCAGCAGTGGTTTGTAGTTCCCCTTGAAGAGGTCCTTCACATCCCTTGTTAGCTGTATTCCTAGGTATTTTATTCTCTTTGTAGCAATTGTGAATGGGAGTTCATTCATGACTTGGCTCTCTGCTTGCCTATTGTTGGTGTAAAGGAATGGTTGTGATTTTTGCACATTGATTTTGTATCCTGAGACTTTGCTGAAGTTGCTTATCAGTTCAAGAAGTTTTTGGGCTGAGCTGATGGGGTTTTCTAAATAAAAAATCATATCATCTGTGAACAGAGACAACTTGAAGTCCTCTCTTCCTATCTGAATACCCTTTATTTCTTTCTCTTGCCTGATTTCCCTGGCCAGAACTTCTAATACTATGTTGAGTAGGAGTGGTGAAAGAGGGTATCCTTGTCTTGTACCGCTTTTCAAAAGGAATGCTTCCAGCTTTTGCTTATTCATTATGATATTGGCTATGGGTTTGTCATAATAGCTCTTATTATTTTGAGATATGTTCCATCAATACCTAGTTTATTGAGAGTTTTTAACATGAAGGGGTGTTGAATTTTATTAAACGCCTTTTATGCATTTATTGAGATAATCATGTGGTTTTTGTCTTTGGTTCTGTTTGTGTGATGGATTGTGTTTATTGATTTGCATATGTTGAGCCAGCCTTGCATCCCAGGGGTGAAGCTGACTTATCTTTCAATAGTCAGGTCCCTCTTCTGTAGGGCATCTGCAGTTTGCTAAGGGTTCACTTCAGGCCATATTCATCTGTTTTTCTCCCATGCCTAGGGATGTCACTCAAGGAGCCTGGAGAACAGCAAAGATGGGTGCTTGCTCCTTCTTCTGGGACCTCTGACCTCGAGGGGCACCAACCTGATGCTACTAGGATCGTTCCTGCATAGGATGTCTGACATCCCTTGTTAGAAGGTCTCACCCAGTTGGGTGGCATGGGGAGCAAGACCCCTTTAACAAAGCACTTTGTCCTTTGGTGGAGAGGGTGTGCTTTGCTGCAGGGAATCCCACTTGTCTGGGCTGCCTGGATTCCTCAGAACTACCAGGAGGAGAGGCAAGTCTGCTGGTCTGCAGAGACTGCGTCCACCCCTCCCGCTAGGGGCTCAGGCCCAGGGAGATCCGAATTCTGTCCCTGAGCCTCTGGTTGGAGTTATTGGAGATCGTGCATGGAAGCCCCACCCAATGAGGAAGGATGGGTCAGGTTTAGGCCTGAAGAGGCACTCTGGCCACAGACTGCCACAGCCGGTTGGGCTGTGGGGACAAGTCTTGGGACCAAGCTGTCCAGCCTCCCTGGCTCCAGCAGGGGAAAAGCCCAGCCTGGAGCTATAGAAATGGGTGCTGCCCTTCCCCTGCCCAGGGAGCTTAGCATGTTAGGCAGTTGCTAGTCCCAGTGCTGGCTGCTTCCCCTTCCCCAAAGAGCTCAAACGGCTTAGACAGCAGGCAGCTGCAGCAGGTGCTGGTCACCCCTCTCCCTGGGAGTTCAGTACACTTAAGCAGATTCCAGCTGAGGGGCCATAAGAATCTGCACATTCTGGAGTTGGGACGCAAGGCCCCAGTGGTGTGGGTTTTTGAGAGGGATCTTCCAATCTGTGGGTTGCCCAGTTCTGTGGAAAAAGCACAGTTTCCCCAGCTGGGTAGCACGTTCACTCACCACCTCCCTTGGCTTGGTGGAGAGGGTTTCCCTTTCCCGTGTGGCTCTCAAGTGGGCCATCCACCACACTACTCTTTCTCTCTGTGAGTCATGCCAGCCTTCTAGTCAATTCTGATGAGAGAACCTGGATACCTTGGTTGCCAGTGAAGGATTCACACGGTTATTATGGGTTTTTTGATGGGAGTCTCTGATCACTGCTACTTCTATTCAGCCGTCTTGGCCCCACCACCCTGTGTCTGAAATCTATAGCTGAAATGGATTTATGGAGCCAAACTAAATATAAAAGTAGAAGCAGCAGCAAGAAGAGCTGTGTAGGCACTCCTGGTCCTCAGCTTGAGCACAGGGAAGCCATTCCTGGCTTTATCTCATGGAGGTCCTTGGGGTATGAATATTCTTATACAAGCCTTTTGGTGGACATGTGTTTTAACTTCATGCAAGGAGTGGGATTTTTGTGTCATGTGATAGGTGTATATTTAAGCTTATTAGAAACTGACAAGCTGTCTTTCAGGGCTTTTGAATCATTTTACATTCCCACCAGCAATGCTTGAGAGTTCCAAGTGCTCCACATCCTCAGTAATTGTTAGTAATTGTTAATCTGGCATTGTTAGTGTTTTAATACTTTTTGTCTTAATTCAAAAAGTGAGAAATTTATTTTTTGTGCTATAACTTAACACAAAGTAAGGGACTAAAAACTGCCCAACTATCAACATAGCAAAAAGGCAACCCAAAGAATGGGAGAAAATATTTGCAAATCATGTATCTGATAAAGGAATAATATCCAGAATATAGAGAGAATTTTTAAAAGTCAGCAACAAAACACAACCCATGTTGAAGTGACAATAGCAGTCTGCACTCCCATGTTCATTGCAGCACTATTCACAACAGCCACAAGACATTGAATCAACGTAAGTGTTCATCAGTAGATGAATGGATAAAGAAAATGTACTATAAATACACAATGGAATACTATCCAGCCATAAAAAAGAAGGAAATTCTAGCATTTATGACAACATGAATGAACCTCGAGAATATTAAGCGAAATAAGCCATGCACAGAAATACAAATACTGTATGATCCCACTCATATGTGGAATCTAAAATAGTTGGTCTCATTGAAATAGAGAATAAAAAGGTGGTTCCCAGGGGTGGAGCTCTTTGTAGAGGGTGGTGATTGGGGGGATGTTGCTCAAAGGATACAAAATTTTAGTTGGGAAATAAGTTCAAGAGATCTATTGTACAACACAGTGACTATAGCTCATAATATATTACATTCTTGAAAAATTCTAAAAAGGGGGGTATAAAGTGTTCCCATCACTAAAATATAACCAGGTGAGGTAATGCATATGTTGTTAGATTTAGTCATTTCACAGTGTGTATGTACTTCAAAACATCACATTCTATGTGGAAAATATATACCAATTTATCTATCAATTTCAAAAAAAAAATCTGATTCAAAAATGGGCAAAAGAGGTGAATAGAAATTTCTCCAGAGAAGATATACTAATGGCCAATAAGCATATGAAAAGATGTTCAACATCACTAAACATTAGGGAAATGCACATCAACACCGTAATTAGATAACACCTCACATCCATTAGAATGGCAACTATCAATAAAACAGAAAATAACCAGTGTTGGTGAGGATGTGGAGAAATTCGAACCCCTGTGTGCTGTTGGTAGGAATGTAAAATGGTACAGATGTTGTGAAAAACAGTATGGCTATTCCTTAAAAAGCTAGAAATAGAATTACTATATGATCCAGCAATTCTACTTCTGGGTATATACCCTAAAGAATTGAAAGCAGGGTCTTGAAGATATATTTGTACACCCATGTTCATAGCAGCATTATTCACAATAACTAAAACATATAAGCAACTTAAGTGTCCATCAGCAGATGAATGGATAAGCAAAATGTGGTATATCCATGCAATGGAATATTATTCAGCCTTAAAAGGAAATGAAATCCTGCAATATGGCACAACAGGGATGATCTTTGAAGGCATTATTCTTAAAAATAAGTCAGTCACAATAAGGCGAAAACTGTATGATTCCACTTCTATGAAGCACTTAGAGCAATCAAAATTACAGAAGCAGACAGTAGAGTAGTGATTGTCAGGAGCTTGAGGAGGTAGGCAGGGGGAGTTATTGTTTACTGGGTGCAGTGTTTCAGTTTTACAAGATAAAAAGTGTTACAGAGAAAGACACTGGTAATGGTTGCACTTTATGAATGTATTTAATACCACTGAACTATACACTTAAAAATGGTTAAGATGGGCCAGGCACGGTGGCTCACGCCTGTAATCCCAGCACTTTGGGAGGCGGAGGTAGGTGGATCATAAGGTCAGGAGATCAAGACCATCCTGGCTAACACGGTGAAACCCCGTCTCTACTAAAAATACAAAACATTAGCCGGGCATGGTGGCAGGCGCCTGTAGTCCCAGCTACTCGGGAGGATGAGGCAGGAGATGGCATGAACCCGGGAGGTGAAGCTTGCAGCGAGTGGACATGGTGCCACTGCACTCCAGCCTAGGCAACAGAGCGAGACTGTCTCAAAAAAAAAAATGGTTAAGATGATATATTTTATGTTATTTGTATATTACCACAATAAAAGAAAAAAAAATAGCTACTCAAAGAAAATGTCCCAGTTCTTCTCTAGAAGATAAGTCTTTTGTGGGGGAATCAGTATGCCTTACAAGGCCTCAGTTTTCTCATCTTTAAAACAAAGGGGTTGGAGTGGGTGATTTCTGGCTTCATTTCTAACTCAAATAATGGATTTAGAGGAAAGCAGATGAGTACGGTTGTCAGTGCCTGGGCTTTGGCATCAGAGACTCAGGTTCTCACGGGGTTCTGCTGCTTATTAGCTGGGGGGCTTTGGGGTACATAGCCTCAAGAATCCTCTATTTTCCTTCTAATAAAATCAGATATTAATTACACATCTGCCATAGGGAAGTTGTGAATATTAAATGAGATAATGAATGCAAAGAGTTTAGTATAGTGCTTGACACATAGTAAGAGCTTTATTAAGCTCTTAATATCATTTTTAAAAAGTGGACACATGGGAGGCCAAGGCAGGCAGATCATGAGGTCAAGAGTTCAAGACCGCCTGACCAACATGGTGAAACCCTGTCTGTACTAAAAATACAAAAAAATTAGCCATGCGAGGTGGTGCACGCCTGTAATACCAGCTACCCTGGAGGCTGAGGCAGGAGAAGCGCTTGAACCTGGTAGGTGGAGGTTGCAGTGAGCCGAGATCATGCCACTGCACTCCAGCCTGGGGGACAGGGTGAAACCCCATCTCAAAAAATAAAAATTAAAAAGTAGGCACTTCCTGAAGTACCCCAGTTGTTCCTGTGACACATACAAGCTGGGAATAAAGAGGAGAATATCATTTACTCCCAATATTCTAACCAAAGTACTCACATTAGGTGGGATATAAATTTTCATGCACAGGGTTTATGCTTGAAAGCACAGATGTTACTAAGCCAAGGCTCAAGGCCAACTGTAGGTCTCCAGTACTTTCTACCTCCCTCGATTTTTGGTTTGCTCAGGTTTCCAATCTCTTTAAGAAAAACAAGAAAGACAGGAAGAAAATTATTATTTACCTTCAGTTCTGAAAATTATTCACATCCTTAAATGCTCTCAGGCTTTTTAATTTTGAATTTCAGAAGATGTCTCATCCTTCACATAAACAATCGATACATTTTCTTTTAAAAATAGAAAGTGAATATGAAGAATTTATTTTGAGGGTGATACTATGAATTCATATGAGTTTCTTTTTTTCTATGCTTTCAAAGATTTATAAAAATTTAAAAAGTCAACAAATAAGTGGACTTCATGCTTTCTGGCCGAGGGAGCCTTGAGGCCCTGGTACTGACATTAGGGGAATGAGAGGGCCATGTTTGATTCAGGTCCTCCACAACGTGGTGGGGCATTGGAGTTCATATCATGCAGTCCTACGTACTGAAAGACAGGCCTTGGGGCTCATGATTTCAAGTGAGAGCAATGGGTGTGGTTTGCTCTGGGAGTGGGAACTGTTGGTGATGGGTCCCAGGGTGTCTCTCAGTTGTTTCAGCAATCTTGGCCCTGACTAACATTGACAAGCCATCTGGAAGCACCAGAGCCAGAAAGTGGAAACTGAGGAAGTTCCCGTGTGAGGATGTGGCACTAAGGATCAACTACAGGGTGCAGCAAAGCTGACATTGTGACCTTGATGATAGCAGAGGCTCATTGGTCTGTTTCAGCATCTACCACAGTGCCCAGCATATAATAAAGGCTCAATGTATGGTTACTGAATACATGAGGGAAACATGGTGAGAATCAATGGGTTTATGAACTAGCTGGGCTAGAATCCCTTTTGGGGCTTTCTCCCCTAGAGACTCCCAGCCATTTGGAGGAAGATTTTATCCCCTAGTGGTCAGCTTGGGTAATAGAGGCAAATCCATGTCTTCTGCAAGAACAGGTTGGAAGCAGTCAGGAGCCATCTTTTCAGTTAGTAGACTGTGTGGCTAGAGCAATTTCATGTAAAAACTAGGAAACAAGATTTGTGATGCTCCACTGAGAAGGGGAACAAGCTATCGATGCTGATACTCAGCTCCACCCTCAGGCATGGGGAGACCAAGTCCCCTGAGAGTCCCTCTGGCCATGGCACTGGCTACTCCTGGACTGGCTTTGACAGTTTCTCTTCAAGTTGATGACAAAGAATGACTTTATTTTGGGCAAGAAATTGGTATTCTAATGAACATGGTCATAATATAGTTGACAGATTATGTGGATGGTAATTTCCCTCCTTGTGGGGTCTCCAAAGGCTTGAAGTATTTCCTTATTTAAATTTTTGAACATAAAGCAAAATTGAAAGACTTTTACAAAGGTGGGTGTTTTTACCTGTATATCTGTCTCCTACATTCTATCATTAACATTTACTATCTTTGCTTTATCACATATCTATACATTTACCCATCTCCCAATCCAACCATTCATTCATCTTAGTTTTTTGATGCATTTCAAGGTAAACTGCAGACATCAGTACACTTCCCACTGAATCCTTCAGCATTCACATCCTTTACTAAAGTGCAATATTTATCTACAGCTTTTTTCCTTTTGAGGTAAAATTTATATACAATTAAATACTCAAATCATAAGTGAATATTAGATGAATTTTGACAAATGCATGTGAAGATATGGAACATTCTCATCACCCTAAAAAGTTCCTTGTGCCCCTTCACCATCAATTTTGATTCCATCCATAGGCAACTACTGTTCTGTGGGGACTTTTTCCCACCAGAACTTCTATCAGTGTGATTAAAGAATAGGTACTCTTTTGCATATGGCTCCTTTTGCACTCAATAAAATATTTTTGAGATTCATCAATGTTGTTTTGTGTGTCAACAGTTTGTTCCTTTAGCCATTCCATGGAATGAATGTATCACAATTAATCGCTCCATTCTCATGTTGACAGATACTTCAATGTTTCTAGTTTTTGCTATTACAAATAAAAGTGCTATAAACATTCTCGTGTAAATCATTTTGTGGACATACGTTTTAATTTTTCTTGGATAAATACTTAAGAATTACTGAGTCATACAGTGGGTAACTGTTTAGTTCTATAAGACTCTGCCAGACTTTTCCCCCCCAAAGTGTTTATACTATTGTACATTCCAACCATTAATATATGAGAGGGGAGAAAGCTTTTCCTACTTCCAAAGAGGCCTGTCTACATATACGTAAATTTTTCCAACTGGAGACATGGCTGATGACTTCAGGGACATGAGCATGGGATACAGGAACACCTGGCATCACCACCACCATGAAGTTGGGATTCAGGAAGGAGGTTAATCATATAAGGAATCTTTGACCAGCATCAGCTCCTGTCAGGCCACACAGAGTACTGAAATGTTAATGGCACAGGGGGCCCTGGAGTCATGGTAAGAAAGTATCTCATTGGTGAAACCTTTCTTCCATAAAGCAGGTAAATAAATTATTTGTTCCTTCTTGGTAGTCCTTGAAGATGGTCAAACAAAATAATATCATATCTGCAGAAACTCAGATCTTGGTAAGATTTACTAGTTGGGAATCCAATGATAATGCCAAGAAGCAGCCGCCAGTTGGGATCAAATGTGAGCCTATGGATCAAGGTGCATACTCGAACACAGAGAGCTTTCTGAAAGATGCTACCAGTAGTTTTTCCAGGGCAGAGATGGGTTCTTTATTTTTCTGTCTAATCTAGCCCATATGCTTAGCTGAGAAGTTTTCTTCATATCACTTTAAATGATGATGTCCCTTGGTTTTCTAAACATTCTTTAGATAAGAATTTTATGAGCATTCTTTATTGCATTAGGATTAAAATTAATGAATCTTAAGGTTTTATTGCAAAGTCTTGCCTTGTTTCCTTTCTAAGATGATACAATTTATAACATGCAAGTTTGCTGACTGTCTCCTCCCTTTGTGTACATATAAAATGAGCAAACATGTGGCCATGAAACAGATGGTCATAGAATTGGTTCAGTGGTTGTGAGTGCAGCAACCCAAGAGTGTCTTATCTGAAATACCACCAGGAATGCCTGGACACAGTAGACAAAGGTTGTTCAACTGGACGCCTTAGGATACATGCTTCCAAAAACAAAGTAGCTGAAAAGAAACTAGAATAACAGGATATCAGAGCCAGAGGAGCATTTGGAGGTAAGTCAGTACCTCCTCCTTTTTGTCCTACAGGGGAGATAGTGGAACAGAAGCAGGGATGGGCCTGCCTTCTGTGCCCACAATTCACTGGGGATTGTTGTGGTGAAGAATTTCATTTATAATGAAGGAGAAATAAACCCCCATCACCTTAAATTCAGGCAGGTTTATTGAAAAGGTGAAGAGGCCTCTTGCAGAAGCAAAGCATAGCTGAGGCTTGCGGACTCTGGGAAAACGAGCAGCCGACAGTGACTAATGCTGCCTCTGACTCTGGGGCCGTGTGTTGTCTTGCTCCCTGTGAGCATCTCTTCTATTCTTTTGCATCTTCCCTCAGCCTAGCAGTCTCTGTTTACTCTTCAACACATAATTGAGCAAGGCTGTGCCAGCCCCAATGCCACCTGGCACTTTAGATCAAATTAAAAATGCATGAAATGAACTGGCCCTTTATAATACAGCTGTTGGAACAACAGCTGGAAATACAATATGTTGACTCCTGGTTTAGTGCTTTATGCTAAACTTCCTTTTCTGAAAAGAGCACAGACTTTGGGATATTAGAATACATTACGTTTCTGGGTTATTTGGAGTTTATGGTTTTCATGAAGCTTTGAAAGCTTTCATCCAGTATGTTTTAAATATTTTTCTATCGCCCTTATCCACTCCATTCCCTTCAGGGATTCCATTTAGTAGAGTGTTTAAAATTTTCCCACTGATGGGCTTTTTATTTCTTAAATTCATTTTTTCCTGTGTGTTTCATTTGTGTTCATTGCTATTGCTGTTTCCTTTAATTCATTAATCTTTTCCTCTGCAATGTTCAATCCAGTGCATTTTTTAAAATTTCAGACAGTAAAATGTAGTTTTCACTTATGGAATTTGATATTTTAAAAATATCTCCCACATCTTCATTTAATTAAAATTATAATAACTGCTCTAATGTTATTGCCTGCTATTTCTAACATGTGTGTCGTTTTCAACTGAATTATTTCATTCTTCATTATGTCTCCTGTTTTCCTGCCACTTTGCCTGTTTGATATACTGGGATTTGATGTCACACATTTGATGTCAATGCCCAAATGTGCCCAGTGGCACAACTCGGCCTCAGTGTCTATGCACACCCAAGCTTTTGCAGCAGGAGAGGCAGAGCAGAGGCAAATGTGCCACACATGGGGGTAGGGAGTCCCCCACTTGTGCTTGGGGCTTTCCTCTGCCTCATTGAAAAAATATGTGTTCCTTTTCTTTTCCATAAGACCTGCACTACTTCAGGCCCTGTTCCTCCAATGATCAGGACAGTCCTCTCTCTAGTCTCATCCCTCCAAAGGATGGACAATGGTTCAAAACAATTCAGGAGAGAAAGCATAGTCTTGTCAACAAATTGTGTTGCGAAAACTAGACATCCATAGGCAAAAATAGAAAAAAATTCACAGATGCTGGCGAGGTTGTGGAGAAAAAAGAATGCTTTTACACTGTTGGTGGGAGTGTAACTGTCAACCATTGTGGAAGACAGTGTAGTGATTCCTTTAAGACCTAGAGGCAGAAATACCATTTGACCCAGCAATCCCATTACTGGGTATATATCCAAAGGAATATAAATTATGCTGTTATAAAGATATATGCATGCATATGTTCACTGCGGCAAAGATATGGAATCAACCTAAATGCCCATTAATGATAGATTAGATAAAGAAAATGTGGAATATATACACATGGAATACTATGCAGCCATAAAAAGGAATAAGATCATGTCCTTTGCAGGGACATGGAGGGAGTTGGAAGCCATTATCCTCAGCAAACTAACACAGGAACAGAAAACAAAACCCTGCATATTCTCGCTTGTAAGTGGGAGCTGAATGATAAGAACACAAGGACAGATAGGGTTGGGGTGGAGACAACACACACTTGGCCCTGTCGGAGGGTGGGAAGTGGGAGGAGGGAGAGCATCAGGAAGAGTAACTAATGGATGCTGGGCTTGATACCTAGGTGATGAGATGATCTGTGCAGCAAACCACCATGGCACACATTTACCTATGTGGCAAACCTGCACATCCAGCACATGTACCCCTGAACTTAAAATAAAAGTGGAAGTAAAAAACAATAAACAAAGAAAAAAATCCACTTAAACATCCATACTTGCACTAAAACTAACTCAAAATTGATTATAGAACTAAATGTAAATTGAAACTCTAGTAAACTTACAGTAGAAAACAGAAATTTTTCATGATGTAGAGTTAGGCACGAAGTATTCTTAGTTATATCAACACAAACTATTAAAGAAAACATTGATATATTTAACTTCATAAAAATTAAAAATCCTTGGTCAGCACAAGACATTGTTAATAGAATAAAAACATATGCTACAAACTGGGAGAAAAATATGAAAATCCCACATATGATGAAGGACCTGTATAATGGTTAATTGTGTGTGTCACTGTGACCGAGTCCCAGTGTGCCAGGACATTTGTTCCAATATTATTCTGGGTGTGTGCTGGAGGGTGTTTCTGGATGATATTAACACTGGAATAGACAGACTAAGTGAAGCAGATTGTCCTCCCTAATGTGGTGGGCCTCATCCAATCAACCAAAGGCCAGAGGAGAAGGAAAGGGCCTAATAAGAAGGAAACACTTTCCTGGGTATCCAGCTTTCCATCTTGGGAATTGCGGCCTCCATAATCATATGTCCAAATGTGTGTGTGTATATATATATATATATATATATATATATATATATACACACACACACACACACACATACACACACACATGCATGTACATGCCTTATACATATATGTATGTATACACACATTTCATAAGTAAGTAGGAAGGATTGTTATTTTTAAAAGTTCAGTATTCAATGACAACTGCTGAGCTGGCCACTGCATACGAAGGAGTTCTATTATATGATTCTGTGTCCTTTTTTATACTATTGAAGTTCTGCATTTGAAGAAGTAGGATAGGATAATAGTTGATTTTCTCCACATACCCTTCAAAGCCCTAGGAATTAACAGGGAGTCAAAAATACCACATCCCTGCCCCTAAACACCAGGGGTAGAGAACCCTGTGGCCCTCAGGTGATTGTCTTTAGCAGGGTCTGGGAGCCACACAACTGCAGAGACAGCAGGAAACACTATGCAAATAGAGGCCACGACAGCAGGGAGGGCCTGTTCATGACAGAACACAGGTAAAACTCTCCTCAGAAAGCGAGTGTGGAGAAACAGAAATCATGCCTGAGACCTGGTGGATTAGAGCACTGGCTACTGGGGAATTGAAAGGAAGGGGCTTCACCGTGCAGAGGACCAGAGGTGCCAGTCTCGGAAATGCAGAATTGTTGGGAGATGGGGAGGTATGGACAAAGAAAGCATCCTCTGGAGACTCGTGGTGAAGACAATGAATGAAGTAACTGGCAGAAATTAGTGGTCCTGGTAGAACAAAATAGAATCCCAGAATGAGAACAAACACCATCCTTGTCCTCTAAAGCAAGACAATATTTTCTAAAAACTCAAGAAAAATCTTTTTTGGCAAGTACCTTTTATCTAGTGATGTGCGCCATGTACCAAGGCAGTGGGAAAAGGTTATTAAGCATGCTAAACTCAGCGAGCCCCTATTCCCCCATGAGGACTCTGTCAAGAATAAATTCCTTTCAACAAGTGATGCCCAGGACACTCACTTTTGAATAGTTCATGAGCCTCAGCATATTTAATTGTGGATCTGAACCAAAAGCCAAGGTGGAGACAAGGTGGGAAACACAGGCGGTCACTGGTATATGCTTGGGTTGAACTAACACCATAAGAAATGGCAGGTTAAGAGGTCAGAGAAGAGGAAAATAATATCTTTGGTTGTCATAGTGGTAAAAATTTAAATTCAAAAGAGAAGATTAAAAATGTATAAACCAAATATTAGAAGTGTGTCAAGTTAAAAGGGGACTTTTAAACATGATGCCAAAACATGTTTAGTGCACTTTCAAACATGAGCTACACAACCCTTCCTAAATAACAAACAAAAGACACACACACAAACAAAGACAACAAAATAACATTGACAAAGAAATGTAGTAAATACCATCTACTACTACATATGATAAATGTAGACTAAAATATGGAAGAGTTTGGAATGTAAACAGGGAAATAAGAATGTTTTTATTAATCTGTATCCTTACCCACCAAAAACAATCATAATAATAAAAGCTTAAAACATTGTGTGTAAAAAAAATTCACTAGTCCAGAGTAATAGGCAAGAATATTTTAATTAAACAGATTTAAAACATAAACATTTTAATTTTAATAGACTAAAATTAATCTTGGATGAAAGTTAAAATTTGGGCAGGGAATATTCTTTTTCACAACAGAATGCCAGCAGAAACAAGTTCATACTAAGGACTGAGATAAAAATTTCCAACGTACAAACATAAATATAATAACTGACACAGCCAGGGGTGATTAATTGATGATAAAATGCTCAGAGGAAGATTGTTAGAATACAGGTATTTGTACTTTTTCAAACCACTTTTCAAATTAATTATAAATCAGGTGTCTTTACAAGGGACAGATCTCCTAGACCCCTCCTTAACCAGGTAACCAGTCCTGATATCACAATAATGGTGATGGACAAACTGGACCTTCTCTGCCCGCAGATGGACTGAGGTTGGAAACTCACAGCATTGACTTTGCAGTGTTCCTGGCAAAACATTTAGGCTGAATTTAATCATAAGGAAATTTTCTGACAACTTCAGAATGAAGAAAATTGAGCCAGACAGCTGACGTCCTCTACAAACAAATCCATGTCACCACCATCAATGACAACAACAAAAAGATGAGGAGATACTTTGGGTTCAAAGTGACTAAAGAAGTGAGCTACATTATCTTTTCAATCCTTTTGAACCCAAAATGTCTCTTCTCTTTTTGTTGTGTGATTTGTGGTGACATGGATTGTGTGAAGGAGAGCGGTCAGTTGTCCTGCTCAGTGTTCTACATTCTGCAGTTGTCTGCTGATTACTTCCTATGAAACTCAGGCTAAGTGTTTTCCGCAAGAATATGGCATTGTTCATATTCTGCACTGGCAGAGTCCCGGGTGACATGCTGTCTCCTGCCAGCGGCTCCTGACTCCTGTTCTCTACAGGATGGAATTGAGAGGAGCAGGGCTAAGGCCTCTCAATGCTGTTTGTCCATCTGGGAATTGGTCTCCTTGGGTATTCATCTCAAGTGGAAATAGGATGAATTGTGGTTTCTCAAATCAAAGGAGCCTAGTGGTTTGCAATCATCAAGAGCATTCTGTGTCTAAAATTCAATCCTCAGTGAAGGAGCCCTGCAGTGTTGTGTTTGGAATTGAACTTGGTTTGCTGTTGTAGTTTTTTTCATCGAGCAGAAAAGCTACTTTTTGTGACATCCTTTCATCCTTTTCATCCTTCCAGCAGTATTTGGTATCTGTATGAGAGAGGAAAGGAAAAATGAAAAGAGCATCTATGTCAGGTCTTGCTGATGGCTGAGTTTGGAGGGATTGCTAAGTGGTGATAGCCCAGGGGCAAACTGAGCTTCTGCTGGGAGGATGAGCTGAAGCCTGAGCCTCCGGCTGGCTGAAGAGGCAAGTGCCGTCCACAAGTGAGAAGAAAACAACCCTGAACTTCCAGTCAGCCTGGAGTGCAGATAGAAGGACCTGCTTATGCCCAACCAGCATCCGATGACATCAGCCCCTTTCTTCCTGATCCCCTTTGTCCGGAGCAGAGTGATGGCTTTTCACACCTCCCAGGGAGGATGTGCTCAGCATCAACCATGCACACTCAGAAGCAGAGGGCTTAGAAGGAGAGGGCCCTTTGCAAAGAAAACCACCCCCTTACAACTCCATGTCCCAGTCTTTTGAGAAGATGCAGGAGAGCAGACTATTGGAAGAACCCAGGATATGAGAAGTAGCAGAGGCCTCAGACAATACTCACAAATAGGGAAGAGAAAAGCAGTGGGAGAATGAGCTATCATCATAGACAGAGAAATAAGGAGTGAGGGCCGCTAAGAGCCATAGATGTGATTACCTTCCTACTCTAAGCTTGCAGGCCAGAGAATCTGCATGCCAGTCTCCACTTGCTGAACGGCAGTTTTCTTTTGATCATTTTTGGTTTTAGGACACTTGAGGCGTGAATGTGGCCAATGACTTGATGCCCATGTGTGTTGTCAGCTGAACCTTCAAGAGCATCACCTTCCAGCTGGGGAGGGATCTTCATTGCAAGGGAAGGCTCTAAACCCAGCTCTGAAAATAAAACCACAGACAGTGGGATCCACTGGCATTGATGATCTTACTGTGACTTTCCTTCTACCCAAAGAACATCAAGTAAGGAAAAGTGACACCCAAAGGGTGAGGGGAAGCCAATGGAGTCACTTTGATATTTTCTTTTTTGTTGATCTTTCTCACATTACCCAGCAATGACAAGATTGCCAGGAAGCAAAGACACTCCCAATCCACAAAAATATTCAAAAAACATGTGTCATTCTAGACAGGTTGTGGGATGCAAAGAATAGGAAGCCTACCTGGGAAGCCAAGTGGAGTTTCTTCCCCTTTGGAATTGGAGTGTTCGCTGGCTACATCCTGAGCAGAGCAAACTTTCTGTTCAACTAGTGCCAAGAAAGTGCCTTCACAAGGTTGGTAAGATTGGGACACATCATGGTCACTACAAGAAGTCGTAACCCTTTCCTCCGGGGAGTCCTGCAGGACTTCCTTCTCTTCAGACTCCTGCAGCTTCCTGATGAGCCAGACAGGAGAGGAGTGACAAGAGGGATTAAATACCATGGTATCTCAGGTGATTTCATGGGACACATAAGGGAGTGGTCACAGAAACCAAAAGGGTAGTCTCCTCCAAGAGAGAAAAATCTATCCTTCTAAATGTGGAGTGGAGTGTGACTGCCCTTGGGACAGAGCAGACGTGAGCAGCAGATGCTGAGTGTGGTTGCCACAAATGAGCTGTTGCAGGAGGACCCAGACTCCCCCTGTAAACTGCGATCACGACTTGCAGCACAGAGAACTGACACAGGGCTTCGCTTCCTATGCCTAAACGTGTTGATGTTTACATGCAGCACCCAAGTAAACACAGCTCTTGAGGCATTCCAGATACACAGATCTTGTCTTTTCAAAGCCATTTTTAAAATATTTTGGCATGAATTACAATATCCCTGTTTTGTAATGAAATACTTGCCAACATGCTGACATCAAACACATAGAAAGCATACATGCGTCTCACTCTGGATTAACCACACGGGAGAGAACAGGTGATATCCCTGAGTTTGGTGAGTTCACCTGGCTCAACAGATAGCATGTTCCTATGCAAGAGGGGGATTAAGAAATTGAAACCTGGCTGAGCACTGTGGCTCACGCCTGTAATCCCAGCACTTTGGGAGGTCGAGGCAGGTGGATCACGTGGTCAGGAGATCGAGATCATCCTGGCTAACACGGTGAATCCCCACCTCTACTAAAAATACAAAAATAAATAAATAAATAAGCCCAGCCTGGTGGCGGGCGCCTGTATTCCCAGCTATTCAGGAGGCTGAGGCAGGAGAATGGTGTGAACCTGGGAGGCAGAGCTGGCAGTGAGCCAAGATCACTCCACTGCACTCCAGCCTGGGCGACAGAGCGAGACTCCATCTCAAAAAAGAAAAAAAAAGAAAAGAAAAGAAATTGAAACCTACTCAAGCACCACAATCAGGAAGACAGCATTGTTAAAATGGATAATTTGCAGTTGAATGAATGGATGAGGCAGTTCTGTTCATCACTTTCTATTTTTCCCTGGATCTGCAGTCTCCAGGTGTCACTATTGAACTAACAGCCCACAAATCCACAGAGTTACCTGGGGGGGCACTGGCGCTTTCCCTTCCTCTTCCTCATCATCATTTTGATTTTCTGTAAACAAATTCAGAAGAGCAGGTCATATTATGCAAATCACGCTTCACACAAGACCAAATCAGTGTCCAGTCATAGCACAAGGACATAAATATTCTCAGTGTAAGAATGTGATATTCTGACAGGAACGTTCTAATGTGCCCTAGATTAAGTCTTGTCAGAAGTAGATGAGCCTGCTTTTCAGATCCATGGGACAAAATCTCCCTCATCTGGTAGATCTTAATCTTATATCCTCTGCCCTAAGTCAGCACAAACAATTAAAACATTTTCCCTAAGATCTTCAAAAATTGCCCTAACAACTTTCCATAAGTGTTTCTGCAATACTGATTTATCTCTTCATATATCATGGTCAATGAATGGTTAGAGAAATTTATATAGAAAACTGAACTGATGGATGAATTCTAACAACTTTTGCTTAAAAAAGAATCTGTGGGGATGGCGGGGTGGCTCACGCCGCTAATCCCAGTACTTTGGGAGACCAAGGAGGGCAGATCACTTGATGTCAGGAGTTCAAGATCAGCCTGGCCAACATGGTGAAACCCCACCTCTACTAAAAATAAAAAAATTAGCCAGGCGTGGTGGCGCACACCAGAAATACCGGCTACTCGGGAGGCTGAGGCAAGAGAATCACTTGAACCCTAGAGGTGAAAGTTTTAGTGAGCCAAGATCACGCTACTGCATTCTAGCCTGGGTGACAGAGTAAGACTCCATCACCAAAAAAAAAAAAAAAAAAAAAAAAAAAAAAAAAAAAAAAAAGAAAAAGAAAGAAAGAAAGAAAAAGAAAAAAAAAGAAGAAAGAAAAGAAATCTGTGGTGCTACACAGAAACAGCAGCCATTCATGGGGTGAAGAACTCAGGTCCCAGCCTTGCTTTATGGAAACTTATAAGCAAGATAAGGGTACAAGTGTTGATGTCCTGGTTTCAGTTCACTGCACAGCTGAGACAAAGGAGATCCAGAATTGAGTTGACTTTGTCTTCCTCAAATGTGATTTTGGTGTTCTTGTGAGGCGGGTTGGAGTCAGCTGGCTTAAAGGAAATCCATACTGCAGATGAGGATTGTGAAATCAGGGAAATAACATCTTCAAATAAATGGACCAGGCTGTCAGTGGCCTCAGACAGGCAGAGAAACTCCATGGACATTGAGACACAAATTACACCATCGCAGCTGACAAGAGACATAGGAACCGAGCTCAGAGGCCTGACAGATACCTCCTGTACTCCTCCTGTACACAGGTAGCTATGGCTTTGTCACACCTGCCTCTGTTCCAATAACCTGATACTGGGGCCAGGATGACAAAGGCATGACATGGGCCAAGGAGGACAGGAAAGCTCTCTGACCCACAGGTATCTGTGTTTAATATTCCATCCTAGTTTCTCTTTCTCTCTCTCCTCTTTCACTTCTCTCTCTCTGTCTCTCTTTCTCTCTCTCTCTCTCTTTCTTTTTGACACAGGGTCTTGCTCTGTCGCCTAGGCTAGAGTATAGCAGTGCAATCATGGCTCACTGCAGCCTCTACCTCCTGGGCTCAGACGATTCTTCCACCTAAGCCTCTTGAATAGTTGGGACTATAGGCATGCAGCACCACAGCTGGCTAATTTTTTGTATTTATTGTAAAGATGGGATTCACCATATTGTCCAGACTGGTCTTGAACACCTGATCTCAAGTGATCCACCCACCTGGGCCTCCCAAAGTGCTGTGATTATATGGAGCACCTAGCTCCATCCTAGTTTCTGACTCAAACCAATATTTGTGTATACAGCTCATCCTCAGAATTGATCTTCCATAGCCTAAACAGAGGTATGAGACACAAGGAAAATAGAGGTTACCCAGAAGAATGTTTAGAGCATCCTGCCATTCATCTTGAGAAGATTCACTGTCTACAACCAGAATTGAGTTGACTTTGTCTTCCTCAGATGTGATTTTGATGTTCTTGTGAGGCGGGTTGGAGTCAGAAGGGCCATGGCTATTTGAATAAGTGATGGCACATTCCTCCAGTGAGTCCTCAGGGACTTCCTTTTCTTCAGCCTTCTGCTCCTCCCTGATGAGCCAGGTGGGATAGAAATGACAGAAGATTAAACAGAGAGGGATTGGATCCCAGGGAGACCTAGCTGATTTTGACAGGCGGCATTAAGAGAGTGGTCCCAGAAAGCAAACAGGAGGTTCCCTTTAAGAGGGAACATGCAATACTCTTCTCTCTGCAACAGAGCATGGCTACCATGGGAGCCAGAGAGGAAGAGAGCAGCTGGTGTTCATTGCACTGGACAGATAGGAGCTGAGGAGGATGAAGACTCAGCTATCCCTGTATGGTACACACAGCACACACAGAGAAACACAACAGCTGCCACACCTTGTTTCTTAGCTGGGTTGAATTTCACATACTGTGGCCAAGGGAATGCAGGCTTTGGGCCCATTATAGACTCCAGACATGGTGTGCCTTCTAGGCCTTTTTATTTTAACACTGTGACATAAAATGTAAATTTTTTTGTCTAGGTACTTTTCCTGGTGTTTAGCTTTGCTAGGTACTTCCTAATTCCTCTGCTTGTTGCCTCTTTGCTATTTATCTTTCCTAACAAGAACCTAAAGACAAATGTGGAGAAAGCAGCTTTGCACCTCCTCCTGGTTTTCACAACAGGGGAGAACAGGTCTTCTCTGTGTGTGCAGGAAATCCACGGGGCTGGTGAGTTTATCGAGGGTCATGCTTACAGGTACAATGAAGACAATGGACAAGCATGTTAACAGGACTATTTCCTTGTTGGGTGAGCACATGAAATCAGTGCACTCTGCAGCTTTCTTTATCCTGCATCTGGAATCTGTGACTACCTTCACCTCCCTTGTGTTCTTGCTGAGACCTTTTCCATATTTTACCACTCATTACCTGCTCCTGATTATTCAGTCTTACCTGGGAGCAGGTGATTCCTGTACTTTATCAAGCTCCTTGGTTTTATCATTTTCATCCTCATCTGTGTCATTTTCTGCAAATACAGAAGTGTTCGTTCAGATATTTCCCACTTCACACTCTGCAAGCACAGTCAGCCCAATGTGCACAGATACATGAACATCTATGTATGGGTCAGTGTTGTACTGAAAGCTCTCTTGTTTTATCTTTAACAAAATGACCTGGCATGGTTTCCTGGTCCATCAGGCAATGCATTTCTGATCTGGAGGGTCACCAGCAAGATGTAACCAAACACTGAAAAGACCTTTTGCTCTCCATATCACTGGAGGCTTGTGCAGCCTCTCTCTGGACTTGGGCAGCTGTCTCCCCCATCCTGCCACAGATCTGATTCCCAGGCACAGGCTTGGTGTCCTGTCACAGTTTGCATTTAGAACCTATTTATTTCTCTTAGAAGAGAACAAATAAACTTCTCCCACAGTCCTCCACATGTCAGGGGATTTTGCTGGCCCTCCATGTGGCTTCTGCTGTGTTATTCAGAGACATTCTCTGCATGGGGAGTGCTCCAGTCTGAAGCACTTTCAACCATCAAATGCCTCCATATCAAGTGCCTTCTCCAACACCATATGGTGAGGGGCTTTATCTCATTTTGAAAAGCAGGTGTAAGTGTTCTTCCATTTGACTACTAGAGACACTTGCAAGAGATAATGTGTCTGCCTTTGCAGATTGAGAGACAGAAACCCAGGAAAGATAAATCAATCACTCATCTACAGTTACTAAGAACGTTGCTGAAGACATAGCCTGGGAACCTTCATTCTTAGTCTAGAGCTCTTTTCACTCTAACAAGCACCCTCCTTTCACAGCCTCCTTCCTGTCCTTTAAAACTAAATAGATGCTGCCTCTTGTTCCAAAGACCAATTTCCATTAAGGAAGGAGGAAGATTTGCAATACTGTGACCTCCAACCCCACAGATTTCCCATCTCTGTTCTTACCCAGGAAGTCCTGGTCATGTCATGGCCACATATGTTTAGTGGAAAAAAACACCACTGATACAACTGTCATTGTGGAGGTGTGGAGGTCTGGAGTCTCTCATAAGCCTGGGGTTTTGGGTCATCAGGGCCTGTGGCCACCTTACCTGGGCTGAGCTTGTGGACAAGGTGCCGTGCCAGCCTACACCCCTCAGCCAGCTGTTCTCGGAAGTCCTGCCCCTGGGAGTTGTCATGCTTATCCGGAGTGAGAAGAGCCTGGAGATGCTGATTCAGTGAGTGGGAGGCATCTCTCCCTTCCCGTAACTTCTCCCTTAACTGGATCAGCTCTCGTTCCTGAGAGTGAACCAGGACTTTATATTGCCTAAGGTGAGATAGTAGAGAAAATTTAACACGGAAAGGGATGAGTGATCAGTTCTAATATTGCAATAGAGATTTCTGAGACAATATCCTCAAGGAGACCTCCAAGCAGGAGGTCAGCACATGTTTAAAGAAATGTCTGTGGCCAAGGGAAAGAATAGAAAATGGTTTACAGGCTTCCTCTATATCAGAGAGGGCTCCAGTAAGATCCTCGGTGATGTTCCATTCATCTTTCTCTTCTGTAAACAAAAGTGGGTGTCTTCCTAATTCAGTTACAAAAAGACAACCTTTCAGTTCCTCACTCTGGCCATGGACATTTCCATGTGAAAATACACATAGTGCATCTTGCGGCCACTAGATACAAAGCCATGTACAGAAATGAGGCCAGGTGCAGATGGGGCAAATTGAAAAGACAAAAGAAGAAAAGAATGACAGGGTTGAGAAGGCAACATTGATTGAGTGGAAGAATGAGAAGCCTCAGTCAGTCTGGAGGTGATTCTGACTAAGGGTAAGTGGGGTGGTTATGGGCACCATTTTGAGTATACTGAATGCTGCTGGGTGGTTCCCACTCCTTTGCTTAATTTTGTGTTATGCAAATTTCACCTCAACAATTACTTGTTTGAAAAAGAGAAAACAAGGCTCTGAGAAACAACTGCAACCCATAACTTATTATTATCCTTGTACTCCGTTTGACAAATATTTGTGTGTCGTGAGCCTGCCATGGCAATTCCTGCCCTTCCCCTGGCCCAGCTTAGCTCTTACTTCTCCCCGCCAAGATGCTGTACTTCAGAGATTTACAAACCTGCCCACCTGCCTGTCCCACGGGGCCCCCTCACCTGAGCTCCTCAGCTTGCTTGAGCTGCTCTGCAAGCTTCTCCTCCTTGAACTGCAGCTCTTCCCTCAGCATAGATTTTATGAGGTCTTTGCACTCCTCATACTCTGAGAAAAGACAGATGCACCTGCCTCAGTGGAAGGCTGGACATGCTGCTGTGGTCACTGCCTACAGGGCAGGAGCCAGGCCCATCCCAAGGACAAAACTGTCCCCAGTACCAGGGTCTAGATGGGGACTTCCACATCTTTACTCTTCAGTCTTCTGACTTTCTGGCATCTGATCCTCCAAAATTTAGAGACGAAGAAAGAGAAACTCAAGGGCACATCAAGGAAGTTGACAAGATGATTCAACCACAACGAAGTGGAGTCAGAAGTCACAGTCCCTGAGATCTGACTCTGAATGTGGGGCCACTTTCCCAAGCCTTGCAGCCTCTCCTCTAAAACACTGCACTGGGGCATGAGGTAGTGATTTCCCGCACAGGTGGGAAGGCCCCTAGGACTGTGGGACTGATGGTTTCCCTTTTACTGGGAATTTCAAGGACAAACATGTCAAAGGTTTTAACAATCTTTGATTTTTAAATCTTATCTTTGGATATGATTTTAAGAATCATATCTGAAGCATAAAGCATGAGACATAAGACCATAAGGCCATGAAGGAAATATGCCCAAATTCCAATAAAGTTTGTGTTAATTTAGAAACAGTAGAATGAAGAACTAAAAGATAGTGTTTACTCTGTGCCAATAACTGTTCTAGGAGATTGACAAGACATAGCTCATGTAATTCACTGCAGCAATTTACAGAGGTAGGTATCATTGTAGTACCCTCTGAACAGATGAGGAAACCGAGGAAAAAACACGACAAACAACTTGGATGGAGCCCAGGAGACAGGCCCAGGGTCCCTGCTCTGCACACTGCACTGCTACCTCCACACATTCTTGGGTGCGATCTTTCTTCCTCTTTAGGAACAAGAGCCTGTGCCCCAGGAGGCAGGACTTCCCTCTCACCAGGGTACTGTCTGCTTTCTTTTTCTTTCTTTCTTTTTTTTTTTTGTCAAGTCTTGCCCTGTCCCCAAGGCTGTAGTGCAATGGTGTGATCTTCGCTCATTGCAACTTCTGCCTGCCGGGTTGAAAGGATTCTCCTGCCTCAGCCTCCCAAGTAGCTAGGATTACAGGCACCCGCCACTACGCCCAGCTAGTTTTTATATTTTTAGTAGAGACGGGGTTTCACTATTTTGGCCAGGCTGGTCTCAAACTCCTGACCTCGTGAACAGCCCACCTTGGCCTCTCAAAGTTCTACGATTACAGGAGTGAGCCACCGCACATGGCCCCTACTCCCAGCTCTCGATGCTGTCACTTATAGATACCACAGGATCTATTAGGAGCAGAGTCTCTTGAAGCTCCTCAGAGCAGGTACTGGGTACTAACACCATGTTTCCCCCAGGGGCCCTAGAACAGAGCTTTGCCTATTGGGCCTCAACAGAAGCTTGAAATGAATAAAAGTTCACTAGTCTCAGACATTTAGAACAACAGAATATATGTTATTTGTCTGCAGGATCTTATCTGGTACAGAGAGGATTCTTGAAAACATGATTGAGCCTCTTGGAGAAAACAGGTCGTTCTGTGCCTGTGTCAGAAATCAATAACTGGGATTTTAACTCTAGTCCTACACCCACCTGACTGCAAACATGGAAATTTGCTAAATACCTTGCTACCTCTGTCTTCCAAATTAAACAAAATGTTGAAATACCCATTTCTATTTTCCTAGAAGTACGGGAAGGATGAAATTACTTTTGATGGAGAGAGCATTTAGTGTCTCAGAGAGAAGACAGGACATCATTCATCACTTTCATGATGGTGAGCCTATAGATCTTACTGTATTTGTTCTGCTGGTTGGCCAGGAAGCCGGCCATTTGAGTTACAAGAAATTTCTGCTTCATGTTTCTGAACTGTTGTTTGTTCTCTGCCAGCTGGGGGCGCAATTTCTCATTGATTTCTAGAATGTTCATCTCTGCTTTCTCACTGGACCAGGGGCCGGCAGATACCACCATGGTGACGTTTGTGGCAGAAGAGGTGGAGCCAGGGACTGGGGAGAAGAAACGCAAACACATGATGGGTTAAAAACTGGTGAAATCGAATAGGTTTAATCAGGACTGAGGAAGGTCAGTAACTGAAATTCTTAACTTACTGTTGAGAAAAACGTGATCACTCCCCACAGCACTTTAAGATCCTTCACCACAAAAACAAGGTTCGAGGTGCCTGAGCTCAGAGCTGAAGGCACTGCCTGTAGCTCAGACTCTGACAAGAGTGAGGTAGATTGTGGCCAGCATGCCAGGTAACGGTCTGCAGTTGCAATAACAGAATTAGAAGGTGGGGGTGTCATGGAATCTTAGGAGCCCTGCATTCCAATTGCCCAGGCTTTGCTGAAACACAGGCACCCTGGTCTCACTTGAGGGTCACCACCAATGGGGATCATTCCTTCAGCATTCACTCTCAGTATTCGTGTACCCTTGTGACAATGCCACAGACCCATCTCTTTCCCAATACATCTAAGCATATTCCTCACTGTTTATCTCTTGTCTGTACAACATCATCAACCAGAAACAGTTTCCCAACAGGTTATATTTTCTTAATGGTAGTCATGAAGTCACCCCACCTGCTCTAAGTTAAAACAGAGCTTAAGCCTTTTCCACAGGTATAAGATATCAAACTTTTAGCCTGCCCTGATATCCTCTGGGTCTTCTGCAGTTTTTTCTGTATCCACTAGAAAGTGAATGAATAATTCATTTTTTAAAAATGTTTTCTTTCCTGTCTCAGTATTCTTCTTGCTGCATCCCATGGTTATGTTGATTTCTTTTTTCTTACTGGGGCACCATCTTGGGCTTTCATTATGCTCTAGACCAGTTTGACATCCCTACGTCCAAAGCTCTTCCTCTACATGGGTTGATTTGTTTTTTAATGTCTCTGAGCACTACATTTTATACTTGTCACTTATGAATGTCATTCTAGTGCCACAAGAGCTCTTTTCAAGATATCAAGTGATCAAAATCATTTATATAGAGAGATCTCCTGAAAACATGTGTGACCATCTATTTTGGGAAGTTTCATAAACTTGATGCTATTTTATTGTTTCCATTTCATTTTCCCATATATTGAAAAGAACAGGGCCATGAACAGTTCTTATGGAATATGGTTTGATATATATTTTGCTGAGTTGGACTAACACCATTTGTTTTTGGTTACATTCCACTAACAGAACATGGCAAGATAAGTTTATGGTCAGGGTTGGTTGGTGATCCTCAGTGTTGCTGCGCAGTAGAAGGTGAGTTTGAGGTGAGAGGAACAAGTAGGAAAGAGTGATCCCCTGAACCACCTCCTCACTTTCTTAGCTTTCAACCCCACCTAGGTTTTGTGAGCCTGGAACTTGGGAGACTGTTCGGTAGCCCAGGTCTCCTAAGAGTGGGTGCAGTGGCTGTGACCCTGGGCTGCTCAGCATTCATGTGGAAATGAAGGAAGGAGGACTGGATCAATCCCATTTGAAAGCATCCTTCTCTGCAGCCCACACAATCCTCCAATGACACTGTAAGGATCCTGCTTTGAAATGTATCAAAGACTTTAAATCAATGTATTTTCTGGGGTCTGGGAGGCCTGACATTCTGTGTCAGAATGAAAATCTATCAAGTTTCTTCATTTTAAAAATGATAAAACTGCAGGTTCACAAAGTTACATGGCTTACTTGAGGTCACACAGGGATGAGTTTTCAGCACTGCCAGTAGAAGCAATCACAATAATTATTCAGTAATTATTCATAGGATCCATGCAATTCAGTAAATATTCACATAATTATTTAGTAATTATTCATTGAACAATTCATACCAGGCATTTTGTTCAAAACTGTGCTAATATTTCCACAGTGTATTTTTATCATAATCCTATTATGGTAATGCTATTATCCATAAGTAACAGGTGATAAACCTGAAGATGAGGGATAGCTAATCATGTATTTGGCCATATTTCCATTTTTTGGTTTTTGGGATGCTGGATGAATGACCAGAATGAGTCACAGGAAGAGTATTCATTCCTGTATTATTTTCCAGGACAGAGGTGTACCCTCCTAGTGTACTGGGACCAAAATTCGGAAGTGTCTGCAAACTTGCTTTAACCGTATGGGAAATAACCTCTATCACCTGGAATTTCCTTGGGACTTTGGAAAATACAAGAGAAGTATGAGACTTGGGTCTTCCCTTGGCTGTGTTTAATTCACTCTTCTATGGAATACCAATGATTCTCACTAAGACTTTTGCCTTTTTATAACCACAATGTATGCTTTATGGAGAAGATTTTACTCTTTGCTCTACTTAGAAAGAATAAATATGAGCAATGCTTTAGGTTTTATGCCCTGGACTTAATATTTTTCTGATTTCTGTTTTGAGATTAAATTCTCATGTAAATAGAAAAAATGCTTATTATTTCTCATAAGGCCAAGTTTGTTATTAGTTTGATTGAGTTTTTGAAGATGAGTTACAAACTTTTGATTTTGTCTTTGTCTGTCCCCATCAGCGCCACTCATTGTCTCTTAGTATGACCTGGTCTTGTCCCTGCACTTACCCTTGTCCTGCTGAGCCATCTCCATGCACTGTCCAATTCCATCAGTGATTCGGGGTCCTCCCAAGGCTCACTGAAATGGGCACAGGGATCAGGATGTCAGACACATTCCAGACACAAAGGCAACCCATACTGTAGAGTGGGCAGCTGTGTTCCCACTTCCCTAATGTTCCAGTGATGTCCTCAAACTGAAGGGAACACTTTTCCTTTTTAGGGGTCTGTTCTTCATGTCTCAATGCCTCTGATCTAGTGAACACAACTGTCCTGAAAGTGAAAGAACCTGCTAAATTTCGGGTTTCTGGTTAGGTGGCTAGAATAGATTTATAAGACTTCCTTACTTACCCATGACTGCTGAAGTTTGAATTCTTAGCAGTATGATTCCTTTTCTTGTAAGCTGAGCAGCTTAGGAAAGATTGGCTATGTTGCTGTGCAAAAAGAGGTAAACTTAATTTCTACTCAAAGCATGCTCGAATTTGAAACTAGGGCTTCCACTCTTCCAAAGCTGGACTATCACTGCCTCAGGCATGTGTCCCGAAGGGCTCTTGTCTCTGTTGTACTCAAAGTTTAAATGGAGACCAGCAAGCCAGGTTTCCTTTACTTCTAGGTTCCCTCAACAGTTTCTTCTCTGCTTTAGAGACTTCCTTGAAAATATTCTTGTCCTGCTGTTGTGTTTTGGCTTTGGAATGATGTGATGCAGCTCAGTGGGTCCTACCCCTAAGTTGATCAGAGTAATAAACAGCTGGGAAAGTCAGTGCAAATACAAGTTCATCGTCCTCCTTGCAGGGATTCTGATTCAGAGGGCTCAGGTGGGGCCTGGAATGTGTTTGTTAACATGACTCAGATGTGCAGTCAATTTAGGGACCCGCTGATACCATCAGCCTTACAGTTTATGGGATGATTCTTTCTGTTTTGCTGATGAAGAAACTGAGGCACAGAGAATCTGTAACTTGCCCAAGTTCCCCTTGCTGTAAGTCCTGGAGCCAGATCTCAGGTGGAGCAGCCTCTTCCCCCATCCCCTTCCCACATTTTCCAATTCAGCTGGGTCAATTCTTTCCAAGTACGTGTTTCTCTCCCCTATACCTCATTTCTGAAAAAAGGAAAACTGGAATTTAACTTCTTTCATCTAATACATTTCCTCACAACATGCTGCCAGCATCATATTCTGGCCACTCACTATTAAAGTGAGATGCCTTTTTTTTTTTTTTTTTTGAGACAGGGTCTTGTTCTGTCACCCAGGCTGGAGTGCAGTGGTGATTATAGATCACTGCAACCTCAAACTCCTGGGGTCAAGTGATCTTCCTGCCTCAGCTTTCCCACTAGTTGGAACTCTAGGCACACATCACCATTTCTGGCTAGTTTTTTTGTTTTTCATAGAGACAAGGTCTTGCTATGTTGCTCGGGCTGGTTTTGAACTTCTGGCCCCAAGCAATCCTCCCACCTAGGCCTCCAAAAGTGCTGGGATTACAGGAGTGAGCCACTTAGGCTAGCCCTGAAATGCTTTTGTTTTTGTTTGTGTTTTTTGTTTTTTAATGAAAATACAGGACATGGAGATGTGGAAAGACACCTTGCTTTATTACTGTTGTTATTATTATTATTACTACAGTATAATTCATGTATCACAAAATTCACGATTTTTAAGCATACCTTTCAGTATTTTTTACTATATTCCAAAAGTTTGCAGCCAGCAGCACTACCTAATTCCAAAATATTTTCATAATGCCAAAAAGCATGCCTGCACCTATGGGCTGTCACTCTGCAATTCCCCCCTTCTTGCAGTCTCTGACAACCACTAATCTACTTTCTCTATATATAGATGTACTTGTTCTGGGCACTTCCTCTATATGGAATAACAAATTGTGGCATTTTGCATCTGCTTCTCAGCATAGTGTCCTCAAGTTTCATCCTTTTTAGCCTGCAGCAGTACTTCAACATTTTATGGCCAAATAATATTCCACTATATGGTTATACCTAATTTTGTTTATTCATTTAACAATGTTTTCACTTTTTAACTATTATGAATAATGCTGCTATGAACAGCTTTGTACATGTTTTTGAGTGAACATCTGTTTTTCATTTTTTTGGTTATAAACCTAGGAGTGCAATTGCTGCATCATATATCACTTTATGTTTAACTTTTTTATGTTTAATTTTTTTATGTTTAACTTCTTGAGGAACTCACACACTGTTTTCCAACCTCAGTGGCTATGCTACTTTACATTCCCACTAGTAATATATGAGAATTCCATATTCTCCATAACTTTCCAAACATGTATTGTCTTTATTTTTTTCTTAAGTCATACTAATGGGTGTAAAGTGGTATCTCATTTTGGTTTGAATTTACATTTTCCTAATGATGAAAAACATCGAACATCTTTGCATGTGCTTCTTGGCCATTTGTGTGTTTCCTTTAGAGAAACCTCTACTCACAACTTTTCTCCCATTGTTAAATGTGGTTGTCTTTTATTGCTCAGTTATATGAATCCCTTATATACTCTAGGTATTAGACCCTTGTCAAATACATAATTTGGAAATAGTTCTCCCATTATGTGGATCATCTTTTCACTTCCTTGACAATGTCCTTTGAAGCATACAAGTTTTTTATTTTATGAAGTCCATTTATCTATCTATTTTGGGGTTGTTTGTGCCTTCTTAAAAAATGTCTAATCCAAAGTCACAAAGATTTGTACCTATGTTTTCTTTAATACATCGTTTTTTGAATGAGAACTTTCCTGGGTTTTAGTGGAGGGTGGACATTGTTTATTTATGCCTTCTGTCCATTACTGATATTTCTCCTGATTGTTATTCATATGCTCACCACCCCTCCATGGAGCATCCGTGGCCTGTAACAGAGCTCTGGGGACCGATATCCTTCCACTGACTTTGGCACTGGTGAGAGCCCTGGTCATGTGGTTCAGCTTGGCCTTAACCCGACCCAGTTGCACATATTCTTCAGGGCCTTTAGAATTGAAGTTGAGAGGCTCTCTGAGAACGCTTGCCAGCCCATGCTGTTCTAAGGCTGGAGCAAACTTCTACCGTCTATTCCAGACAGAGGGGACCACAGGAGTTGGACTCAGTCAAGACATCTCTGGTGTTAGAAAGTAGACCTGCTTCAGGATTTGGGGAAGATTGTTCAATATGAACTACGTCCTCCCTAATTATTTTTACTATATGTGTGACTTCTTTCTAGAAACAAAGGAAGAATATTTATGTTAGAATATTTTGTCTATTCTTTGTCAATCGTTGTTTGTCTACAATTTTAACGTGGATTAAGGAGAGCTCAGTGTAAATATATTCTTAACAATTAATTATGGTCCATGTCCACTGCCATGCAATCATATTTAAATCTATGAACTATCCTGTTACTTAGGTATTATCCTGCTCCTGATGAGAAAACAAACTCAGAAAGATTGCAAAATTTCCCTAGGTCACAAAACTAGTGAAGAGAGGAATAAGAATTAGAAACCATTTCCTTTTGGCCTTCAAAGCTAACCGTGTACCATTAGATCAAACTGATTTACATACTTTTGCTGGAATTAGTCTCAGAGTTTGTGGTTCTCGCTTGATTTTCCCAAGGAAACTGTGCCACTTTAATATCATTTCAAACTTTGAAATTTAAAACTTTTTTATTATACTTTTTTGTCTTTGTTCTATTCCATTGCTTTTGGTTTCTTCTCAACTGATCCCTCTTATTTATATGCTAAATATTTGTTACCTATATTCTGTCAATTTTCACATTTTTGAGTGTTTTCTCTCTCTTTGTTGTATGCTAACAGTTCTTCACTGAGGTATAATTTGCATAGAGTATATTGCAAAAAACCTAAAGGTACAGCTTAATAAATTTTGACATAATTATACATTATATAATAACACCCAGTTCAAGACAGACAACATTTTCCTCCATGCCACAAAGTTCTGATGTGGTCCTTGCAAGTCAATACTCATCCCCCAAAGGAAGAATGTATTCTGAATGTTGTCACTGCCTTAGTCCCTTTTTGTTGCTAGAAAGGAATACCAGAGGCTGGGTAATTTATAAAGAAAAGAGGTGCATTTTGCTCATAGTTCTACAGGCTGCACAAGAAGCATGGCACTCGCATCTGCTCCTAATGAGGGCCTGAGGCTGCTTCCACTTGCAGCAGAAGGTGAAAAGGAACCAGTGTGTGCAGAGATCATATGGTGAGAGAGGAAGCAAAAGAGAGCAAGTAAAGGTGACAGACACTTTTTAATAACCAGCTCCTACAGGAACTAAGAGAGTGAGAATTCACTCACTACCTTCTCCCAAGGTGGGGATCAACCTATTCATGAGGGATCCACTCCCATGACCCAAACACCTCCCATTAATCCCCACCTCCAATACTGGGGACCACATTTAAACATGTGATTTGGAGGGGACCAATATCTAAACTATAGCAACCACTATAGATTAATTTTGCTTATTCGTGTGCTTCACAAAAATGGAATCATTTTGGCCGGGCCTGGTAGCTCATGCCTGTAATCCCAAGACTTTGTGAGGCTGAGGCAGGCAGATCACCTGAAGTCAGGGGTTCGCAACCAGCCTGGCCGACATGGCAAAACCCTGTCTCTACTGAATATACAAAAATTAGCCGGGTGTGGTGGCAGGTGCCTGTAATCCCAGCTACTTGGGAGGCTGAGGCAGGGAAAATTTCTTGAACCCAGGCGGCAGAGCCGAGATCGTGCCACTGCACTCCAGCCTGGGAGACAGAGTGAGACTCTGTCTCAAAACAATAACAAAATGGAATCATTTAGTATGTTCTCTTGTTTTGACTTCTCTTTACTCAGGTGGGTATATATGCCACTAATTTGTTTGATTGTGTTTTTTCCTTGTTTCATTTTGTTTTGGCCAAGTAATATCCTATTGATGGTATGACTATCATACAATTTAATATCCATTTTTCTGATGGGAGACAGGTTTACTTGTTGGCTACTGTGCATAAGTAACTATGAATATTCTCATACAATTACTTCTGTGAAGATACATACTTATTTTCCTGGGTATCTATAGCTAGGGATAGAGTTGCTTGGTGAACGGGTAGAGAAACAGGTTTACTTGTTGGCTACTGTGCATAAGTAACTATGAATATTCTCATACAATTATTTCTGTGAAGACACATACTTATTTTCCTGAGTATCTGTAACTAGGGATGGAGTTGTTTGGTGAATGGGTAGAAAACAGGCACAGAGTTTTGCAAAGTAATTGTATTATTTTACATTTCTGTGAAAGATGTAGGCCATTTCCAGTCGCTCTACATTTCCACACACTTAATATGTTCAGTTTTTTAAATAATAGCCATTCTACCAGGTGTGTAGTGATATCCTATTTTGGTTTTCTCATGCCTAATGTTCATTTAGATGTCTTCTTATGGAAAATATCTTTTCAATTTTTTATGTTCATTGATACACTGGGGTGTTTGTCATTTTCTTTGTAAACTATAGGAGTTCTTTATATATTTTGAATGAGTCCATTTATATATACATATTTTTTGCTGTATTATATAGCAAATAATTATTCCTGGTCTACAGATAGCTTTTTAGTTGTTAAACAACAACATAATAAGCAGAAGGTTTTCAAAAATGAAGTGCAATTCACTTGATTTCTTACTGTGGAAAGTGCTACAGTATCTAGTCTAAGAAATATTTTCCTATATCAAGTTCATGAAACTATTTCCTCTTTTTCCTTTACAAGGTTTCTAATTTTAACTTTCACATCTTAAGTTAATTTCAATGTATGATGGAGAGTGGTTGTTAATATTAACTTTTTAAAACAATAAATATTATTTCACTCAAAATCGTTTTACTTAAAAGTCTTTCATTTCCCCAATGAAGGGCATTGGTGTCTTTGTTTTTAAAACATTTAGAAGTGGCGGTGCGAGCATGTTCTCACTCATGGGTGGGAATTGAACAATGAGAACACTTGGACACAGGGCGCAGAACATCACACACTGGGGCCTGTCTTGGGGTGAGGGCTGGGGGAGGGATAGCATTAGGAGAAATATCTAATGTAAATGACGAGTTAATGGGTGCGGCAAACCAACATGGCACAGGTACACCTATGCAACAAACCTGCACGTTGTGCGCATGTACCCTAGAACTTAAAGTATAATAATAAAAAATATATATACATATATATAAAAAGAAGTGGCGGAGCGAGGGCTACTGCACAGCTAGCAGAGCCGTGGTGAGGAGGAGCGCGCCTGCCCCGAGCTCTCCACCTCCCCCGCCCGCCAGCCCAGGCGGCCCCAGCAGCAGCGACCAGAGGAGCCCCTGCAGCAGCGCGACGGCCAGGTGGACGCCTCCATCTACAGCCTCATGGCGGACGGGACCTGTTAGGACACAGCCATTGTGGGCAACAAGGACTCGCCCTCCATCTGGGCCGCCGTCCCAGGGAAAATCTTCGTCAACATCACGCCAGCTGAGGTTGGTGTCCTGGTTGGCAAAGACTGGTCAAACTTTTTCGTGAATGGGCTGACACTGGGGGGCCAGAAATATACTGTGGTCCCGGACTCACTGCTGCAGGATGGGGAATTGACCGCGGATCTTCATGTGAAGAGCATCGGTGGAGCCCCCACCTTCAATGTCACTATCACCATGACTGCCAAGACGCTAGGCCTGCTGATGGGCAAAGGTGTCCACGGCAGTTTCACCATTTCATAACAAAGAAATGTTATGAAATGGCCTCCCACCTTCAGCGTTCCCAGTACTGACCTCCTTTGTTCCTTCCCCTCCACCGCTCCCCACAACTTTGCCCCCCTTTCCTTCTCATACACACACCATTTTAATTTCGGGGGCCATTACCCCACACCCCTTATTGCTGCCAAAACCGCATGGGCTGGGGGCCAGGGATAGATGGACAGACAGCTTCCCCTACCCATACCCCTCCTGTGTGTGGTTGGAAAACTTTTTTGTTTTGATGGAATTTTTATGAATAAAAAAGCTTCTACTAAAAAATTAAATAACTGTGCATATGTGGGCATATTGTTTGAATCTGTATTCTTTTACTTTGATATATTTATGAATACTTACACCAGTACTACCATTTTTAAACTACTGTAGCTTTAAAATCAGGTTTGAAATCTAGCAGAGTAAGTCCTCCAACTTATTGCTTCTTCAAGATCGACTTGCTTATTCTAGGTTCTTTGATTTTCAAATACATTTTGAAATTAGCTTTTATATTTCTCTAAAATCTCCTACTAGAAATATTAATCAGAATTGTGTTGATGTAATATGTTAACAAAATTGAGACTTTCAATCAATGAACATGATATATATTTCTGTAGTCTTCTTTAATTTTTCTCATCAATTGCTTTTAGGGGCCTTGTACCTGCTTCATTGCATGTATTGTTAAGCATGTAATGATTCTAGCTATTAATCTCTATTATGTTTTATTGAATTTCATTTTCTAGCTGCTAATTGCTAGTATGGAGAAATTAAGATGATGAAATCAACTTTATAAAGGCATAATTTCGGTACAACAGACTGCACCACTTTAAAATGTGTAATTCAATGCATGTTTACAAATGGATACACTAACGGAACTACTGCCACAACCAAGATAGAGGAAATTCCCTATGCCCCAAAGTTTCTTGTACCCCTTTGCAGTTCATCAGTCTTTCAACCCTCAGCCCCAAGGAGCCGCTGTCACTTCAGGTCCGTTTGCATTTTTAACCATTTTCTATAAATGAAATGATACCTGTGTTCTTTTGTGTCTGCCTTCTTTCATGCATCAACGTAATTTTAAAATCCATCCATATGAGTATTTGCATCAACAGTTAATGCCTTGTAATTGCTGAGTAGTATTCCTTCGTGTGGCTATACCATGTTTGTTTGTCCTTTTACTTGTTATTGGACATTTCTATCATTCCACGTTTGGGCTATTATGAAGAAACTATCATGAGCATCCATATGTGGCAGGCCAGGTCTCACTAATGCAGGCCTCCCTAACAACTGTTTCAGTACTGACTGAGTGGTTCAGTTAAATATTAAAAGGAAAGAAAAAAAAAAGCCAGTGCCTTTATACAAAGGCTGGAATGTAACAAAAGCCCACCAAGAGTTTTGCCTAGGCTTTTTCTGGGCCTTAGAGCATGACAAAATAACGAAGGAATTCTTAACAGGAGTCATTTAGTATTAAACAAGTTTTATTGGGGGTCTGAAGAAACTCCCCAGGCCTCCAGAAACAAGTTTATTGGAGGTCCAGAGGAAGGTCTTCAGGACTCAGACCTTAGTTATAGAGTAAATGAAGTTAATCACTTATGTATTTAGATGAATGCACACTTCCACATACACATATAGCTTAGAAGGTACATAAGCTCTGGAAAACTTTGTAATTTTGAGTTGGTCTGGTGATAATTTCCAGGCCTTTTCCCTGTAACCAGTTGCAGAAGTAAAAACTCTCTTCCTCCCCAGTTCATCTACATCTCGTTACTGGGCCACGAGAAATAGCAGCCCGCCCCTCAGTTTGGTCTGGAAACACACATACAGATCACTGTGCAGACATGCTGTGTAAATTCCTAGGAATGGAATGACTGTCCATCTGATTTGTATATGTTTAACCTTTAAGAAACTGTTAGATTTTCAAAGGAGTCATACCATTTTTCATTCCTACAAGTATAAGACTTCCAAGTGCTTTATATCCTCACCAACATATGCTATTTTCAACCTTTTTAATTTTAGCCATTCTCAAGGATATCTACTGGTATCTCATTGCTGTATTTATTGATCTCCCTGATGACTAAACAGCAAAGCATGTTTTCCTATGATAATTGACCATTCATGTATCTTCTTTTCTGGGAGTATCTTTTCAAGTCTTTTGAGAAATTGTTTCATTGTGTCGTTTATCTTATCAGACTGCAATAGATAGATAGATAGATAGACTTAAAAAACCCTTTGTTGGAGATAAATATGATATCTCCTCTATTGTGGCTTCTTTTTATGTTATCTTACTGTTCCCTATTTGGAGATAATGATAGATAATCTTCAAAAAAAAAAACCTTCACATATATATATGTGGGTGTGGGTGTGTATACGTATATGTATGTCCTAAGAATCATTAATTAGACATATATGTGAGTATCTATTTCTGGATTCTCTCTTCTCTTCCACTGATATATGTTCTATTTTTTTCAACAAAATACATGATCTTGATTTTCATAGCTGTAGAGTAATTCTGGAAATAGGTAGTGAATTCATTCACCATTATTCTTTTATAATATTGCTGTCTTATTATTATTGATAATTGACATTACCATATAAACGGTAGAATCAGCTTGTAAATTTCTACCAAAATGCCGGTTGGAATTTTTATTAGAATTGCATTAGATCTGGAGACCAATTTCTGAAGAACTGACTTTTTAAACACAACAACTCTTCTTATACATGACAAAGTTTATCTCCCCACTAATTTAGTTATTTCATGATTTCTCAAAGTGATTTTTTTTTGTAGTTTTTGGTGTACTGGCCTTGAATAAATTTTGTTGACTTTCTTTCTTTCTGTCTTTCGAGACAGAGTCTCGTTGTGTTACCCAGGCTGGAGTGCAGTGATGTGATCTCAGCTCACTGAACCTCTGCCTCCCAGGTTCAAGTGATCCTCCTGCCTCAGCCTCCTGAGTAGCTGGGACTACAGGCACATGCCACCACGCCCAGCTAATTTTTTGTATTTTTAGTAGAGATGGGGTTTCGCTGTGTTAGGCATGATGGTCTCAATCTCCTGACCTCATGATCTGCCCACCTCGGCCTCCCAAAGTACTGAGATTACAGGTGTGAGCCACCTCGTCTGGTCTGTTGAATTTATTTATAAGCACAACATGTATTTAGATGTTACTCTAAATGAAATTGTATTTTTATTTCATTTTCCAAATGCTCATTGCTAATATACAGAAATACAAAAGACTACTTATATTGAGCTTATATTCTGCAATGTTACCGAACTCACTAATTAGTTTTGGTAGATTTTTGTAGATTTCTAGGATTGTTAACCTACACACAGTCATCATCTGTGAATAAAGACAGCTTCAATTCCTTATTTTTAAATTTTTCAATACTTTATTTATTTTTCCTACTTTTTTGCATTGATTTAGATCTCTAGTATAATGCTGAATTGAAAGAGTAACAACAGGTATTCTATTTTTTTCTCTGATTTAATAGAAAAGCATTCAATCTTATGCCATTTAATATAATGTTACCTGTGGGTTTTTCAAATCTGCACTTAATGAGGTTGGAATTGGTGCCTTCTGTTCTTATCAATCTGAGAGTTTTCTGGGGTTTGTTTTTATAAATCATGAAAAAAGTTTTCAATTTTGCCAAATGCTTTTACTGTGTATGTCAGGGTAATCATACAGTTTTTCTCTTTTGCACTGATAATACAAAAAAATATATTTTTTAAATATAAAAAAGATTTCTTGAATCAAGCTAGGACAGTTTTTTTTAATTATAAACTTTTAACAAATATATTGAAATGTAACTTACATACAAATAACTGCACATCATTAAAGTGTATAATTTTAAGAGTTTGATCACAGTATACATGAGTCAAAGAGAAAGGACAGAAAATACTAAGTATGGCTCAGCATATGTGGTCTGTCTTGGTGAATGTTCTATGTGAGTTTGAGAAGAGTTATTTGTTAGCTGTTCTTAGACGTATTTTGCTTAAATGTCGACTTGGCTAACTTCTGTCATTGATTGTGTGAATTAATTTTGTTCTAGTGGGCAGTAAAATTACTGCCTGATCACATTGGACTTATGTGGATTTGGCTTATGTTTTATTACAGTGGATTCACGGAAAGCCCACAGCATTTCCCAAGACCCTCTAATTTGGCAGGACTCAATCACCAATCCACCCCTTTGTGGATTTTGACAGGGTTTGATTTCAGGCTTTACTAGGGCTGGTCTAGAAGGGGTTTTAAAGCATGACACTTATTCCTAAAGCACAGCCATTCTAGTGTCTTAGTTGGATACCTGGGTGCTAATGAGGTGTGCATGGGTTCTTCCCACCCTGGATGGCAGGAACTCCATCATCCATTCCCCAATCCTCCTCCACCTCAAGTACCGCTGGTCCAAACTCAATTTTATAACAGCCACCCCTCTGTTAAATCTGTTAGTCTTTTCCTCGTGCAGGTACAGTCTAGTCCTTGATAAGTATGCACATGGAACCCCACATGGACTTCGAGAGCTCCCCCTCTGAACAGCTGTCTCCTATTGGTGCCCTGCCCTGCAGATTGCAATTTCTTCAGTGGCCTTGAACTCTGATCTCTGCCTTCTTTCTCAGCTCAGTGGGGCTGCCCTGCTCTGAGTGGACTCTAGCCCACTGTGCAGCTGCTGAGAAATTCTTCCCAGACAAAGAACTAGGAAATCACAGGGCTTCTCCCTTAAGTATCCTGTTGTACTGCCTGTTGTCCACTGTCTGAAAACAATTTTATGGTTGTTTATGGAGGCAGGATTGGTCTGATATGATTTATTCTAACAGACAGAAGCAGAAATCTGTTATACTCTTTAATTATTGTGTCTTTATAATATTATGGTAGACAGAATCCTAAGATGACCCCCAGTGATCTTTGCTCTTATATAATCACTTCTTCCTGAGTGTAGACAAAGCCAGTGATGAGCTATCACTCCTGTGATTCTGTTACAATTTGTGGCAAAAACAAGTCAGCAGATGTAATCGAGATCCCAAATCAGTCAAATCTAAGATAGAGATTATCTTATGAGCTTGACCTAATGAAGGTGAGTTCCTTGGGGGGACTGAGGTCTTCCTGGAGAGATGTGAAGTGCAGGAGGGTTTCCATGCAGGGCGATTCTCTCTGCTGGCTGGAGGAAGCATGCACTGGGAACACAGGAGGCCTCTAGGAGCAGCGAGAGGCCCCTGGCTGACAGCCAGCAAGAAAACAGAGATCTCAGTCCTACAGTCACAAGGAACTGAACTCAGCTGACAACCTGAGGAAACTTGAGAGGAAGTTCTTCCCCAGAACCTCCAGAAAGAAACCCAGCCTAATCTCAGCCTGTGAGGCCCGGAGAAGAAGACCCAGCTAATCCAGGCCTGAACTTCTGATCTGTGGACACTGCAAGAAAGTAAATGGTTGTTATTTTAAGCCTCTAAAGCTTGCAGTAATTTTGTATGCAGCAATAGAAAATTAATACAAATAAAATGAAGAAGACTTTGGAGTGGGGACAAGAATGAAACGGTGGGAAAGGGATGCCTGTATGCTGATACGGTTGATGCCTGTATGGTTGAATTGGGTCTACCATTCCTCAACTAATTAGCTATGGTCTATTAACGTGCGTAGCTATACACAAATACTGGTACTAGGTTGAATCCTGAGGGAGAAGATATTGCATTCTTGAGAGCAGACGAGAACATCCTGAATTTGGGGTCACCGTATCATAAGTCATATACCAGGTCCCTCTGGGAAGGCCTAGAGGAAGATTTACAGGATACACTTGTGACAACATTGAAGGCTTCTTTCTTCCCCAAAGGGACCCGATCTCCCCTCAGTCAAGAAGCTCCAGGTCTCAGAACTGGACGACAGGTTATAAATTCCCACTATACTGATTCCATCAAGCTTCTGTTCACAGAACTAGAGTTTATCAGTAAAAGATAGACTCATGGAAGTCTAGGCATTTATTCTCTTATTTTATATAAATCAGTTAATATGCAGGAACAAAACAGACTTTGAAGAAAGAAAGTCACAGTTGCCACAGGAAAACAGCTTCCACATCCTCATGAGTCATCATGAGTGTTCTGTTGGGAGGACTTGATATGAGGGTTTCCTCCTCATGGGCTAGTACAGATCCGGGGGAAATGTCATCAAGTCCTCGATTCGGAGTGTAGCAGCTGGGGCTGTTGATTTGTTAGGCCTCCTGCAGCTGGAGATGCAAGTAGTGCATTTTCATGTCCACCGCAGGTGTCCTTAGGCTAGCATTTTCAGAGCCAGAATCCAACAAGCCATAGAAGCTCTGAGTATTTCCCTTTCCTCAGTCACCCACATAAAAGGCTTCAGGTCCTTCTGGGGAAGACCTGGAGGAAGATTTACAGCATACACTTGTGGCAGCATTGAAGGCTTCACTCTTCCCCAAGGGATCCAATCTCCTCTCATCTGAACTTGATACCAGGTCATAAATTCCCACTATGGTAACTCCAACAGGTCTCTGTCCTCAGAACTAGAGCTTTCCTAATTATTACATAAGTTGGTTTCTTAGTGGATTTCCCATCCATTACATCCCAGACACCTCACAATGATTGGTCACCACCACGTGTCCCTGCCTCTCAAGGAAATCCCTTCGGCCTTGTCTCTAGACAGCCGAGTCCCATGGCCTGTCCTCTACTCTTCCAGAACCCTGCTGTTCTCACTGACAGCAGGGAGGGCAAATCCATGCAGCATCTCCCGCCATGACCTCCAGCCTGCAGAGGAGAGGCGCCACAGGACCTTTACACACACACTGCTGTTCCCCTCACCCATGCATTTCTTAATGCCTTGGTGAGAAGAATGTCTCTGGATCTTCCTTGATGGGAGCTAAAAGAACAAAGGTAAATAATGTTATGGGACCCACTGAGAATTGGGGCTGTGGAAGAGTGGCCACTGAAGTAATAGACAGATGCAGCTATTGCCAGATACTCAGTGCCAGAGCAGGGAGGGAGAGGGAAGAAATACGGACCTCACCTTCCTCTCACTTCCAGGCTCCACTGGGTGCCCCCCATTGCTAAACCTAACTGGAAGTGTGCACGCAGGGGAGCCAGGGATGCATTCTAGAAGGGACAAGCCCCGAGTGGCATAAGACAGGGTGGAAATGAGTGGAGAGTGGATCTGTGGTCAGGTGGAGGGGATGTTATAGGGGAAACAAAAGGAGCATACTAGCTAATAATGCTAGATGACACTAATATCCCAAAGTCTTTGCTCTATTCAGAAAAGAAAATTCAGCATAAAGCACTCAACCAGGAGTCAAGATATTATATTTTCAACTGTTGTTCCAACAGCTGTATTATAAAGGGCCAGTTCATTTCATGCCTTTTTAATTTGACTTAAACTGCCAGGTGGCATTGGGGCTGGCACAGCCATGTTCAATTATGTGTTGAAGAATACACAGAGACTGCCAGGCTGAGGGAAGATACAAGAGAATAGAAGAGGTGCTCACAGAGAACAACAGACCATGAGGCCCCAGAGTCAGTTGCAGCAACAGCCACTATCGGCTGCTCATTTTCCCAGACAGAGCCCACAAGCCTCAGCCATGCTTTGCTTCTGCAGGATGCTTCTTCACCTTTTCAATAAACCTGCCTGAATTTAAGCTGACAGGAGTTTATTTCTCCTTCATCATAAATGAAATTCTTCACCACAACAATCCCCAGTGAATTGTGGGCACAGAAGGCAGGCCCATCCCTGCTTCTGTTCCACTATCTCCCTGTAGGCTGAAAAGGAGGAGGTACTGAATTAACTCCAAATGTTCCTCTGGCTCCGATATTCTGTGATTCTGGTTTCTTTTCGGCTACTTTGCTTTTGGAAGCATGTATCCTAAGGCGTCCAGTTGAACAACCTTTGTCTACTGTGTCCGGGCATTCCTGGTGGTAGTTCAGACAAGACACTCTTGGGTTGCTGCACTCACAACCACTGAACCAATTCTATGACCATCTGTTTCATGGCCACCTGTTTGCTCATTTTGTGTGTACATAAAGGGAGGAGACAGACAGCAAACTTGCATGTTATAAATTGTATCATCTTAGGAAACAAGGCAAGACTTTGCAATAAAACCTTAAGATGCATTAATTTTAATCCTAATGCAATAAAGAATGCCCATAAAATTCTTATCTAAAGAATGTTTAGAAAGTTGTTGAACAAGGGACATCATCATTTAAAGTGATATGAAGAAACCTTCTCAGCTAAGCATACGGGCTAGATTAGACAGAAAAGTAAAGGACCCATCTCTGCCCTGGAAAAACTACCGGTAGCATCTTTCAAAAAGCTCTCTGTGTTTGAGTACATACCTTGATCCATAGGCTCACATTTGATCCCAACTGGCGGCTGCTTCTTGGCATTAACAATGGATTCCCAACCAGTAAATCTTAGCAAGATCTGAGTTTCTCCAGGTATGATATTATTTTGTTTGACCATCCTTATCTTCAAGGGCTACCAAGAAGGAACAAAGAATTTATTTGCTTTCCCATGAGAAAAGGTTTTACCAATGAGACACTTTCTTACCATGACCCCAGGGCACCCTATACCTTGTTCACTTGAGTGCCCTGTGTGGCCTGGCAGAAGCTCATGCTGGTCACAGGGTTCTTTATATGATTAACCTCCTTTCTGAATCCCAACTTCATGGTGGTGGTGATGACAGGTGTCCTGTATCCCATGCTCATGTCCCTGAAGGCATCAGCCATGTCTCCAGTTAGAAAAAATTACATGTATCTAGAGAGGCCTCTTTGGAAGTAGTAAAAGCTTTCTCACCTTCATACATTAATGGCTGGAATGTACAATAGTATAAACACTTCAGGAAAAAATGTCTGGCATATTCTTACAGAACTAAACAACTATCTATTCTATGACTCAGTAATTCCTAAGCATTTATCCAAGAGAAATTAAAACATATGTCCAGAAAATAATTTATACAAGAAGGTTCATAGCAGTTTAATTCATAATAGGAAAAACTAGAAAAATTGAAGTATCTGTCAATACAAGAATGGATCAATAAACTGTGATACATTCATTCCATGGAATGGCTAAAGGAACAAATGGTTGACACACAAAACATGGACGAATCTCAAAAACATTTCAAGTGCAATAGGAGCCATATGCAAAAGAGTACTCACTTTTTAATTCCATTGATAGATGTTCTGATGGAAAAAAAAAGCAGTATTTGCCTATAGATAAAGTCAAAATTGACCAGGAAGGGGCATGAAGAAATTTTATGGTGAGGAGAATGTTCCATATGTTTATATGCATTTATCAAAACTCATCTAATGTTCACTTATAATTTGAGCATTTTATTGTATGTAAATTGTACCTGAAAAGCAAAAAAACTATAGATAAATATTGAACTTTAGGAAAGGATGTGAATGCTGAAGGATTCAGTGGGATGTGAATTCAGTGTACTGATGTCTGTAGTTTACTTGAAATGCATCAAAAAACATAGATGAATGAAGAGGTGGATTGGGAGATGGGTAAATATATAGATATATGATAAAGCAAGGATAGTAAATATTAATGATAGAATCTAGGGGATAGGTATATAGGTAAAAGCACCCCACGTTTGTAAAAGTCTTTCAACTTTGTTTTATATTTGAAAATTTTAATAAGGAAATACTTCAAGCCTTTGGAAACCCCAGCACAAGGGAAATTACCATCACTTCATCTGTCGACTATATCATGACCATGTTCATTAGAACACCGACTTCTCGCCCAAAATAAAGCCATCTTTGTAATCACTTTAAATGGAACTGCCAAAGCCGGTCCAGGAGTAACCAGTGCTATGGCCAGAGGGAGTCTCGCTGGAGAGAAAATTGGCAAATACTTCAAACTTAATGAAAATAAGAACAAAACATATTAAAATTTGTGAGATGAAGCTAAAGTGATACTTAGGAAAAAACACATAAGTTTATAGGTCTGTAATAGAGAAGAAGAAAATTTTAAAATTAATGATCTAAATTTATAGTCTTAAGATTCTAGAAAAAGACAAGCAGATTAAACTAAAAGTAAGTAGAACAAAAGAAATCATAAAAAGCAGAAAACAATGAAATAAAAATCAGATAAACAATTAAAAATTAAAGCCAAAAGCTGTTTTTTAAAAGATTAATACAACTGATACATACCTACAAAGATGAATTAAGGAAAAGGAAAGAAAATGCAAATTTTCTTTTTATCAGGAATTAAAAAGGTGATATCCATAGATTCTACAGACATTAAAGGGATAATAAAACATCATGATAAACAACTTTACACCCATAAAAGCAATACTCAGATAAAATGGGCAAATCTCTTGGAAAGTACAATTCACCCGAACTGACAAGAAGGAATAGCAAGAATATCCCTCCCCCATGAAAGAAGTTGCATTTATAATTTAAAAATCTGACACTAAGCAAAATCGAAGCCCAGATGCTTTCAAGTTGAGTTCTTTTCTTTATCTATGGATGACATGATACAAATATTAAATTCTTCAGAATATAGAAGAAGAAACATTTCAACGTTTTTGAGGCAAGCATAACCCTGATACCAAAACCAAAGTAAGTATAACGCTAATATCAGAAAATTTTATAAGAAAAAAAATTATACACCACTCTTTCTCGTAAACATAGATTCGAGAAATCCTACAAAATATTAACAAATCAAATCCAAATATATAACAGGTATAATAAATCCTGACCAAGTCTAGTTTATCCGAGGAACATAAATCAATTAATGTAATTCAGCCCAATGACAGAATAAAAATATTATACAATTATTTCAATAAATGCAGAAAAAGTATTTGACAAGATTGAAACTCATTCATGATTTTAAAAAGAAAACAAAACATGTGGCACACTAAGAATAGAATAAATTTTCTTTAACTTGCAAAATGCATCTAAGAAGAACATAGAGTTAATATCGTGGTTAATAGTGAAATGCTGAATGCTTTCCATCTCAGACAGGGAATAAGGGATTGATGTCAGCTCTTCCCACATTTATTCACTAACATCCTGGAGGTCTTAGTGCAATAATAAAAAACAAAGACAAATTAAAAGGAATAAAGTGTGGAAATGATATGTAAAACAATCTGTATTCACAACAAACATGTATGTAGAAAATCCTAAGAAACATTCTTAAAATTACTAGTATTAATCTGTGAATTCAGCAGGGTCACAGGATTAAATGGACAAAAGCTAGAAAGCCTCAACAAATAAAGAGATATAACATGTGAAAAAATGGGAAGGTATTAATGCTATCACAGATGTCATTTTTACTTTGCATCTCCTGGGTTTCCAGTGTTAGTTGGAAAATTTATCCCCATTGCCAATATTATGTATATACTTTAAGTTATCTTGAAAGCTTTTTAAATTAAATTAAAATTTTATTTTACGTTTTAGGCTTAAATTCATTTAGAAATTACTTTTGAGTGTGATGAGGTCCAACATTATTTTCTTCCAGATGGACACTAAATTTTGCCAGCATAGACTATTTTTTAAAATTTATTTTCTTCACTGATTTGACATATCATTACTAAGTATTAAATTTTTATAGACAATGATCTATAATGAGTTATCTATACTTTTTCACTTATCTATTTATTTTTTGGTTTATGTACTGATACTATACAATTGTTCCTAATCAACTTGTGGAGGCTGAGGCAGGAGGATCACTTGAGCCAGAAGTTGGAGGCTGCAGTGAGCTAGGATCGCACCACTGCTCTCCAGCCTGGGTGACAGAGCAAGACTCTGTAGCAAAAAAAAAAAAAAAAACAAAACTCCTCTTAAGTATACAGCTTAATGCATTTTGACAAATTCATACAATTTTAGTAGACTCATACAGTTGTGCAGCTGTCACCAAAATCCAGTTTTAGAACAGTTTCTTCACCTTTTCAATTTCCCTCCAGCTCCTTTGCAGTCAGTCTCTCCTCCCTCACCCACCCCCTCTACTCCAGCCCCAAGCAATCATTACTCTGCTCCGTGTCTCTATAAATGTGTCCTTTCTGGCCATTTCATAGAAATAGAGTAAAACAATATGTAGTATTTTGCAATCAGCTTCCTTCACTTAACGTGTTTTTGAGGTTCATCCATGCTGCAGCATATATGAGATTTCATTGCTGAATAGAATTCCATTCCACAGACACACCACATTTTGTTTATCCATTTAGCAGCTGATGGACGTTGAGGTACTTCCGGTTTTTGACCCTTGTAAATAATGCTGTTGTGAACATTCCAGAACAAATCTGGTGTAGACATATGTTTTGATTTTTCTTGGATAGATTTCTAGGTGTGGAGTTGTTGGATCATATGGTAACCATATGTTTAACTTTTTAAGAAACTGTCAAACTGGTTTCCAAAGTGACTATTATTTGACCTTTCCACCAGCCCACCAGCAATAGTAGAGGATTCCAGTTTTCCCACATAATCAGCAAGGCTTGGTATTCTCTGTGTTTTTAAAAGCATAATCATATTCATGGGTGTAGGTGGTATATTAGTGTGGTTTTAATTTGCATCTACCTAAAGACTGATGACTTTGAGTACCCTGTTATATGCTTTTTAGCCATTTATATTTCTTCTTTGTTAAAATGTGCATCCATGCCCTTTGCTGATTTTTAAAATTAGGTTTCTTCTTGTTGAGTTAACAGAGTTCTTTATATATTGTGAATTCAAGTCCTTTGTAGGATGTATGATTAGCAAACATTTTCCTTCAGCCTATGACTATTTTCTTCTTAATGGTCTCTTTAGAAGCAGAAAGGTTGTTAATTTTAATGAAGTCCATTTTATTAATGATTTCTATTATAGCTTGTGCTTTTGCTGTATTATCTTAGAACTCTTTGCTTAACCCAAATTCAGAAAGATTTTCTCCCATGGATTCCTCCTGAACTTTTATATTTTAGCTCTTACAACTAGGTCTATATCCATTTTGAGTCAATTGCTGTGTATGTGTGATGTCAGGCAAAGTGCCATGAGGGAGCTTTATCTGGATAGCAGCAGCAGAACTTGGAGGTAAGTTATGTTTAAGAGCTATCCTTCCCCAGCCCATGAAACCGAAATTTCCTGCTGCATCTGTTAGTGATTGGCTAATGCCTTGAGGGAAGAGAGATAAATGGGATATGTGGATTATACACTCCCGTATACATCCCGTTTTGGGGGACTGGGTGCAAAATGGTTACAGTAGCCCAAGGATAGTCCTACTAGAAGAATCCTGAGGAGCAAAAACGCACCAAAAGCAGGGAAGGACTGTACAGAGGGGCTAACAGGGATCTCAGGTGATATAGGTTGGGTTCCTAGGAAGTCTCCTCCTGAGATGGATGCAAAGGGGAACTTGCACATATCAAGGACTCAGTAAACATGTGTCTTGGGAGTTAGGAACATATGGAAGGCATTTCATAGTTTGTACACATTTTTGTCAACATGAAAATAGCAGGCATCTAGACTTATAATCTCCTAAAGAAAAGATACAGAAACTTGACAATCAAGGGTTCCATCCACTTAAGAACCAGTGAACTCTGAGAGAATCCTAAGTGTTAGCTGATATTGCCCTATCCCAGCCCACAGACCCCACACTTTTAAGATTTGTTGGGTTTCCTATGTGTGGTCAAAGGAACACTAGCCTAATGAATTTGACACTCTGAATAAATAGATAGTTCAGGGAATGTAATGTTACATAGTTATAACACATTACTTATCACTCTCACTGCAGTAGCCTTTCTGAAAATGAAAATGAAATCCCTGATATTCAACTGAAACACATGGTAGTCAAAACATAAAGGTTGGGTTTGTAGTTTATTCTAATTATTGAGTCCTCAGCTTGAATGAGGGTAAGTAAAGTGCAGATCCCACTGGAATGTCTTCTAGATTTGTGAAGTGGAATGAAGGGTAAAGGGAGAATGCAATTATATAGCTTAGTATAATAAAATATCTTTCCCACCTCACAATTTCTTTTTTATTTTGTCTGATCTCAGGGTTCCAGGCCCAAGTGTAGCACCAATGCCTAACCGTGGGCAGAGAAGAATCCACTTCCCAGGTACCTTCACTATTTGGGGGCCTATAAAGGTGGAGCTCCTCAAAGGTAGGATTGCTGGCATGTCTTAGATGTCTCAGAGGCCTTTGGACAGGAAATGCCCAAGTGTGTAGGTGAGGGGATGGTTGCCTTTTACAGAGTCCAGCAACATAACTTCTGAGAGCACATCCTGTACCAAGAGCTTTGTTTTTTTTTTTTTGTTTGTTTGTTTTTGAGACAGAGTCTCGCTCTGTCACCCAGGCTGGAGTGCAGTGGCGTGATCTCAGCTCACTGCAAGCTCCACCTCCCAGGTTCATGCCATTCTCCTGCCTTAGCCTCCCTGGTAGCTGGAACTACAGGCGCCTGCCACCACGCCCGGCTAATTTTTGGTAGTTTTAGTAGAGACGGGGTTTCACCATGTTAGCAAGGATGGTCTCTATCTCCTGACCTCGTGATCTGCCCACCTTGGCCTCCCAAAGTGCTGGGATTACAGGCGTAGAACTTTGATACCCATCCCAAAGATACCATATCTATACATTTAAATTTGGAATGTGTATTCCTAATAGTATTTCAGGATGGAATTTAACTTCACATCATGTAGCCTTATGGAAGCCAACTTTGTATGCAGCTCAATTCCAAGCTTGGTCAGGCTTCTGCTTGGCCCCATCCCAGGTTAAACAGTACCTGTAAACTGGTTTCACCACTGGGAAAAGGATATGTGTCCAGGATATAATAAAAAGCCTTAGAGACAGATTATTGCACACCATAGGGGTGTTCTTAGGTGTGTAATGATTCCAGATAGGATTGCTATCATGCTATTTCTAAGAATAATACTCTGAACTAACTCTCTGAGATCTGGCACTGACTAATGGCCAACGCTGGAAGGAATCATTGTTCCTTTTCTTAGACAAGGAAAATTGAACTCCTGCTGATTTGGCTAAAATCTCCACAAAATGATTTGGAGAAAAGACACAAAGAACTGTTTCTTTCAGCTGCTATGATCTCCCTTTACTGAAGGATAGCCTGGGAAAAGAAAAAAGGTAGCCCAGTCAATTTTCATTGTAAACAGATAGTGACAGGCTGCCTGGTAAATACACCAATGGTCCTTACTATTGGAAACCTTCTTATATGTGGAATGCTTTTAGTAAGATGTGTCTGATCTACATAGGTAATCATGGTAGTGAGACCTGGAATCTGTAGATTTGCATGCCATTGTTACTTGGAAATTGTCACATAGTCTATGCAACTATCAGCTTTATCAAATGGAAATGACCAAAAATGGCTCCATATTTAAGTAAGTTACAATCTCGCACATCACTTACAGAGCTCTTATATTACATCTGGGCTACATTATTTCCTAATATGGAAGGGAGGCTCTTTGGGGAATGATGGTGGTGCTCTCATACTTGTGATTTGTGTGTGTCTCACAATTAGCTTTCTTCTTGAGTATGATAATATCAATTAATAAAATTTGAAACTAGGTATGGTTTATGATTCTCATAAGGTTTATTTGCAACCCGATCTTTTGTGTTTTCTCCATTTCATGTGGATATTCTCTTATGCAATTCCCTGACCTTTCTTAAAATAGAGGTCATGTCCTTTGCAGGAACATGGATGGAGCTGGAGGTCATTATCTACACCAACTCAGGAACAGTAAACCAATACTGCAGGTTGTCACTTATAAGTGGGAGCAAAATAATGTGAGCACACAGACACAAAGAGGGGAACAACAGACACTGGAGCTTACCTGAGGGCGGAGGTTGGGAGGAGGGAGAGGAGCAGAAAAAATAACTATTGGGTACTAGGTTTAGTACCTGGGTAATGAAATAATCTATGGAATATGAGTTTATATAACAAACATGCACATATACTCCTTAACCTAAAATAAAAGTTTAAAAACATAGTGACTGTTGGCCAAAGTCAAACCAGAATAATCAGTGTGTAGGGTCATGGTTAGCTTATGGATCAAATACTCCGTGGCCTTTAGGTCCCTATTAAACTAAATATGTTACCGAAGTTCCTTCCCAAACCATATATTCTTTTGTATGTGCCCATTTCCAACTCCAGAAGCATGATGCCAGTTTTCACTGCTACTTTATGGTCTCTGTTTTGAACTCCAGTAATCTTAACTTACAAATTGAAGCTTTCTGTTTTATTACATGGACTGAGAGGTCAAGATAAGTACAGCTTATTGAAGGGCGTAAAGAGACTCTTGTTTCTCTGAAGAACAATGGAGTTGAGCAGCACTCTTTGTTCTTAATGAATTATCTTTTATATTTATCTGGAAAGTGGGTGATTTTTATACTTATTATTAAAAGTTTTATACAGAGTTATTTATACTGCCTCTATTTATCCCATTGAGAAGTGAGTTCATATTGTACCAGTAACTCAAAGATAATTCATCACTCTGAAAACTTACTTTTACCCACTGAGCAATTACAGGCTAGGACTCCAATGGATCTTAATAAGCTTGGTACATAATTGCTCAATATATGGTATGTGATAAGCTTAATTTTATTAGCACTCCTCATAAATCAGCATAATGTGATTTTCAGAGGGAAGCCAAATGGCTTGGAGCTCTGGCATACTGAACCTTGTTGTTTGTGGTCAACAGCTCTATGGTGATGTGGGGTCTTACGAGGCTTCCTGACAGATGAGAGGTATCTCAAGGGACTCTACTTCAACAGGGAGGTAATCACAGCTTCCTCATTCCCAGCATAATTTAAAACACCTTTGTTTTCAATCATTTTATTCACTATTCTTTTTCTTCTCACACACTCTTGGGATCCTGCACCTTCCCCTCATGGCTGTATCTCTCTTTTTCTCCCACCCACGACAGTCTCCAGGCCCATGGGACTGAGGAAGTAGTTGTCTGGTGGTGGCGCTGAGTTTTTCACTTAGGAGCTGCCCTAGTGCTGCCATGTCCCACTGAGACCTTTTTCGTGACTTGACCTCCTTAAACCATTATTTCACTTCAGCTCATCCATGTAGGTTGGAAGAAAATTGGGCCATTTATAAAATGCATAATGGAATTCTTCCTCATCTCTCCTAACACGGGCAGCAACTGTGACCTCCAAGAAAACTCTTGCCCTGAGCTCCGAAATCCTCCAGCATGAAAAGGAGAAAAGATAAACTGAGGCTGAACTCCAAGAGCTGAAGGAACTCTACTCTGGGCCTTCCAGGTAAGACCCCTTCCCTGGAGGAGGGAAGTTCCTTGCTAGGGATCACCAAGGACAAAGGACTTGCGCTACACCTGCTGATTCCTTCTATTTTCCTCTGATTTTAAAACAAAGTAAAACACGCGCGGGTGCCTACTATACTTAAAGAATAAGTTGGTCTTCCAGGTTAGCACTGCTTCTAGGGCCAGGAGGACCCCTAGGGCTCTGCTTGCAGTCCCCACGGGGGCCACAAGAGTGCGCCATGGTGCTTTCCCTTGGAACTCTGTAATGAAGCAAGATGCCTGCCGGTTTCAGTTCCTGGGAGATTGTGGCAAATATTAGCCCTGCGTATCCAGAGGTTCCTGACTTTTGGTCACACCATTCCAGGGAGCGGCCTAAGGCCTGCACTGCCCAGGCCTCGGGAGTTGGCTGTGGAGGCTCAGAGCCTCGGGTGAAGCAATCTTATTTGATTTCCTCGAAAACAGATCCTAACCGGAGAAAGACGCATTCATGCTTCTTCTGTTGGTGGAAAATATTCCCTCGTATTTCTCTCAGACTGAGCAAACCTTCCAGTAGTCCGGGGCCTCCTGCTGTGTGCTTTGGGGCAATTCAATTGGGAGAGTGGAGGAGAAGCAGTAACAAGATAGGAGGAGAATGGCAAGACTGGGGAGGTGGAGACAGATGAGAAAAGGGCCAAAGAGACACATGCGGAAGAGTGGTGGGGCACGGGGGGCGGTGGGCGAGCTGACTGTCAAGGTGGTTCTCTTGTCATCCGCAGAAGGGCAGACCCTTTCTCTGGAATGCCCCCGACCCTACTCTGTGCCCACACATCCTACCGTGGTCAAGCATCCCCTAGCTGCCTTTCTTTCTACAAAACAGCTTCTTATCCCTTTTCCTTTCCGCTGATTATGGGGACTCTTTCATTTTCTTTCTTTCTTTTTTTTTTTTTTCAGAGTCAGGGTCTCACTCTGTCTCCCAGGCTGGAATGCAATGATGTGATCATAGCTCACTGCAGCCTCGAACTTCGGGGCTCAAGCAATCTTTCCACCTTAGCCTCCTAAGTAGCTAGGATTATAGGTGTGTGCCGCTATGCAGAGCCCAATTTTTTCTTAACCTCAAAAAGGCTTAGATTAGTGAAACACAGGGCCTGGAATTCCATTCCTTGTGTGTAACCCAGAGGCATTGGTGCTCCCATGCCCCCGGACACCATTACATGAATGACCACAGCCACACTGTGCCTAACAGCCACAAACTGGAAACAGCCCAGATGCCCATCATCAAGCATGTGCATAAACAGATTATGGTATATTTCACTAGCAACGAAAGTGGGTGAATCAGTGATGACTGTTAAATCCACAACATTTAGTTAAAAAAAAACCCAGGCATAAGAGAATACACGTGTATGATCACAGGTTAAAACCTAGACCCATCAGGAGGGCGGGCATGAGAAGCAGAAAATTATAAAGAACCAAACATCGTGAAAATCAGGTAATGGTCATTGCTAAGGATATGAGGGGTGCTGTGGTGAGGAAGGGGCATGTGGGAAGCTAGTATTTAGTCCTAGCTAGTGCTTGCATGTTAACATATGCAAGAATTTATACCTATGTTTTATTCAACTTCTGTATATTGCATTACACAATTAAAGAAAAAATATTATTTCTTGTCAGTACATATCCTAATAACTAATATTAGCAGAGCTTTTACCAGGAACCATACTGTGCTAAGTGTGCATTTGGGTTATTTCAGTCGGCACAGCATACTGAGCTGTGGGTACTATTATGTCCATATGACACACAGGGAAAGGATAGGAGGTAACCCTGGTCCCAGCCAGGCCAGCGATGTCACCAGGACTCTAGGAGGCCCTCTGTGCAGAGATGGTGCTGGCAACCACAAGCCATACCTAATGTCCCAGAGCAACAGCAGTGCTTCAGAGGAGCCTGGAGCCCTTTGTATTCTAAAGCCTGGGACTGTGGTGCCAAGTGCTTTCCGGGGGGAAAGGATTGTCCTGACTCCTGGGACCTCTCAAAGCAGAGAGTGTGGAAACTGGCACAGCACAGCACAGCCCAGTTACCTGCAGGTATTTTGTGAGCCCAGAGGATAGAGTTCCTTAAGGACAGGGTTGTCAGAGTGTTCCAGGTGTCTTAGAGGCATTTAGACAGGATGTCTAAAGGCAGAAGCAAGGGTTGGTAATCTCCAACAGAGTCCAGAAAATTTGGAGAGAATGGACAACAGAGATGAGACAGAGCCTGCAAGACATAGCATGAGATTCCCACATGCACTTCTTATGTTCTCCCGAAAGATCATTCCTGATGGAAACATGTGGAAGCATGCTTGCATGCATGCCTATGCACACACACACACACACACACACACACACACACAGAGCAACAACAAAATAAAAAATAGAAGCTGGCAGCAATGGTGCAGTGACCGCACTGCAGCCTTTTACTTGAACTTGATGGCACAGGGAAATGTCCTGACAGAAAGGGCAGGTGGTTTATAAGCCCCAGTGAGATGATGTTCTAGAGATATGCCTGGATACCTGGATGTTCCTTTAGGAAATGAAAATAGTCCTGAGGGTTGGATAAAGATGAAGCACTTTATTAAACTGTATTTGGCCTCAGGCCATCTTATCACAGAATTTCTGCTCTGGTAGATATCTACACGAGAAAGAAAGAGGTTTTAAAGACCCCAAAACTAATTAGAGCAGTGTAGATAAATGTTTTGTCTACATAGATTGTTATTTGATTTTTAAAAAAAGGTTCATTTCCTTCAGAATTAAAGTTGACCCTAAGCTCAGCTCACAAATTCTTCTCTGTGGCTGCTTTTGGTTTTGGGTTCACGCCTGGGGCAGATGTGATTTATTTTCTTGTGCTTGTTATTAATCCAGAAATGTAATTTCAGTGTGGGCTTGGAATAGTGCTCTGGGACATGAAGCAGAAGTGAACAATGGAGGTTAGGTGGATATGAGTCAAAGAAAACTGACCACACTTTCTCTCAGCTCTCTTTTACAGCATGATGAGCCTCAAGAGCTGGGGGAGGTTTCCATTGCTGTCAGTGCTCCCAGTTCAGTAAAAATGTTTGGCATGAGTTGACAAGTACATTTGCCAGAGGTGGTGCATGAGCTCCTTGTGTCTGGGAATGGAGATTTTCATCATGGTGCTTTTATTTTGAGCTAGATGTTCCTGTTTCAGTCCAGCCTCTAGCTGGTGAAGAGTTATTCTCTAGAATGAGGCTTTTCTCACAACCATCTTTCTATTTTTTTTTAAGACTGTAGGGATGGAGCTTTTTGATTGAGAGAGGAAAATACTTAAATCTGGGACTGGACAGGTATTCTCACTTATATTCTGCATGGAGGAATGGGAAAATGTGTCTCATATTTCAATTTATCTGCTGTCAACTTGATTGTGAGGACTCTACAGTAAGCCTGTTCTCTGAATTCTACCTCCTCACCCCAAATTCAGTTTCCTATCAGTTGGGCAGACTGCCACAGTGCTAACTGGAAGCACCCTTGCCCCAGATGTCCCAGAGTTGATTAGTGGCGCTGTTGGTGGAAACAGGGACAAGTGGATAGTCTAGCCCCACATGCAGGAGGTGAGACTGCAGGATCTTTCCTGCCCTGCAGTCCATGACTCAGGGTGTAGCCTTGGCTATGTTACAGGCACGATCCAGTTTAACTTCATGGCTCTCTAAGCCTCCATGGAATGATTGTAAGTAGGTTCAATAACATATTTATTGAACAACTACTACATGAAGTATATTATGCTAGATGCTGTAAGAGACACAAAGAAAAAATTAATTCCTATTTTAAGAGTAGTAAAATTCACTAGGGAGAAATAAGAAAGTCCACATATAGTCACACTAAGAAGTAGAAAGTATGTGTGAATGTGAATTTCTTTTTTTTTAATTTTTATTATATTTAAGTTCTGGGATACATGTGCAGAATGTACAGGTTTGTTACATAGGTATACACGTCCCATGGTGGTTTGCTGCACCTATCAACCCGTCATCTACATTAGATATTTCTCCTAATGCCTTCCCTCCCCTAGCTCTCCACCCCTTAACAGGCCCCAGTGTGTGATGTTCCCCTCCCTGTGTCCATGTGTTCTCATTATTCAACTCCCACCTATGAGTGAGAACATGTGGTATTTGGTTTTCTGTTCCTGTGTTAGTTTGCTGACAATGATGGTTTCCAGCTTCATCCACATCCTGGCAAAGGACATGAACTCATCCTTTTTTATGGCTGCCTAGTATTCCATGGTGTATACGTGCCACATTTTCTTTATCCAGTCTAAAGCTGGAGGCATCATGCTACCTGACTTCAAACTATACTATAAGGCTACAGTAACCAAAACAGCATGGTACTGGTACCAAAACAGATGTATAGACCAATGGAACAGAACAGAGGCCTCAGAAATAATGCCACACATCTACGACCATCTGATCTTTGATAAACCTGACAAAAACAAGCAATGGAGAAAGGATTCCCTATGTAATAAATGGTGTTGAGAAAACTGGCTAGCCATATGCAGAAAACTGAAACTGGACCCCTTCCTTACACCTTATACAAAAATTAACTCAACATGGATTAAAGACTTAAAAGTAAGCCCTAAAATTATAAAAACTCTAGAAGAAAACTTAGGCAATACCATTCAGGACATAGGCATGGGGAAAGACTTCATGACCAAAACACCAAAAGCAATGGCAACAAAAGCCAAAATAGACAAATGGGATCTAATTAAACTAAAGAGCTTCTGCACGGCAAAAGAAACTGTCATCAGAGTGAACAGGCAACCTACAGAATGGGAGAAAATTTTTGCAATCTGTCCATCTGACAAAGGGCTAATATCCAGAATCTAAAAAGAACTTAAACAAATTTACAAGAAAAACACAACCCCATCAAAAAGTGGGAGGAGGATATGAAGAGATATTTCTCAGAAGAAGGCATTTATGCGGCCAACAAACATATGAAAAGAAGCTCATCATCACTGGTCATTAGAGAAATGCAGATCAAAACCACAATGAGATACCACCGCACGCCAGTTAGAATGGCGTTCATTAAAAAGTGGGGAAACCACAGATGCTGGAGAGAACGTGAAGAAATAGGAATGCTTTTACACTGTTGGTGGGAGTGTAAATTAGTTCAACGATTGTGGAGGACAGTGTGGCAATTCCTCAAGGATCTAGAACCAGAAATACCATTTGACTTAGCAATCCCATTGCTGGGTATATACCCAAAGGATTATAAATCATTCTACTATAAAGACACATGCACACATATGCTTATTGCAGCACTGTTAACAATAGTAAATGTGAATTTCAAAGAAGCAATGGTAGGAACTGGGAAGCATCTAAGTACTTGGTGGGGTAAGGAAGGTGCTTGAGAGGAGTCAACTTTTGTTTTAAGTCTGAGTAATGGGAGAATGCGGGAACTATTGACAGAGATAGAGAAATAGGATAGAGATGATGGTAAGTTGGAGATGAGTTTTCCAAGTGAAAAACATGAAGCAGTAAGACCCAGGAGTTCAGAATACAGGGAGGGATGAGAGACTCAGATTTTGAATCTTTTTTTGGTTACCACGGAATGTGTTAAGTCTGTGAGGGAAAGTGGGTGGAGTGATAAGAAGAGAGGATTTGGACCTGAAGTATGAGAAATGTCCACACTTCAGAAAACAGATGAGGAAGGGGATCCAAAGAAGGAACGTGAGAAAAAAGGGGGTTTCAGAGGTGGGAAGAGAGCTCGGCCATGATAGCATCCTTGAGTCAAAGGCTGCAGCCTTAGAAGCTTGCCCTGAACTCAATTCTACACGCCTCGGTGGCGGCTCCTGTAATATTTTACTACTCTTACTGGGTTATGTGCTTAGCTTGCCTAAGAGACTATCAGCCTCTGGAAGGCAGGAAACTGCTCTTACTTATTTTGACATTCCCAGGACTGATTTTAACAAACCATGGTTATTAGTAAGTCACAGCCAGGAGACTCAAATATGAATGATAACTGCAAAATGTTCATCAGAATTTTTGAGTCATTACAAATCTTCTGAAATACAATTTTAATACAAAGGAGATAAAGAAGTTGGATTACAGGAAGTTAAAGACAAAAGTAGGCTTGGGGAAGGAGGAAGAGGCAAAATGGGTTTAGATCACGATGTAAAATTTTGCACAACTAAAAAAGAAGAGAGAGAGAAAGAGAGAGACAAGGCAGGGCTGTAGGAGGTAGAAATTTTATTCATCTCATTGACCATACAGCCTTGGCTACACTAAGAGGTAAGGCAGCTCAAAGGGCGTTGGCTAATGAAGTGGATTATTGGGAGGGGTTTACTCTTACGGGTTTTAGTGGGGGAATACATTAGGTAAGATGTCTGCTGGGAATAGGAAAGGAAGAAGATGGGGAAGTTATAGTCAGAGAGTGGAAGTACCAAGTTTGAGATCTTGGACTAGAACAATGAGTGTCTTGTAACAGGGGTGCAGAATGTGAGTGTGCTTGTGATATGGAGTGGATGCGGAGGTCTGTAAGGTTGACAAAAGTAAAAACTCTTGACTCAGATGACCTTACTGGTCCTCAACCCAGATGTTGAATTTCATGCGAGACAGGAGAGGAAAGAGCGAGAACATAAGCCACGTGCTTGTTATTCTAGGAAGAGGAAATTGGTCCACGAGAACAACAGACCATTGTGTGACAATTTAAATTATACTATACCATGTGTTTTTTATTTTTAAAGAAGACATGTTTAGAAAAGTTTGAGCTTGAATTAATTTCTCTATTTGTGTGAAAAATGAAAGTATATGTATTGATTCCCTTCTATGTAAAATGCAAAACTCGCATAGGCTTATTTCTCCTTTGTTTTTCCTTCACTCCCCATATTTTGTTTAAATATATGGAATTTAAACATTTATTTTGTAGTATTGCTATTATGATTGAATTTGAAAATCTCATACACCTTTTTTAATTTTTTTTTTTTTTTTTTTTGACGGAGTCTTGCTCTGTCCCCCAGGCTGGAGTGCAATGGCGCCATCTTGGCTCACTGCAACCTCCACCTCCTGGGTTCAAGCAATTCTCTTGCCTCAGCCTCCTGAGTAGCTGGGATTATAGGCACGTGCCACCATGCCCAGATAATTTTTTGTATTTTTAGTAGAGACGGGGTTTCACCGTGTTAGCCAGGATTGTCTCCATCTCCTGACCTCATGATCCACCTGCCTCAGCTGCCCAAAGTGCTGGGATTACAGGCATGAGCCACCCCGCCCGGCCTTTTAAAATTATTTTTGATATTCAGAATGTTTTAGAAATCAATTTATAATCATTTGGATTTAGTTCAGTATGTATTTGGTTTGTCTTAACCATCATTACATTAATGTGACAACTTTTTCATTCCTAAGTTCTTTGATTACTATTTTGCCATCAAATGACCATACCTTTGAGTAATTTTTGTTTTGCAGGAAGGGCACTTGTTGGCATATTTTCAGAGCCCTTGGATATTTAAAAAATCTCTTTTGATCTAGTTGCTTTCATACACAAATGGCATATGCTTAATGGCCCACTTTGGCTACATTCCAGGCAAGATCCAGTTTCACTTCATGGCTTTTCACACTCCCACAGAATGGTTGCAAGTAGCTTCAATAAAAAATAATTTTTGAACTACAATTTCATCTAATATACTGTTCCAGATGCTATAAAAGACATAAAGAAGAAAAGATTCCATTTCTTCCTAAGCACTGAATTCTTGGGTGAGAAATTAATCCCATGAAGCTCCTAGACAATTCCTTAACTTCTGGTGGAGAATATTATAGGGACATCCAATGTCAGACTGGGGTCTTTTCTTTCTTGGTAGGTACCCTGGCTTCCCCACATTCTCTTTCAAAAAAAGTATTCAATTTTCAACTAACATTTGTCTAAGCATATTGTCTTTTATCATTTTTTCTCCTAGTACTAGATTTGCCAACTTAGATCTACCCTCAACCTAGAAAAGAGTGCATTCACAATGTGTTTTCATGCCTTCAGGAACATCTACTACCTTTTCATTGAGTCTTCACTCATTCTTCCCCACAGCTCAAATGTTCTCTTTCAATATTTTAACCTGTTTGTTTTCCCCTTTGTATTTACAAGAGCTTCTTAGCTTTTCATTTCTTGCATTCTTTTTTTGCGTTGACAGTTTTGTACTTTATAGCTTCAAATCCTGATTTTTTGTTGAAATTGCATTCTTCTTTTCTTTAATATTTACTCATCTCATCTAGGTCCTCTGGCTCTTAGCTCTCCCTCTTTTCCTTAAAGTCTAATGCCCCATATTATTTTTTATTTCTTTATAAAATCTATATGCTTCTAAATGTCTTGAGAGAATAGAGCTAGCTCTTTCTAAAATGTATTAGCTCCTGGAGGTGAATAATTTTCCCAGTATGCTTTTCATCAACATCTTAAGTGCTATGCTCTCCATGTTTTATGTTGTAGAATCTTTTAATAGGGTGCCATGTTGGTTTTTTTCCATTTTACTTATTCTCAGCAGAGTAACTGCCTGCCCATAGACAGGGGAGGTGGGTGTTCCCTGGATCCCCTCACTCTCAACCTGGCTGCAGCTAATTTTTCCTCCTGGTCCAGTAAGGGGCTCTATTATGTAAACTGGCTCAACCACCCAGCAGCCTAAGGAAGTGGGGAGAGTCAGAGAGTGGGGCCTTCTAGCAGGAGACCGAAGTTTGGCACCACTTTCTTCTCTGTGGCGGGGGTCAGCTTTCTGAATGCCCAGTACTGGCCCAGCCTCCATGGCAATCCACCCAGTGGCTGAGCCTGGATGCTTTTCAGTGCTGCTGCCTCCGGAATCTGCCCCAGATGCACTGCAGTATTTCTCGTTGCTATAGTGGCCACAGAAGCCTGGACTCTGCAGTGCTTGAAGTTTTTGTTGACTTGGAGGGGTGAGGTGGAGTTCAGTCCATTCTCCTCGCTGCAGCAGAGTGGACTTTCTGAAACACGCATTGGATCGAGTCATTTCTTTGCTGGAAATACTTCAATGGGTCCTCCTTGTCTTTAGATCAAGCTATGCATGTAACTGCCTCTCCAGCCACACCTCTCTGCACTCCCTTAATGCATGCCTTGTAATTCAACTATGTGGATATTTTTTCATTGCCTCAAATGAGCCATGTTCTCTCCTCAATTCAAGTTTATGCACATCACTTCCATCTGCCTGAAATGTTCCCCATCCTACCCCCTTCTCTCAGACACCCTCACACACTTCCACACTCTCACACAACCTGGCGCACTCCTCCTGTGTGCCCTACAGGCTTTCCCCTAAAAGTTCCTTTCTCTAGTTCTTCTCTCTTCTCCCTCCTCTGTGCTCCAAAGGCCACAGGTATCTCTGAGAGCGCCTATCACTCTGTGTCATCCCTGCTTGTTTGTTGGAAATCTGCTATCTGTAACTTCTGCAGGGTAGAAGCCGCGGCTGTTTATCATAATAATCCCAGTGTGTATACATCAGGGCCCGGCACATAGTGTGTTCATATTTGTTAAAAAAACAAATGCATGAATGACTGTGAGTATCAAATTGCCAGTTCTTCCTGGACCTAACTCCTCCTTCCAAATTCAGGCTGTTAATTAAGTTCTGTCAGAGTCTCTTCTTACTTCCCTGAAGTACTTTAGTATCTGTCTTTAGTATGGACCAGGTCACTACTACATTTGCAAAAGTGGACTAATCCTAGGTGAGGATTATATTTGACAATTGAGGCAAAGCATTCCATGCCTGGAACCCAGAAATAAACAAACAAACAAATAAATATATATATATATACACACACACACGTATATATATACATATATATAATATGTATCATATTATATACATACATATATATATGTAGACTGACCTGGAATTCAGTTGTGAAGATTTGAAGATGATTTAGTTTCAAAGGAGGAACAGAGGGAGGGTGTCCTGATGGAAGTGGCATTGGATAATAAAGAGAAAACCCGCTCTTTCTCCCCTAGTTTCCTGTCAGTGGCAGTGTTTAGAAGAGGAGGACTGCAGGAGCTCTACCGCAGAGGGCTGACTGGGCTGGTGTGTTTAGGGAAAACTCAGGTTTCAGTCAAAGAAGGAAGTTGTACACCTTAATGTAGAGTTGCCCTTGAGGCGTAGTTGAAGGATTAGTGGGCAAAGGCAAGGTGAATCTGGGTGTGATACAAATGAGATGGAGTTCAGTGACACAGGAAGGGGACTGGGATGAGGGGTTTTTGTGTGGACTGGTGGTGTAGACAAGGGTGATGGACACTTTGGGTAGGAACAGAATAGAGACACTCTGTTGCTATGAGAAGGGTGAGTTGAAAAATTATTATTATTTTGGGATTAGGATAACTTAAATAAGAGAACTTGAAGCAGATAAACATTCATTTAATGAATATTTATTTAAGCTTGGCACCATGCTGTATGCTGGGGACTTAGTGATGAGGTAAACAGCAACCACCCATTTCTTCATGGCACCGACAGTCTAGTGAGAAACACAGGCATAGACAATATACTTCTCTATAAAATTCTGAACTGTACTAAATGCCTTACAGGAAACATAGAATGTATCTGGAGAGCATATTAACAGGCAGAACTAATTGTGTTTAGTGACAGGCAAGTAAGGTCTCTTTGAGAAAGTAACATTTTCCATATAGACAATGAGTAGGAGTTGGGGAGAGTGAGGATAAGACTATCCCAGGCACAAGGAATAACGTGTGCTAGCCACTGAGGAGGGAAAGAACGTGATCATTTTGAGAAATGAAAAAAGCCCAGAGTGGCTGGAGCTAGTGGTATTTCATGGTTAGAGCCTAAAGAGATAGGCAGAAAACACTGGTAGGTGTTAGAATTTTATCCTAAATGCAAAATAATTCATCAAAGGATTTGAACAAGTGAGTGGCGCATTCTACTTTACATGTTAAGATCATCCTGGCGGCTCTTTAGAAAATACATTGGTCATGATGCAGGGAAACCAGGCCTTTGAGAAGTCCTGAAAAAGATGATGCTGTCTAGAATTAGTGGAGGAATTTCTTGCATTTATTCTGTGTATGAATATCCTTTCCACAACTACATTATCCCCTTAGCCACATCTATACTCCCAGACCATCCTCTCAGTAGGCAGGCCCTGTAGACAGCAGTGTTTATACAGAATGTTTCACCCAACTTTATTCTGAGCAGGTGATGGGACACTCAAGCTTGTTCTTTGTTCTTCAGCTCCAACTTCAGCAGCGTGATAGAAAGTCTCCTGTGTATGGAGCTGAGGTTTTGTAGGACAGAAGTCCCAGGAATGATCTGCTCTGACACAGAAAGAGATGAAACTCCAGAACTCAGGGGCTTGGGTGACTGCTGGTTGGAAAGGTATATAGGAGATGGAGCTCTCTTGACTCAGCCATAGAGGAGAAGGTAGCAGACTCAGTGCAAGGGCCAGCCAAGCTCATTTTTTATCTGTTCCTCTTGTGGGGATTGTTTTGCAATGAGAGTTGACCCTTAACAGGACCAGTAATGTGATCAGACTTTTTCCCACAGACTTCACAGTTGAGAGATGATCAGGAAGGTTGAGCACTGTGGCTCAGCAACCTTTCTTTTTTCAATTCCTTTCTCTTCTCTTCTTTCCTTTCTTTCCCTTTGTTGACCTCCTGTCTTTCTTTCTAATGACTTGTTGCTCCGAGTCAGATTAGTGTTTTGTGGGTGGGGCCCTTGCCTTGAGAGAGCCATAATGAGCTGTTTGTGTCGCCACGTGTTACAGCTCATAAATGCTGACTGTTTTGTGGTCCTTGGCTCACTTGGCTGGAGCATGGTGCTAATGAGGCCCAGGCCATGGTTTCTATTTCAGCACAGACTTCTTAGGTTCACCCTGTTATATTTACTGCCACAGGCTGTGCCCATAATCTTAGTTGTTCACCCTGAAGCCAGAGGACAGAGCAACAAGAAAATATCGGCATCCTCCTACATAATCAAAACAGGATACTTCCTTTGCTAATGGTGGGTTGGTAATGCCATGTCATCTTCACTTGTAGCACTCTGAGCTTCTTCTCCTTTCCCTACTTCCCTCAACAGTCAGCTCAGATTGACCTTCTTTATTTCGAAAACTAACTTGATCTGCAGCAATCACACACCCCAAAAGCTTTTTCATCACTGAAATATTTTCACTTCTAATTCTTTTGCCAACTAACTGTGCAAAGTTGGACAAGTTGCTATATCTCTCAGGTCCTAGTTTCCTCATCTGTAATATGAGCATGTTAGATTAGATGCTGTCCAAGGTTAGATTAGATTAGATTAGATGTTAGATTACATGCTGTCCAAGGTCAGTTCCACCACTGACACCAAGTGTCTAGTACAGTGGCTGGCATAGATACCGAGGTGAATGGCAGACACAGTCCCTGCCCTCCTGGAGCTTATAGCGAAATGGGGAAGAGACTGTAAAGAGTAAATAAATATAGAATCACAGCTCGTGATACATTCCACGATGGATTGAATGGAATGATGCAGTGGTGGAGAATCATGGGGAGATGTGCATTTGGAGACCTACTCTATTGATAAGACGGGTATCTCGCCATGTGAATAAGCAGGGAAAAAATGTTTCAGGTGGACGGAGCAGCTTATGCAGCAGCACTGAGGCAGGAGAGAACTTAATGTTTAAGGAACCAAAAGGAAATCGTTGTGGCTGAAGTAAAAAGTACAAACGGGAGAGTGAAGCTAAATAAGATTGTAGAGAAAGAAGAGTCGGCATCATGCAGGATAATGTGAGTCCAGAAAAGTAGTTTGAATTTTATTTAAAGGATTGGAAGTTTAAGCAGGAAAAAAATATTAACTGATTTATATCTTTAAAATATTTTATGGCTGTCGTATGGATAATAGATTGAAGTCGGACAGGATTAGAAGAGAGGGGAGGTTCTGAGTTCCTAGAATAATGTGGTGGCATGTGAAATGGAAGGAGTTAGGTTTGAAACGTATTTAAGAGGCACAAGTAAACAGTCAGAAAACCATCAGTAGCTACTAGTGACTCCAGTGTTTTAAGTTTAATGTATCAGCCAAGAATTGGGGAGGGTGACATGTCATACTAGGTTAGCCCAGACTCATTGTGGCATTAGAGAGAAAATTTTTAAACACTAGCTGGTTTTTATTTTCTCTTTTGCATTTAGGAAGTGAGATGTATTAGCCCACTGCCATAGCCTGATGTTAAGTGATTCTAGCCTGCAATATCTGGCAGGAGGAAATTACTAAGAGGAATTATTGTTGCCCTCAAAAACTTGCCTTGTTCAGCTTCGTAGAACATGTTTTGGGAGTTCACCAGCAAAGTTTGCGTGTCGACATATATGACAATACATGCTCAGCCTTGTTGAACTGAAGATTTTGTAGCTTGGTAGCACTGGGGAAAACATAGCTCTCCATTTCCACCAGGCTTTTATATTTAGGTAACTCATAACTTAGTGCTCTCTCATCCCTCTCTGCCTATTAACAGTCATCTGTCTTTAGTCTCTTCTATGTGCTACTGCCCAACGAATGTTCAAACACATCTTTGATCATGTTGTCTCCCACCCATGCACCTATACTCTACTTTGCTTATTGTATCAAGTTCAGAATTATACTTGATGTCAAATCTCCTAATGATCTCCAACCATTTTCTCCCATTAAGCCCCTCACTACCGCCGTCAGTAAACCTTCCTTCTCCACCCCAGGCTGGTGCTTTCTTGCCATGGAGTAGTGGGATAAGCTCAATGATCTTAGAGCATACACTTAACACCTCTAGGTGCTCACCAAGAACTTTTCCCACTATCTAGTGACCTTCTGCCTTTATCCCTCTCTGAGTGTTCCTTAACTGTCTTATGCACCTATGCCTTCTCAGGGTGCTGTAAGACCCTGGGATCAGGGACCTCATCTGTAGATTGTGTTGATCACATCCAGGACTGAACACTCAACTCTGCTGCAGTAAAAGAGCATCAGATTTGCAGTCAGACTGATCTGGGTTTCAGTGCAGCACTCTCACTCACCAACCGTGTGAACTTGGGAAGGATTTTTTTTTAATTCCTGAGCCTGAAGTTTCTTATTTTTAGGCTTCTGCATTGGTTTTCTCCTGTGCCAGGAGGGTGGTGACATGAAAGAAGTTGCTGAATCATAGCAGATATTCCACCGGGGCTTTTAGAATAAGCAAGTACAATGACTGGCTGCTGTTTCCTCACTCTGAATTTTAGAACTAGTTGATAGAATTTTAATAATAACTGGAGAAAAAAATCTGGCAGAAGTGAGACTGGAAGGGAATGTGAATTTGAAGAAATGTGCCTGAACCTTAGAGAACTGTGATCCATTCAGTAGATAATTACTTACAAGCCAATATCTTCTTGAATCTCTACATTTTCTGTCTTTAACAAGCACTATCAAACAGATACATGGTCCAAAGGTGTTCAGTGAAGGCAGCTAATCTTCAAAATTCAGTCTCATTCAAAAACCGGCAAACCGTACCTAAAAAATGCATTTCCCTTTTAGATAGGAGTTTGCAGTAACCAGTTGTTTGAGTCGTGATTTGAGTCCTCACCTCCTCCATCCCGTCCACTTCCCCATGCCTGTGTGCCCTTGGGAAGCCCGAGACATGCAGAGACGGCTTGATATGGTCAGGTCCTCACCTCAGGTCTTTGTTAAGAATTTTAGAGTGAGGCAGCCCCAGTTTAAATCCCAGCTCTCCTGCACTCACTGCCTCACACAAATACCTTGGGTGTAACTTAAAGCCACACCCTTGTTCCTCGTCGTGGGGGCTGGGAGCCTTTGCCTTAGACCCCCATCCTTTGCTATTGTAGTGGCCTACCATATCAAGCACAGGTGGTCTCATGCTTTTCATCCTTCAATGTGCTCTTTTTTTCAGGCAGAGCCAACCTATCCTGTTACATTGTGTGGGCTTCCTTCATCAGATTCCATGAATCCACATCCCTGAAACTAGGGTGCCTCTGGGTGAGCACAATTTGCTCCAGTCTCATCATTCTTGGCTTTACCATTCACAGCAGTACTATACCAGGGCTTTGCATCTTTAATCACTTCTCTTTATCTTTACTTGCCATAATAGTTAAAAAGTAGACTTCTTCTTCTGAGATAATTTTAGTTTAATGGGCAGTTATAAGAATACAGAGAGATACACTGTTTATCAGAAGTTCAAATGCAACTGGACATCCTCTATTTTATTTGCTAAATCTGGCACACTATTTGGAAAACAGCTCCACTTTCCTATCTCCGTCTTCCTATTTTCTGGCCTGTAGATGTCTCTGTCCTGGAGGAGAGGTCCAGCTGAGGGCTCAGGGTCAGAGTCTAGGGTTGCAGCTAGGTGCTTTGCTGGTGGCCAAGTGTGTCCCCAAGGTAGGATCAGGCAAAGCAGAAGTTGACTATAAATCTCCATGTTGGATTTTGAGGAGCTGATCATGAGGTTTTCCCTCCTTGGTGAAAGAGAAAGCTCTTCCCCAAGTGAGGGACATTTTCTCTTAATTCTCCTTTGCCCACGCTGCGACAGGTCTCCTGTGTCTTCTGGATGATGCACGCATCAGCAATCCTTGCCACAAGGGGGCACTGTGTGACACCAACCCCGTCAATGGGCAGTATATTTGCACCTGCCCAGAAGATGTGGACGACTGTGTCATGGGGGAGTACCCAGAACCTTTCCTATTCCTTGGAGTGTCTATCGAACTCAGCAAGTGTTTAAACAGAGGCACATTTTACTGTTAGAGCAAGTTACACCCAAACCTCGGATTTCTCTTGCTACACCTGCAGTGTTTACAACTAACCTTTCAGCGTAACCATAACCATATATTTCAATCTCGTGATTAAACATATGGAAGGTATGCACTTGATTCTTAATATAAAGCCCCACTTCAGTGATAGTTTGGGTAAAAGAATAGCAGAAACGCACATCTCTCTCTCTCATACACACACACACACCCCTACACATACACACACACACTTCTCCTCTCTTCTAGTTAGAGGGTAGAATTGGAAATTAAGAATTAAGAATTAGATTATAAAAGGCCTGGCCACTTTGCCAGATTGATACTGATGATTGTTCCAGTACTCGTGTCCGAATGGGGCAAAGCATACCGATCACCCGAATAGCTATGAATGCCAGTGTGCCACAGGTAAGTTTCTCCTCACTCTTCATCCCCTTGTAGGTCCAATTGAACAAAATAGGGGGACCATCCTCTGCTAGCTACTCTACCGGTACCACTCCCAGGGGCTACTCTGTGTTTAGAGAGCTTCTTCCGGCAGATTTTTTGCTGCTCTCACTCTTTTTTTTCTCCAACAGCTGCTTTCTTCTGCACCACAACAGTGGTCTGGCCTGGGTATTTCCACTTAGTATCCATGTCTTTCTGCGACAAATTTTGAGAGCAATAAGTTTCCAGCTGGTTTGGTTTACTCCCTTGAAAAAGAGAAGAATTCCAGTTGAAATGTATTTTTCATCAGGGCTTCTCAACAAGAGGCCTCTCTCTGTCTTTCTTGAGGAAAGTGACTGAAAGAAGGCCCAGAAATTTAAGGGTGGAATACATGCAAGTGCAAAGGTTTTCTCTGCAAATGGTTTTGTCTTTCCCTGGACAGATTCTTCAGATTCTTCTTGTGAAGGATAAGTTTCACTGGAAAGAAATTAAAACCCTTGAATTCATGTTTAAAAGGGATGAAAGGTCAAATGGAGCCTTTTAGCAAAGGTTTAATGTTGATTTATTTAAGCCTTGAAGAAAGGACCTCTTATTTGTTTCTTTTCCTTTAAAATTACCATAACTGGGAGAAGGGAAAAATGGTGGTGGAAGTTCCCAACCCTTCTTCTCTTCACAAACACATGATTCAGCAATAATTTATAGACAAGTTCTCTTTGGGAGATATCATACACACATTGAAAGCATCTTGAGCCCTGGGAAAATAAAAAATCAAATTCAATGAAGCTGATAAGGAGATTCAGGACACCTTCACAAGAGACCCTGTCCCCATTTCATCCCCTTACAGTCAGGAAGAGACAACCTAGTTTCCAGCTTCACCTAGGGGAGGGAGGGGGTTGGTGTCAACTTTTCTGAAAGGACTCCATAGAAGACTGGATTTCCACATACTGGTCTTGGGATCTCATGGATGCAGTGCAGCACAGTCACCTGGAGGCAAACAGAGACAGTCACTTGGGCTAGTGGAAGCCACTGACCTACCCCTCTGCTCAGCACAGAGTGAGGAGGTAAAAAACCCAGCTTTAAGATTCTCTCTGGAGAAAGCGTTGATCCATGTGTCCAGTGCTCCAACTTTTCCAGGGATGCTCAAAGATCTAGTATCTGTCACAACAGTCTTGAAATTCTAATGGGTTCGGCACTGTCTGTCTGCCTGGGAGAGAATAGAGATAGTGGCTTGAGCCTGTAGGTGATATAGTTTCCCCCCTGGCTTAGCACATAGTGAAGAGCCAATAGCCACATCTATCTGCTTCTCTCTGGGGACAGAAAGTTGGTAGAGGCCTCAAAAATCTCTGGCTGTGAAGACTGGTGCAAACCTTCTCTTGTGTAAGGACAGCCCATAAAGACTGAGAAAGGTGCATGCCCTTTCAGATGTGTAGGCACCAACACAGAGAGTCAAGAAAAAAAAATTAGCAAGGATGTTCTGAATAAAGAAACAAGATAGATATCTAGAAACTGACCCTAATGAAACACAGTTATATGGTTTATTTGACAGCAAATTAAAAATAATTCTCATAAAGATGCTCACCAAACCCAAGAGAACAATAAATGAACAAAAGGAGAATTTCAACAAAAAGAGATAGAAAATATTGAGAAGTACTAAATGGGAATCATGAAGGGGAAGAACACAATAACTGAACTGAAAAATTCACTAGAGGGATTTAACAGCACATAGATAAAGCAGAATTAAGGATCAGTGAACTTGAAACAGGGCACCAAAAATAATTCAGTCAGAGTAACAAAAACAAAATTTAAAGAATAAAGAATGATTAGGGGAATTATGTAAAACTATCAAATGGACCAATATACACATTATGAAAGTTCCAAAAGGAGAATAGAGAGAGAAAGGAATAAAAAGCTTATTCAAAGAAATAATGGCTGAAAACTCCCCAAATCTGGGGAAAGAAACACACAGATGCAAGAAGCCCGAAGGACACCAAACAAAAGGAGCACAAAGAGTTCCACACTGAGATACACTGTAATCAAGTTGTAAAAAGTCAAAGACTGAGAATTTTGAAAGCAGCAAGACAAAAGTGATTTGTCACATAAAAGAAAACCTCCAGAAGACTGTCAGAAGATTTTTCAGCAGACATCTTGCAGACTAGAAGGAATTGGGGTGATATATCCAAGGACCTGAAGGAAAAAATAATCCTGATAACCAAGAATGCTCTGTCAAAACTCTCACTCAAATATACAAGAAAAAGACTTTAACAGGCAAACAAGAGCTGAGAGCGTTCATCACCACTAGGCCTATCTTACAAGTAACACTAAAGGAAGTTTTTCAAGTTGAAATAAAAGGACACAAAACAGCAACCTGATAGCAAAAGAAAGAGTGAAACTCATTGGTAAAGGTAAATACATAGACAAATATAGGATACTGTATTATTATAATGGTGGTGGGTAAATTACTTTTAACTCTAGTATAAAAGTTAATAGACAAAGTATTAAAAATAACTATCACTAAAAAATGTTAAGAGACTCACAGTATGAATAGATGTAAATTGTGACAATAATAACATAAAGTATGTGTTTGGGGGGATAATTGAAAGTGTAGTTTTTGTACATGGTTAAACTTAAGTTGTTATCAGCTTAAACTGTTATAACAATAAAATGTTTTATTTAAGCCCAAGGTAATCACAAAAAAAATACCATAGAGATTACATTAAAAAAGAGAAAGGAATCAAAGCATACTTATACCAAAAAAAGAAAAACAGCCCAACAAAACACAAAGGAAGAGAGAAACAGAAGAAAAGACACTGAAAGGAATGGCAAGACTAACAGATAACAACTTAAAAATGCCAACAGTAAATTCTTTTCTGTCAGTAATAACTTTAAATATAAATGGGTTAAAACCCTCCCCAATCAAAAGACATAAAGTGGCTGGATGGATTTTTTTCAAAAAAGCAAGGCCGGCCAGGCATGATGGTTCACACCTGTAATCCCAGCATTTGGGGAGGCTAAGGTAGGTGGATAACTTGAGGTCGGGAGTTCAAGACCAGTCTGGCCAACATGGTGAGACCCTGTCTCTACTGAAAATACCAAAGTTAGCTGAGCGTGGTGGTGGGCACCACTACTCGGGAGGCTGAGGCAGGAGAATCACTTGAATCCGGAAGGTGGAGGTTGCAGTGAGCCACGATCATGACACTGCACTCCAGCCTCAGTGACAGAATGAGACTCCATCTCAAAAAAAAAATAATAAATAAAAAATAATAAAAATAAAAACCAAGACCCAACCTATGCTGTCTATGACAAAGTCATTTTAGATTTAAGGAAACACATCAGCTGAAAGTAAAGGGGTGGAAAAAGAAATTACATGCAAATGGTAACAAAAAGAGACCAAGAGTGACTGTATTTCTATCAGGCAAAGTAAACTTTCTGTCAAAAACTGTCTCAAGAGACAAAAAAGGATTTTACAATGATAAAATATCAATCCACCAGCAAGATACAACAGTCATAACTATGTATGCACCCAACATTAAAGCACATATATATATATATATATAAAGCAAACATGGACAAAACTGAAGGGAGAAATAGAAGAAATACCACAATAGTAGAAGATTTCAAAACTATATATGTACATGCAAAAGAAAAAAGCACTTTACACCACATACAAAAGTTAACTCAAAATGGTTCAAAAGCCAAGCATGGTGGCTCATGCCTATAATCCCAACAATTTGGGAGGCTGAGGCAGGAGGATTGCTTGAGCCTGGGAGTTAGAGACAACCTAAGCAACACGTGAAATTTCATCTCTGCAAAAAAATAGAAAAAAAATAGCTGGGTGTGGTGGCACATGCTTGTAGTCCCAGCTACTCGGGAGGCTGAGGTGAAAGGATCAGATCACTTGAGCCCAGGAGGTTGAGGCTGCAGTGAACTGTGTTCACACCACTGCAAACTCTAGCTTGGGTGACAGAACATGACCCCATCTCAAAACAAAACAAAACAAAACCAAAAAAGGATCAAATACCTGTATGTAAGACCTAAAAGTATAAAACACTTAGAGAAAAACATACAAATTAGCTGGGCATGGTGGTGCACGCCCTGTATTCCCAGCTACTTGGGAGGCTGAGGCAGGAGAATTGCTTGAGCCCAGAAGGCAGAGGTTGCAGTAAGCAGAGATCACACCACTGCACTCCAGCCTGGGTGAGAGTGAGAACCCGTCTCAAAAAAAAAAGAAAAAACACAGAAAAAAGTGTATTATGATATTGAATTTGGTAATCGGATTTCTTAGATGTGACACTGAAAAATGGGAAGCAAAAGTAAAAATAGATAAACTGTACTATGCAATTTAAAAACTTCTGTGCATCAAAATTTAAAACTTCTGTGCATCAAAGCACAAAATCAACAGAATGAAAAAGCAACCTACAGAATGGGAGAAAATATCTTCAAGTCATATATTTGGATACAGGGTTAATTTCCAGAATATCTAAAGAACCCCTACAATTCAACAAAAAAGAAACCAAACACCTCAAACAATGGACAAAAATTTGAATACACACTTCTCTGAAAAAGATATCCTTATGGCCAATAAGCACAAGAAAAGATGCACAATATCACTCATCATTAGAGAAATGCAAATCATAACCACAATGAGACACCACGTTACACCCATTAAGATGGCCATTATCTATAAAAACCAGAAAATACTAGTATTGGGGAGGATGTAGAGAAATTGGAACCTTTGTACACTGCTAGTGGGAATCTAAAAAGGTGCAGCTGTTATGGGAAACAGTATGGCAATTCCTAAAAAAATTAAAAATAGAACTACCCCATGATCTAGCAATTCCACTTCTGGATTTATATCCAAAAGAATTGAAAGCAGAGACATGAACAGATGTTTGTATACCTATGTTCATGGCAGCCTTACTCACAATAGGCAAAAGGTGGAAGCAACCCAAGTGCCCATCAGTGAAGAATGATTAGACACAATGTGGTAGGCAGAAACATCTAGCTATCATTCAGCCTTACAAAATAAGGAAATTCCAACACAAAATACTACAACATTGATGAACCCTAAAGACATTGTGCTAAGTGAAATAAGCCAATCACAAAAGGGCAAATACTATGAGATTCTATTTACATGAAGTACCTAGATTAGCCAAATTCACACAGATAGAAAGCAGGATATTGGTTGGGAGGGGTAAAGGGATGGAAGAATGGAGAATTGTTGTTTAATGGGTATGGGGTTTCAGTTTTGCAAGACGAAAAGAGTTCTGGAGATTATTTGCACAACAATGTAAAATACTTAACACTGCTGAACCACACACATAAAAATGGTTAAGACGGTCAATATTATAGTATGTGTATTTTACCACAATCGAAATTTTTAAAAAATCCTAATGTGTAAATATCCTTATGATTTTTAAATAAATGCTCTCAATTCAGTTTTTTAATTTTCATATAAAGTTTCCTTCAATAATGTCATTACTTAGCTGTGTAACTTCGGGCAGGTTATTTAACCTTGCAGTGCCTCAGTTTCTCTTTTCTAAAATGAGAAAATAATGACACCTATCTCATGGAGCTGTTGTCAGCAGTATGCATGTTAATAATACACATGTAGCTCTTAGAAGGCTGCTGGCACATATGCTGAGAAAAAACAGTCTGGGGACCAACCTTCCCTGTGAGACTGCCGCAAGTTCATCTTTCATTAGAAGTGTGACTAAGAAACAGGAGGCCGAGCGTGGTGGCTCACGCCTGTAATCCCAGCACTTTGGGAGGCCAAGGCAGGTGGATCATGAGGTTGGGAGATCGAGACCATCCTGGCTAACACGGTGAAACCCCGTCTATACTAAAAATACAAAAACTTAGCTGCGCGTGGTGGCGGGCACCTGTAGTCCCAGCTACTCAGGAGGCTGAGGCAGGAGAATGACGTGAACCCTGGAGGCAGAGTTTGTAGTGAGCTGAGATCGCACCACGGCACTCCAGCCTGGGCGAGAGAGCAAGACTCAGTCTCAAAAAAAAAAAAAAAAAAAAAAAAAAAAGAAACAGGAGATTGGGATGGGGCACTGCAGGCCTGCGGTGTTGCCTGAGGAGGGAGAGGAGCACTGAGGTAAGATGAGAGAAAAGCAGGAAGACCCAGCCTAGAGCAAGACCAAAAAACTTAGCCTGACACAAATCTGAGAGGGACAATCCCCCCTTGGATATAAGAAGTGGATACTGACTCCTGCCAAGGCACCCCTCAGTCCTCTCCTCCCACCAAAATCACTGTGCAAACGGGAAGGAAGATGTGGAGGCAGAGACACGGGGGTCCTTGAAAGGCGTTCCTCACTCCTCCTCTGTGCTACTTAGGAGAGTGGCAAACATAGGGCCAGGTGTCATTCAGCACACACGCACTCACAAAAGCTCTGCCTCTGCAAGCAGACACTGCAAACACAAAATTTTCTTAACAGCCTTGCCCCAGGACACTGCCAGGGCCTGGCATCATCTTGTCATCATTGCACTGTGGTGCAATGCAAGAGTTAGGACAGCTCAGCGTCATTAACCCACCTGAGATCACCCCAAATACTGAAAATGCTTATAGAATCATTTTCTATTCATAAAATGTGTTGTCGGCATTTATTGATCAGCATGGGTGCAGGTGCGGATGTTCACATGGATCAAGTTGAGGGAGGCAGAGGGAGAGGCAGACAATTGCTTTGTTCCCTGGGATTCTGAGAAACAAGACTATACCTTGAATAGCATGGTAATTCTAGGAAACTCACTACTTTCAGAGCTTTAGTGTATGGAAAAGCCATTAGAGCATGATTCTCAGAATACCCACAACTTGGTCACAAACTGAGGGGCAAGTGAACACTCGAGAAGTAGAATGCACTGGTTTGTTTCCAAAACAAGAATGCTGTTTATTTGCTGATCAAAACTTGTGGGAAAAATTAAAGTAAAAAAATATTGGGAGAAGAATGGAAAGCCTTTGGATAAATGATTAGCTGGTTAAATAAATGAGCCTGTGTTACTGAATGAGTATGGATTGCCCGGTTACTTTTTTTGTTTCTTGACACTCTTTGCTTTGGGTCGTTTACTTTCAATGTTTGCTTTAGATTCTTCCTGTCCAGTTTTTGCTTTAGATTCTTCCTGTCCAGTTTTTGCTTCAGATTCTTCCTGTCCAGTTTTTGTTTTAGATTCTTCCTGTACAGTTTTTGTTTTAGATTCTTCCTGTTCAGTTTTTGCTTTGGATAGTGGCATTTTTTCCTGTTTGGGTTTTAAGTGGTTTCCTATCACTTGCCGGAAAAACACAAAAACCACTGAAAGGATTAATAAAATAAGGCGAAACATTATGATGGACACAACCCAAATTGACGAGGGAATCGCCCCTCTGAGCAGTCCTGGAGGCCCACTGTCAATGCTTCCTCCATACCCCACTTCCTCACAGAATGGAGGTGCCCACCCATACATGCAGTGGCAGTTTTTTCTGTTGTTGCAAACACCCCGGGTATTGCATTTCTCAGGCAAACAGTCAAACTGCAGGACTGAGCTATTGACGCAATTTTTTTTAAAACATACCCGGCCTTCTCCACAGGAGGTGCCATCATTTATCATACCTAGGTCAGGTATTCCCATGGGTTTCATGGATAGATGATAGCCTGTGCCCCAGCACATGAGATTTTCTGCCTGTAAATGAGTAGAAATTATAGTCGTATGCTCTGGCAAATCAGGGATGGTTTCAACATTTATACACTGTAGCCTGCCACATATTGAATTTGCACTTTCACACTTTTTAAAATTTCGAATTCCTGTAATCTCACAGTTACCAAATTGATCACCTATTAAGTTAACTGCATCATAGCACTCACTAGGAGCCTCCATGGCATCAGGTCCAAAAATGCTTTGGCACTGCATATATCTGGATCTGCACCCCTTCCTGAAACAACGGCCTTCATACTTGCAAGGGGTTCCATCCTGCTTATAAACGTCATTTGGGCAGGAACTTGAATTCCCGTCGCAGTACTCTGCAAGGTCACATTCATTTCCTTCCTGCCTACACACGTATCCAGATGGACGAAACCGACAATCATGACAGCAAAGTCCAATGCTACAGTTGGCACCTGGTTGCAACTTACAATTTGATTGGCAACACCGATCTTTCTGACACTCCTCTGTGGAACCACAGTCACATTCCTCATTGTCCTCCACAATTTTGTTTCCACATCTCTTAAGCACATAACCTAGTCCTGGGATATTATTTAGACATGTTGCTCCCGAAGAGATATGTTTAAAAAAAGAGATATAACTGCAATTGCTAAACCCAGTGCGTCCTGAGCCCATGATGCAATTAAGCCTACCCCTACATTGGCAGTATTGTTCATCATGTGACATTCCTACAGCATGACCCAGCTCATGAGCAGACCAGGTAGCAGGGGCAAGGATATTTGTATCTAGTAAAGTACTCACTGATCCAGCATATTCTAGAGAACACACTTTTCCAAACGACCATGCAAGAGCATCATTATATTTTCTTTGAAGATATAAATGTGCCCAATCTGATGACAGGCGAGCATTTAATACACTTTTTTTATATATTACAAATCTGCCTAAAACTTCAGCTAACTCTGGATATCCAACGCGTATTTTGTTAAAATCTGTCCATACTTCAAGAGCCTTTAAGTGTATCCTCATACGAACATCTTGAAAGTAGGTGTCCATAATCCCAGTCAAAAGAATGGCATCATGTATGACTTGAGAAAGATTGTTGTTCACAAACCTATACCTACTTTGATCAAAGAGTAGGATCAATTCCAAGTACTTTGGGTGTTTATAGGATCCAGGAAAGTCCCTTAGCCTCGCCTTATTCTCATAAGGGGCCATCTGCCATTCTATTTCATCATCACTTAAGCCACAAACCTGATTCCCAAACTGCTCTTTCTTCAGGAGATAGACGACATGTTCAAAACTGGGAGAGGCCTTGAGGGGCTCAATTTGGTAATGTTTGGCATCAATGTTAAATACACCTCGGAGACCCCCCATGCATGTGCTTATAGTAGCTTTAGAGTCCAGAGACTCTTTCACGGAGCCCATGTAGTTGCAGTCCTTTGGTATGTAAGGATGATCCTCCAGCAGTTCCCCATGTTCTGTGAAGGAGAAAACGCGCAGATGTCGGGGCAACAGAAGTCTCTTGGGCCACAAATGGAGGACGTGCTTCTTGCCTTTTAACTGCAGTAGGTAGGACACGGGACTGACCACACCCTGCACCTCTCCCCGGAAGCTCAGCTTCTCAGGAATGGTGACTTCATACGAGTCAAACTCCCCTTCAGGGTGAAAAATTACATCTTCGCCAAGAGACTTAAGGAGCATTGTCGGAACTAGTAGAAGGAGCAAACGGCATTGGGAGAGGAAGATCTGCACTGACCTCATGGTCTGTTCCCTACTCAGCCTCAGTTTGCTATTCAGTCCCTGCAACTCTGGCCTCGCGAGTCAGATTTCTGGGGGCCGCCGCTAGAGGCGCCTGAGCTCAAAACCCGGCTCCCCTGGCAGGGTTTCCGGGGGAGCCCGTAGCCTCCCAGGGCTCGGTCTAGCTGGCGTCCGCAATGCGCGCGTGACCTGTCCAACGCATCCAGTTCGTTTTCCGGGCCGTACCGTTGGGCGCAGGTGGAAGAAAGGAGGGAAACGTGGGCGAGAATAAAAGAGAAAAGAGGGGCTGTTGGCACGTGGGTTGGAGAGAGGGTAGAGAACACCATCGGAAATGGAGAAGGAATAGAGAAATAGGAAGAACAAAGGAGAACGTGTTAAAGGCTCACTGTATCTTTGCCTTTACTCTGTGTCTTTACACCTTAGGACACAGGTTGGAATCCGATGTTTTATGGGCCACTGTCCTAACTTCATTGTTGGACATTTCCCAGTTTTCCACTAGGGTTGCTTGTGGCAAAAGAAAGGAGCATCAGAACCAGCAAGAGTGGAAACAGCCTGAAAGTATCAGCGTAGACTCCACACCCCCAGCCCCACTCTGGGCAGTTCCTCTGTCTTCGGCTGCGGCTTCTTTTTAGAGAAGGCCCTGAACCTTAGTTGTGGGCCCAGGCAACAGAAAGGTCCTGAGCTCATTTTGCCTGGGAGTGCTTTCTGCTGTTTGTCTTTGGGGTGCCAGGGGTCAGTGTAATTTTTGTGTGTCCATGTGCAATGGTGGGAAGAACCTAGAAAAAGTGCCTGTTATAAGAGCAAACCCAAGTGCTTTCTGAGAAAGGTAGATAGCTGGTTATGTTCCTAGTCGAGCGATGAGGCTGACTCCACAAAGGAAGAAGCCTCTGGCTCAGAAAATGGAAGGGTTTATCGTCCGTAAAAGGGCAAATCGGAAGGTCATGAGGTGATTCTGAGGGATTCTGATAAGAGAGGAATATTTTCAGTTTTGTTCCTGGGAGATTCCATCTGGCTGAATTACAAGGAAAGGTTAAAAAGGAACAGGCTTGAGTCAGGGAGACTAGTTAAAAGCTCTTGTACCAAGCAATGTTGTCTGTTGGCAGAAAGCATGGCCTTAGGGCTGATAATAAGCAGTACTTATGGAAGACTGGCTCGTTTCATGCTACACACCCCGCTATGCTCTGCATAAATCAGCCCATTAAATCTTCACCATGACCCTAGGTTATAGGTACTACTATTATCACCCATACTTTGCACATGAGGACATGAAAACCGTACCATGGTTCAGAAGGTGGCGTCAGCTGAAGCAATCCCTGTGAACATTTAGGCAACTCTACCCGGAGCCTGTGTTCTTTACTAGTCAACTCTGTTGTCTCTTTAGGGAAGGACAAAAGTTGACAGCTCCAAGAGATTTAAAACCACTTAGACTCTGCTGGACTTAATGCTTGCATGGATTCTCCCAGAATGAAAGAGGCAAAAATGAAAAAGAATGTTGATGTTTCTGGCTTAGGTGTATGTGTGTGTCATGGTTCTAACCACTCAAAGAAGAAAAACATCAGAACAAATAGATTTAGATAAAGGAAATAAATATGAAAAGCTCTGCTTGCAAAATGTAGATTTCCAGGTGCCAGTAAAGGAGCATTGAAGAAGGGATTTCTCAACTGCAGACGAGTAGGCAGCATCCTCTGGGCTGAGATGCCTGAGTTGGAGCTGAACTGGAGTCCTCTGCACAGTGGTGCTGATTGAAGCCATAAAAGCTGATGATGATGCCTCATGGGATGGTGAGGAATGAGCAGAGAAAGACCAGGTTGGATCGCTCAGGAATAGTAGGATTTAAGGTCAGGCTGAAGGAAAGAAGCTTGCAATGACCTGTGAAGTAGTGGATATTGATATAAAAAGAAAGGCAGGGTAACAGGTGATTGCAGAAGCACTTCATGAACGATGTTATGACCAAAAGGTGAAATGCTGAGCAGAGTTCCAGAAACACTGCAATGAGCACAAAGGAGGTTATAGAAACTTTAGTGCAAACTGTTTCGGGGCACTGCTGATGAGCAAAGCCACATACCAGGAGGTTGGAACGTAAATTGGAGGTTAGAAAGAGGAGATCACAAACCTAGACTGCACTTTCAAGAAATTGGGTGAAGGAGAGAGAAAAGGTAAGAAAGTAGCTTGGGAACCATGTGGTAGAAAGAGGACTTGTTAGAGGAAAGAGTCCCTGCTGGAGCCTTGCTCAGCCTCCAGGAGAGGTTGGGTGATGATGCAGCGTGATCCTCCTTGGGGGCATCAGAGCAGGAGGCAGGGGTGGAGCAGACAGCAGGGTAGCAGGCAGTGAAGCTATGAGTGCAGTGAGAAAATAAGGGAGAGCTAGTCAGAAGGCTTCAGCTTTCTCTGTGACGTCAGCTGCTGGGAGTGTAGGGGTGATAGAGCTGAAAGAGATGAAGAAGAGAGCTCAGGAGACAGAGGACAAGGGAAAAATAAAAGTATCACCAAGTGTGTTGAGGGCCTAATTCAGGTTGGAAACCAGAAATTGCAGTTTCCTATCTGTAAATTAATTTGATTTTCTCAAGCAACACCCAGCAGCCTAAATTGGGGAGGGCAATTTGAATATATCTTCTGGATCTATTCTATTTAATCAAATCATCATTTTCATCTCTGTACCATTTTTCTTTGGGCTGTTATAGAATTTCTTGAAGAAAAACACTAATTCATCAACTCCCATTGCTACAATATAATTTGTGTGCTAAACGCAGATGTGTAGCATCTGAGTGTTGGACCCTGAGCCTTGTGTAAACAGCCTGCTTTGAAATATTTCTCTTTATTTATGGAAATTATACATGTGTATCACAAAGGATACAAATAACCCTGAATGATAATAGAGTAACAAATGAAAGCCTCCATTATCCTCCAACCCTGCATGCTTGTCTAATACACTCCCCTCCGCAGATGTGACTGATAAGTATAATTCTTTCTCCATTTTCTGATATGTCTTTACAAGTATAGAAACTATGTAATATTTAACGGCATTATGCCAAGTGAAATAAACCATACCCAAAAAGATGAATACTGTATCATCTCACTTATATGTGGAATAAAATAATCAAAGTCATAGAAGCAGAGAGTAGAATGGTAGTTTCCAGGTCCTGGGGGGAGGATGAAATGAGGTGATGGTCAAAGGGTACAAAGTTTCAGCTGTGCAAGATAAACAACTTCTAGAGATCCATAATACAGTACAGTGCCTATAGCCAACAGTACTGTACTGTATACTTAAAATTTACTAAGAGGGTTGATCTCTTGTATTCTACACACACACACACACACACACACACACATGCCAATAATGATAAAGAGGGTGCAAGGAAACTTTGGAGGTGATGGCTATGTTATGGCCTTGATAATGGTGATGGTTTCACAGGTATGTATTCCTCCCCAAATTCACTGAGATGTAAATACATTAAATATGTACAACTTTCTACATGTGAATCATACCTTAATAAAATGGTTCAAATAAATAAATAAGTACATACTATTCATATTATTTTACCCTTGCCTTTTTTAGTGAACAACATATTGGGGCCAGGAGTGGTGCCTCACGCCTGTAATCCCAGCACTTTGGGAAGTGAGACGGTGTATCACTTGAGCTCAGATGATCAAGACAAGCCTGGGTAACATAGTGAGAGCCTGTCTCTATTTTTTTTTAAAAAGTGAACAACATATTGTAAGTAGTTTTCTGATTTAGATTATTGCTTCCAATAGATGTATACTGTTCTATAGTATGGAAGCAAATATTTATTTAACAATTTTCCTCATGTAAGGATGATGTAATTATGTTGTTTAAAATATTACATTTATCTTGTTTATAAGGTTTTCTATATTTTGACAGTAAATATATATGTGTATATTTACAACAATTTATACACACACACATAATAAATACACATACATTTTCTTTGCCCCTGAAAAGCATTTACATTGTGATAGAGTCCTAGAATTAAAAGTGTTAGATCCAGGAGAATACAACCTCCCACTAAAAATCTTCTACTTCTTTGCAAACTATCTATAAAATAGTGCTTCCCAATAGAACTTTTTGTGATGATGAAAAGGTTAACATAGCCCAATACTGTAGCCACTAGCCACCTCTGGCTATTGAGCACTTGAAATGTGGCTAGTGTGACTGAGCAATTGAACTTTATACTTTAAAATTTATTTAATTTAAATTTATTTCATTTTTTAATTAATGTATTTATTTATTGAGACAGAGACTCACTCTGTCGCCAGGCTGGAGTGCAGTGGCGTGATCTCGGCTCACTGCAACCTCCACTTCCCAGGTTCAACGATTCTCCTGCCTCAGCCTCCAGCCTCCTGAGTAGTTGGGATTACAGGCACGCACCACCGTACCCAGCTAATTTTTGTATTTTTAGTAGAGACGGGATTTCACCATGTTGCCCAGGATGGTCTTGATCTCTTGACCTCATGATCCGCCCACCTCGGCCTCCCAAAGTGCTGGGATTACTGGCGTGAGCCACCGCGCCTGGCCTAATTTAAATTTAAATAGCCACTTGTGACCAGTAGCTGCCGTTGTTATACGGTACAGGTATAGTAGGCCCATATTCTTAAAACATTTCCAGTAGTATATAATATCCAACTCTTTAACCTATACCTGCATTATAAAAAGAAGGCAACTCATTATTTCAATTTGCATTCTCTGGTTATTAGTGAAGTTGAGCATATTTAGTAGCTGAAAACCAGTCTACTTTTTTTATTCTTAAATTTGTCTGTTCGTTCTTATATTACATGGTTTGTTCTGCTTTTAGTGATTTGTTGGAGCTATTTATATTTTGCAAATCTCTTCTTCCAGTCAGTTATTTGTCACTAACTTTTATAATGTTTTTCACCATGCAGAACATTTTAAACACTCCTGGTTGCTGAGTTTCATGTCATTCTTCTGTCTTTCTTCATTCTATGATTGTAAAAATGTCTTTCTAATATGTGCTTTAACAAATTTATTTTGGTATGTCTCTGATTTTTCTTTTATATGGAATATAATTCTGTCTCCCATCTAAGGTAGTAATCTGTCTTATTATTGGATCAAGATATTGAATAATCCTATAACTGACAAAGGACATTGTAAGTGACTCTGACAAGTCAATGAGAACAAGACAGATAATCTAACAGAAAAATGAGCAAAAGAGTTTAACAAACACTTCACAAAAGAGAAAATTTATATGATCAGTAAACAATTGGAAAGGTTCTCAACCACATTACTAATCAGAATACTGCAAATTAAAGCTTCTATCGGATGTCCATCAGGTTGAAAATGATTCAGGAAGCCGATTAACATGAAGTTTAGGTGAGGTTGTAGAAGAGTAAGAACTCTTATATCCTTTGGTGGCAATGTAGATCAGTAAAACCACTTTAAAGCCCTGTTTAGTGTTTCTTATGTATCTGAAAATATGAAGACCCTGTGATCCAGCAATTCCACTCTAGGTATATATCCTACAGAAATGTGTATGTATGTACACCAGGATACATGGACATAACAATATTCTCCACACTGATAACAATCCAAATCTCTATGAACAGTGACTGTGGCAATGGAGATGATGAATCAGTTACATGCAACAACACGGAAGAATTTTACAAATATGGAAAAACAAAACATAATGAATATAAAGTTCAAAACCTGGCAAAATCTATCTCTGTTTTTAGAGTTTCAATCAGAAATTGTTACTGAGAATAGGCTGTCACTTTAACAAATACCTAAAATTTAAAAGTGGCTTTGGAACTGGGTAATGAGTAGAGGTTAGAAGAGTTTGGGGGTACATGATTTCTTTTTAAACTGTACATTGCCATTAATGAAGCATTAAGGATGATTCTGGTGAGGGTTTAGAAGAGAAGAACTGTAGAGAAAGCCTCAGTCTTCATAGAGATTACCTAAGTGGTCATGGTCAGAATGTTGGTATTAAATAGAAATGTGAATGGTAAAGGCTATTCTGATGAGGTATTAGATGGAAATGAGGAACGTCTTGTTGAAAATGAGAGGAAAGACAATCCTTATGATAAAGTGGCACAAAACATAGCTGAATTGTGTTTTGTGCAAGGTAGAACTTCTGAGTGATTAAATAGGATATTTGCGGGGGAGAAATCTCTAAGCAAAGTGTTGAGGGTGTGGCATGACTTCTCGTGATTGCTTATGATAAAATGTGAGAAGACAGAAATGAGCTAAAGACAGATAATCAAAAAGGGAAAAGAATGTAATATATGGAAAATTCTCAGCCGGGTCATGTTCAGAAGAAAATACCATGGGTGTGGCCAAATCACTCTTTGATAAGGAGATCAGGATCACTCAGCCCTGTGTCATTCATCAAGACAATGAAAGAATGACCCTGAACATATTTGGAGATCTTTGGGACTGCCATTTCCATCACAGGTCCACAATGGCAGAGCCATGAAGGCATAATGGTTTAAAAGGAGGGGCCCAGAACATATGTGGGGCCTTTAACTCACTGCCCAGTGCCACTTCAAATCTCTGCTCTTTGATTCAAATGCAGCACTTTTTGGCCACCCCCGGTGTGGCTCCAGTGGGCCCAGTTGTGGTGCCAGCAGCAGTGGCTGGCCCTCCAGAGGATGTGGGTAGTAAACCTTTGCAGCATTCACATGGTGCTAAATCTCCAGGCACTCAGAATGCAAGAACTGTGGGAGGATGGCCACCTCCACATTGATTTCAAAGGATACCGCAGAGATTCTTGAAATCTAGGCTGAGAACTGCCACAGGGGAAGGACCACCACAGACAGCTGCCACTAGGGCATTGCTCAGTGGAACTGTGGGAGTTGGGTCACCACAGAGAGTCCCCAATAGGGCAATGTCTTATGGAGCCATGGGAGCAGGGCTGCCCCAAAACCCCAGAACTGTGGAGCCTCCAGTGTAAAACGCCGCCTGGGAGAGCCACAGGCACCTAATTCCAACCCCTGAAAGCTGCTGTGTGGGCTGTGCTCAGCAAAGCCATGGGGGTGAGGTCACCTGGAGCCTTGAGGTTCCAACCTCTGCACCAGTATGTCCAGAAGGCAGGACATCAAGTCAAAGTTGATTGTCAAGACTTAAGATTTACTGTTGTTTACCCTGAGGGGTTTTGGACTTACTTGAGACCAGTTAACTCTTTATTCCTTCCTATTTTTCCTTTTTGGAATAGAAACATTTATTGTATGCCTTCTCCTCCACTGTATTTTGGAAGCATATAAGTTTAATTTCACAGATTCACAACCAGAGGGCAATTTGCCTCAGGATGAATCATAACTTGAGTCTCACTCATACCTGATTTAAATGATGTTTAGACAAGACTCTGGACTTTAGACTTCTGTGTTGATGCTGAAATTAAGAGTTTTGAGGTTATTGGGATGGAATGTGCATGTAAGAACAAAATAAATTTTGGGACACCAGAGGCAGAATGCTACAGTCTGAATGTTTATGTCTCTCCTAAGTTGAAATGTGAAAACTTAATCCCCAATGTGGTGGTATTAAGAGGTGGGCTTTTGGGAGGTGATCAGCAGGGTCCCATGAGTTATGAATGGGATTAGTGCCCTTAAAAAGGAGCCTGAGGGGGCTTCTTTGCCCCTACTGTCATGTGAGGACCCAGGAAGAAAGCGTCGTCTTTGAAGCAAAGAAAGAAATAGTCCTCACCAGACACTAAATTTGCTGTTGTCTTTATCTTGGATTTCCTAGCCTCCAGAACTGTGAGCAAGATCTGTCTTCAATTTATATATTACCCAGCGTGAGGTATCTTGTCATAGCAGCCCAAATGGATAGTTGGTAAAATAAATTGAGGAAATTATTACTAAACCTGTCAGGGAGCTATTATTTCTAGGGTGAAAGGAAGGGGCTATACTCAGGAAAAGAAGGGAGGGAGGAAGAAGGGTATGCTTGGTGTAGCTTTTGCTGGGGTGTTAGCAATATATTTCTTGACTGCTAGGGTTTGCTGTACATATTTGTTAAAATAGTCCTGAAAGTTTTATCCTCACTTCTTTATATGCTGTATTTTACAATTATTAAAGAAAAAACTAAGACAAATTAAATTTAACAAAGTTTGTGCAGGAAACAGGTTTTAGAACTGGGAAGCATTCTGAACCAAAAATTGTTCAGAATACCCCCACCTCCATCATGGTGAGCTATACTTAAAAATCAGGAAACAAGAAATGACATACAGGGATTAAATGATTGGTACAGTTTGAGGTTTGTTTTATTTGGGCATAATCTGGCAATTTAAAGCCTGGGATTTGCTGAAGGTTCAGCTACTATAATTGGCTGAGACTCAGTTGGTTTGTTACAAGGGTATACTCCTAGGTTAGTTTACAACTTGTTTACACATCAAGCTAGAATACTTTCACTATGTTTGAAGGCAACATATAGTTGGAGCATGTTTTATTTCGTTTTTTTAACCCATTTAGCCAGTCTATATCTTTTACGTGGAAAGTTTAATCTGCTTACATTTAAGATTATTATTGATATCTGAGGGCTTATTCCTGTTTTTATTTTATCAATTGATTTTGAGTTTTTTGTATATCCTTTGTTCGTTTCTTTCTCTTTTATCGTTTATTATTGTGGCTTGGTGATTTTCCTTAGTGGTAACATTTGAGTCCTTTCTTTTCTTTATTTGTGTGTTTGCTCTACCAGTGGGCTTTATACACTCATGTGTTTTCATGATGGTAGATATCATCCATTTGTTTCCAGGTACAGGACTTCCTTAATCATTTCTTGTAGAACTTGTCTAGTGGTGATGAATTCCCTCAGCATTTGCTTATTTGGGAAAGACTATTTCTCTTTCGTTTATAAATAACATTTTGGGTATAGTGTTCTTGGTTGGCATTTTTTCTTTCAACACTTTGAATATATAATCTAATTATCTTCTGGCCTATAAGGTTTCTGCTGAGAAATGTGCTGTTAGTCTGATGGGGATTCCCTTATAAGTGACTAAACACATTTCTCTTGCTCTTTTTAGAATTCTCTGTCTTTGACTTTTGGCAGTTTGACTATAATGGGCCATGGAGAAGACCTTTTTAAATTGTATCTATTTGGAGATCTATGAGTTTCCTGTTATCTGGATGTCTAAATCTCTTGCTAGACTTGGAAAATTCCCAGCTATTGTTTTGTTAAATAGGTTTTCGATCTTATATTTTCTCTCACCTTCTGAGACACCAAAAATTTAAACATTTGGTTGCTTAATAGTATGCTATATGTCATGTGGGCTTCACTCATTCTTTTAAATTCTTTTTTCTTTATTTTTGTCTGGCTGGGTTATTTCAAAAGATCTGTCTTCAAGCTCTGAAATTCTTCTGCTTGATCTAGTCTATTATTGAAGTTTTTGAATATATGTTTTAATTCCATTCAATGAGTTTTTCAGTTTCAGAATCTGTTTGGTTCTTTTATGTATGACCTCTATCTCTGGTAAATTTCTCATTCATACCCTGAATTGTTTTTCTAATTTCTTTGTATTGTTTACTTTGTTCTGTTGTATCTCACTAAGCTTTAAAAAATCATTATTTTGAATTCCTTTCTGGGATTTTGTAAGTTTCTTTTTAATGGGAATCTTTTGCTGGAGAATTATTGTGTTCCTTTGAGGATGCTATCTTTCCTTGCTTTTTCATGTTTCTTGTGTCTTTACACTGATATCTGCACATCTGGTGTAACAATCACTTATTCCAATTTTGTGAATTTGCTTTCATAAGGGAGGACTTTTTTCTGAGGATGTATCTATGGTATTGGTTGTGTAGGGCACTTTGGCTTTGATTCCAGGTGCATGCGGTAGTGTAGTCTCTGTATGATTTCTTTGGCTGTAACCAGCATCAGTAGCAGTGGCATAGGGTGTGGTTGTTAGTGGAGGCTGTGGTGACATTCTGCTAGGGATGGGGACACAAAATGGGCCAGTCCTTGTGTCCCAGTGGTGGCAGTGGCAGGCTGACAATGCCTGTTGTTGAGCCCCAGGGTAATGTGCACTGGCACCAGTGTTAGCAGATCTAGACAGGCTGGTTCTTGGGCCTCCAAATGGCTTGCTTTGGTGCTGGCAGTGGCAGTGGTGGGCTGGACAGGTTGGTGGGTCTTTGGGCCCCTGCACAGTGAGCAAGGCATAGATGATGGCAGTAGCAGTAGTGGGACAACCTTCTTGTTTCCAAGCAGTCTGCACTGGGGTTGGCAGGGGCAGAAATTTGCTAGTTGGGCCAGTCCCCAAGCCCGTAGGTCATGCATGCAGGTGGGTGCCAGCTGTGGTGGTAGCAGCAGGTTGGATGGCCCATCCTTAGGCTCCTGGAAGGAGTGCTCACATGCCGAAGGTGGTGGATGGGGCAGGGTGATCTCCAGGCTCCTGAACAGTATGCCTGGGCACTGTGGGAAGAGGCAGAGCTGGGCCAGGCAGGCCTGTCTTCAACAACCACTGGCAGTGTGTGCAGGTGCTAGCTGTGGTAGACAGGGGCAGAGTGATCCTGGATGTGATGGTTAACATTGTCAACTTGACTGGAATGAAGGATGCAAAGTATTGTTTCTGGGTGTGTCTGTATGGGTGTTGCCGAGGAGATTAACATTTGAGTCAGTGGACTGGGAGAGGAAGACCCACCCTCAATCTAAGTGGGTACCATCCCATCAGCTGCCAGCACAGCTAGAAAAAGCAGGTGGGAGAAAGTGGAAGAAGCTGACTTGCTGAGTCTTCTGGCTTTCATCTCTCTCTCCTGCGCTAGATGCTTCCTGCCCTTGAACATCAGGCTCCAGGTTCTTCGGCCTTTGGACTCTTGGACTTATACCAGTGGTTTGCTGCAGACTCTCAGGCCTTTGACCACAGACTGAAGGCTGCACTGTCGGCTTCCCTACTTTTGAGCTTTGGACTTGGAGTGAGCCACTACTGGCTTCCTAGCTCCTCAGCTTGAAAACAGCCTATTGTGGGATTTCACTTTGTGATCGTGTGAATCAATTCTCCTTAATAAACTCCCTTTCATATATGCATATATCCTATTAGTTCTGTCCCTTTGGAGAACTCTCACCAATACACCAGGTCCCTGGCAGAATGCTTGGGTGAGGGTGGCAGCAGATGCCCTGTGACCCTGCTGCTAGTGGGCAGGGTTGTTTTCAGTGGCAGCAACCATGGGCAGGTGGTTGGGGAGTGCATGCTTTGGCCCTAAGTGGAAGATGTGCATGAGGTAGCCTGTCCTTAGGTTGCTTATAAATGTGTGGTGGCCAACTGCTGGGGGTGGGCAGTGTCACAGCCAATGGCTTACACTTTGGGCCTGGCAGTAGCAGCCAACAGCAGCAACCAGCAGCAGCAGCTGTGGGTGGAGGATATCAACGGGGGACCCAGGATGTGGAGATGCAGAGGCTTTTGAGCCTCATGACAGGATTCATTCTGCTGAGAGATGGACTCTCAAAATGGAACCTTGCTGTAGCTGCTTAGGATTTGCCAGGGGTGGTGTGTGCGGGACCCAGCGTGAGCTCCCATTCTAGAGCAGTAGAGTTGTATGGTCTTCAGGCAGCTTCCTATGTTAGTTTTAAGGTCCTCAAGGGTCGAGGAGTTATCTCATGGCTAGGATTGCAAGAATCTACAGTGGGAATGTGGACTGCTGGGGGTCTCTCACTTACCCTTTCTCCACACTGGAGAGCCTCTCTGGGCTCCCAGCTGGTCATGGCTGAGCAGGCTGTCTCACTTCTCTCTTTCCTTGCCTTAGGTGTTTCTGGCCACTTTTCTGTTGAATTCCTGTGTACTCTTTTAGATGATCTAGTTGAAGTGTGATTATCTTCTTGTTATTTTTGTTCTTCTTTGTAGAAAACACAAGTACCAGATGCCTCTAGTTAGCTATATTGAAGCCCGTCCACTGGGTTTGAATTTTTTTAAAAACACAAGTACCACATGCCTCTAGTTAGCTATATATATTGAAGCCCCTCCACTGGGTTTGAATTTTTTTAAGGTTATTGGGGTGTGTGTCTGTGTGTGTGCGTGCACGTGTGCACTATTGTAAATGTGGTCTTTTCAATTACATCCTGCAAATGGTTCTTCTGTGAATTGGTTTTACATCATTTTATTTACTGAATCCCTAATAGTTTATGGTAGTTCTCCTCTGTTTTCTTCAGTTGTCCAGGCATATAGTCGTATTAACCTTCTAACTATTATATGTAAAACCCTAGTTTTATATGTAAAACCTAAGCACAGTAACACACATTCTGATGTAACATGATTAGTGGTTGATGCCTATCCTCTTCCAAATCCACTTTCTTCAAACTTTTCTAGGAGGCAAGGGAAAGGGGTCATGGAAGAGAGAAAAAGGAGAGAGACAGAAATGTGAGACAATTGCATGACAGCGGGACAAGGGCTGGGTCCCTACATCTCAGTGCTTGCCCAGCCTAAATTTTCTCAAATAGGCACGTGCAATAGACAGGTGATGTTTTACAATGAGGCTCTTGAAGCTCTCAAAATTATCGGCCAGGTTACAAAGCCCATATTCAATCAAACATATATTTATGCTGAGGCACACAAGTGCTACCAGGTAGTGCCAGATGGCAGCCATGACCCAGATGGGTATGAATTATTCAGCTGGAGCCCAGAACTCCTGCCTTGCAACCTGACTCCCCTGGCTTGTCTCACTTGGTCAATTAAATTCACAATAATGGAGTCCCACATTTTATACAATTGCATTTGAAAATAGACTTTTTTCATGGACCAACTATTGCAAATAACAATGTTTTCCAGAACAAAAATAATCCCCACAGAGCAAATTTATAAAAATAACTAACTGGGAAAGAAAGGAGGAAGGAAAAAACAGGAAGGGAAATGGAATTAGAGGATGAAATATAGGAGTTTTAAGCCATAAGCATTATACATCTTCAAACATCTGAAATAAGTATAAAATATCAACATTTTATGAATTCCAATATTAGATGCTTGTACGTTTCTGTAGGTTATTGTAGAAACATTTTATTGAAGTATAATTTACATAAGTCAAATGCATAAATCTTAAGTTAAATTTTACATGAAATTTTACGTATATATACACTCATGTAGTCACCACCCAGGTCAAGATACTTTCAGACTCCAGAAAGATTCTTCTTTCTCTCACTTCAGTCTAGACCTTTCTCCCAAAAAGTAGCCACTGTTCAGATTATCTATTTACTATTGGTTGGTTTTTCCTAAACTTATGTAATGGAATCATACAGAATGTATTACTTGTGTCTGGCTTATTTTGCTCAACATTATTTTGATGAATATACTACGTGTTGTTGCAAGTTGCTCTTTTTCATTTATGCGTAGCATTCATTTCAATGAATGTACCAGAATTTATCCATCCCACTGCTGATGACTGTCTGCACTTTGAGTGCTCAAAGCCAAAGTGGTGAAGAAACACACTACTAGATCAGAAAAAGAAGTCAGGATTCTAAATACGTACTTTTTTTTAACTTTATGCTTTCTGCCTAGACACATCAATAACAGGTTACCAGTGGAAATTTCTCAGAAATATAGTTGGAAGGAGAATGTTATTTTAGGTAATATGTTTGCCCCTTCAGATTCACTCTCTTTCCTTCTCCACCAAGCTCCCAGCCAGAAAGCTGACTTACATTGATAGATTATAATCAACAGCTCCCATATTTGCAGGCTTCCACTTGGAGTCGGCAAACAGAGAGCCCAGTGAAGCAAATGAGATCAGGGTATTCATTCATTCCCTAGCTTCTTTCTGGGAGGGCTTAAGGCCCACTGTGTGCTTTGAAGGAAGTCACAGCTCTTCTTGAGGTAGCCTGCTCTACAGCAGCAGTCTCCAACCTTTTTGGCACCAGGAACCAGTTTCGTGGAAGACAATATTTCCATGGACTGGGGCCAGGGAATGGTTTGGGGATGAAACTCTTCCATCTCAGATCATCAGACATTAGATTATCATAAGGAGTGCGCAACCTAGATCCTTCACATATGCAGTTCACAATAGGGTTCATGCTCCTATGAGAATCTAACGCCACTGCTGATCTGACAGGAGGTGGAGCTCAGGCAGTAATGCTTGCTTGCCTGCTGCTCACCTCCTGCTGTGCAGCCCGGTTCCTAACGGTTCCCCACAGGCTAAGGTATCCAGTCTGTGGCCCGGGGGGTTGGGGACCTGCTCTACAGGACTCTGCTTCCAGGTCCTAGTGACTTCTCCTGGCCTTTTGGGCCCACAAGTGGAAATAGCTCTGCTGATGCTAACACGGGTTTCTGCACAACTGTGTGTCGGTCCCTGACATTGCACACACACTTTTGTAATTAATCCTTTGTAAATAGCCCTCTTTGATGTATCCTAATTTGAGTGTGCCCACACTTTGTGGATGGGACTTGACTGGTACAAATATTTTAAATGTGTTTTGCTAAGTGCTAAGGCAAAAGAAGGAAAAGTTGTATTCTTTCACACACACAACACACACACAACTTCATATACCCTGTGGCTGAAAGACGTAGTGGCAGAGGCAATTAACAGGCTCGCAGTTCCCCCACTGCCCACATCCTGAAAAACATGTGGGCATTAAGGAGGTTGTTCTGATAAAGGAAGCAGCCCCTCTCCTTGGGTCGTGAAGCTTTTTAGTTGCATGACTGAGGCACTAGCCCCTCTCCTGGCATGCTCATGGTCTAGTGTCCAAGCCTACTGCTCCAGCTTTGTGATGGGGTGGCACTTGGCTTCGGCCCTACTCTCCTTTTTTGGCTTTCACGTCTGGGAGTGCCCCGAGTCCTCCCTGCATAATCAAAGGCTAGCATTCAAGACTTAAAATTGCAGGGGCAGGATGTGGTCAGCCACCCAATGGCCTGCAACCTGGATCCACTGAAGCAGGTTTTCATGGAGCAATTTAGTTCCCAAATAGTTTGCAAGTGGCAACTTGAGCTCTGAGTGGCCGGCCTGCACAGGTGATCATTCCTTAGCTCTCAAATTCATTTTATTCTTCCACCATTATAAAACCCAATATGAAGACTAAAATGTTTTATATAAAATTAAAACATTCTGAACATAACCAATTAATGCTAAATTACGTTAAAACCTTAACTGTGCAGATCTTGAACAAGGCTCCTTTATCTGCTTAGCAGAAGCATATCCTAAGATTTCAAGTCATTAAAAAAAAAACTGTTACCATTTATAACTATGCATGTGTGACTGATAAGTTTCTGCAAAATAATGGAAAATGGAAATAAGATGCTAGGGTCAATATGAGACTGCTAATGCCATACATATTAACAACATCAAGTATTCATGTTCAAATATCTCACTGACTTTATAAATAAATGTATGAATGTGAACTTATAACAAATTTATACACAAAATATTATTTTATAATCCTGTATATTAAGTTCTACACAAATTTCACTTAAGGAATGTTACAAACCAATCATTTACATAACAGCATAATTAATATTATGACTTATATCCCAGTTCCCAATTCTTGCTATAGCAACTACTTCGCATTTCCATTGGAAGGCACCTTGTCCCTGAGCAACCATCTGTTTGTCACCAGCTATGGCTAGTGCACAGAAGAGTGCTCAGTTTTGTGATGTTTCCTATTTGACAGATGCTTTTTCCCCAGGATCATTTATTTATGATCTAATTAAAGGAAGAAAAAAAGAAGTTTGGTGCTAGGCTTTGTGGGATTCAGAAAGAAAAGAAAATTTGCTCTCTCAGCAAATTATGACATCATGAGGTAACACTGCCAGGCCATGGATGCAGTATTGGAAAATAAAAAATACAACACCACTGAGCTTGGCAAACCTTTTTTATTTTGTGATAAAAATGCTTTCATATAAATTTCATCTTAACTACCTTTAGAATGAAACGGAAAAGTAAAAACAAAGTGTGCATTTTCCTTACTACGTTTAGTCAGGAATATGCGGTCATTTTATTGGTTACTGGGTTTCTCATACAAACAGATATAATATCACTTTTAAGAGAAATGTACACAAGGAAGTAACCATAGTACCACTTATTAGTGGGGGCCTCTGGGTACATAAATGTGTCCTCCCAAATAGTCATCATACATTCAATGTATTGGTTAGGGCCAAAATCCCTAAACCACCTCTCAACAAAACATTACACCTTTGGTTCTTTATTATGCAAAAATTACAAATTGGCAAATTCAATAAGAGGATGCAATGGATTTGAGCATCACAGCCAATTGCTTATACTAAAATATTTTAATTCTCAGACTCTCTTTCCCTCATACCTTTCCCTTCCCCACCTCACATAAGAAAATGATGCTTAAAACAAAACAGAGGAAGCAAATAAACAAACAAAAAAACCTATCCCCAAAGGCAGGCAGAAGAGGAGTCAAAGAAAGAAAGCATTTATAACAATAAAAATAAACCAAAAATAGCAGGGGAGGATCTATACATGGCATAAAAGATGTGTCTCATAAAAACTGAGTCTCCAATTCAGAACCCAAATGAGAAAGTGATTATCCATCTTACCTTCCCTTTTATTAGATACCACACAATTCAAGAGTTCTTAAAATCTAAGAGATCAGTAAAAAGTTTGAAAGGCAGTGTTGTCCTCCTCATCACTGAAACCTGTTGTCTGTAATGACAGCTTTCACATTCCCTTTCTCCAAACCCAAAGGATCCAAATTAAAGTAGTCCAAGAAAAAGAAACAAGCAATTTGGTCTGACATTGTGCTTAAGGAAAAGGGAGGATATAAAATATCCAGTGGCTGGATCAGTAGCTGATACTTTCAGAAGTGGGGCTGGAGCAGGAGGGCAGAAAGGGGCAGGTACGCTGTGGTCCACAGAGGTCCATGCAGATAGGTTCTCCCCATCTGTGAATAATAAATGGGTCCAAGGGCAGAGAGTCACCATTTAGAATGATAAAATGTTTGCACACTATGAAAGAGGCTGACAGAATGTTGCCACATGGAGAGAATAAAGCAGAGAATGAACAAACTTAATCTGCTTATCTCAGGGCAGAAGTAATTATTTTTGTTGGTTCAATAAATTTGGATAGGACTGAAAAAACCATTTGTAAACTATTATGCCAACAGACACGCAGGGTTTCCATATGGGGCCACCGACAGACAAATCAGGTAAGTGGGAAGCACTGATGCATACTTGCAGCCATAGAAGGAATGAGAACTGTCATTCAAACCAAAAGAGTCGGGAATTCACCTGTTAATATCTACAAAATGCCCAGGCAGAACTTATTTTGCAGGTGTCATGGGCATCACAGCACTGGACGGAAGTTGCAGTGTAGCCATGGACCAATTATTAACTGGCCCAAGGAGAAGAGGAAGAAAACTATTCTTTATCTACAATTAACTAAAATGCTTCTGCCCTTAAAAGAAAGTCAAAGAAATTGCCAAGAGCATGAATACAGAGAGTGGATTCAGGTGAGGGGCAATCAGTCTGAACAATGAGCAAGTCTATAGTTGTCCATTATCATCTAAAAGGTGACTCTAGGAAAGGAAAATGTTCTGTTGAGTTTCTACGTTAGTTGCCAAAGGGAATGTCATGGCCGCTTCAGAGGAAAAGAAATGGTAGCAGAAAATAGCAAAGGCTGCTATATAGTTCCTCCTTTTCCAACCTTCTTATAGGGCTGTTTTGGATCATAGAAAACAAGTCCAACTTTCCAATTCCTGCACTTGAACATATAAAGTCCATGTCTTCAGTGAGAACATACTGGGTATACCAGTAACACGGACCACACGGTGTGAAAGAAAGATTGGTGAGCAGGCCTTTAAGCAGCAAGATAATCAGTAGAGACTGATCATCTGACAAACGGAAGACAACTGTCACTGGGTCCCTTGGGCTAAGGAAAGTTCAGTCCTAAATGGCAAGGGTACAACATTTGAGACAGTGTCTTCTGTGGATATGAAAGGAAAGGCTCAACAGTTAAGACTAGTTTCATATGCTGGGTGAGTGAGTGAAACAGGCCTAGAATGCTCAGATCTGGGACAAATGTGTTCCATACAGGCAGTCAATGGAATGCTTGGCAGGAAGTAGGGGGACCTGTGGGTGGGTAACTGGCTCTTGCACGAGTTAACTTGTCTCTTGGTCATTCCAACATTCCAAACCTTTTTCTGGTTTTAAAAAAGTGGGGAGGGTCATAGTAACTAGACTATCAAGGATAAAACTTTACACTGACCAGGCCCATACACAGAAAAACAACAAACTCACACCCTTCTTCCTGGTAAAGTTTATATGAAGACCTGCACACAGACAAGAAAAATTAAGGTGCAGCCTCTTGAAGGGATCTCCTGCCCCCAAAATTTGTTGAAGAAAAGTATTCTTCTCCCCTTCTCTCTCCAGGAATGATATATGCAGGAGAACACAATACAGTATGTCCATTTTCCAAAGAAACAACATACTTGAAAGGTTTGTGCTGAGAACCATACCAAAGTAAACCTTGTGAGACTCCAAGGGATACCGGGAAGACAGGAGGGGAAAGGAGACCAAAGTTGCTTTCATGGGCCAGAATGATCAAAAGCACAAAGGTCTTGCCCTATAACATGCTGGTAGGGCTACAATCACGGAGAGGTGCAAAACCAAAAGCACCAAATGAAGACAAAAGAATGTCCAAGGAGGAGGAGATGCGTAGGTCAATTCAGGCAGAATTCCAGGGCATAATTCCCAACAGGACGCTAGTGTAGAATCTTCTCATGGATATGGCAGAAGCCTGCAGGGCTTAAAATGCAGTCCAAGCTGCAAGAATGTCTGGGCTTCAATAAGCATCCATCTTATTCTCCAAATAGAAGAGAGTAAACATGGACCCAAGGCTTGTATTCATCTTGCATTTCCACAAACTTGTCTTATTAGATTAGAATAATCAATAAGCCTTGCAGATACCCAGTGAAACTGACGAATTGCTTCTCTTGCATTATCTGAATAAGAACATCTTCTCTTTCCTACCTCTAGAAGCTGGCTCCAGAGATTTCTTCATTTCTCTCCCGGATGACCTTCATTTGTTCCTCAGCAGCATTTACAAAAGTCAGTTATGTCTCTACACTGGAGGTGGACTCTCTCACGCATAAACCTGCATGTTGTTGTGTGGTGGCTCAGACATGTGTGTCCCAGGTCCCCGCTGACCTCCTCCAGCACCCCCAGGGGTAGGGCTGGTGGTCACATCTGACCAGTCAGAAGCAGAGTGGGGTGATGAACTTGACCACTGGTCAGGAGACTCTGGGGATGGTGTCAGGTAGGGATGCTCACCCTGGAGGTGACCACTGTGACTGGGTGTTCGCTCAGCAGCATTTGAGGAAGCATAACTGTGCTGTGAAGGGGGTGTGGGGTACTTGCCCACAGAGGCTGGGAAAGGATGATAGGCTGGGAGAATGGTCTGAGCTACCTGCCCGTCCTGCTGGGGCATCATGGCAGTGGGGAAAGCCACACTGGGCAAACGGGCCATTTCTGGAATCTGGTACATGGTGGGCAGGGGGCCCGCAACAGCTGGAGGGCAGGTGGACTGAGGCTGGGGAGCCCCCGCTGGTTGGGCAATACTGCCTTTAGGGATGAGCTGGAAAGTCACAATGGGGGGCAAGGGCTCCCGAGGGGTGGTTATGTGCTTCCCTTCAGGTGGCCTGCTCTGGGGAGCTATGCCAGGATGGGTGCCCTCAGCTGGAGCCAGGACCATACCAAACATCTCATTGTACTGGGTCTCATTCACCTCCATGCGGTTCATCCAATCTGCTGGGACTGGGACTGGATGGAGCCTACTCAAGCTTCCAGCACTGCCACTGCCTGGAGACACAATGTGGTGGTGGGATAGCAACTGGCTCACTGAGGGAAGCACAGTGCTGGCCCCATGTGCCAAAGGCTGCATTTCATGAAGGTTAGAAAAAGATAGTGCATGCTGGGCATGGACTGGGGCAGGAGGGGCGGCAGTGGCCAACATAGGGTTGGGTGAGGCCTGTAAGATCCCAGGGGATGTAATCATTGGAGAGGATGTGGTGTCGGAAACATACGTGTGAGGAGATTCTAGGGAATCAACAGGGGATAAAGTTACTGAACTCTCAGACAGTTGGACCTTCTCACTCAGAGACTTCTTCCTCCTACTACCCTTGGCATCCTTTGCCTCCTTGGCAAGGTTAGGGAGGCTAGTAGGCATGGTACTCTTGGCACTGGGCCGTCTAGACTTCTTGCCCATTGGGGTGTGCTTCAGGCTGAGGAAAGATCTGTTGGGCCCACAGATGACAGGTGAGAGAGCAGAAGTCAACACGGTGCCTGGAGGGCTTGGGGTCACATTGTATTCATCCAGAAGGCGCACAATGTCATGGTGCATGCGATCCCGAGCCACATCCCGGGGAAGACGATCCATATGGTCTGTGATGTCTCGATTGGCAAAATGGTCTAACAGGATCTTGGCTGCTTCATAGCTCCCCTCCCGGGCAGCAAGAAACAGAGGTGTCTCTTCCTACAGAAAAGGCCCATCACAGAACACATGTTAATAACACTCTTGAGAATATAGCAGTTTTTCTCAATCTTTTTTATTATCACCCCCTTAGACATGTTTTCCTAATTATCTCCCCGATGAAATATTAACACCACAGATAGGCTGTGCCTCTACCAATGTACTGAATGTGTATCTGTGATTTACACATAAAAAAAGTAAGATTATTTCACCTCTCCTCAAAAAAACAATTTTGCCCCTTAGGGGGAACATCTCTTTAGTTGGGAATTCATAAAATAAAGCATGCCCCTGAGCCAGAGACTCACTTAAAAGAGTACTGAGCTTATCAAAATAAGGTTAAGGAAAAGGAGTTAGAAATAAGAAAGGTAGGAATAGGAGTTAGAAATAAGAAATAATAGGAAAAGGAGTTAGAAATAAGAAAGGTAGGAAGAGAAAAAACTAAGGCATGCACAGAACTGGGAAAAGTAAGGGAAACAGTGAAAGAAGAGACAAAACATGTGCAAGAAAGGACTAAGATAAGGAAAACAAAGAAAACTGAGAGAAGATGAATGAGAGAAGGAAGCAGGACAAAAAACTCAGATGGAGAAAAATCAAACAGGAAAACATCAGGGTATCCAAGGACAGAAAAAAAAGCAGCCGGAGGGAAAAAAGAAAGAAAACGAGAAAAAGAAGTGATTATGAACAGAAGAGACAACTGGAGAAAAGGAAATGTCAGGGAAGAGAAAGAGTTACACCAAGCTATCTATAGCCAGCCTACTGCAAGCTGAGTACTGAGAGGGCAGAGAACTCCATCCTGACACATGCCTGGACAAGCCCAATATCCTCATCAAGCTCTCGAAACCCAGTGTCTGCCCAAACTGCTTCCATCTTTGTCTATACATATAACAAGAGAAGCTGTAAGGAGAAACGGGAATGGGCTTATAACTGAGGCACTGCTATGAGCCTCCTCAAGCTCAGAGCCCACAAACTGTACCTTGTTGTCCTGCATGTCTCGGTTGGCCCCATTTTTCAACAACAAAAGAGTTGCCTCCACATTATTGACAGCAGCTGCCCAGTGAAGAGCAGATTTTCCTGCAGGGGAGAAACATTTTTATAAACAGACATATCCTACTCTTAGTATAAGACACTATGACTTGCACAATGAAATCTTAAACTCCCCAGAGATCAGCAGGAAGCAGTTCTCTGTAGGGGTCTATAGGAAAAACCAAAGTAATCTCTTCTTTTTCCTCTGTTCTAGAAATACTTCAGTACAGGCTGCCTAGCCTGCAGAAGACCTCTAGGTGAAAGGATCACTTGTATGAGGCATTCATGTCCCCTACATGGCAGAATCTACCCTGTTACATACTGAAGATAAAAACCTATATATTACATGTCAGAATTTATATTGAGAATATTCTACAACTCTCCTAGAGAAGTCAGCTCTCATAAATCCTCAAATCAAGTGTTATGCCTAGGAAACTACATGGGAACACCTTTCATGTATCTGCTCTGAGGTCCAAGAACCCTCATTAAAAATCCCTCATTTTAATTAGGGATCTCCTACTGGCTTGGATCTCTGAGCTCAGCATGTTAAATAAATGCATGAATGAAAGAATGAGTGAATCTCTCACGTATTTGGATCTCAGGCAGTTCTCTAAGGGTCACGTAACTCTATTCCCCTCGTCAGAGGCATGCTTTGCAGGTAAGAATCCAAATCCCTGCCTTTCATCCCTACCATGGTCATCCACTGCATTCACATCCGCTTGGCAGTTGATCAGTTCTGCCACCATTCCCTCCACAGCCAGGCGGGCAGCCAGGATCAGGGGTGTAGTACCATCATTCATCCTGGCATCTAGATCAGTTACTCGGTTGCGAATCAGAATCTAGAAGAGGAGAAAGTACAGAAAAGAGAGTCACCTGGATGAAGGAAAATAATGAAACTCAGTGAAGAAACAAGGGCATCAGAGCTGAGGCTACAGTGTAGATTCCTGGAGGAGAGGGAAAGTCTTGTTATCTTTGTGCCCAAGATTCTATCATGATCAATCAATAAATATTTGTTGCATGAATAAATAAATACATGCTCAATAAATAATGGCTGATGTAAAGTGATGAGCCTTCTACTTTCTCAGGAAAGAAGAGGGATGTGGGGAAATATCACAACTTCAGTCAGGATACAGCCTAAGGTGATTCAGAATGCTTCCAATTTCCTCATAAGGATAAACAGGCATCAGGGAATATAATATGAACTCAGGTCAAGAAAACTGCCAATGAGCAGCTAGAAGCCCATACAGTCAGGCCAATCCATAAGAAGTAGCGGATACTAGTCAAAGGCTCCGGACCAGCTATCACTCTCATCTAATCTACGCATTTGGGAGGCATCTTGGCACAACAAATTATCACTAATAATCAGAAAGACTGGTGTTGTCTGCAGTTGGCTCTATCACTATCTTCCTATATATAGCTAGGTCAATTTGCCTGCCTCCCTTTTCCCACTTTCCCATCTACCAAGCATGACTCTAATACCTGCCCTAATCTCTCAAATGATTGAATAAATTCAATGAGATATTAATTCTTTAAAAACGATAAAACATTATAGAGCCATAGGAATTATTATTCAAGTGACTCTTCTCATGTTCTTTACCTGGAAGACACCTTGGGCATCAGCTGCCACTGCAGCATGGAGTGGACAGCGGCCCATGTTGTCCTGGGCATTGGCATCTGCACCTGCATCCAGGAGACGCTTGGCAGCATCAGCCCGTGAGTAGCGGGCTGCAAGGTGCAGGGCCATCTCACCAGTCCGGTCTGTCTGGGCCTGGAGGCTGGCACCCTGGTAGACCAAGTCTGTGATGATGTTAGCAGAAGAGTCCTCTGCATCTTCATCTTCATCACTCAAATCTGAGCTGCCTCCTCGGAGAGAAGCCAACATCAATGGGGTGCAGCCATCTGTAGGAATGGAAAATTCCATAAAGTACTCAAGAAGGAGAAGGTAGTTAACCCTATGGTTGAAACAGCTCTATTTGACTAAAGTTATTCTTAGGGGCAAAGAATTCCCTGTACTTCTTGTAGTAACTGGTTATTAGTTTCACATTTGCCACCTTTTCCTCTGATAGTATCATTTCTGTAAAGAATAATGGGAAAGTACAAGTCTTTTTAAGCTGGGGGCTCTTCTCTAAACACGTTTTTCTGTTCAAGTTTAAGTGCTGTTATTTTAATTGGACATTTAAAAATATCTAATATTAATAGAACAATTAATACATGCATAAGATACTAACTATCCTCTGCTTTGGGATATTATTTTTCTATCCCACTACAATCTAACCCATTTTATCAGCCTGTTTAGTCTCAACACACTGTACATGAAGCAATGTGAAATCCTTCCCTTTCTGAGCTGATAATTTCTTTGTGGCTACATTCCTTAAGCATTCATTTCCTCGAGCTGATTTAGAGTCTGTGAAATTGGGAAGGGGTTTATGACTGGACAGGGCAAACACAGGGACAACAATGTGGAACCATGGGCAGACACAGCCCAGTGAAGAGGGGAAGAGGCCCGGTGCTGACCTGGGCCACGGACATTCACATCTAACACATCCACCTCCTGCTCTGCCTGAGGAGGGGTGAGAGCCAGCGATGGTGTCCTACGGATGTCTGCAGCTTCAAGGTGCTGCTGTGTCCATGGCCGTCGATCAATGGGGTCATCTTCTTCTGAGAGTAAGGCCTCATCTTCAGCCTGAAAGGTGAAAACAATGCTCCCTATCAATCTGGCCACCACCAGAAACTGCTAATCAGAAGGTGTCCAGAGCCTCCACCACCGCTGCTTATCTCCCATTGTTTTCTCTCTTCCTACTCCTCCACCCCTCCAGAGGATTACCTCAGCCTTGGCTTCCCACTGCTCTCGTGATGTGGCTCCTGCTTACCTTTCCTGCATCATCTAGACAACTCCCTCCCCCAATCCCAAACTCTAGGCTTTAGCCTTTAGATCTCCAGAGCACCCAATTCTCACTTTTCCTACCCTCCACTAGAAAGTAAACTTTAATTCTTCTTGTTGGCCCTAAAAAGCATACTCTGCTTACCTCTGCTTAACTGATCATGTGTTAAATGCTTACACAGCACTACATGGCCATCTCCACCACAAGGCTGTAAGCTTCTCAAGAAGGGAAAATAAGCCTTGTTCAAGGTTGTTTCCTTGTACTCAACATAGCACCCAACATGTAGTAAGCACTCAGGAAAGACTATTCAATAATAATAATCATGATAATTTAAAAGCAGCTACCCTTTACTGAATACCTAGTACATGACAGGAAAGTAGATAAGGCACATATGCCAACACAACAACTCACAGAGGAAAGGGTTATTATTATCCGCATTTTACAAGGAAGGATAATTACAAAGAGGTTAAGTAACTTGCCAGCTACTAAGCGGCAGAGTTTTGGATTTGAATCCAGTTCTGATATTAACTAAAGCAATCTTCTTAACCATCATGCTCCACCAGCTCCCAGCCATGCACAGCTGTGGATGGATGGTCTGCTTTTTCATGTCAGTCTCAGCCCAATCTACCACTTGCTTTTATATGGCTTTAGTTTCCTGGGCTCAAGGTATGGAGCCTCCAATGTCAACGTTTTGCCATGATCACTGGCTTTCATTTTGCCAATGTCAATGATAACTGGCTTTCTTCCACTGCTTAATTTCATCTTCTCTTATAGAAGAAGTGCCCATAAAGGATAAGGAAGAGATGTGGCCATGAAGGAATTGCCATCTACACACACCATTCCTGACTTGACTACTGCCAGCATAACACTAAAGGAAACAGATGTGCTTAGTATTTTTAAAGAGTTATTCTTGAAGAGCATATATAGGTAACCCAAGGTCATTTACGTCCTAAGGATTCCTGCTGTTTAGGAGAACCTAGGATAGTTATTGTCTGGGTAAGACATCAAGACTATCACTCTTTACTCCCATTCAGGACACTCTGGAGCTAAAGGACAGAAATTTGAAATGTAACCAGATAATGGCTGACAATGGTGGTTCTACCATGGCCACCTCACCTTTACTTTCTTTGGCTGGGGCCCTTCATCATCGACCCAGTGTTCACTTGTTCCAGTACCAATTAGGTTAGCTTCTGAGACTTGCACTGAGAGATTTCTAATATGATTATAAAAAGAAAAAATAAGAATGGCAGTCATAAACTAATACAGTGGTTTTCAACACTTTCCACCATGACACACTCCCGTGGCTATATTACAATTTTGCAGGGTCTTGGCCCAGAGAAGATGGGCAGTATTTTTGGTGACATTCCCTTGGCATTCATCCTTTCCCTTCCCATTGATCGTGAGCTTACAACAAAAGGGCACCTCAACACAGAAGCTGGGCGGCATTGTGATAATATACACAGAATAGATGCACCCACGCTCTGACTGTGGTTTCAGTCACTCACAAGGCATTTAGAATCATGGTCAATGTGAGTAAATGCCCAGAGCTTAGAATTTAAAATCATGATTCAACAAGATATGCTTTTCTAGTCATCCCTACTTATACTGTGAATAGTGGCTTATTGGCAATGCCTCTTACTTCAGCCCCACAGCATCCTGTCCCACTGGCTCACGACGCTTGTGATTGCTTGCATCTCGGCGAAGAGTGAAACCTTCAGGCAGCCAGAGAGAGCCATGCTTACGCTTTCGTTTTGCCATGATTACCCCCAGCAGAATAATAAACAGAATGATGACAACAGCAACAGCAAGGAGATAGAGGAGCTGAGTGCGTTCTGGAGTCAGGGATTCACCTGAAAGTCCACAGAGACAGGGAAAGTGCTGAATAAAACATTAACCTCTCAATGTCAGCATTAGATTCATTTAGAGGGCAACTTTGACCTCAACAGTCCTGAAAAAATAGAGGGCTACATAATGAAAATTGTTCCCCCAATTGACACTCTTCCCCCGCCACCTTTCCCCTTTACACCAGTGCCACTCACTGACGACAGACACAAGAGGGTATGACAGGGTCCCCTGTATGGCGTGAGAGGCCAGGAGAGCTGCTGCTGCATCCGTGTTCTTGAAGCAGTGGTCTGAGTCTTGAACACACTGGCGGTTGTCAATTTCCAGAAAGACTTTAGAGCTGTGGGATGCCAAGGGAGAAGCGGAGGAGGAGAGATGGGGGTAAAACAGAAGAGTGCAGGTCAGGCAGAACATGTCATAAAGGGTGACAGGAGCCTCCCTTCCTCCCCTTCAGCATCAGGTCCCCACCTCTGGGATGCTGCCTTAAGACATATCTCAGGAATTAGAATACTGTCCCTTGAGATCTTAAACACTAATTCCCACATAGAGGATGTCCCACCTTCCTTAGTCTGGCTGACCAAAGCCTTCTGGCTGAGGCAATGCATGACAAAGTGAGAAGCTGTGCTTTCCTCCCGAAGGTTTCAGTGGTCTTCTTCCACTCTTTCATACCTACTCAGTGGTACTTGGTGCTACTCTAAACATACATCCCTGTGTGTTTTTAGTCCTTATTTTCCTTTGTCTCTGCATTGGTATCTCAGCTAGCTGGAGGGTTGAAAGTTTGACAATATACCAACAAAGAGTGAGGTGTGAATGACAGAGCAACTGAAGATCATTACCTGTGTCAAAGAGACATATATTCTAAAGAAGGGCCTTAACAATAAGGCAATGATTAATGTAAAAAGGAATGTCACTAATAAAGGGATTTGAGGCAACTCTGGCAAAAGGTTATGGATTCTGGCATCTGAGGAGGCCTTCCAGACATTCTGCCTCCTGTGTACCCCTGCCCACTTTTCAGCCAAGACGAAGGCATATCTTTACATTTAAACGTAAGTACTGGGGTAACGGGTTTATCTTAAGTGGTGGGCCATTCTATTTTTCTGATCTTTGCATTTCTATAGGTTGAGTTATGACTTGTGCTATATGTCAAAGTGCTAGGCTTCATAAAATTAGCCTTGAAGTTCAGAAACCAAACACCTACCCAGCCACCTCCTGTTCTTGTTCACCAGGAAGGGATCTGCGTGTCATCCTCTGTTTCTTCATAGCAGCTGACTTCTCACCATAATAGGGGTACACCATGAGTTCCCCCTGGGAGTCCCGCTTAATGCGCAGGTTGGTGTGGAGCAGGGTACCCAGTGCCCGCAAGAAGCTGCGAGCATCCTGGAGCAGTTGTTCAGGTGGCATCAATACCACAATAACCAGGGTACCTTCTGCCAGGTTCTCAGGTTGGTCAGCAGCACAGTCCAGCCCATCCCAACCACACTCCTCACTGTTGCACCCCTGGTCACAGTGGTTGTCTTTGAAGTGGTCTGCACAGTATTTGTCATACCTAGGTAAGGGGAAGCAGAGAACAGGCAAAAGAGCTCAGATTAGACTGGAGCTCTATTTGCTTTTTCATTTGGAACTACTGTGGATTTTCCTACCCATTTTCTGTGGCCCACACCCAGGACCCAAATGCCCCACAAAACCTTCTTTGCATCTCCTATCCCTGATGCCTATGCCACTCATCCTTGTTGAGTACTTCCTAAATGAAGAACATTGTACTCACTATGCTGCAGGAGCTTAGGGGCTCCCAGGCAGTTTACAAGCCTGTTAAGTCAGGTTTTCAAACAAAGCTGCATATCTGAAACAAAAGTCAACCTGGTTCATGCTTCCTCTACTTTAGAGAAATCCATTGCCCCCAGTAAGGTAACAACGGGCTTTAGGAAGTGAAAGATGCCTCTAGAAACTTGATACAAGGCCCTGAACCATTGAGAGTTGCCATACAGAGAACAATATTAACATGACCCATTTCTTTCCCTTTCAAGAGTGAATCCCAACTACAGAAGGTAAAGGCAGATGGGTATGTCCTTATAGCACACCAGATATTACTTGTACAGGCTCTTTCAATATTTGGAAAAGGAATTAGAACCCCCAAACCTAAATGATGTACAAACTATTCCATCTATACTCTCCTCTCCTCATCCCCTACCCCTTGATATTTATACTATTTGGTACAACTTTTCATGCTAGCTCAATCAGAAGATTAGGAGTCAAAGAAACAACTTGCTTTGGCAAGTTCTTTAACCCTTGGGCCTAAGTTCTCTCACCTATGAAAGAATGTTAGTAATACCTATGCCTCGTGAGTTGCTGAGAATTAATTGGGATTAAATTATATGGAATGGCTAGTTAATAGGAAAGTTCCTAAGTAAACCATAGAGCATCCTATACAATTAAGACCGGGAGGGTTCACAGACTTAATCTAATTCATGCTTCCTGATAAATCTAGATGGGGAAAAACAGTCTTAGGGAAAGGAATGGGGTGAAGAGAGAGATACAGACCTTTCCATCCATCCTGCAGGCAGGTTATGTGAGAGGCTGCTTGAAGTGGGAAACACCACTTCCAAAAGTTATATCCCCCAGGAGGTCACGAAGGCAGCAGGTGAGAAGGCAAAGATAGGCAGAGAGAGAGGGTCATTATGCAATGAGCATTCCTGGCCCATTGTCAGCAAGGGAGAGCACAGGGCAGTGTGCGATGGGACAAGGCTGGCACCATCTGAAAAGCAGAGGCAGCTTAGGCTGAAGCACTGGAGTGGTTAGGAGCAAGAACGAGAAACTGAAGTGTGTTAGTGACAGTCCCCTTCAGTTCTGGAAAACGTGAAGCCCTTACTTGCATGTCTTGCTGTTCCCCTGGCATTCAAAGTTGTCAAACAGGCACTCGACCGTGTTGCACAGCTCATCACACTGGTTGTTGATATAATCCCAGCAGGGAAGTGGGGAGGAGCAGTTGGCCCAGGGGTTCTCCATGGTGAGAGAACAGTCACCCCCATCCCACTGGCAGGCATGGCTGTTGCAGGCCTCATCACAGACGCCATCCCGAGCTTTGTCGGCACAATACTGGCTCAGACAGGTGGCAGGAGGGGTGCTGGGGGGTGCCGTGTAGAGTTCACAGCGGCTACCCGAGAATGGTGGGGCACACTGGCAGGAGTAATAAGGAGGCTGGCGCTGAGGGTGGCAGCTGCCCCCGTGCTGGCAGGGGCTACTGGCACAGCCTGACTCGCAGTCCCGGGGACTGGGGCAGAAGCAGCGGGGTCCAGAGGCGGTGTGCACACACTGCTCCCCCTTCCTACATTTCACTTGTCCACAGCTGCTCTGGCACCTTGCCCCGGAAAATCCCTGTGGAAATCAGTGAGGAAATAAAAATGGCATTGGTAGGAAAACAGTCATATTGGAAGTTTGAGGTTTCTAGAAAACCTCCACATCTCACTCCCTTCTGTACTTCCCGTTCAGCCCAAGCCAAGGTTACTAGACAGGTTTCCTTTTGGTATCTCCCGAGGCATAGGGATCTCTTGTTTTGGGAAGGTTTCAACCTCTGGCAGTGATAAAAGAATGGGTATAGCAAATAGCTAAAATTGAGCTTCCCTCTACTTTAAGAGACAACTTGCTTCCAAATGGTTCCTGCTAAAGAATGTAAGAGCAGCATTTCCACCAACTCTGGCCCAATCTGGGCAGTGAGATTACCCTCCAGCCTGGGGCCAAGAAGCCCCACACATCAGCCCTATTTTCAAGGGGGCACTCCACCACTTTTTGTGGTTTTCCCTTAGTTTTTCTTAAGACTGACAGTCATGGATTGGGAAGCTCACTGTTTCTGGGAGTGTCTAAACAGCTTTTATTTGTTTTTGTTTTGTTTTGTCACTTGTAAACAGCTTTAAATGGAAAAACCCAAGCACTTTCCTCTGAAAGAGCTAAAATTGAGAAATCTTCCCATTTCGAAGATTGGTAAAACCAGGTTTAATCTCAGTTCTGTTCACAGATTGTATGGAAGAGACAATGCCCCTTCTTAGATGAGCAACAGGGCACTTACCGGGGGACAACGGCAAATGAAACCATCAGGCATGTTACTGGCCACAGCACAAGTCCCTCCATTCAGGCAGGGCATCTGGGGACACACATCGACGAAGGTTTCACAGTGCCGGCCTCAGAAAATAAAAAATAAAAAAGGTTTTAAAAGGCAGAAGTAGTCACTGCAAGTTACTCAACAAACTTTGCTGGGATGGGAACTAGCCATAGGTGAAGCAAGTGTGAGAGAGTTCAGTTCTAGGCCTGTGGTAATCTGAGCATAGAAAGAAAACACTCACTGCATCTCAACATGATTGGCCTGTCACCAGCTCAGGCCAGTCCCTTACTCTGTCTTGCCTACACAGTAAGTACCAACTCACACAACAGGGTGGGTGAGAAAAGTGACTTAAATCCCATCAAAAAAAGAGAAATCACACTTCAGCTTTTTGAAGTCATTTTAGCTTTCATAAGTTGCAAAAAAACAGTTGAAAAACTATTCACTGCATTTTGTTAATGTTATCTACTTCATAGGAGAGGCTACACCAGGCCAATACATTTAAATGGTGATTTGCGGTATAGAGAATTTTCATCTGTGATACCTCATTTCAATCACTTTTTGGCCTTTCTGTAACCTAACTCGTATTCCTTAAAACACAGCTTAATTTTCCTAGAGTTAGTTTCCTCTAGGAATAGTTCTAAAACGGAAGGCCCCTGGGGGCCACTGCTCCAAGATAAAGAACGAGGCAACTGGAACCACAGAGGAGACGCAGGGCACAGCTGGGACTCCTGGCCAACAGCAGGAGATAGGCCCCATTTGGCCGGTGGTCACTTGGGAAAGAAGAGGTAGCTTTAAAAATGAAATAAAAATAGTAATGTTTTTGGCCAACGAGATCAAGCAGCAAGAGGTATAAATGTTTGTCTCTTCAAATCACAGCAGCAGCCGCTAACCAAGAGCAGCCACCACATGGACACAGCTTGGTGGACCACCAGTCCCTTGCTGTTTATCTCTGCAACAGCATCCCACAATAACTGTGCTCAATGTATTCAAGGGATTTTTTTTTTTTCATTCACAAATGTGGAAAATGCACAAACACTACTTCCTGGCTGTGGGATACTACTTCAAAGTGGTCTCCATTCCTTCCTTCTCCTGCTTCCCCCTTACTTTGCAAATGCTTGTGTTTCCAGAGAAAAAAGCCTCAGGGGCAATGAAAGAAACAGGAGCCAGTTTTGATGCTTTGGCTTTCAAAGTGCAGTTTGGCCAATACGAGGCTGTAGACAGATTATTCATACTTATTCTGTTCCACATTGCCTCAATAGCTATTATGTTCACAATGGACTATTTCTTTTTTGATGTTAGTGTATCCAGGGAGCTTCCATATTGCAGAATCCCTCCCATTCTTTACAAAATTCCAAGATTGTAAGGTAGCATATCTTTAAAGTTGGAAGGAAAGATGGCTGGAGATGGGCTCAGGATGTAGCAGAGTTCAGCTTGATGAATTGTTTGTAAACAGACTATTAAAGCCTATTTTCTGACTCCTAAGGAATCTGATCACACCCTCCATATAAGAAATACAACTACAGACCCCAGGAAATGCATGATAAATTTCAAATCTGAGTATCCTGCCACATCTGGATACAAACAACTATTTTAGTTCCCAAAAGTCACCATGCTGCCCTCTCCAGAAGTAACTAGTAAGTTCTTGTGATAAGACCCCTATTCTGAGGCAGAGCTTGGTCATCTTCAGGCCCTGTGATGAAAGAAAGAAGCTTGGGAACAGAGTAGGAACATGGCCAAGCCTTTACTGGGCAAGGCATTACTTGTGACCACTGCAACTTTTCATTTCATACCCACATCAACTGATCTTTGGTTAAACACACTTGAATTTGGACCTGCCCCCTTTAAGTATCTAAGCAGGGTCCTAAGCTTCTCTGAGTCCTAGGGGTGGAAAGATCATGGTGGCAGGAACTACCCAGTAATTCAAGCCATCACATGTCAAAGGAGGCAGGGTGAAGAAACCGGAGTTAGACGTAAGGTTCCTTAAAACAAAATGTTATTTTGTTCAGATGAAAAGAGTTCTGTGAATGAATGGGGGTGATAGTAGAACAACAATGTCAATGTACTAAACAATGCCACTGAACTGTACACTGTACACTTTAAAATGATTCAGATAGTAAATTTTAGGTTTTGGATATTTTGCCACTATTAAAAAATGTTATTTTGTTCAACTACTTTCAATATACATTGTAAAAAATATTCCTGCCATAGCATGATATAATCAATGCACAACAAAAGAATCTCTTAGGAAAAATTAAAGGTAGACACTGATCATAACATCCATAAAGTACAGACTAAGAAAAAACTGGCTTTAAAAAATTAAGCTGCTGTTGTTTTTCTTATATAAGAAAAGCTTCACTTGGGTCTGGGACAACTCACAGGGCCCAATTTGTTCACTAAAACCATCCTCCAAGGCAGAGTGGCCAGGAGGCTAGAGAGCTTCTCACCAGTAAAGGCACTACGGCAAACACACAGGTAGTCATTGGTGAGCTGTATACAGTCCAGGCTGCCCTCAGAGCTGCAGGGGTTGGAGAGGCACTCGTTGATGTCTCCCTCACAACGCTCCCCAGCAAAGCCAGGCAAGCAGCGACAACTGTAGCCTCCAATCCTATCCATGCACTGACCACCATTAAGGCAATGGGGACCCCGGGCACAGTCATCAATGTTCTCTTCACAGAGTAGGCCTGGAGGAAAGAGAAGAGGTACAGAATTATGAAAATCCTTTTAACCTGCTTTCCAGCAAGGGATAACCACCCTTGTTGGCATTTTCACAATGAATCAGAGTATACTCCTCAACTGGTAGTGGGACCTTGTAGTTGGGCAGGGCAAAGCACACTCTTTATTCATGACAGCTGTCATCCTGGTGAGTTGTACAAGTAAAGGAAAGAACATACTAGGGCTCCGCATGTACTCTCCCACACAATCCAGTGAAGTAGCACCCTATGGTGTAGGTCCTATTATTTGTCCCATCTCAAAGAGAAGGAAACTGGAGCTCAAGAGAGGCTCAGTAATTTTTCCAAAGTATAATCCAAAATATAAAAACAGTCCAAAAAAGAACATAACAATAAATACAGTTATGCAACCGCATAATGACATTTTAGTCAATGCAGGCAGCACATACGACAGTGGTCCCATAATGAAGCTGAAGCTGACAAATTCCTGTTGCCTAGTAACATCATAGCCTTGTAATGTCATAGCACAATTACTTTTTAAATAAATTCAGTGTAGCTTAGGTGTACAGTATTTACAAAGTCTGCAGTAGTGTACAGTAATGTCCTAGGCCTTCACATTCACTTACCATTCACTGACTCACCCAGCAAGTTCCAGTCTTGCAAGCTCCTTTCATAGTAAATGCCCTATACAGGTGTACTATTTTTTATCTTTTATATTGTATTTTTACTGTACCTTTTAAATCTTCTACTGTACCTCTTCTTAAATATGTTCAGACACATAAATACTTACCATTGTGTTATAATTGCCTACAATATTCAGTTCAGTAAAACAAGGTGCAGGTTTGGAGCCTAGGTGTGTAGTAAGCCATACTCTCTCTGTTTGTGTAATTACACTCCATGATGATTGTACAACAATGAAATTGCCTAAGGGCATATTTCTCAGAACATATCCCCACTGTTAAGTGACCCATGACTATACATAGGTTATGTAAAAATATTGGTAACAACTGGAACTGAATTTTGAATGAAATACATTTTTAAGTTTTATAATCACTGGCTTTTTTCTGTAATAGTGTATAAGTGCACCAATGCTTTTTATTTAACAAAAATAGAGGATAAATTTCCTGCTGAGAGTTCAAAAGTTATTCCATTTAAAACAGGACTAATTTATTGTACTATAGATGTAAATGAGCCATCTAGTATGAATATCTGCATATAGTGTCTTACAAAGAAACAAAAGAAATCAATGACTATTCTAGAAATTATTCTATGATTAATTCAAAAAGGCACAAAAGAGGCTGGGCACAGTGGCTCACACCTGTAATCCCAGCACTTTGGGAGGCTAAGGCAGGCGGATCACTTGAGGTCAGGAGTTCAAGACCAATCTGCCCAACACAGTGAAACCCCATCTCTACTAAATATACAAAAATTAGCTGCGTGTGGTGGTACATGTCTGTAATCTCAGCTACTTGGGAGGCTGAGGCAGGAGAATCACTTGAAACCGGGAGATGAAGCTTGCAGTGAGCCGAGGTTATGCCACTGCACTCCAGCCTGGGCAACAGAGCAAGACTCTGTCTCAAAAAATAATAATAATCATAATTAAAAAAAAAGGTACAGGCTGGGTGCAGTGGCTCAAGCCTGTAATCCCAGCACTCTGGGAGGCCAAGGCAGGTGGATCACGAGGTCAGGAGATCGAGACCATCCTGGCTAACATGGTGAAACCCCGTCTCCACTAAAAAATACAAAAAAAAAATTAGCCAGGCATGGTGGCGGGCGCTTGTAGTCCCAGCTACTCGGGAGGCTGAGGCAGGAGAATGGCATGAACCTGGGAGGTGGAGCTTGCAGTAAGCCGAGATTGCGCTACTGCACTCCAGCCTGGGCAACAGAGCAAGACTCTGTCTTAAAAAAAAAAAAAAAAAAGGTACAAAAGAAAACAGTTCTGTATGTATTCCTGCCACTTGCATTGTAGCATACACTAACAAAAGCAAGATTTTTTTTTTTAAATGTAAAGTAAGGCCCAATTTTCAAAAGCAATTACCAAATTACCAAAGATAAAATACCTAGGAACAATCTTCACAAGAAATGTGTTACACCTAAATGAAGACAACTTTAATACTGTCCTAACAGACACAAAAGAGACTTGAATAAATGGAAAGACATACCAGGATTTGGTTAGCAAGACTCCTCATCATAAAGTTATCAGTTTTCTCTATACTATAATTCATAAATTTAATGAGACCCCACTAAAAATTATCAACAGGAATTTATTAACAGACAAGCTGATTATAAAATTATGTGAAAAAAAATAACCAGGAAAACTATGAAGAAGAAGATCCTTAATAATTGAAATAGAACGTTATTGGTGAATTAATAGAATAACACAGAAAATAAAGAAAATCCAGAAGAACACCAAAAATACACATGGGAATTTAGAATCTGGCAAAGGTGCCATCTCAAATCATTATATATATAAAAAACAAAATATTCAATAAATTGTGTATTAACAAATGAGTAGTCATATGGCAAAAGTACTTGAAGAAAATATGGGAGAATTTCTTTACGATCTTCAAGTGTATATGATGTTGCTAACTACAACTCAAAATCCAGAAGCCATTTTAAAAGTGATAAATTCAACTTGATTAAAAAGTAAAAGTGTGCACTAAAAATCACTATAAAGAAAAAAGATAAAAAAATACTGGGAATATATTTGTTTTTTTATATCATAGCCAATTTCCACAAAACATTACATCAACAACTTAATGTGGGAAAAAAGATATATGTGTGTATATATATATATATGTATATATACATATATATATATATAAACAAAGAAACTGCAAAAAAAATCAAAAGAAAATGATTCTTAAATGAAAATATATTCTCCACCTTAAGAAAAAGCCAATATGCTGATATACTGCAATCACTGATTAAAATGATAAATGCACATATTATCCAATCCAGCGATTCTATTTCTGAAAATTTATTTCACCAATATACTTATATGCCTGCAAGATAACTGAAATATCTATCATGATGGCACTGGTTAAAATATGGTATGCCTGTAAAAGGGAATTCTGTAGCTATAAAAAATATTGAGGAAGTTCAGGCTGGGTGTGGTGGCTCACGCCTGTCATCCCAGCACTTTGGGAGGCTGAGGCGGGTGGATTGCTTGAGGCCAGGAGTTCAAGACCAGCCTGACCAACATGGAGAAACCCTGTCTCTATTAAAAATACAAAATCAGCCAGGCATGGTGGCACATGCCTGTAATCCCAGCTACTCAGGGCGCTGAGGCAGGAAAATCACTCGAACCCAGGAGGCGGAGGTTGCGGTGAGCTGAGATCATACCATTGCACTCCAGCCTGGGCAACAAGAGCAAAACTCCATCTCAAAACAAACAAACAAACAAATATCTATCTATCTATCTATCTATCTATCTATCTATCTATCTATCTCAGAGAGAGAGAGAGGAAGTTCTATATTTTGATATGAAAATATCTCCAATTAAGTAAAAAAAAATCAAGTGCAAAAAATGTGTCTAATATTCTATCTTCAGAGTAAAAAGTAAAGGAAATAAAATATCTTTGCATTTGGCTTCTCTCTACATAAAGAAATTCTGAAGGATACAGTTTTTGAAAAATTCTAGAAAGAAACACAAACAACCAAAAGTGGCGATTACATGTTTGCAGGAGAGGGAAAATTTGCCCACCAGAAGAGAGATGGGAATGAGAAGTATTTTCACTGTATACTTTTCTATGTGTGAATACACTTTTGGTCTATATGCATATATGCATATATCACCTTATACATAGAGTAAATTGAAAACAAAAAAGTAAAAACAAACAAAATCTAGTATATGCTCCCTGTCTCAAAGAATATTTGATATTTAGGGATTGCTAGTAAAATGAGCATAAATGCATATTTCCCCATCAGAATGGAACCACCAGAAATAAACAGATCTATCAACTGAGAGAGAACTCAACCTCAGCCTGAAGCAAAGTAGTAGGAAGAGGCAGAACTGTTACATTTAGCCCTTGACCTGGGAAACTGGTGGGACATGCAGGCAAAGATCTAAGGCTTAGAAATATGGTGACCAAAACACACATTGTGATGACTCTAACAATGGGGTTATGGGACTTGAGAGTTTCCTGGAATGTTTACCAATGGCCAGAGAAGTTAAGTCAGGATAAAAAAATACTGTTCCACATACCTAAACAAGCACACACAGTAAAATAATCCAAGGAACTGTAAGTAGGATAAACTCAAAGAAATTCATACCTACATACATCATAATCAAACTATCAAAAGATAAAGAATCTTGAAGGCATCAAGAAAGAAGCAATGTATCACATATAAGGGAACCTCAATAAGATTAACAGCATATTTCTCATTAAAAACCATGGATATCAGAAAGCAGTGGGATGATATATTCAAAGTGCTGAAAGAAAAAGACTGTCAATGATAATATCAAAACTAGTATTCTAAGCCATCTTTACCATATGGTTAGAAGAGACAAAAATTTTGTTTCCTTCTGAAATGATCCATTCTAGGACTGGACATGTCTTATTAATTAAAAGTTCATGGTATAGTAGTGATTTTAGAGTTTGATGAATACTCATGTACTCTCCTATATTTCCCAGCCTCCCTTGAAGTCACAGAGACCATTTAATAATTCCGGTCAATATACTGCGAGGGATAGTGATATGTGTTGCTTCCAGACTGAGCTAGTGGAAGCTGCTGTATGACCCTTCAAGTCTGTCCCTCTTCCCTGTACTGTGGAGGCCTTGGAGGCCAGGTGTTTCAAACCACATATCTAAAACACAGAGAAAGGTAGCCCAACACATATTCGACTTTATTTGAGTGACAAAATCAGTGTTATATTAAGCTCTGAGATTTGAGGTTTAATTAGCTGCTATAGCTTGAAGTTTGACTGCACCAAACCACATGTTAAAATGTGATCTCCAATGTTGGAGGTGGGGCCTAATGGGAGGTGTTTGGGTCCCTGGATCTTCTTCACTTTTCACCATGAGTGGAAACAGCCTGACGCTCACACCAGAGGCAGATGCTGGCACCGTGCTTCCTGTACAGCCTATAGAACTGCGAGCCAAATATACCTCTTTCGAAAAATAAATTACTTAGTCTCAGGTATTCTTTTATAGCAACATAAATGAACTACGATAACAGCTATCACCAGAATCGTAGCTTGTCCTAACCAGTACAGTTTCTCAAAGGAACAAACTAACAATGAACTGGAATTAATTTCTACTCAACCACTGATTTCTAGAATAAAGAACAATTCTCCTTTTTACAGGACAATTCTTCAAATACTTAAAGACTGTTTCTCCTTAGTTTTCTTCTTCCCATTAACCTCATTCCTTAATAATCAGCCTACTACTAGGGTACTCTCCTATTTTAATTTAGTCAAACTCTGATACCTGGGGTGGCAAATTATCAAACTTTACTGACACAAAGCTCTAAGGCAATACAAATACTTCTCTGGCATTCTATTCTCTTTGACACTAACAAGGATGAATTTCTCACCAGTGTGGATGGCCTTTTACATTTTTTTCACAGCCTTCTCAGAGTAGGCCCCAGCATAACTACATCCCTTCTAACAAACAATACTCAAAGCTCTTTCCAAGGGATGGTTCAAAAGCAGTGTCAATGTCCACAGCAGAATGATGGCCATACCACTCAGTTCAAAAGCAGTGGCAATGCCCACAGAAGAATGATGGCCCCATCACTCAACAGTCCAGGGTTGCATCTCTCATCAGGCCTTACTGCATCCTAAGGTAGAACCTTACACCATCAGTATCCTCCCCTGAAGCTATGAAAATAGGCAGATATTTTCATTTCATTCATTCCCCCACCTTATAGAGGTAAGACTTGGCTAATTAAAAAAATACAAAAGCAGGTAAATGTAAATTGTTTATTTTAGAGGCCATTAGTTGCTTTTCTGTGAAGCAACAAGAAATCTTACTGACCAGGCTAATTTTTTAATGTTATGCTAATGTTGTATCCCTTCCATATTCTGTGTTTCATGGAATATCAAGATGCCAAACAACCAGATAAAACTGACAACATAAACCACAACATCAGAGCTAGCAAGAGATGGGAGAATAAAATGGCTTGAATTACTAGGATGTAGAACTAAATGCTTGGAATGAAGCTAGTCTTCCTATCTTTAATTTTATAAAATCCCCTGAACACTAAGAATGGATTTATAACTTAAGACAATGCCCTGGATGGAAAATGGATAAGGATGATTTCATACCCCGAGTGCCTGGTGGGCAAGAGCACTTGAAATGGTTCACAAGGTCAATACAGGTGCCTCCATTCTGGCAGGGCTGATTCTGGCACTCATCCACTTCATACTCACAGTTGACACCCTGATAGCCTGGGACACACTGCCATGAGGAAACAAAAAGGACAAGAAATATTGGACCATTACTGGAAACAGACCATGAGAGCTAGTGAGATCTGGAACATTTCTGTGACTGTCTCCCACCTCCTAATTTAGCTTTTGTATGTTTTCTCTGGAACCATCACACTCTCTGCTAATCATTCTATGCAGGGACAGAAAACCTGCAGCTTACTGGCATTTACCTACTCCTCTTTCAGTTGAAAAAGGCACTTTAAAGGGAAGGCAAGGACTGAATACAATGAAGGATGTTTCAGATTTGACTTGTGTGCAAACCTTTTGTTCCTCCTGGGTACAGGTTTCCTCATCTTTAAAATACACATTCCTCCGTATGTGATGAGGACCCTATGACTCGGTCAAAAGGCATATGTGGATGGTAGTACAGACATGCAATTATTGATCTCCAGGTTTAGGAAATTGGATCTATGTGTGAGAAACTGGTTGAGATAGGCTTAGGGGTAGAGGGAGGTGGGGCTGGCTGGCTGGCTGTGGTGGCTGTAGGGGTTGGAAGGATTTCAGGGCTGACCAAGAAAAAAGATATGGCTGTGAGGTGGCTTTATTTGGACACTTTGACAGGTTTGCACCTGGGAGAAGTCCCAAATAGCATGAGACCTTCCAGAGGGGTAGGTGAGTAAGGGGAAGACAGCAAGTAAACTCTGGGAAAGAAGGATCAGAGAAGGAGTCTAGGTGATGTCACTCAACAGCCAGTGGCAGGAATCTCTGGGTCAGAGAGCTCTAAAGGCCAGCATCAGCCTGGGGTCTGTATGGCCCCAGGGTATATCTTGTCCTACTTATACTATGGCTAGCAGATTTTGGCTGCAGTTTTACAGGCTATGCAAAGCAGGCAAGCTCTAAATAGCTAAAAATCTGCTTATTTGGGGGCTATGTTTAAAACAACTAGATGTGTCAAAATTTGGGTTTGGCACTGGTAGGCTTTTGAGCTAATGAGACCCAGCCCCAGCCTGCTGTGAAGAAATAAACAACCTAGGGGCCAAAATACAGAAGCTATCGTTGGCTCATTTATATAACAATAGAGAAGCAAAGCTTTTCTCAGTGTTGCTTGATGGTTTGAATTGGTATCAAATTAATGTCTCAGGCATTTTGCTAATATCTTGCTTGCTCTAACCATTATCAGCCCAGACATTAAAATAGTGACATGTACCTTGAAGACACATACTTCCTCAAATATATACATGTAACGTTTAGCATGATGCTATGGGGAACAGGATGAGCAACATTTTTTTTTTTTGAGAGAAAATTGCTAGTTGACTGATTAATGACTAAATACAAAGGTGACAGGGGCCAAAGGGACACTCCACAAAGCAGTTTTTCCTATCTCAGCTGCTATTCAGGGAAGTGTGGACTGCTATGTTGGGTGGGCCTGTAAAATGCACTCTGGTAGTGACTCTTGGCTCTGAATCCTAAAAGCAAGCCTAAGGAGCTGGGATGGTTCCAGACGCCTATAAAAATATCATACTAGGGACCTGTTAACTTATTGCACAGAGAGGCTGAAAGAAACAGTGGTAAACATTATGACGGGGATTGGTAAAAATCTATAAACTATCAATATAAGATACAAGCAGCTAAATTCAATATATCAGTGCTCAAACAGTTGTACAATCTCCTGGGAGGTCCATGACCTCTGCTTGCTCAGTGTCCTCACCTCGCATCTGTATCCACCAATGAAGTCACTGCATGTTGCCCCGTGCTGGCAGGGGTTGGACGCACACTCATCGAGTTGCTCCTCACAGTAGCTCCCAGTATAGCCCAGGGGGCACTGACAGTAATGCGTGTTGCCAGCATTGATGCAGACACCTGAGTGCTGGCACAAGTGTTCAACAAGCACACCTGGGAAACCCAGTGAGGGAGAAATGTCATAGAAGAACATGTGACACATGGGGTTCAAATCAACCAATGAGCAAGTAAATCTAAACTGGCTGACACATCCAATCTTATTCTTAGCCAGTTCTTCACAACCCTCAGTACCAGATGCATATTAAAAATAAACCCTGAAAGTGGAATATACCTTAGTTTCATTTCAAATACATTCTTCTCCGAATCTCTGAACCTATTCCTCTACCCTTACACCTTCTGTCTTGAGCCCTTTCCCCAGAGCCCTGCCCACCCACTACTATCTGCCCTTCCCTCTTATTCCACAAAAAAATGATACCTTCTCTAAATGCCACTGGACAGTCAATACTGCAGTGAATGACCTGAGCCCAAGGGAGCAAAGCTTACCTCTCCTGGAGGCTGCTATGTCACAAGAGACATTGGGCACGTCACAATAGGCACCAGCCCATCCAGATGGACATAGGCACTGGGACTCTGCTTTTTTCTGAACGCAAGTACCTTTGTTTTTACATGGAGACCGACTGCAGAGATTCACCAGGGTCTGAAACAGAGGCAGGGGTGTACATACATCAAAATTCAAATACTAGAAATGAAGAAAAGAAGTTATATTGTGTTACAAGAAATCAAAGAAAAGCAAACTGATTAAAAAGAAAAAGAGCCTTCATCTAGTAAAAGAGCCCTTAAACTAGATTCAGTGTTCCGAGGTACACCTAACCATTTTTACGTACCGTTAAGTCTTCACTTAATGTCATCATTAGGTTCTTGGAAACTGTGACTTTAAGGACAACGATATATAACGAAACCAATTTTACCACAGTCTAATTGATATAAAAAAGAGTTAAGTTCCTCTACTTATTTCTGGTTAAAAAAAAAATCACTAAACTTCAAATTAACACCCACTTCTGATATTAAACATTAAAATAAACAAGCTATACATTCATTTAAGAAATATTAATAAAAACAAGATAATTATTTATCCAATTTTTGGTGAATCCATGAGTAATAGCAGTCCTAGTGGTGGCAGGTCAAGTCAAGGAATAAATGTTTGCAAAGCAAAACCGTCAGCACCTCTTACCACCACACAGCTCAGAAAGCAACACTAACCAATATGGCAGGCTTGCTGGGTGGTTTTGTACCACATTGTTTATTGTTGTGCACTCATATGATTATCATAGGCTTTATGGGTTTTCATTTTATAATAATTGGTATATTCATTCTTTTTTTTTTTTGAGACGGAGTCTCACTCTGTTGCCCAGGCTGGAGTGCAGTGGCGCTATCTCCGCTAACTGCAAGCTCTGCTTCCCAGGTTCACGCCATTCTCCTGCCTCAGCCTCCCGAGTAGCTGGGACTACAGGCACCCGCTACCACACCCGGCTAATTTTTTGTATTTTTAGTAGAGGCGGGGTTTCACCGTGTTAGCCAGGACGGTCTCGATCTCCTGACCTCGTGATCCACCTGCCTCGGCCTCCCAAAGTGCTGGGATTACAGGTGTGAGCCACCGTGCCCGGCCCCATTCATTTATTTTCTAACTCACTTACTCCAGTTCAGGTTCATGAGTGGCCAGAGCCTATTCTGGCACAATGGGACAATGTAGACATGTCCACTTCACCCAACATACATGACTTTGAGTTGTGGAAAGAAACTGGAGTCCCTGGAGAAAACCCACACAGACATGGGGAGAACATGCAAACCCCACACAGATAGCAGCTCTGGCCAAAAACAGATTTTTCCCCCACTCAATGTTGTAACAAAATGACACCGAAGGAAACAAAGTTACTTGAGGGCCTGCTGTAGTCTAATTCCTCTTAGGTCTTCTATTTAAAAAGTTCTTACCAAAAAAGTTTAAAAATTCAGGGAAACCCAACAGGTTAAGCTATTCCCAATGCTCTAGACATGATTTGCCTACATGTATAGCCACCCTGTAATGCTAGAAAGAAAGAGTTAAAGCTGTCAGACAGGTTCATACTTTCTGTGCTAATCCTGTGTGAGAAATCCACATGGGTCTTGACCAAATCTATCTTTGGTGAATATGGGTAAAAGGACTTAATGCCTGTTAATAAGCCTAAAACCGTTTAAGAGCTTATTTCTAAGGAAGGCAATCAGACTTATGAAAAATCTGAAGCAAAGAGTGCACAAGGACTGGCACCTTTCATCTTAATTCACACACGGAGTGGCTTGGCCCCTTGAGGAGAGGAAGGCCAAATTCACAATATAGACAGTTTGCTGGAGGAAGGGAGGAGTGCTTCACCAGCACTGCCAATCTACACTGTGAGAACAAATAGGAGCCCAACCAAAAATGCTCTCGTGATCCATGGAATCAGCAACAAGCTGCTTAATTTTGTGGAGGTGGGTGCTCACATGTCTAATATAGCCTAAGCCTTACTTAAGTGCGCCCTGTAAGTCAAGTTAAGTTTGGCCATTTATTCCTATGTTCTTTGGAGTTATTATTCTATCACTATTAAAGAGGTAGAATAACATTAAATTAAACACAGGGCTGTTTGGTATGCAACTTTGGAAAAGTTACTTTGCCCCTCTGGGGCTGTTTCGCCTTCCATGAAATCGAAGGTTAGATTAGTTGCCTATAAGGGCTCTTTCCATTCTAAAATTTAATGGAAGTGTGTATTTACATATTTGAACTTAAAAGATATGTAAATTGTTTGGTTTTGAGAATGTTACCACATTGCAAGATACAACAATTATCATTATTAAACACTTAGATGTTGCATCTGACCTTTAAAAGGTTATTTTGATTATTCTCTATTTTCTTCAGTTCTTTTTGTGCTTCCAATGTAAAAAACAAAAAAACAAAAAACAAAAAACAAAAATCTGTGTTTATTTCCCACATGTATTTTTCTGCAGTTCTTGGTTAGCCTCTTTTCAAGATCTTATGTTTGTGAATCTATATCATATTGCCAGCACCATTTTGGAATCTGCAAGTTATTAAGAAGTTACCTAGATTATCTCAGGGAATCCCTGAGATCCACAATTTTCTCTTTTAGAAGGAACTTATTCAGACTAGAAAGTGAACAGGTATAATATTCAGCTGCTCTAGGGGAGCTGAGTGAATGGGAAGGAAGTCAATTACCTGACAGTTTTTCCCAGTGTAGCCCAGGGGGCAGCTGCAGCGGTAGGTACCCAGGCCATCAACACACGTTCCCTCATTCAGGCATGGATGAGAGCTGCATTCATTGATCTCATGGAGGCAGAAGGATCCAGTGAAACCCACAGGGCACAAGCAAGAGAAGGAGTTAATCCCATCAACACATGTGCCACCATTGAAACAGGAGCTAAGAAGCAAACAGAGCAACATCAGCTATGTATCTGGTGCCTGTGACTTACTACTACAAAGTAAGATTTCTGGAATCTAAGATCATACAGAGGCAAATACCTCTGAGCAACCCATATCCCTTAAACTTTCTTACAAGCTAGATTGGGTGCCAGAAGCTCTGAGGTGCCCACTTCCTTTCTATAATCAAAGGCTTAGAAGTATTTAAAAGACTGAGCTTACTATAGATACCTACAGAAAATGAAGTTTTCTAGGTTTTACCCAGTCCTTCTGTAGTTTTCCCATGTATCACATTTCATTTTATCTCTAAGTCAATTTAATTTATTTGAAAAGTCCTATTCACTATAGATTATTTATAAAAGACAAATAGAACAAACATGCTCATAATATTATAAAAAGAAATGAAACAAAACTCCCAGAAATTACTTAAAGACTAGTAACAATTCCAATCTCTGCAGAAAAACTGGAATTTTTGGATTTTTGAAATGAATGAGAGGCCAAGGGAAGAACAGAACAAAATTATAGCTCTTTCTGTTCCCTAAGCAAGAAATAATAAACCATCCCTATAAACTTTGCAACCTCTGACCTTTAACTTTCTATTATATATGTTTATCAGGAACCAGTAACCGGGCAATAGGAGATGACTGTGGACTGGGATCCATGTGGACACCTCATCCCTGCTCCACAATTCTAGCATTGTGCTCTGAAATTTCCTTCCCTTTCTCCCTTTCTCTCGTAAGATGCTGATGCCCGAGGGACTGGTTGCTCACCTCTCAGTGCACTCATTGATGTTGTTCTCACAATGGACTCCATCAAATCCTGCCTGGCACTTGCAAGTGTAACTGTTGACGTAGTCAGAGCAGGTCCCTCCATTCTTACAGGGTTCACTCAGACACTCATTCATGTCTGTCTGGCACTTATCCCCAGTGAAACCCGGAAGGCAGAGGCAGGAGAAAGTATTCACTCCATCCATACAGGAACCTCCATTCTGGCAAGGATCTAAGCCATTACAAAAGAATTAGACCTCTGAAGAGTAGCATCAGTTTAATCTTAGATTCATAAAAGTGAATGACCTGAACTAAGTCATGCTGGGGGCAGCATAATTCTGACTTTTTCATTCAATTTTGCCAACTCCCTCATTTATGAAAATGAATTCAATAATACTTGCTTGAAGTTTTTAACCTGTTTATTAATTGGAATAAACTTCATCTATGTCACCACCAACAGTTTTGTAAAATTAATAGTCATAAAACTTGCATTGGTCCCTCACACATTTGGAAATCAAATATGTGCCCCAATACACAGAATATCAATCAATATTTTCAAAAGGTATATGTGATTGTGGAGTGTGTGGGGGAGGACAAAATACACATATTCATGTTTTTCCAGGCATATTAATTATATAATCTTCTCTCTCCCTTTCATTTCCATCTCCTCTCTCTCTCTTTTTCTCTCTCTTTTAGATTTCAGTAGCCTTATGAAACACAGTTTAAATAAAAATTGAAATATCACATAGCTTGATCTTGGAACACTTTATACTCATAGTAAGGAACCAACAAATTTTAAGCTACAGTCATGCCACGGCACTCTACAATTATATGCCATACAAATCAGAACAAGAAAAATAAGCTGTAGCTATGGCTCTTAAGGAACTTAAAAATATAATTGCAAAGACAGGTCATACATGTAAAATGAAAACTAAATACTAAACTAAAGGGTAATGTGACCTTTATTTTATTAGCGAAACATTTAATATACTTTATTCATCTCTTGAACTAATTCCCTTATAAGACTCATCTGCAATCTCTATTAAAGCAATTGTAAAAATTGTTTCAGTTTTTCTTAACCACAGTACACAGCTACTATAATTTCCATAGCATCTTTCAGGAAACTCACCATCCATAATTTACTGAATTATTTTAAACTCATTGTAAATATTGTTGGTCCCACTTCATACAGAAAAATTTAAAAATACTCAATATTTTGAATGACATGTTACTTAATGTGAGAAAGGAATACAAACAGCTTGATCTCACTCCCTAAAGTTCTCCATCAATTGTGCCTTGGATACTTTTTCACTATTTGTAATACATCATTAAAATTATTTGTCCATATGTCTTTTTTTTTTTTTTTTTTTGGTGAAGTCTCACTCTGTTGCCCCGGCTGGAGTGCAGTGGCACAATCTTGGCTCACTGCAACCTCCGCCTCCCGGGTTCAAGAGATTCTCGTGCATCAGCCTCCCGAGTAGCTGGAATTACAGGTGCCTGCCACCACGCCTGGCTAATTTTTGTATTTTTAGTACAGACCAGGTTTCACCATGTGGCCAGGCTGGTCTTGAACTGTGTCTATATGTCTTTCTTCCCTAACAGACTATGAGCTTCATGAAAATAGAAACTAAAACTTATTTATCTTATCACTGCCGGCACCTAGCATGGTGGCCTCTATATGATAATCTGAAGTTATATATCCTGTAAATTAAGGTGCCATTATTAATGCATTGTGATAATCTCATTTGAAGTTAAATCACTATACAAGTAACTAAGGATCGGTCAGTACATACATGTAATAAAACTATTAAGGCTGGGGGAAGAACCACCAGAAAGAAGTAGGCAGAATAATCCCTAGAGGTTTCACTGGGCTGAGAACAGCTCATGTTTATTCAATAAGAATGAAAAAAACCACGTGGCAGTAAGTAGAGTCCTGAGGGACCCCTGTTGTAGTAGTGAGCCATATTAGCCCTCAACTAAAGACTATTTTGGAACCAATTAACAAACCTTGAAGTAAGACTCTGAAGGATTGAACTATGTCCAAATAATTGAATATTTGAACAAAGCTCAAAAATGTTTTTTTAAAAAAGATTTTTAAAAAAATTCAGCATGGAACAATGTAAGATGGATGTCTAGCATCCAGTAAAAAGTTACCAGGCAGGCAAAGAAGCAGGAAATACATTCAAAATGAGTAGAAAAAATATGAACAGAAACATACTCAGGAATTTCTCATATGGTAGAAAAGTAGGTAAGGACAATAAAATATGGTCAATTATTATCAACTAGAAAACAACGATACTCAATATATTCAAGAAGGAAATAAAAGCATGAACATGACAAAGAGGGAGGTAACGTTAAAAGAAAGACTTGAATTAAACTTCCACATATAAAAACATAATATCTGAGGGAAAAATATACTAAATGAGATGAACAGTAAACGAGAAACTATAGAGGAAACAATTAGTAAACTTGAAAGTATAACAAAATAACTTCAAATAGTAAAATAATCCAAAATAAAACACTAAGTGGAAAAAACACTGAAAAATAAATAAATCAACCTTGCAGCCTAATAAATGCATAATGAACATTATAAAAGGGAGACGCAAAAACTTTTGAAAAAAATAATGGCTAAATATTTACCAAATAATGGTTAAAATATTTTCCAGACTTGGACCCATAACCAAAAATATCAGTAAACTCCAAACAGAAGAAACATAAAGAACACTACACCAGGCTAGGCATGGTGGCTCACGCTGTAATCCCAGCACTTTGGGAGGTCCAGGTGGACGGATAACAAGATCAGGAGATCAAGACCACCCTGGCTAACACGGTGAAACCCCATCTCTACTAAAAATACAAAAAATCAGCCGGGCGTGGTGGCGGGCACCTGTAGTCCCAGCTACTTGGCAGGCTGAGGCAGAAGAATGGCGCAAACCCAGGAGGCGGAGCTTGCATTGAGCCAAGTTCACGCCACTGCACTCCAGCCTGGGCGACAGAGCGAGACTCAGTCTAAAAAAAAAAAAAAAAAAAAAAGACCACCACACCAACAGGCATTATAATCAAGTTGGTAAAAATCAGTGGAAAGAGGATATCTTAAAAGCAGCCACAGGAGAGAGAATTATATATGAAGGAACAGATAAAAGAATTGTGGAATAACAGCAGATTTCTCCTCAGAAATAATGCAAGGAAGAAGATAATAGGATAGCTTTAAAGTGCTGAAAGAGAAAGTCAATTTAGAATTCTCCTCCCTGTGAAAATATCTTTGAAAACTAAAGCAAAATAAAAACCTTTCTGACACACAAAAACAGAAAGACTTCATCACCAGGAGACAAAGACTACACAAAATATTCAAGGGATTTTTTCAGACAGAAGGAAAATGATACCTGATGGAAACACAAATCTACATAAAAGAATAAAGACCAATAAGACTTGAAAATACGTAGGTAACTTAAAGACTTTTAAATTATTTTTCAAATATCTTGAAAAAAATTGACCTTTTAATTACATATTTGATGGGTTTAATGCTATATACATTTTATAACAACAATAGAAGAGAGGCCAGGAGGAATGTAAATGTGAGTGTACAGCTCTTCTCCTCTATATGAAGTGGTACGATTGAAGGTACATTATAATAAGTTAAAGCTGCACACCAGTAAACCCTACAATAACTACTAAAAAATATGTAACCAATATGGTAGTGAATATAGATAAAGTTTTGAAATTTATGTATGTAGATAAAATGTAATCATAAAAATACTCAATTATTTCAAAAGATGTCAGAAAAAGGAAAATGGAAACAATACACAGAAGAACAAAGATAAAGCAAACAGCAAGATGGCATATTTTGAAGCCAGCCATATAAAAACTACATTAAATTTAAACAGTCTAAATACCTGAATTAAAAGATAGACACCATCATACTGGAGAAAAAAAGACAAGACCCAATATACGCTCTCTACAAGAAACCCATTTTAGAGAAACAGGCCAGAAGTAAAAGGATTTTTAAAAACACACTCTAATAATAAAATAAAGCTAGAGTAGCTATATCAGTATCAGGCAAAGTAGACTTCAGAGAGAGAAATATGACAAGAGTTTAAAAAGGCCATTTCAAAATGATAAATGGGTCAATTCCTCAAAAGGACATAAGAACCCTAAATGTTTATGCACTTAAGATTAGAGTTTCAAAATTCATTAAGCCAAAACAAATAGAATTACTAGAGAAACAGATGAATATACAATGATAGTAAAAGATTTCAATACTCTTGAATAAGAAGTAAACAGAAAGCCTCCTTATTATATTCTATGAATAATAAGTAGACAGAAAGTCATAGAGGACATAAAAGACCTGAATAACACTACCCTATCCAATTTGAATTAATAACATTTATAGAACACTGTATGAAAAAAATCTGCAAAACAGACATTCTTCCCTTTCAAAGAAAGAAGAGACAAATTACCAATAGTAGAAACAAGAGAAGGAAACCATCACAGATCTAATAGACTATTAAAGCACAGTAAGGAAATGTTATAAAACAAATTGATGTTATGTCAACAAATTTGACAAAACAGGTGAATTGGACTAATTCTTTGAAAGACAGATATTACCAAAGCTCAATTAAAAACAGATAGCCCATATGGCACTTATATGTATTAGGAAAACCAAACTTGTAGTTAAAAACTTTCCCAGAAAGAAGGTTCCATGTCTATATATTTGGAAGAAAACACACCAGTTCTACACAAACTCTCCCAGAAAGTAGAAAGAAAAACACTTCCTGATATGTTCTATGAGGACAGCATTGCCCTCTTATCACAACCAGACAATGGTAGTCCAAGAAACCTGGAGAACAATATCCTTCATGAACACAGATATAGAAATCCTTAACAACATTTTGGCAAATCAAATCCAATAATACATAAAAGGAATAACACATAATGACCAAGTGGAATATAGCCCATAAATTTAAGATTAGCTTTTAACATTTGCAAAATGTTAAATAAAGTTGATGACAATTTACTTACATTAAAAGACCAAAAAATAATATCACCATGTCAACAGATGTAGAGAAATCAATTGCACACCAAAAAATCAACATTCATTCATTATAAAAATACAAAAAGACCTCTTAAAAACCAGAAGTACAAGGTCTCTCAATTTGATAAAGGGCCTTTATGAAAACCTATAGGTAACATCTCACTTAATGGTAAAAGACTACATACTTTTCCCCTAGGATCAAAAACAAGGTAAGGCTTCTCTCACCACTTCTATTCTGTATTTATTGAAGATCTTAGTACAATAATACTAAAATAAATAAAAGGCATACAGGGTTGAAAAGAAATTAAAAGGCATAAGGGTTATTTATAGACAGGATGATTGTATCTGTAGAAAATCCTAAGAATCTAAACTATCTAGAGGCTAACCTACGAACCTACAACTAATAAGAAGTTAGTTTAGTACAGTAAGAAAACAAAATTAAACTTGACTTTTAAGTCACACAATATGTAAAAATTAACTCAAAACAAATCATAGGCCAAAATGTAAGAGCTAAAATTACACAACTTTTAGAAGAAACCACAGTAGATAAACCTCAAATTTGGATTAGGTGAAGATTTGTTAAACAAGATACATGAAGCATGAACTATAAAGGAAAAACATGCATACACTGAATTTCATCAATGTTAACATTTTCCTCTTCAAAAGAAAATCAAAAGAGAAGCTATAAATTGGAGGGAAATCATTGGGAAGCAAATACCTGTCAAAGAATTCTTATTTAAAAATACAAAGAACTCTTTCAACTCAAGAAGACAACCTAATTATTTCAAATGGGCAAAAAATTTAAATAGACATTTCACCAACGAAGATAGGCAGATGGGCAAAGCACACGAAATGATGCTTAACATCATTGGCAGAGAGAATAATACAAATTAAAATCACAATGAAATACCACTCTACACCCACTAGAAGAGCTAAATTTAAATGATATCACCAAGAGTTTGTGAGCATATGGTTCAAACAGAACTTTCATACAATTCTGGTGAGAATGAAAATAGTACAACCACCTTGGAAAACATTCTGGCAATTTCTTAAAAAGTGAAACATACACTTACGACATGATTCACCGATTCTACTCCTAGGTATTTACTCAAGAGAACTAAAACCATATGTCCACACAAAGACTCATTCATAGCAACTTCATTTGTAATATCCCCAAATTGGAAAACACCCAAATGGCCATCAACCAATGAACTGTAATATGTCCATACAATGGAATACTGCAGAACAATAAACTAGAATGTACTATTGATATAAACAACATGGACGGATCTCAAATACTATGTTCATTAAAACAAGTCAGAACCTCTCCTGACTTATGCTTATCTAACTGCATTTATATAAAATGATAAAATCTGCCAACTAATAATCTATAGTGACAGAAGGTAAAACTGTGACTCCACAGGCAAGAAAGAGAGAAGGTTAAATTGCAATGGGATGAAGATAGTTTTAGGGTGACAAATATGTTTATTATTTTGGGTGATAGTTTCACTTACTATATGTCAAAATGTGCCAAATTGTACACTGAAAATATTTGCAGTTTAATGTACCTTAATTATACCTCAATAAATCTGTTTTTTAAAAAACACTATCATAGCATTGTCCTCACATTTTCAATGTTCACAAATTAAAGGGAATGCTTAAAATATATTCCACTGCCTCAATTCCCAAGGACACTAGCTTCAAAAGAAAGAGTTAAAACACTACTGTTAAATATGCTGGATAAATGACCGGTATGCCCAATGTCAGGCGTGAAAGGCGGCAGCCTCCACTGGGCTCTCCTCTGCTCCCTGTGTGTTTTCCTCTCCTCTGGGGGCTTAAGAGCTGACTGGCATACTCACTGGCAAGGCAGTCATCAATGTCCTCCTCACAGTCCATACCACTGAAGCCTGGTGGACATTCACACATGTAGCTGCCCTGGGTGTTATGGCAGAGACCATGGTTCATGCAGGGCTTGGAGATACACTCGTCAATGTCAATGGTACACCGCTGACCTAGGAACACAGGGCCAATAAATGACCTAGTCCTTGGAAGCTGATTCCCACAAAAATCTACGCAGGACCTGAGCTTAGTTGGGGTGCATGGAGCTATTCCACAGACAAACTGGTTGGCCCCCTGCTTTAGGAAGTTCCAGGAAGACTTCTGTGGCCTAGGAAGTTGCTGCCAAGGTGCTTAAACTCCCTGAAGAATGAACATCATGGCTTGTGAGGCTTAGGTTGCAGCCTTCCAGCCGCTAGGGGGCCCCGAAGACAAGGACAATGGAAAGGCTTTCTAAGCCATTTCAAGTAGCAGCTCCTTTGCAAAACCTGTGTGCTCTTGACAAGATGGACAGGCCTCATAAGACCAGCAGGGCCTTCCATATGATCTGATAACCTGACCACTTTGTTTAAAGTCAGAATGCATGTTCTTGGCTTCTCCACACCCATGTTCTTACCTTGCCAGCCAGGAGCACACAAGCAAGTATAACTCTCAAAATTTGGTGACTCTTTGCAAACAGCAGCATTCTCACAAGGGTTTGGGGAACAGGGAGCCAATACTGTCTGACAATTCTTGCCTAGAAAGTAAATGACAGAGTTTATGACAGATAAACAGGTAAGAAAACGAAAATTTTCCTTATCCCAAGGATGTTCTCTGAATTCAAGTCAAAAGTCCTGATTAAGAGGCTTTGAAAATGGAGAAGCCCATGATCTTTCCAGCATTGGCTCTGATATTGTTAACTGTGTAACCTTGGGCAAGATAGTTAGGGACCTCCTACAACTGTGATTTTATGAACTAGGCCTGTTAAATGTAGTTTCCCTACACTACTATTTCTTTTTTTTTTTTTTTTTTTTTGAGACGGAGTCTCACTCTGACTCTCAGGCTGGAGTGCAGTGATGCGATCTCGGCTCACTGCAACCTCCACCTCCCAGGTTCATGCCATTCTCCTGCCTCCGCCTCCCGAGTAGCTGGGACTACAGGCACCCACCACGACGCCCGGCTAATTTTTTATATTTTTAGTAGAGACGGGGTTTCACCATGTTAGCCAGGATGGCTGTGATCTCCTGACCTCGTGATCCGCCTGCCTCGGCCTCCCAAAGTGCTGGGATTACAGGGTGAGCCACCGTGCCTGGCCTACTATTTCTTCTAGAGGGGAAAAAGTAACAATGTGCTATCAAGTCTTTCAGGTAACACAGTCATGCTATGGCTATTCTGCTACTCTACACAACTTAGAGTCACTATTAACAGCTGCTATTAACAGCTCAAGACTCCAGGGAAGTAATAACTCAGCCATGCTCCTGACTGCATGCCGCAACCTGATGAAACAGGCAAAGTTATTGTCTATGTTTGTGTTTTGTTCCCTCTGAATGAGAAAAATAGATGAAGAGGAGATAAACAAGCCATAGAAATATAACCAATCACAAGAAGGCGATAATAAGCCAGTAGAAAACAAAGAATAAATGTCCCAAGCACACTCCAAACATAACAACTGAAACAAAGAACAGCTATGTGACATGCAGTCACACTCACGTCTTCTCAGTTGTAACAGCCATCGAAGGGGTGACACCTCTGAGTGAGATGTAGCGGTACTGAATGTGGGAAGTAAAAAGGCCATTAAGAGGAAAAGCTTCAGATTCAAAGAGACCTACAGGTAAATCCTAGATGTACTACTTACCTATATGACCTTGAGCAAGCAAGCTCCCTTTGCCTCAGCCTCCTCATGTGTAAAATGGCAATAGGAACTTCTACATTGTAGAATTATTGAGGAATACATTAAATAATCCAAAGTACAAAAAGTGTCTGGCACATAGTAAATTACCAATAAGTGGTAGCTGTATTATTGAAACTAAGACAAATAGCTAATGTCCTGGAAACATTCAAATGATAGACAACCATCATCTATGTGCCTGGTTCCAGCCACATACAATTAAAAAAAAATTTCTTTCAAATACTAAAGTACAATGTAGGCAAATGACTGTCCACCACTTGCATCTTAGGAGGCCACAATGTTTCCTCAAAGCTCAAGATCCAGTCAGTAAAGGCAGGAAGGACAACTGAGGAGTGAGCCCTCGGAGGAGCATTACAGCCCCACAGACCTGGGCACTGAGACTCAGGCACTGACAAAGCAAGGTCAAGTATCCCCTCTGGTCCCTGCTGGTACCTCCAGGACCCACCTGTGTATGGCAGCACACAGTGGCAAGTGTAGCCACTTATGTCATCAAAGCAGGTTCCTTGGTTCAGGCATGGATTTGAGGCACATTCATCAATATTCACCTGGCAGTTATAGCCTGTAGACAAAAGGAAAAAACCAAAAACAGTAAAACTTTCTGACAGCCTCATCAATTTCTAACCAATTCTCTTTAGGGGTAAAAACTGAACACATCAGAAATTGCATTCATTTCTTCAGGCCACTGAAATACCTGTTCATTCATTTCAGCCCCATGTCCCTGAAATACAGTCAGTAAATGACAGCAATTAGTTGAAAAGATGAATGGAAAAACAGTCTATTCTAATGATCTGAAAGCCTAATGCCCCTCCAACTACAAATAACTTCTCAATAATGAAGTTCTTGGTTCAAAAGCTTGTTGCAGGATCTATTTATTATTTATTTATTTTTGAGACAGGGGGTCTCACTCTTGTCATTCAGGCTGGAGTGCAGTTGTGTAATCATGGCTCACTGCAGCCTCGACCTCTCGGGCTCAGCAATCCTCCCACCTCAGCCTCCTGAGTAGCTAGAACCACAGGTGCATGCCATCATGCCCACTTGATTTTTTAAATTTCTTGTAGAGATGAGGTCTCGTTATGTTGCCTAGGCTGGTCTCCAATTTCTGTGGCCAAGTGATCCTCCCACCTTACCCTCCCAAAATGCTGGGATTACAGGTGTGAGCCATCGCACCCAGCCAATAGCTTGTTGCATGATAAACATAAGCTCTTTGTATATAACATTTCTGGTCAGGAAAAGGGATGATGTTTTTGAATACATTAATCAAAGCCTCTGGTTTATGCCCATTTTTTCATAGGCACCATGTCTACCACCCATGTGGTACTTCCTGAAGTTACAAAGCTGTTTTCTCCTGATTCAAGGCATGAAACCTTCTCCCACTAAGAAAAGGATAAAAGGAATAAAAAATTAGTGGAGATAGCACAGTACCCAAATACTGCACACCTTTGCATCTCCAATAGGGCCTGGCACAGAGCCTTAAAGTAGAGAAACTATGGCACTGTGGAAAAGAAAACATGGTCTAGGAATGCAGAGGTATGGGTTCAAGGAGTATTCTGCTGCCCACTGGGCATATAATTTGGGATTTTACCTTTTGAATTTTATTTTGTTCACTGATAAGCAAGTCTCAGAAGATAAAGAAATAAAAGTGTTTTGAAATCTACAAGTTTCTTTGCCAATGTAATACAATATATCAGAAAATTAATGGCTGAAATACAGTCTCAGAAATGTTTCAAGTAATCAAATAAAGTGGCTCTAAAACATGCTGATGTATCACAATAGCATAGCACAATATTTGAGTGAGGAAATCAATGAATAAATAGACAGATGAGTGCAAATATAATGATTTACCCACACGGCTCTCTTTTGTGAGTTTCCAAGAGAAAACTGATGGTAGAAATATAACAGTGATAACTCAGAAGCAGATTTTACACAATTCCCATGACTATCCATTTGTTGGGTAGGCCAGCAGTCCCTCAGCATTTTTGGCACCAGGGATTGGTTTCGTGGAAGACAATTTTTCCATGATCCGGGGTTGGGGGGATGATTTTAGGATGATGATTCAAGCACATCCCATTTATTGTGCACTTTACTTTTATTATTATAATATTACACTGTAATATACAATGAAGTAGTTTTACAACTTACTATAATGTAGAATTGGTGGGAGCCCTGAGCTTGTTTTCCTGCCACTAGACAGTCCCATCTGGAGGTGATGGGAGACAGTGACAGATCATCAGGCACTAGATTCTTATAAGGAGCGCACAATCTACATCCTTCACATGTGGAGTTCACAATAGGGTTCGCAGTCCTATGAGAATCTAAGGCCACCACTGATCTGACAGAGACAGAGCTCAGGCGGTAATGTGAGTGACGGGGAGTGGCTATAAATACAGATGAAGCTTTGCTCCCTCACTGGCTGCTCACCTCCTGCTGTGTGGCCTGGTTCCTAACAGGCCACACACAGGTACTGGTCTGTAGCCTGAGGGTTGAGGACCTCCGGTGTAGACCAAAGATGACTAAATAACTAAGAATATCTCAATGTGTTAAAAAGTTTGTTGAAAGAGTTCTGAACATGTGGATTCTTCCTTGATATTACTACTATCTTAATTATAGTAAGCATAATATTTTCATTCTACTTCCATATATCTATTTGAACTATCATAGACTCAAACCTGGACCAGGAAGCTTATAATTAGACACTTGGCCAATGCTGTAAAACTGGAGTCTTAACTGCTCATCTTAAATATTACCATTTCAGGCTGGGTGCGGTGGCTCACGCCTGTAATCCCAGCACTTTGAGAGGCCGAGGTGGGCAGATCACCTGAGGTCAGGAGTTCATGACCAGCCTAACCAACATGGAGAAACCCCGTCTCTACTAAAAATACAAAATTAGCCGGGTGTGGTGGCATATGCCTGTAATCCCAACTACTAGGGAGGCTGAGGCAGGAGAATGGCTTGAACCCGGGAGGTAGAGCTTGCAGTGAGCCAAGATCACGCACCATTGCACTCCAGCCTGGGCAACAAGAGCAAAACTCTGTGTCAAAAAAAAAAAAAATTACTATTTCAATAGGTCACCTCTCTGCTAGGCTGAAGGTAGAAATTGTATCTATTCATGTTTTTATTCCCCAAGTGCCTTACAAGTCTAATTGCTCAATATGTTTGTTACACGAATGAATGAAAAAGAGAAAAGGAAACTAAGAAGTGAGTCAAGCAGTATGCAACAACAAGAAGACAAAGAGCAGACGCAGAAAGATGTACTTTTGTTTTCACCTTTAAAGCCCTTCTTGCAAGTACACCTGTATCCATTCACCAGATTGTCACAAGTTCCTCCATTCTGGCATGGATTCGAAAGGCATTCATTTTTGTCCACTTCACAGTTGATGCCAACCCAGCCTGCATCACAGAGACACTTATATCTGAAAGAAGACAAAACTTTTTACTATAGGAGGTATAAACGTATGATTGAGTCATAGAGTGAAATACAGGACTTGGTGAAGAAATGGGGTAAACTGATCTCATTTCTACTTTCATGGAACTATCCTTGCATCACCTTGCACATGGTGTGTACCATGTGGCCCTATCAGGTGTATCCAGTAAAGAAACCTTCTTGGTGCTTTCCTGGCTCACTAAGTTAGTGAAATTATAATGAAATTTCTTATGTAAACAATGGTTTCTACAATATATTGGGCCACTCTGAAGGAAACAATATCATGGATAAATCTGCACAATGTATGTTATTATACATAAAACTAAAGTAAAGCAAACATTAAGATCATTAGTTTTTGGTGCCAAATAGATACCTAGGTCACTGTCAGGGACCCTGAGCCACTCTAAGATGCTCCTGGGATATTTCATATCTAAGTCATGCTTTGTCTTGACCTAACACTTGGCTTCAGAAAGCACCTAGGGTATTCTGCAGGAAAAGGCACAGGAATGAAGGTATTTGAATTGTAAATATAATCTCCAATTTGAACATCACTAACACTTAGAATGTGATATCAGGAAATGATAGCTTTCTTATCGGGAGAATTTTAAGAAAATGAGAGATGGATAAGGGTGCCTTGAAGGCTGCTATACTCTGAAACACCAATACTGAGTTAATTAATTTTTAAATAACTTTATTTACTATTTGCCACTAAACACTCTTTATCCTTTCATCTTTCAAAGTTTGGCAAAGGAAAATGTCCAAAGCCATATCCTATGGCAAATGCAGCAAGAGTATAAGAGCGTCTCGTGAGACCTAAGGTCACTCTATGATTCTAGAAAATCACTAACACATCACACAAGTCTGTGGGGCTTAAAAATTGCAAATGTTTTATCAGGGACATTTCTAAAGTTGGCTGAAGCGGCCCTACTTCAGAGCACACACTGGCACTGTGACAGAACAGAGCTGAGCTATGTTTAAGCAGGGGAAAAAAAATCAAAAGCTAGAACATTCTTCAGAAATCATTCCAGTAATACATACTAAAAACATAACTGCCAAAGATTCATACAATGAGTATGGGTTCCTCCCATGAGGTCCTTGCTAATGACCCATATAAGGGAGACATTCCTCCTTATGTTCCATCTAGGTCCTCACTTATGGAAGGGAGGGGCCAGCTTCCATGGATTAAATGGTAATTCAGAAGGCTTTGATGCAGACTACCAAATCTTCAGCAAAGTTTCAGCTCAAAGCCCCATTTGACAACTTCAGGCTGTCACCAGTACTACAAGCCAACTGGCTTAACACAGGTCAATAAGAAACTATCACATGGGGCAGCTACTCACCCACTGAGACCTCCAGTACAGTTTCCATGGATGCAGGGATTGCTCAGGCATTCGTTCACCTGTGAGTAGCAGCTGGGGTGATGGGGTCCCTCGGGGCATATACAGCGGAAACCATTCACACCGTTGATACATGTTGCACCCTTGCGACAGGGATTGGAGGCACACTCATCAATGTCAATGTTACATCTCTGCCCTGTGGAGAAGGGGGACAGTGTTAGTCACATCCTAAATGCTTAGGAAATAGACCCAGAACTATAAGACACGTTATGTTGACATCCTTCATCTGCTCAGGCCATAAGGTGCCTTGAGGCACCAAATGTCAAGATGTAAGGAATTAGACACCCAATAACACTTAATGCCATGCAAAGGAGCAAAGAGCATTGACTTTTGATAATCAAGGAAAGTTAACAAAAGGCTGGAAAAGTGTTATAGCAATTTGGCATTTTCTTTCAACTCAGAAATGGGGAAACTTCACAAGGTTCTAAGAAGAGAATGTCAAATGTTACCAAAGAAGGCTTCTCTTCTTAATGCTGCCCTGAGTACAACTCAAAGAAGCATTCATTAACATGCTTTGTGCCGGTTTAGCACAAATTCATTTTCTCAGCCTCTTACATTTCTATTTATGGTAAATCCAAATTAACTGGAATGCTTAATGAATGGGCTAGTAACTTAATTCAATAATTAAATTGATTGTAAAGAAAGGTTATTTTGTTTTCATTCTTAGAGTCTATTAATCCATTTTTTTTGACCTCAGGAAGTAGAGTCTCAAAGTATAATTTTGTTGTCTTCTGATATTAGAGAAAATAATGCAGTCTGTCACTGCAGACCTATGGTTCTTAAACTTTAATGTGCAAAATCATCACTTTAAGTTGTTATTTTAAGTGGAGATTCCTAGGCCCTATCACCATAGATTGTGATGAATAGAATCTAGCAAACCATATTTTTTTAAATGTAGGTGGTGTAAAAACTAGATTTTGAGAAATTCTGTTCTAGACAATTATTACTTATCATCATCATACAATGTGGATACTGGGAGTAAGTGAAATTGAAGTGAATATGTTGCTCCTCCAAGACATAGCCAAGATTGCTCTTTAAAAAGATGTCTGCTATAACCTTGATATTTCTTAGGCTGAATAAAGTAATACGGGTCAGTTATACAAGTGTTTCCATTTGTTACATTTTGAGTAACTGAGATTTAACTATATATTCCAAAATGATATGAAATGTTAAAATTACCTATAATTCTATAAATGAGTGGCATCAAGCAACTGCTATGAATTTATATATTTCAAAGAACACAATGTTCTGATTCTGATTTTGAAAACATGCATTTTTCTCATTTAAGAAAGAGCAATCCTGTATTTAGAATAGGACATTCCAAATGAAACAGATACCCACTCCTATGAAGTATGAGTATTCACATTTTTTCACCCTCCATTGCTCTCTAAACCATCATTGGTGGTTCTTGTGGTAAAAACCCATAATCTGGAAGTGGCTGCTGTTTTCCTCTTAAGTGTTTTATTAATAGCTTATTTTTAAATACTATTTCCTTGGCCTCAACCACTGATTCTTTGAGCTGTTTGTCAGTGGCACCAAAATATGAACCAGAGCTCTTCAACCACACAGTTAGCCTCGGCCCGTAATATAGTGAAGGATAACAGGAAAAAGGTTTCTTCATTTTTGGTCTTTTCTTGGAAGCGTCTCCTCAGAAGCCACTCCTCCCAAGTTTTCTTTATTTGCTTTTAAATTTATTCTTTGCAGAATAAATTTTCAAGCCATCTTTATCTGAAAGCATTAAATGCAGTCCACTATGTTGATTGACAGCTGTTCCATCAGGAAGGTCCTACCCTCAAGGAGTTTCCACTGAGCATGAGGAAAGTCCAGTGGAAGGCCAAGAAATTTTTTGGGCTAGGTAACTAAAATGAGAAGTTACCCAGTGTTTCTTCTGACTTAGGCACTCAATAAATTGGTGTTTAATAAATGAAAACATGGTATAGTCCACACTTCAGAGTCTGGCATTAGCTAGCAAAAGCGCTATATTTGAGTCCCATTCATTCGTTCATTCAGCAACATTCACTAAGCGTTTCCTACGTGCCAGACATTGCTTTAGACACTTGCTATAAAGATGATTAAACGAGGTCTCTGCCTTCTGGGAACTCACAGTCCTCACTATGCAACTCACTGGCAGAGGCCATGAGTATATACATCAAGGTCTGTCTCTCAGTTGCCTTATTTGTTAAACGGGTATAGTAGAACTTCCTTTCTGGATTGTTATGAGAATTCAGGAAGATAATGGGCATGAAGGTGCTTTGTAAAACTGAAAAGCAGTTTATAGAAGTATCACATAATTCCTTACATTCCCCCATTTAAAAAGGTTCTAAGAGAACAGATAACTTAGTATTAAAACAAAAAAATCCCCTTTAAAGCTGTCAAAGCTATTATTAGAATGATATGGGAAAAATATATTAAAATAAAACAAGAGCAAGAATAAAACTCCTCACATTTACCACTCATGAGTATATACCACAGTCATCTCTAATGTTTTTAGCAGCTGATTAAAAAAATCATCTCAGACATAGGCAACAGTTCCATGAACAGGGGACCACCTAGTAACCAAAACATTCCATTTCTTGCTTATAAGGTTTCATGCTACACCTTAGGTTTATTTTAGAATATTTTTAGCCTATGTTCTCCCTTCTTGGCCTTCCTGGTTTGCTGAATATTAAAAAGAGAAAGAATATGATTCATTGGCATTCTGAAAAAAATGAGTCCAGTAGAAGCCTTATATAAACACACACACACACACACACACACACACACACACACACACACACACACACACACAACAGGCCCCTAATCAGGATGTCCAGTGTAGTGGGAATGAGCATGGGCTCAGGGGTCAGATTGCCTGGGATGTAATTCTGGCTGCTGTGCACTGGTAACATTACTTAACATCTCTGTGTTCTGGGTTTCTTATTCTGTAGGTATTCTCAACGTCGGTGACAATTGACAATTTAGTGCCTAGCTCAAAATTAGTTCTTCATAAATGTTACCTATTCTCTTTGTATTACCCACTTATCAACAATGTACCTATTATCCTATCTAGCAGGGATTTTTGTGTATTCACTCGACTGCCACTTGATCTTGGAGTAACAAGTTTCAGGATGCAGAACATCAGGCTACTACAGCAGCACTGGGCATTGGGTATGACAGTTTTCATCAGATTTTGCTTCTCAGTGATCTTTCACTGAACAGGGATCACTGTGACCCATTTGGGTGCAAACTTTCCTTTCTAATGTCCACAATCATACCAAATAGGAGAAATTCTTGTGAAATAGAGAACAAAGTACATTCTTGGCAAATGAATGGTGGACATTCACTTCACTTTGCTCTGGCTGCTTTCTGCAGACTCTATCAAAAACTCTGAAGGGTGTTTCTCACATTCGAGTACAAACAACCACATGGAAATTATTAAAGGGTAACATGTTAGTGGCTGCTTCTGTGTGTCACTGTCCAGGAAGAACAGAATGTACAGTGTGTGCCTTCTGATGATGCCAAGAAGAAACTCAGGTGTGTCAGTGAGGGGCCTCAGGTTTCTGCAGTAGTAGCCTCTAGCACTTTTTGATCAGGAGGGTAAAAGATAAAGGTAATATTGACAAGTAAAGAGAGAGAAGATGTGTGTGTGTGTGTGTGTGTGTGTGTCTGTGTGTGCGTGTGCATGTACACGCACATGTGTGTATGTGTAAATGCCTAGGCTGTTCATACTTTAAGAGAAGTTATATTCAAAATTCTTCTAGCCATTTACTTTCTTCCTCCTGGGCAGAAAGATCTCTCTCATGCTACCCAAATTAGGGTGGTCTCCCCAAGCTCTGACCTCATCCAACAATATTTCAGAAGACGAAGTACCCAGAAATAAGCATTCAGTATTTTCACAGAATTCTACCTTGAGTATGTCAAAGAGGAGGTACCCAGAAGCAAGCATTCAGTATTTTCATAAGATTTTACCTTGAATATGTCTTTACGGAAGGCCTTGACTACTACCTGTAATCAATAAACATAGCTTTGGAAGCAATGTAACTCAAGCAAAGCAAAGGCAATTTATGGTCTGTCTAGGAATTATTTTCTGGCAGCAAATAAACACATAATCGAAAAACTCTAATTAATGAAAAGTATGTTTCAGTTTAGAAAAGGTCTGTGAACAGAAAACTGATCTAGAGAAGCAGAGAAACAGACTACTAACCCTCCAGAGTGACAAAGAAATAGGAAACACTTGAAAAGCAATATTCCTTTGGATGCTATATTCCCAAAGTGATAGGGCTGAAGGAGGGGCCTTGCAGTAAAAGGAGCTTTACCTGTGAATCCTGGTGAGCAGACACAACTGTAGCGATTAATGCCATCCATACAGATTCCATGGATACAAGGGTTACTTGCACAGTCATCAAAATTAATTTCACAATTAACCCCTGGAAGAGAAAACCCAACGGAAACCATTCAATGTTACCACAGAAATACTAAGGCTTTCTGCTTGTGATGCAGCAACGTGGTAAGAAATCTAAGGTGAATTCCAGCCAACCCTGGACAGAATAAAGCAGAAGTTCTCAAAATGCAGTCCACAGACTCGTTCAGGAAGATACAGGAGGTCCAAAGGATTTTATTAATCATACTTAGCCATGATCTTTCCTTTTCACTGTGCTAACATTCAAACTGATGGTGCAGAGGCAATGGGGTGAAACCGATCACATCAGCATGAATCAAGGCAGTAGAACCAGACTGTACTATAATTATTCTACTGCTCACCTCCACATGCCACAGTTAAACAAGCAAAAACGCCAGTTTCACTCAAGAGTGGCTTTGTTGGAAGTTAAAATTAGTAACTTTATAATTTTAATAAATCTCGAACCTTGAGTAATGTCTACTACTCCATGTGATGAAATGGAAGTATACATAAAGCATTTCTGTGGCATGCCAAGTATGAGAGTTGTCTCCAGGAAGAGCTATAATGCTATTGTTTGAGCTGTGAGTTGAAATAGCTGCTTTCTTCATGAAACCCCATTTTAATTGAAAGAGCAACTGACAGGCAAACCAGGGTTAATCAGAATTGAGTATTTAGCAAATATTAAGTGAAAGCAGCAAACCTGTCATTTTGAGGAAAAGCAAATTGACAGTATTTTTGCCAAAGATAAAACTTAAGCTTTCAAATCAAAATTAGGATTTTGGAATTTGTATCTATCACTGTGAGCTTGACACTGCCTGTCAGTATTGTAGGCTAAATTTCAGGATAAATCTTGAGTCTAGTAACTTCCTCCTGAGGTAAGCTGCCTTATTTTTGCTCTACTGCCCAGATGAATGGAAGAGTTTGGTTATATTAACAGTATACAATCATTATTGTTACCATTATTTGTAAAGAGATATTTGTGAAATATATTTGTAATATATTTCACAAATATCTCTTTACAAATAATGGTAACAATATTTACTTTTTATTTTTGTATGAATTTAGTGATGCTTTCTGAGTATCACAGAATAATATTTTGGTAGTTTAAAAAGACTAAAAATAAAAACTGGTAATGAGAATATAAGAAAACAAAACATCCAGGATAAAATGCCATACTTGTGATTCACTCATACTTTGTTTTTCTTTCTTTTTTTTCAGAGATAGGGTCCTGATCTGTCACCCAGACTGGAGAGCAATGACACGAGCACAGCTCCCTGCAACCTCAATATCCCTGACTCAAGCTATCCCCCCACCTCAGCCTCCCGATTACAGGTGTGTACCACCTTACCTGGCTAATTTTTATTTATTTTTTGTAGGGACGAGGTTTTGCTATGTTGCCCAGGCTGGTCTCAAACTCCCAGGCGCAAGCAATCGTCCCACCTCGGCCTCCCAAAATGTTGAGATTACAGGTATGAGCCACTGTGCCCATACTCTGCAATAATGTTTATTAATAATAATTACAGAGGAACAGTTTATTGAGTTCTATGAGCAAAGTACGCTGCTTTGCCTGTCATGTAAGTTTTCTCTAACCCTGTCACCCACCCTGCACATTAGTCTGTGTTACACCCATTTTACAGACAACAGGGCTGACCTGCACAGTGCCACCATTAGGGCAGGAAAGCTGGGCTCTGAACCCTGTTTGTGTGGCTCCACAGCATCCTCTTTCCACCACACTGTACTGTCATCCCATGATTAATGAGGCTATACTGCCTAATTAGCCATAAATGAGGGAAAGATTTCCATATTCCCTGCAGAGGAGTGGATACCTTTAGGAGATGTTTCTAACCCTTGACTGACAACCCTGCTTTACCCTCAAACTAAGAAGGCAGCACCCCCTCCCAATGAAGCCCTGATGATCCAATGTGACTCCAGCCCCCTGTCCATGGTTTATTTGAGTAGGAAAAGATGCCTGGATCAAGCCAGGCCAATGAGATTCTCTCATTACAACACTGAAACACAGACTGTGTGACCTCTGGTCTACAAATGCCCAGTTTCCTATTCTTTTCTCCAAAGCCTTATTATTCAATTGCTTGGAATCTATAAGAGGCTCTGGGTGCTTTCGCTAAGCTCTTTCTGTTTCTTTGTTTTGTTGTTGTTTATTTTTTGTAAATGATGACTTAAACTAGCTCAAGTTGGTCTGTTACTTGAAACACAAAGAAACTTACTTAAAACTTTACTATCATAAAAGCACAGATGAGAGAACGCACTGAAGGTAACTCTGGGTAGTATATCTCACTTTAAGTACCCAGTGAGTGACTACCACAATTTTAGCTGACAAACTGTAAAATATTTCTTCCATCCACTCCCCTATCCAAACACCAAACTACCAACTTAGGCCATATAAGTGGAACAGGAATTCTTACTCTAGAACTTCAGACTCTATTCATAATGCCTCTTTTAATGGATTTTCCACCCAGGTCCCTGATACATGCCAGGTCTTTCTCCACCCATTACAGATCAACATTTTTTTAATGTTGTCTGACCGTTGCTTGCTTTAATTCTCCAAATAACTGCAGGAACATCTTTGGCAGGTTCTGACAGATTCCGGGCCTTCCTTTCCATGCTGCCTACAGATCACTCATATTGACTTCTCACCTTCTCAGTGACAGCTACTTATACCATACCCTCTCTGTCCTCCCCAGAAAACACCTGATATATCCTGGTATAATGATATAATGCCAGAGAAAACAAAGTGCTTGCCAACCCACCACTCACCCAGGTTTCCAGTATGTTTATTATGATGGGAATGATAGCAAAGTCTAAAGCCCCTCGATTCTAAAGACATCCAGTCAATTGCTTGTAAATCTCTCAAATTTCTTTTCCTACTATAATTTCTCATGTCTGAGGAACAGCCCGGAAGCAAATTGCTTTTGGAAGTTTTCACAAAGATCTATTCAGCCCTTTTAGTGAGTTATCTAAATGTGGGGAGGGAAAGGCATTTTCAGCTGTGACGGCATGGGATGTTTTTCGTATGCTTGAGCAATTCAAAAAGGACTTTGTTTTCAAACTTGGCATGTATGAAGCCTTGGGTAAAGACCAGAGCCTTTGACAAATTTGAAGAAATGGATTTGGAAACAGTAAAAGAAAATGAGGGTAGCTAACTACCCTCTCCACCTCTGCTCTCTACATAGGTCATTTTCCTTACATCCAGAATGAGTTCTCAATAAATCACTCCTTTATATTGGCAGGTTTCCTTCTAACAAAGGCACACATTGGTTAATCTTCCACTAATACATTTTCCTTTGATCTGGAACATAGTACATCTCTGTCCACTAACCATAGTTGTGACCATAATCATTCATCTAATAAGTAAAACAGAACCATCCAAACCTGTGAGATGCTGCTGCCTGAGAAAATAATTCCACATCCCCCCAGAAAGGAGCAGCATGTCCTCACGACCAACAAGGAGTCATTCAACCAAGGTCAGAGAACAATGATGAACTCCGAGGATAGGAAATGACAGCTCTGCGTTCTACTTTAGTTACTGTGGTGTGTTGTAAGGTATCTCCTCTTCCTTAGAATCCCCCAAGATGGCTAAGGCCCCACCAGAGACAAGTGACTGAAGAAACATGTCACAATAAAGAGACTGAACTGTGAAAGAGAAAATACATTAAAGGAAGGGAAGAAGGGAAGAAGGAAGGTAGGTAGGAAGGAAGGAAGGAAGGAAGGAAGGAAGGACTGAATTTATTAATCTGGGTGGGGTGGAACTTAAAGAAAAAAAGATAATATAGCCACAAAAAAGAGGGTTTTCAATTTTAAATCATTAATTTTAATTTTTGAAGTGGTATGCCTCTATTTAACAAAACACACACAAACACACACACAAAATCATCAGATTGGCAGAGCTATTGTCTCTGACTTCTCCACTGGCTAGGGCCATTTGCCTTGAGACATTTATGTTTGTGGCTTTGGCTGTGCTTCTCAGAATCAGGACTGTTTTTTAGGTATCTGAGCATATGCCAACAGTCTGAAACATCTGTGTAAACAGATTTGAGAAACAGTGAAAACCCCATACCAAACATAAACAGAGTGGGCTTACCTGACGTGCCTGGCTGGCAGTTGCACTGGTAGCCATTGACCAGGTCAATGCAGCGACCATCGTTCAGGCAAGGGCTGCTGTAACATTCATCAATCTGGTCACTGCAGATGGCGCCCATGTACCCGGGATTGCAGATGCAGGTGTAGGAATCAATACCATCCTGACACTGACCATGGTGGCAAGGATCGGGGTCACAGTTGTCAATGTTCTCCTCACACAACACACCAGTGAAACCTTTGGAAAGAATTTTATCAAGGATTCTCAAAGACCAAGGCAGATATTCCACACCAGAACACAAGTGTAGCTACATCCATTTACTCTACACATTCGATGTGTGGTCAATTAATACTGCAGGTCTTGAGCAGTAGAAAACGACGATCTGCATTGATTTAGAAAGTATGCCTGGAGAGAGGTGCTTAAAATAAAGATTTCCAAATCAAATTTTAGAATTGAAATACCTTCGCAACTGATCAATAATTTCATTGCAGAGATGCTTTAACTGCACCTTCATTTCTTACTAGGCTTCAGGTATAACAGCTCAAAATATTTTTCCTTTATATATTTATCTTTGTATTTCTTTCTTCCCAAGTCCAATATACAGGTTAATGATTTCATGTATCTTATGTCCCCAATTCTGACTTTGGAGGTAAGAGAGCTTTATTTTACTTCTCTCAACTCCTCTGAGAGTAGTATGCATATATAGTAGTTTTAAATAAATACTGGTTGAATAAAATGAATGAACCTGTTATGAGAATTTAAAAGAAAAAGAGACAAGTAAGATTTCCTTTCTTCGAGGTGTAAATAGACAAACATTATATCTTTCCCTAAAAGACTCCAGGAGTCCTCCCCCCACTTTTAAACCTGAGCTAAAGGTTTTTAATCTCTTTGAAACTTATCCTCTACAAGAAGAATCTGGCCAGGGGAAGACAAAATCTGGATTCTCTGACAAGCATTAACTATTTGCAAAAAGAAAGAAAGTGGCTCATCTGAGTTGTCCTAAACTAAGTAGGTCTAATAATTAAAATATTAACTTTTTGTATTAATTTTCACAATTAAATTTGCTTTTCTGTGATCAGAAATAAATTATATGCATGATGCCTTTAATCTTTAAGACTCCATTCTCTAAAATTAATGTCTTGAATTACATAAATAACTTCTTTCTCAAGCAGTCAGATAATAAAGAAGTTCACTTCTAATAATTTCTAGCCTTTCTGTATAATATTTGCCTGTGTAAAAGGAAATGTGTAATAGGGAACATCTGGCTTACTGAAATCCAATCCCAAGTACAAAATGTGATTACAAACCCAGAAATGCAGAATATTTGTGCACAGATCGTTTTTGACTCTAGTTGCAGAAGTCAGCAAAGAGGACCCAAACTTTCCCAGTGAGAGCTCTCTCTCCTGTCATTTACACACTTGACTCTCAATCCTATTTTGGTGTCTTTTATGCAGAATACCCCTGCACTTGTACACATTCAGCCTTTAAATTTCTGGGCCTTCTTTCAGTCACTTGCTTCAAGAAACACAGAGCCAGGCCTCCTGCTGAGAAGCCCCAGTGAAAAATAGCTTTCAACTGGATTTCTTCTCTTTCCTAAATGAGTCAATCTAGCCAGCTGGAAACTTACTGCTGCCAAAATCTGTCCCAGAAAGACATGGATACCAAATGGAAATATCTGGGCCAGACCACTGTTGTGGTGGAGGAGGCAGGTGCTGCAGAAAAAGAGAGCAGCAAAAAATTTGTTAGAAACAGCTCTTCCTAAACACAGAGGAGCCTCTGGGAGTGGACTGGCCTGGCACAGCAGCTAGCAGAGGACAGGGACAATCACCCTATTTTGTTCAGATGGACCTACCAAGGAGATGAAAAGTGAGAAGAATCTTACCTGTGGCACACTGGCATTCATAGCCATTCGGGTGATCGATACACTTTGCCCCATTCAGACACGGAGTACTGGAACAGTCATCAATATCAATCTGGCAAACTGGCCCAGTGAAACCTCAAAAAGGGACAGTGGTAACATGAGTCAAAGGATTATCTTGTGTCTCCCTTTACCATGAGAATGATGTTAGGTTACTAGCAGGGCTTATACCAATGGGTCAATAAGCCTATGCTTTATTATTCTCCCCAACAGGTAACTGGAATAACCAGGTGACACTCAGGGAATCAGAGGCACTTGTGGTGTGTCTCTACCATTGCTTCTTCACAGACAGACTTCACTTCTAAATGAAGGATGTAGGAAGTGAAATTTATAGGTGGAACCTCAAACAAGTAACTGTAGCTTCAGAGGCAACAGAAACCTTCTCTCTGAAGATACAATGGGGTAAGATGCAATCTATGGAGGACAATTTGGCATATCTTCAAAAATAGCTTGAGGAAAAAAAAGGAGAGACAGAGAATCTTGGAAAAATTGGCATGTGTTGTCTGTTTCTGAACTCATGGGTGAAATGTCTAAAAATAACAGTCTCACAGAGGGCCTTCAAGAATATGACCCATGGGAAAAAAATAAAATCCCGAATAGCCTACAACTAAGGCTTCTGTGAGGTATGAGCATTCTGAAATATATACACAGACGAAGAGGTCATGGGCCATTCAAGAATAGACTTGGACTTTTGGCCACAAAGGACTTGTAAGATATAGTAGCTAAAACAAATTCTCTATTTCTGTACACACACACTCCTATCACCAAGCACTTACTCTAATGATTTCCTCATGCACAGCCCACACACATTCTCTCCCTGCTCTCTTCCCTGTGGTCAGTTGGCTTTGTGCTTTAAGAGAAAACAGGGCCAGGTCGTGGGCACTTACCAGGAGGACACAGGCACTGGAAACGATTGACTTTATCCACACACTGCCCATTGTTCACACAAGGGTTGCTCTGACATTCATTTATTTCTAATTCACAATGCACACCTTTGAAACCTAAACAAAACAGACCACACAAGTGGCTTAAAGAGAGAGAAAGGTGTATTCCAGACAAGGAAGCACAAATTTGCAATGATAACTACATCCTTTGCGAGTACACACATTTCTGCAGAGAAAAAAGGAACTCTGCCATGATGAGAAATAGTCACTCCAAGTGTCAAGCAGGACAGGGCATACTGTGAAATACCCATGTCACTGTGAAAAGCGGGAAGGGATTACATTAAAAGACATTGGCAAGACCTAGCATATAAACAAGGACTGCTCCACATTTTCTGTGATAAATCCATACTTTCTGGACTGTGGAAGGCCCAAAATGTCCCCACTCTATGTTCCTAAAGACAAGCTGAGCTGGAGCTGTTGTTGCCTTCAGGGTGCAGTTCAAGGTCAGCAGTGCCTTTCAAGGCTGGAGTGGCCGGCAGCCTTAATCAGGCAGAGCAGCCAATGTTAGCCATCATTTCAAGCTGGATTTGGCTGTATCCTCTCAAAATTAAAGACATGGTCTATGCAGAAGAGCTCCAGAATACAACTAAACATGTACTGCACTTTAGATAAATGGAAACTTCCTATATAATTGTGGATAAAATTTATTTATATAAATGGAATGGTATGGTATTTGTAATTACATGAAGGTATCAGGAAAACTTGCTATTTAAAGGATTCTTACAGTAAATCATTTTTGAAATTTTCTATTACATGTGGATTTTGATATAACAGGCTTGTTTAATTTGGTCTACATAGCTTGATGAATTCTAGCACTGCCTTACTCTTTGAGTAAGGAAGGTTTGCTTGTGAACCCTGACTTCCTCTAGTCCCCAGTCAGCAAAGGAAATCAAATGCTGACAGAGCTCATCAGACTGCAATAGTATACTGAATGCTCTACCAAGAGAAGTTCAGAACAGTCCCTCCTCTCTAGACCCAACATGCTGATGGGCCCATTTACCTGGCATGCACAGACATGTGAAGCCTCCAATCTTATCCAGACAGGTAGCATCATTCTGGCAGGGGTCTGAATGGCACTCATTGATGTCCATCTCACAACGAGGTCCTGCATAACCCTTCAGACACTCACAGTGGAAGGCGCCATCCGTGTTCACACATTTTCCTGCATGCTCACAAGGATTGCTATTGGCTGAAAGACACAAGTACCAATTACTGGGATCAAAGCAGTTGAGTTTCCACAAATGTGAACAATAGAAGAGCATCTGATGGTTATAGCATCAGGGCCAGGCCTTCAATAATATCATTCCCAATTTTCTATTTTTTTTTCCTTAATTTAAAAAGAAATAAAAGCGGAGTATCCTCAACTGTTATGCATTTCTGCTATTGCAGTTTCTGCCCAAACTGTCATTGAGGTAGGGCTTTATATTAAGAATCAAGTACATACGTTTCATACAGTTAATCCCCAGAATGGAATATATGGTTATGGCTATGCTGAAAGGTCACTTGTAAACACTGGCCATGTAGCAAGAGTAATCTGAGGTTTGGGTGTATGTAATTTGCTTCTACAGTAAAATGTGCTTCAGTTTAAACATTTGCTGAGCTCAACAGACACTTCACAGAACAGAAAAAGTTCTGCTTACTCACCCATGGCACATTCATCCACATCTTCTGTGCAGTCAGCCCCTTTGTAGCCTTGTGGGCAGGTGCAAATATATTGCCCATTTAGGGGGTTGGTGTCACACAGTGCCCCCTTGTGGCAAGGATTGCTGATGCATGCATCATCCAGATGACACAGGAGACCTGTCACAGGGTGGGGCAAAGGACAACTAAGAGAAAATGTCTCTCACTTGGGGAAGAGCTTTCTCTTTCACCCAGGAGGGAAAACCTCATGATCAGTTCCTCAGAATCCAACATGGAGATTTATACGCAACTTCTGCTTTGCCTGACCCTACCTTGGGGACATGCTTGGCCACCAGCAAAGCACCTAGATGCAACCCTAGACTCTGACCCTGAGCTCTCAGCTAGACCTCTCCTCCAGGACAGAGACATCTACAGGCCAGAAGATAAGAAGACGGAGACAGGAAAGTGGAGCTATCTTCCAGATAGTGTGCCAGATTTAGCAAATAAAATAGAGGATGTCCAGTTGAATTTTAGATAAACAAGAAGTAATTTTTAGTATGTCTCAAATATTCCATACATCCTATATTTTATCCGGAATCCTACTTCCCCAATATTATGCTACCTGATGATCATGGGGCCACCTGAACACCATCAGCCTCTACTAGAGTAATCTTTTAATAGCATCAACATTCCTGATTCAGGTGGCCCCAGGTCTCTGAAGATATTACTAGGCTTCCTGTTTTATATAGTTCACATGGGAACTGGATTTTCCAGTCTGCAATTAACTTAAGAAGAGGTAACTAAAGCTTCTTCCACAAAGCTGGAGCTAGAGCTTTTGGAAAGGCCTCCATGAAAGAACATTTCAAAACTGCTGGGCAGAAAGTTCTCCCAGCTAAATTATCTTCTCCCATCACCTTCCTCCTTACATTGCTCTCCTTCTCCTAGAACTAGTAGTTGTTAAATTGAGAGGCTAGAGCAATGTTAACTTTGTAGCATGTAAAAATCTTCCCTGAGGGGAATATTTTCATAGACATTGAGGGTTAGAAGGCACTTAAATGTTTCTCTCCTGCCAACTTCTTCTGAGTAAATAGATGGTTTCTTCTTAAAATGAAGCCTGTGGATCCATTTATTAGCCATTTTATCTTAATAGCTGAGGTGCTTTTCAGTCTAAGATCTTAAGGACTTCAGCAGATGTTCCAAAGACAATAGTTACTAACTTTCCTTTTTTGGAATGAAAAACTAAAGTATGTAGAGTTGAGAAGAGAGCCTAAAGTCCTAAAGAGGAAGATTATCTTCATAGCACTTTGGCTAGCAGGTTACATTTCTGGAACAGTCCTGAGTGATATGTTCCCATAGATGGTAACTCAAAGAATATGCTGTTTGGGATGAAAGAGAAGGCAGAGTCCTGAATGCCCCCTGCCCCTTCCCTGTTTCTAGATCCGTCCTTCTGCTACCTACCTGCCTTCCCCTCTGGGCACATGCAAGAGAAGGAGGCCACACGGTCGATGCAGGTGGAGCCTGGAGTACAGGAGGCGAAGGCACAATCATCAATGTTCTCACTGCAGTCATCTCCACTCCAGCCGTTGACACATACACAGCCATAGCCTCCATTGCGGTTGGCACAGGTGCCCCCATTTTGACAGGCATTGGGCTGCAGCAGGCATTCATCCACATCCTCTGTGCAGAACTGTCCTTTTAGGGGGAAATTACTTTTGATTAGGGCTCTTGAGTCTCAAAGGACTAGTACCATACCAGCCCCCCACACTCTTCATCTTCATGTGACCTGTCTGAAATTAAGGCAAGCAGAGCTCCAGAAGGCTGGGTCTTCACATGAATTTTAAGGCCAATTTGAGCCATCTAAATGATATTTTTTCCAGGCAAATCGTTTCAAGATGAATAGTTACTACCGTTAGAAACTCTAACAACATTAGGGTTTAGCCAACTTATCAAAGAGAAGGTAAAACCTGTAGGACCCTCGAGTTAACTAATCCCTGGGTCAATGAACATATAAGTAAGAAGAGCAAGGAGAGAAGAGTATAAAAATGAGTAAGAAAAAATAATGAGAAGGAACCTATATGCCAAACATTAGGGTAACTGTTCTATATCTTGACTGTATCAACGTCAATACACTGGTTGTAATATTATGCAACAGTTCCATAAGATGATGTTACCACTGGGAGACCCTTGATAAAGGGTACAGGAAATCTTTCTATATTAATTCTTATAACTGCACAAAACTACAAGTATCTGAAAATAAAAAGTCTAATTTTTGAAAATGTTAGGGCAAGCAACATAGGGTACAGAGAAGACATGAAAGATGTTGAAAATCTCTGGTGAAGTATGGATGTGAAGGGCAAGGCCAAGAATAATGAGACTGGAGCAAGCTGTGCTCAGCCTGAGGCACCCATACTTAAAGGATGGGGATTTGTGGAAGAAGACAAAGAAAGTCCACCCAATGTACTAGGAGATGGAAAAAGGACTGGTATGCACTGCCTGAAAAAGATCACACTAAAGGAAGCTAAACATGAGCCCACATCTGGCTAGGTTGCAGGTCACCACTATAGCAACAATGGAGACTAAGGCAAAGGCTCCTACATCCCTTAACAAAGAACAAGATAATGTCTTCAACTTACAACCAGGAATCTGTGATTAACAAAAACAGTATAGGGCCAGATCATATGAGCTATAAAATAAAGTGGTGATTGGTTTTGTTTGAGGTCTTTTAAAAACAGTTTAGAGAGCTATCAAAGGAACTAAAATTTAGATCATCCGAATTCTCTAAAACATGACAAGTTGTTGAAAATAAAAATATGTCAAGGTGTCCTTCATTCTTCCTTTGTAAATAAAACTCAACAAATAATTTTAAAAGGCACTCTGATAAAGAGGCCTCCTAATAAAAAAAGAACACAATATTTGTGCTTGGAAAATGCCAAGGCTATCTCTAGACCCAGAATACCTAGCAATTTGACTGGCTCATGTATCTGTAGAAGGCCTGTTAGCCATCATTACTCGCGGATGCTAGTTGTGTCTGACTTAACCTAACTGACTGCCTGTTCTTTATTCCTATCTAACATGTACCTCCATTACTATAGAACCAATATCACTCTATCACACTTATTTGGTTGCACATCTGTCTCCCACTACTTGGCTGCAGTTTAGAGGGGTTCTTTTGTATTCCCAGCAAGAGCCAACTGCCTAGGATGGCAGGATGGGTATGTGGATGTCTCCGGAACTCCGTGCTCGGCATAACCCTTCCATGCTCTTCTCCTAACTCCAGCCATATAATTCTTGAAGGAGCAACCATGTCTTTACATGATCAAACCCTCCTGGCCATGGCTGACTGACCCAAGATGGGCATCTGATCCAAGCTACATCACTGTATCTCTCCCAAATTATTGGAGTAGGACCACTTTGCCACATAGACCAAAAAGATGAGGAGGCTGGTCTGCAGAGAAAGTGATATGGGTGAATCAGAAGTGCACAGAGAGCCAGGCACAGTGGCTCACACCTGTAAACCCAACATTTTGGGAGGCCAAACAGGAAGATCACTGGAGCCCACAAGTTAGAGACCAGCCTGCAGGCACTACTTGGGAGGCTGAAGTAGGAGAATCACTTGTGCCATGATCATGCCACTGCACCCCAGTCTGGACAATAGAGCAAGACCCTGTCTCAAAAAAAGAAAAATAGAAAAGATGTGCACAAAGAGAAAAAAACATGGTGGCATTCAAGTTGTTGGTTCCAATTGCTACTGAAGCCCAACTACTAGTAAGCCTACTCAGTGGCATAGCCATTCTGAGAGATGCCTCTTGCAACAGGTCTTTCTAATTTGAAACGAGGCTGTGTCAACTGCATCCCAAAGTATTAATACAGAAAGAGTGAGTGAGGGATGAGGGAGTGAATGGGGGAGGTAATGAGGGTAATGAGGGAAATGAGGGAGGAAGGAAGGGAGAAGATGAATAAGAAAGTGAGAACACTGAGGTAGTGAGTGAGGGAGTGATTGCAAGGAGTGAGTGAGCGAGGGAGGGAATGCGTGAGAGAGTAAAAGATGGAGGGAGGTGAGAAAGGGAGGGAGGAAGGTAAGAAAGGGAGGGAGGGAGGGAGTCAGTGAGTGAGTGAAGGAATCAGAGAGTGAAGGAGGGAGGGAGTGAGCTCACCGGCAATAATCTCCCTCAGGGTAGATGATGTCATTTATTACAGAAACTTTGCTGTCTTATAGTGCTAGCAGAAATGGTACCTCAAAGTAATGACAGCTGTGTTATTAGGATGCAGGTGGGATTGAGAAATGAAAACATGACCAAGAAGTAGGTGAAGAGCTACTGCAACATGAAAATTGCTGAGTCTCATCTATTATACTTATGCTAACTCAAATATCCACTGCCCACCAACCAAACTGACTTGCTGAATGTGAACAATTTAGATGTCATTTTTCTTTATTGAGGCTTTGTGATAATTTTGGGTACTATAAGACACAATGTGTTTAAAGCTATTTTGTATACATTTCTTATGCACCATAATAAACAGACACTGAAATAATGTAGCAAGACAAACTAGGTAAATAAAGGAAAGGAAATGTGGCACTCTTGGGAGAGGAAACCAGTAGCCATTGACTGCCTACTGAGAAGCAAGCACTGTGCTTGGGCTCCCATAAAAATTGTCTCATTTATATCTGAGGAAACAGCCTCAAAGAGGTAAAATAATTTGCCTTTGTAAGCCAGTGAGTGAAGGACAGTTGAGATTTGAACTGGAGCTGCCTCACTCTAAAATTCTTAACAAAGACCTGAGGTGAGAACCTGAACATATCAAGCCATCTCTGCATGTCTCGGGCTTCCCAAGGGCACACAGACATGGGGAAGTGGACAGGATGGAGGAGGTGAGGACTCAAATCATGACTCAAACAATTGGTTACTGGAAACACTTGTGACTGCAAACTCCTGTCTAAAAGGGAAATGTATTTTTAGGTACAGTCCACTGATTTTTGAATGAGACTGAATTTTGAAGATTAGCTGCCTTCACTGAACACCTTTGGACCATGCATCTGTTCGATAGTGCTTGTTAGGGACAGGAAATTTAGAGATCCAAGAAGATAGTGGCTTATAAGTAATTAGCTACTGGATGGATCACACTTCTCTAAGGTTCAGGCACATTTCTACAAATTCACATTTCCTCCTAGTCCTATTTCTGCCAGATTATTTTCTCCCTATTAAAATTCTATCAACTGGTTCTAAAATTCAGAATAGGAAAAACAGTAACCAGGGTGGCCATAAAACTTGCTTATTCTAAAATTCCCAGTGGAACATCTGCTATGATATAACAACTCCCTTCACGTCACCACCCTCCTGGCACAGGAGAAAACCAATGCTAAAGACTAAAAATAAAAAACTTCAGGTTCAGGAAGGTAAAAAAAAGGAAATAAAATCTTCCAAAGTTCACACGGTTGGTGAGTGAGAGTGCTGCATTGAAACCCGGATTGATCTGACTGCAAATCTGATGCTCTTTGACTGCAGCAGAGTTGAGTATTCAGCCCTGGATGTGATCAACACAATCTACAGATGAGGTCGCTGATCCCAGGGTCTTACAGCACCCTGAGAAGGCATAGGTGCATAAGACAGTTAAGGAACACTCGTATTAGAAAGGAATAAAGGCAGAAGGTCACTAGATATTTGAGTGGGAAAAGTTCTTGGCGATCACCTAGAGGTCTTAACGTGTATGCTCTACGGTCATTGAGCTTATCCCACTGGTGCAAGAAAGCACCAGCCTGGGCTGGTGGTTGAAGATTTACAGAGGAATACAGGATTAAGTCTTAAACATATTAAAATAACTGCAGTGTATTCTTTGGCTGGGGTTTTAGAAGAAGAAAAAGTGGGAGGTCATTGAGGCTTTGACTTCGAGTATGAATTCGGAACTTGATACAACAAGTAAAGGAGGATGAGGAAAGACATGATCGATACTGTGTTTGAAGGTAAGTTGGCCAATAGAACATAGAAGGGATTAAAAGCAAATGACTTTATGTTAGTAGGGAAAGCAGGAGAGAGCACTAAGTTATAGGCTACCTAGCAAATAAAAGCCTTTGGTGAAACAGGAGAGCTGTATTGTTTCCATGTCCTACCAAGCTACTAAATCTTCAATACAAACAAGTGTCAGCATGTATCATCACCTGTGTCAACACACAAACTTTGCTGGTGAACTCCCAAAATGTTGCACAAAGCTCAGTTAGGCAAGTTTTCAAGAGCAATAATTATCCCTCTCAGTAATTTCCACCTGCCAGATATTGCAGGCTACTGTCATTTTTTTAACATCAGGACTGAGGCAGTGGACTAGTTAGGCTCTTATTTCCTATGGGCAAAAGAGAAAGAAGATAACTTGTTTTTAAAAACTACCCTCTCTAATGCCACAATGACTCTGGAATAATCTGAAATGAAATGTCAAACTAGCATATCCTTGGCTGATACCTTAAACACTGAGTGCCACCTGTAACTACTGACAATTTTCTGGTTGATCACTTTTGCCTCGTAAATATACTCAAATCTACACCTCTCCTTTGTACAGTTTATACTAACCACAATAACTTTTGTTGATTCCTCAAACATTAAGTTCTCTCCTGCCTCAGTGCTGCTGCATAAGCTGCTCTGTCCACCTGAAACATTTTTTCCCTGCTTATTCACATGGCGAGGTACCTGTCTTATCAATAGAGTAGGTCTCCAAATGCACATCTCCTCATGATTCTCCACCATTGCATCATTCCATTCAATCCATCCTGGAATGTATCACGAGCTGTGATTTCATATTTATTTACTCTTTACAGTCTCTTCCCCATTTCGCTATAAGCTCCAGGAGGGCAGGGACTGTGTCTGCCATTCACCTCAGTATCTATGCCAGCCACTGTACTAGACACTTGGTGTCAGTGGTGGAACTGACCTTGGACAGCATCTAATCTAACATGCTCATTTTACAGATGAGGAAACTAGGACCTGAGAGGTATAGCAACTTGCCCAACTTTGCACAGTTAGTTGGCAAAATAATTAGAAGTGAAAATAGCTCAGTGCTGATAAAGACTTTGGGGTGTGAGATTGCTGCAGATCAAGTTAGTTTTCAAAATAAAGAAGGCCAATCTGAGCTGACTGTTGAGGGATGTAGGGAAAGAGGAAGAAACTCAGAGTGCTACAAGTGAAGATGACATGGCATTACCAAGCCACCATTAGCAAAGGAAGTATACTGTTTTGGTTTTGCAGGAGTAGGGTCACCTCCATGCTGATCTTTTCTTGTTGCTCCATCCTCTGGCTTCAGGCTGAACAAGTAAGATTATGGGCACAGTCAGCCAGGCGTGGTGGCTCACGCCTATAATTCCAGCACTTTGGAAGGCTGAGGCAGGTGGATCACGAGGTCAAGGGATTGAGACCATCCTGGCCAACATGGTGAAACCCCGTCTTTACTAAAAATACAAAAATTAACTGGGCATGATGGTGCATGCCTGTAGTCCCAGCTACTTGGGAGGCTGAGGCAGGAGAATCGCTTGAATCCAGGAGGCGGAGGTGGCAGTGATCTGAGATCGTGCCACTGCACTCCAGCCTGGCGACAGAGCAAGACTCCATCTCAAAAAAAAAAAAAAAAAAAAATTATGGACACAGCCTGTGGCAGTAAATATAACAGGGTGAACCTAAGAGGTCTGTGCTGAAATAGAAACCATGGCCTGGGCCTCATTAGCACCACGCTTCAGCCAAGTGAGCCAAAGACCATGAAACAGTCAGCATTTATGAGCTGTAACACGCAGGGACACAAACAGCTCATTATGGCTCTCTCAAGGCAAGGGCCCCACCCACAAACCACTAATCTGATTTGGAGCTACAAGTGATGGGTAAAAAATAGAGGGGGACAACAAGAGAAAGAAAGAAAAGAAGAGAAAGGAATTGAAAAAAGTAAGGTGCTGAGCCTCGACTCTCATCCTTTCCAGTCATCTCTCAACTGTGAAGTCTGTGGGAAAAAGTCTGATCACATTACTGGTCCAGTTAAGGGTCAACTCTCATTGCAACAACAATCTCCACAAGAGGAACAAATAAAAAATGAGCTTGGCTGGCCCTTGCACTGAGTCTGCTACCTTCTCCTCTATGGCTGAGTCAAGAGAGCTCCATCTCCTATATACCTTTCCAACCAGCAGTCACCCAAGCCCCTGAGTTCTGGAGTTTCATCTCTTTCTGTGTCAGAGCAGATCATTCCTGGGACTTCTATCCTACAAAACCTCAGCTCCATACACAGGAGACTTTCTATCACGCTGCTGAAGTTGGAGCTGAAGAACAAAGAACAAGCTTGAGTGTCCCATCACCTGCTCGGAATAAAGTTGGGTGAAACATTCTGTATAAACACTGCTGTCTACAGGGCCTGCCTACTGAGAGGATGGTCTGGGAGTATAGATGTGGCTAAGGGGATAATGTAGTTGTGGAAAGGATATTCATACACAGAATAAATGCAAGAAATTCCTCCACTAATTCTAGACAGCATCATCTTTTTCAGGACTTCTCAAAGGCCTGGTTTCCCTGCATCATGACCAATGTATTTTCTAAAGAGCCGCCAGGATGATCTTAACATGTAAAGTAGAATGCGCCACTCGCTTGTTCAAATCCTTTGATGAATTATTTTGCATTTAGGATAAAATTCTAACACCTACCAGTGTTTTCTGCCTATCTCTTTAGGCTCTAACCATGAAATATCACTAGCTCCAGCCACTCTGGGCTTTTTTCATTTCTCAAAATGATCACATTCTTTCCCTCCTCAGTGGCTAGCACACGTTATTCCTTGTGCCTGGGATAGTCTTATCCTCACTCTCCCCAACTCCTACTCATTGTCTATATGGAAAATGTTACTTTCTCAAAGAGACCTTACTTGCTTGTCACTAAACACAATTAGTTCTGCCTATTAATATGCTCTCCAGATACATTCTATGTTTCCTGCAAGGCATTTAGTACAGTTCAAAATTTTATGGAGAATTATATTGTCTATGCCTGTGTTTCTCACTAGACTGTCAGTGCCATGAAGAAATGGGGGGTAGCTGTTTACCTCATCACTGAATCCCCAGCATGAAACACAATCCCAAGCTTAAATAAATATTCGTTAAATGAATGTTTATCTGCTTAAGGTTCTCTTATTTAAGTTATCCTAATCCCAAAATAATAATTATCTTTCAACTCACCCTTCTCATAGCAACAGTATCTCTATTCTGTTCCTACCCAAAGTGTCCGTCACCCTTGTCTACACCACCAGTTCACACGCAAACCCCTCATCCCAGTCCCCTTCCTGTGTCACTGAACTCTATCTCATTTGTATCACACCCAGATTCACCTTGCCTTTGCCCACTAATCCTTCAACTACGCCTCAAGGGCAACTCTACATTAAGGTGTACAACTTCCTTCTTTGACTGAAACCTGAGTTTTCCCTAAACACACCAGCCCAGTCAGCCCTCTGCGGTAGAGCTCCTGCAGTCCTCCTCTTCTAAACACTGCCACTGACAGGAAACTAGGGGAGAAAGAGCGGGTTTTCTTTTTATTCCCCAACGTCACTACTAACCTCAGCAGTAAAAACATATGCACTGAGTTATTTCTAGGTTCCAGATGATATGTGCTTTACATTGATTGTCAACTATAGTCTTCATATATAATTAGTCTAATTTTACAGATTTAGTACAAACTCGGTACACACTGAAGAAAAATACTAAAGTATCTTAGAAAGGTAAGAAGAGCTGTGAATTTGGAGATGAGGTTGGGCTGGGAACAACTGGAAAATTTAATGCTGTAATTCATTCATTCGTTTATCTAAAATATATATATGTACACATACACACACACGCACACAAACACAATGTGCCAGGCTCTGACTATACACAATGGGATTATAATGGTGAACAAAACAGCCATGGCTTCTGCCTGCAGAACTTACAAACAGCAGACTTATAACCAAACAAACAATGATGACACAGAGTGACAGGTGCTTTCATAGATACCTATTGCCTTGGGAGTACAGAGTAGGGAGAATAGAGAGGAACTAGAGAATGTAACTTTTAAGAGAAGGCCTGGGAGGAGCGTGCCAGGTTGTGAAAGAGGGGAGAAGTGTGTGAGGGAGTGTGTAGAGAAAGGGTGGAGTGCGGAGTATTTCAGGCAGAAAGCATAGGCTTGAGTTGAAGAGACAGCATGGTTCATTTGCGGCAATGAAAAAAAATTCTTGTGGTTGAATTATAAGAAATGCATTAGGGGAGTGAAGAGAGGTGTGGCTGGAGAGGGAGTTACATGCACAGCCTTGGGACTAAATCCAAAGACAAGGAGGACCCATTGAAGTGTTTCCAGCAAAGAAATGACTCGATCCAATGCATGTTTCAGAAAGTCCACTCTGCTGCAGTGAGGAGAATGGACTGAACTCCACCTCACCCCTCCAGGTCAACAAAAACTTCAAGAACTGCAGAGTCCAGGCTCCTGTGGCCACTATTGGCCACTATAGCAATGAGAAATACTGCAGTGCATCTGGGGCAGATTCCGGAGGCAGCAGCACTGAAAAGCATCCAGGCTCAGCCACTGGGTGGATTGCCATGGAGGCTGGGCCAGTACTGGGCATTCAGAAAGCTGACCCCCGCCACAGAGAAGAAAGTGGTGCCAAGCTTTGGTCTCCTGCTAGGAGGCCCCACTCTCTGGCTCTCCCCACCTTAGGCTGCTGGGTTGTTGAGCCAGTTTACATAAAAGCCCCTCACTGCACCAGGAGGAAAAACTAGCTGCAGCCAGGTTGAGAGTGAGGGGATCCAGGGGAACACCCACCTCCCCTGTCTATGGGCAGGCAGTTACTCTGCTCAGAATGAGTAAAATGGAAAAAAACAACATGGCACCTATTAAAAGATTCTACAACATAAAACATGGAGAATGTAATGCTTAAGATATTGATGAAAAGCACACTGGGAAAATTATTCACTTACAGGAGCTAATACATTTTAGAAAGAACTGCTCCTGTACACTCAAGACATTTAGACATGTTTACGTTCTACAAAGAAATAAAAAATAATATAGGACATTAGTCTCTGATCAAAGGGGCTGAGAGGCAGGCAGAAGAAGCTATAAAGGACTGACCTGACAATGAAGAAATATAAGTCAGTGTTATAAAGAAGAACCTTAAGAGAGCTCTCACAGAACACAAAACAAAAAATGAACAGATTAAAAATCAAGAGAGATTTTAGCTTTGCAGAAGAAAGAATGAAGACCTAATTGCAAAGATAATAGGTTTTCCTGACAACTCTACAACAAATGAAAAAGAAGGCAGGGAGCCCAGTGTTACTTATGAAAAAGAAGAAACACTCAACTGGCATTGCATTTCCCTAGAATAGTAACCAGAAGACACAAAGGAACAATGTCTAAGAATTTGATGAGATTAATTCGTGACCCAAGAATTTGATATCTAGTCAAGATACAACTTGTGTATGAAGGCAACTAAATCAAAAGACATTTTTTGACTAACCAAATGGGTCCAACATGTAACTCCTCTGAAATAAAATTATTCAAAGATACTTATTCAGCTAAAATGTTAATGAAAATAAGGAACTCAGAAATGAAAATGTTGTGACATAATTGCACTGGTAGTTAACACAAAACAAGTAGCACATACAACTAAGTTGAAAATATTATAAATTGGGTTATAAAATTGTAAATATCAAGAATAATTTTAAAGAATATGTATATGTTTATAAATTTGATAACAATAATATAAATATTGAAACCCAGATTATTTATACAAAGTCTAGTGAGTGAGTGAAAGCTATGAGAAGTATGCTAATTCCTCATCTTCGAGAGAAAGAAATCAATAAATACATTCTAATTTCTGACATTAAAAGTAGATAGATGAATTGAAGTCCTTTAAAAATTAAAAAAAAGACATAGTATAATATAAATTATCACACCATGGTCTGTCGTTCTCGTGGACCAATTTCCTCTTCCTAGAATGACAAGCATGTGGCTTATGTTCTCGCTCTTTCCTCTCCTGTCTCGCATGATATCAACATCTGGGTTGAGGACCAGTAAGGTCATCTGAGTCAAGAGTTCTTACTTTTCTCAACCTTACAGACCTCCGCATCCATTCCATATCACAAGCACGCTCACATTCTACACCTCTGTTACAAGACACTCATTGTTCTAGTCCAAGATCTCAAACTTGGTACTTCCACTCTCTGACTATAACTTTCCCATCTTCTTCCTTTCCCATTCCCAGCAGACATCTTACCTAAAGTATTCCCCACTAAAAACTGTAAGAGTAAACCCCTCCCAATAATCCACTTCATTAGCCAACGCCCTTTGAGCTGCCTTACTCTTAGTGTAGCCAAGCTCTATGGTCAATGAGATGAATAAAGTTTCTGTCTCCCATAACCCTGCGTTGTGTCTCCCTCGCTCTTCCTTTTCAGTTGTGCAAAATCTTACATAGTGATCTAAACCCATTTTGCCCCTTCCTTCTCCCCAAAGCCTACTTTTTCCTTTAACTTCCTCAATCTAGCTTCTTAGTCTTGTCTGTATTAAAACTGTATTTCAGAAAATTTCTAATGACTCAAATATTCTAATGAATATTTTGCAGTTATCATTTATATTTGAGTCTCCTGGTTGTCAGTTATTAATAACCATGGTTTGTTAAAATCAGTTCTGGGAATGTCAAAATAAGTAAGAGCAGTTTCCTGCCTTCCAGAGGCTGATAGTCTCTTAGGCAAGCTGAACAAATAACGCAGTAAGAGAAGTAAAATATTACAGGAGCTGCCACCAAGGCATGTGGAGTTGAGTTCAGGGCAAGCTTCTAAGGCTGTACCCTTTAACTTGAGGATGCTATCATGGCCGAGCTCTCTTCCCACCTCTCAAACCTCCCCTTTTCTCACTTTCCTTCTTTGGATCCCCTTCCTCGTCAATTTTCTGAAGTGTGGATGTTTCTCATACTTCGGGTCCAAATCCTCTGTTCTTATCACTCCATCCAATTTCCCTCACAGACTTGACACATTCCATGGTAACCCTGAGTCTCTCGTCCCTGCCTGTATTCTGAGCTCCTGGGTCTTACTGCTGCATGTTTTTCACTTGGAAAACTCATCTCCAACTTACCATCATTTCTACCCTATTTCTCCTTCTCTGTCAACAGTTCCCATCCATTACTCAGACTCAAAACAGAAGTTCACTCTTCTCGATCACCTTCCTTACCCCACCAAGTACTTAGATGCTTCCCCATTCCCACCATTGTTTCTTTCAAATTCACATTCACACACACCTTCTGCTTCCTAGTGTGGTTATGTGTGGACTTTCTTATGTCTTCCTAGTCAATTTTACCACTCTTAAAATAGGAATTTTTTCTTTGTGTCTCTTACAGTATCTAGCATAATATATTCCATGTAGTAGTTGTTCAATAAATATCTGTAAGTAGGTCCAATAGATAAATTATTGAACCTACTAACAACCGTTCCATGGGGGCTTAGAGAGCCATGAAGTTAAACTGGATCGTGCCTGTAACATAGCCAAGGCTACACCCTGAGTCATGGACTGCAGGGCAGGAAAGATCCTGCCTGCAGTCTCACCTCCTGCATGTGGGGCTAGACTATCCACTCGTCCTTGTTTCCACCAACAGCGCCACTAATCAACTCTGGGACATCTGGGGCAAGGGTGCTTCAGGTTAGCACTGTGGCAGTCTGCCCAACTGATAGGAAACCGAATTTGGGGTGAGGAGGTAGAATTCAGAAAACAGGCTTATTATACTTCTCACAATCAGGCTTACAGCAGAAAAATTGAAATGTGAGACATATTTTCCCATTCCTCCATGTAGAATATAAAAGAGAGCAGCTTTGAAATACCATATATAATTAAGTAGTATTCTCTCTCAATCAAAAAACCTCCATCCCTATAGTCCTAAAAAAAAAAAAGTAGAAAAATGGTTGTGAGAAAAGCCTTACTCTAGAGAATAATTCATCACCAGCTAGAGGCTAGACTGAGACAGGAAGATCTAGCTCAAAATAAAAGCACCATCATGAAAATCTCCATTCCCAGACACAAGGAGCTCATGCACCACCTCTGGCAAATGTACTTGCCAACTCACATCAAACATTTTTACTGAATTGGGAGCACTGACAGCAATGAAAACCTCCCCCAGCTCTTGAGGCTCATCATGCTGTAAAGGAGAGCTGAGAGAAAGTGTGGTCAGTTTTCTTTGACTCATATCCACCTAACTTCCATTGTTCACTTCTGCTTCATGTCCCAGAGCACTATTCCAAGCCCATGCTGAAATTATATTTCTGGATTAATAACAAGCACAAGAAAATAAATCACATCTGCCCCAGAAGTGAGCCCAAAGTCAAAAGCAGCCACAGAGAGGAATTTGTGAGTTGAGCTTAGGGTCAACTTTAATTCTGAAGGAAATGAACCTTTAAAAAGAAAATTCAAATAACAGTCTATGTAGACAAAACATTAATCTACACTGCTCTAATAAATTTTGGGCCCTTTAAAACCCTTTTTTCCTTAAATGGATATCTGCCAGAGCAGAACTTCTCTGATAAGATGGCCTGAGGCCAAATACAGTATAATAAAGACGTTTGTGCTCTATCTTCATCCAACCATCAGGTCTACTTCTATTTCCTAAAGGAATATCCAGTATTCAGGCTTATCCCTATAAGACACTTCCCTATAAAGAAGTAAATCATCTCCCCACACCCACTCCCTAAGACCAATTTCTTTTTTCCATCTGAGCTTAAGCTAGTCCACAAGAGTGGTAGTTTTTGAAGGCACAAACAAACACTAATTAGACAGCCACAGTAGGTAAAAACGCCTGTAGTGGGGTATATAACACAGTTCTGCCCACAGGCCATGGGGAAACCATCTATTCCTCTACTTCAGGGCTAGAACAGATGCTTCTACAAAGCAGCAGCAATGGTAATACCTACAGACCATCTTTGCATCTGAAGTAATGCTGTCCAACTGAAATATAATGAGAGTAACAGATATAATTTCAAATTTTCCAGTGGCTACTAAAATATTTAATGGTAAAAAGGAATAGGGGAAATTAATTTTAATATTATGTTATATTTAATTCAATGTACCAAAATGTATTATTTCAGCATCTAATCAATATTTAAACATTATTAAAAAGATATCTTTTTTTCCATATGAAGTTCTTTTTTTTTTTTTGAGACAGGTTCTTGGTCTCACTCTGTCCCCTAGGGTGGAATGTGCAGTGGCGTGATTAGCCTCCCAAGTGACCAGGACTACAGGTGCACGCCACCACACCCAGCTAATTTTGTATTTTTTGTAGAGACAGGGTTTTGCCATGTTACGCAGGCTGTTCTCAAACTCCTGGGCCCAAGAGATCCATTCATCTCAGTTTCCCAAAGTGCTGGGATTAGAGGCATGAGCCACTGTGCCCGGCCATACTAAGTCTTCAAAATCAGTTATTTGACAATTACAACACATCTCAATTCACATTAGCCATATTTCAGATGCTCAATAGCAAGATGAAACCAGGGGCCACCATATAGAATAGGATGAATTTAGAATGTTTAGCATAATAGCTGTTGGCAGAACAAATGAAAAAATAAACTTTTTATTGCATTTTTGATTGTTTCAATATCCCAAGAAAGAGATAATAGCAAATGAAGGCTTCTGAGAAAAGGAGGCTGACAAATTTACCCTAAATCAAACCATGAATAGAGCTGGAATTTATGCTCATCTTGAAGTGTAGAACTTGCTACAAAACACCAAGCCTTTTATGTATATGTAGTTACAAAACAAAGCCGTAACTATCAGGTTCTTCTCATTAAAAGCATGGCAAATTTCCAAATCTCCATTTATTTAAAATTAATGCCTATCTTTTTTCAGCCATATAGTCTTATCCATTCTTTTTCAAATAGCTGGCAACTTCATTTCCTTCATTTTCTCACCTCACTACTCCAACCCCTCCTTTTTCATTTTGTCAAAAGCCAGACCAAATAGTTAATGCTTCAAGTCTACAGGTGGAAATTGTAAAAGGAATTCTGAACAAAGTTGCAATAGGCTATTAGGTATAGTGAAAAAGCATCAGACTGAATCTAAAGCATACACATAATGTTAACTTCTAACCTCAAAATAACCAGCTAGGTTCTTAAAAAGGGAAAACACATGGAGTAAATCACCAAATCTCAGGATAATGAAATTTTCAGTCTATTAAAAAACACCCCAAGTTCTTAAAATAAAACAAGATAATTTACAAAATCAATTTTATATAGAAAAAAGACTACAGATTTGAGCAAAGATTTGGAGTTCAACAAGCCTAGATTCAAACCCTAACCCAACCACTACGGGTCTTGGGCAAATTATTTAACCCTTTTGAATACGCATCATCATCTGAAAAAAGGATATTTAAACTCTATCTCTAATACAGTTATTGCAAAGATTACACAGATAAAACATTGTAATTAGCACAGTATTTGGATGCTAATAAACATTAGTTAACTCCTACTAGATTCCTGCTCCATTCACTTCTTTAATTTGTGTAACACAGAAAAGACTAATCTGAATTTATACATCTAATATCAGTAGAAACAGAAGCCCTATGACACAAAATTTTCCTTCTGTTTTTCTCTTTACAATAGGATAGGGGCTGGGATGGTAAATAGCTCAGCTACATGCTACTGAGAACAAAGGTCTGTAAGGAGTGCTAGTAACTGCTGTCATCAATAGTCCAACCGCCCCCATAACTCGGTACATCCCTCACATCAAGCATATAATAATATCAATACAAACGTGGTAAGTGTTATTACAGGAGAATACATGGGGTACTAAGGGAGTCCAGAGTAGAACATTTAGCTCAGCCTGGAGCAAGATCAGGGAAGCCTTCCTGAAGCAGGTAACCACTTGATCTGAGTCAGGCATGCCAAAAATGATGAGAAAAATGGGGGAGGAGTGGAGAAGGAAACCCTAGAGAAAAGGAATGGTGTCAATGAAGACACAGGATGTGAAGCACTATGCAGTATGTACAGGAAAACTGTGAGCAGAGAACTGCTAGGGTATGCTGCTAGATGCATGAGAAGGAGACTGGGGAAGCAGACAGAGCTGAAGCCATGAAAGGCTTCATATAACAGAAGAAGGATCTTAGACTTTCTCCTGTTGATGATGGGCAGGGCAAAAACAAGGCTTCTCACTGGGAATCAAAGAATTGGCATGAGTGAAGAAAACCTGTGATGAATAACAAAAAAAAAACTGAAGGTCACTCTAAATGACAGACAGCAAATCAAAAGAAATAAAACTGCCACATTAAACTTATCCATGATCTCCACCACCCTTTTTGGAAAATATAAAAACGGAAACATCTTATAAAGACTTCTAGCGAAAAGAGGCATTTATTAAATGTCCTGGGATAAGAAATTTGAATAAAAAAATCATTTCACTGGGGAAGTTTTCCCCAAGAGCAGGCCTTCCTAATTAATATCAAAGCAAGAAACCAAGTGTAGTATCGAACAAAAACCAGCAACAATATTACAATGTTGTTTAATCTTCACTGGCATCAGAAGCCTCAGTACTACACAGTTACTGTCTCACAGAGCAAGGGAGAGATCAGAATGTGGTCAAGTTCTTAACAAGTATCTCATCCTGTCCAATACTGTAAGGATCATTAAAAAGAGAAAAAAAACACAAATTTTTCCAGTTACTATATGTCATGTAATTAACTTTACAGTAATTTTTTAAGTTGAAAAAATAGCCTCTGAAAAGTCTATCATAGAAAAATGGCAAAAACTAGAAGAGACAATGTCACAAAAAGTACAGAGGGTTAGAAGTGAAGTTCTAGGATCAAGACACCATGAAGAAATTCTAGGAGAAGTCCCAATTCTAGGAAAACCTGGTGGGAAAGTATTAAAAGGGACAGTTTGGGAATTAAAAGCAGAAATGTTTGGCCTCCCCAGTAAGTCCTGTGATTGAGTTTTTAAATGCTTTTCATCTTTTTCTATTCATAGTCTACAGCTCTAAAGAGTATTGTAAATAATTAGATGCTACAGATAAGGAAAAGTAATTCAGAGACACTAAAGAATACCAGGTAGTAATGGCTGCACTTCAACATTAAGATTCTTTGTAGGAGATAGCCCACTACTGGTACTGTAATTTTTTCTTATAATACTAACTTCCTGTTGGGTTTCCACATTAAATTAATTTCTCTCAAAAAGGCCCAGCTCTTAGTCCCTTAATCAGTTCTTAATTGTCTCTACTTTCAGTAGATAAACAGACATAAAGAGAAATTAGAACCAAATGTCTGCGTAAATCACTCAACCTGCCTAAGACTACATGAGAAACTTCCAAGAGGCTGTAAAATTAAGCAAGACTACCCTTCTAATGTTAGAGGCAGAAAAAACTATTTTTGTTCGTGTACAAAAAGGGATAGAAGAAAAAAACAAATGTAGGATGCGTATCATAAAAATAATGTCATTAAGAGTACCTGCCTAACACTTTGCCTAGTTATAGAACATGACATTAAGATGGGACAGATCTCTGTCCGTGAACAAATAGGCTCTGAACTCTGGTAGCCTGTACAATTTATTTTAGCATTTCAGGAAATTTTTCCTCTTTAATATTTATTAAGCATCTACTATGTTCCAGGTAATGTCCTGCTTTTCCCAGATAATAAGCTTACAGTAGTGCTCTTCTCTCATATCTGCCACAGCATCTAGCATGGTGCTGGGTTCAGAGTTGCTGCCCAATAATACCTGTGAAAATATGTCTTTGAGTGAACATAGGAAAATGTATGAGGTTAGTACAATAAGCAATGATCTAGCATGGAGATCCTGCTCAGTTCACATACTGGTTCCAGAGCAGGCCTAAGATATTTGTTACTGATATTTTAAAAAAACAGTCTGCCTCTGGTTACCAATCCATATCCCATTCTGGTGGATTCTCCACACTGTACATACCTGTCCATTGTGGGGGACAGCGGCAGTTGTAAGTGTTGACCCCATCCACACAAACCCCTCCATTCTGACACCTGTGGTTAGGGCAGTCATCAATATTCCTCTCACAGGTGCTCCCTTCAAAACCTGGTAAATGAAGAACAAATGAAAATGATGAAATCTCATACAGAAGAAACGACCTGCTCTGTTCCCACAGAACATGGTTATTAGAATAGACCCGCTTCATGACTTCAGTTCAACAGCTGCTCACCCAGGACTCACCATATGAAAAATCCCCAATTCTCTGTCTTCTCTGGCCTCAAGCATAGCTAGACAGTGAAAGTGACTCATTGTGCCAATGGCATGCCTTCATAGTTACCTCACAAGTATTTCAAAATGTTTTCATGAAATAAAATCCCAGGGATGATAAATGTCTACTTGGGACAGAGATATTCAAGGGTTCTAAAAAAACAGGGTATTGGATTTTCCCCAGCTCCATACCAGACTAATGGGAAGAACAGATAAAATATTACCTAATTAAATTTAAGTTCCTTTTATTTTTTTTCTTTGAATGATTGCTAGGCGGCCTCCAAGCCAGGTGGGGAAGGGAGTGGGGGAGGATATAGGAAAAATATTGAACTTAAAGTATGAAGATATGGATCAAGTCCCAATCTCACCACCTGCAAGCTATTCGTACATGGTAAGCTAAAGTTCTGCATCAACTTCCTCACCTGTAAAAAATGAGGCTAATTCCACTTGCCTATCCTGTCTTTCTAATTATAAGTGCCACATCATGAGTAAAGTGCTATACAAATGTTAAAAGGTATCTGAAAATTGGGTGGCATTATTACTAACTAAGCTTACCAGCACTTCAAATTCATCAGGCTCTTCTCTAAACTTACAGCATTGCTTCCTTCCTCTTGACTTTTTCTTTTATGAAAAATGAAACTAGTACACCAAACTTCACTCTAACTGCCCACAGTGTGGTCCTTTGTAGTTTATATGTTGGGCCTCTTACTTTCTCTTTCCTTGCTACCAAACTCCTGAGCTAATTAAATAGAAGACTACCAGCTTCTATTCTAAACATTCTCCTATTTGAAATATAGTATGATTACATATTTGGCTTCCTCGAAATATCCCTTAAGGTTCCTCTCTCTCACTCAAAATACTTACTGGGACTTACATTAGGCACTGGTGATACAGCAGTGAGTCCCTGCTTTTGTGGCATTTACAGCCTTGTGAGTGGGACACACATCAATCACACTTTGCTTTATTCCTTACCATAAGTTACTGTGGCATTCTACATCTGCTCTGCTACACTGGAACATGGCTGATTTCTCTAAATACAATGGCAGTCATATAAATAAGTATAAACTGAGTGACCAAAAACATTAGCCAAAAATCACTCCATGGAAGACAGAAATCACTGAAGGCTTTATTGAAGGAAATTATATTTCTCCAAGTATTTGGTACTCAGTCCATTCAAGCAGATGAATCACTGAAGAAGCCTGAAAAAGACTATGAAAATTTACTCAAATTTCAAAAATGTATCATATTACTCATATTTCATATTATTCATACAGAAATATGAGTCTTACAAATAGACCAATGAGCCAGAAAATGATGAGCCATTGAAGCCCACCCCTACAGAATCTATGGGATCTACTAGGTCCTTGAGTAAGAACTAGGGTCTTTGCCCCTAGTCTGGTGCTCTTGATGAAGATATTCTTTGGAAAATTTAAAGACATAGTTTTAGATTGTTGGGGAAAATGGGGCCCCTGGCCTACAACTGCTAAACTTGAGAGGTCTGGTGGTGTAGTAGAAGGTCAATGATCATCCTCCCCTAACTCGATCTCTCTGATGAGTAAGACTAAATACAGTTGACTAGGGTGTCAGGGAGGTAGCGAAGCCCTTGTAGCTCAACTATAAGGAATAGAAACTGTGACTCTAACTTTATATTAGCCAATGTTACAACTAACTGAATTCACCAACCACAGACAAGAAAGCAGAAGCATTTCAGCAGAACCACAACAGAAAAGAAATAAAGTGTTTTCTTTTTATAACTGATTGACTATTGTTGAGGTACTTTTTCCCTGTCAATAGGTAGATAGGTAGGTAAGAAGGGAGGTAGGTAAGACAGTTATTTCATAGCTAAAAGCATGGCTTCTGGGGCCAAACTGTCTAGGCTCAACTCTCAGCATTGCCATGCAATAGCTGAGTGAATATGGGCAATATACTTAAACTTTCTTGGGGAATTAACAGGACCCACCTTAAATGGTTATTGTAAAGATTAAACGAATTAGATAAAAACAGCACTTAATTCAACAAATGGTCCTGGGACAACTAAATATCCACATGTAAAAGAATCAAGTTAGACTCCCTCCTCGCACATAAAAATTAACTCAAAATGGATCGGAGACCTAAAGGTAGGTGGTAAAATTATAAATCACTTAGAAATAGTAAATCTTTGTAATGTGGGATAAGCAAAGTTTTCACAAATATGACTGAAAGCACAAGCAACAAAAGAAAAAATAAATTGTATTCCATCAAGTTAAAAACATTTGGGCTGAAAAGTATATCATCAAGAATGTGAAAAGACAGTATATAGAATGACAGAAAATATCTGCAAATCATATTATCTGATAAGAGACTTGTATTTAGGATATATTTTTTAAAAACTATTACAGTTCAATATTAAAAAGATAAACCAATTATAAAGTAGGTAAAGGATCTGAACAGACATTCTCCAAAGAAGATACATAATGACTAATAAGTATATGAAAAGATGTTGAAAATCATCAACCATCAGGGAAATGTAAATCAAAACCACAATGAGATAAACACTTCACATTACAGACGAATATAATAAAAAAGACAGACAATAACAACTGTTGATGAGGATGTGGAGAAACTGGAATTCTCATACACTGCTGGTTGGAATGTAAAATAATGTACCCACTTCAGAACAGTCTGACAGTTCCTGAAAAGGTTAAACAGCATTACCATCTGACGCAGCAATTCTGCTCCTAGGTATATATCCAAGAAATATGAAGATAAATGTCTACCAAAAAATTATACAAGAATGTTCATAACAGAATTATTGATAATACTCAAAAAGTAGAAGCAACTCAAATGTCAATCAACTGATGATGGATAAATAAAATGATAAAATGTGGTAAATCCATATGATAAAATATTATTCAGCCATAAAAAGGCACAGAGTACTGATAAATGCTACCACATCAATGAACTTTGAAAACCTCATGCTAAGTGAAAGAAGCTGTCATAAATTACTACATGCTGCATGTTTCCATTTGTATGAAATGTCCAGAAGAGGCAAATAAAGACAGAAAGTAGACTAGTAGTTGCCTAGGGCTGGGAGGGAGTTAGGAGGAATGGAGAGTAATTGATAATGGGTAAAGGGTTTCTTCTGATGTATAAAAATATTCTAGAATTGACTGTGGTGATGGTTACTCCTATCTACTAAAATTACTGAATTGTGTACTTTTTTAAGAAGTAAATTGTATGGTATATAAATTATATCTCAAAGCTATTGTATTAAGGGAAAAAGCACTAAACACAGTGCCTTACACATATTAGCTAATATTATTATTTGTCAGTGGTATTATAGCACTTGTTAGAGATTGTCTACTCTAATCCTTTTATGTTACAGATGAGGAAGTTGAGAGCCACATGGCTGACTTGACCAAGATTAAACGGCTAGTAAGTAGGAATAAGTACTGAAACAGAAACTTTACCCAATTGCAGTCCATATGTTTTCTGGGATCCCGGAGTTCCCTTTCAACAATGTAAAATACAAACTTAGGTCAAAAGTTCCCATGTCTGAGAAGACTCAAGCCAAATCAGTTCTCCTCCAAAGTTGACAGGATTTATGCTTTAAAAATAGAGATACAGAATTCTCTTTGGAAAGATCTACCAAATTCCTGTAAGAAACAGTCTACCCAAAGTAGGGGAAAGGCTATATGAAAAGTTACAAGGCACTTCTTAAAAATATATCTTAGGTTTTTAGGGAAAGGTAAACAGACAAGTTTCCAGACCCGTGGGTGGAATGGATGTAGCAGATTCACTGAGAGGCTCACAGTGCCGTACTAAAGGGAGTCTACTGCTTAAAGCCAATTCACATCCTTAAAAGGTCAAATGGAGAGAAATTAAACTTGGGAGAAGCATTTTAAGACTGTGCTGTTACAAAACCTCGGGCCACTTAACTGATTAATCATGGCAATGAGGGCAGGGACCAGAAAAGAGTCTTTAGAACCTGTCATCCCCACACAGAAGAGCAACTTTCAGGGAAACACCCTTATCTTTCCATTTTCAGACCCCGGGAGGTGTGAGGGTGGAAAGCCTAGGTAGAGAAGAGAGCAGAAAGGAGATGAGATGACACAACCAGGATTCTCCGAAGCTGGGCTTGAAGTCCTCAAGAAAAACTCCCATGAACAAGGAAGGAAGAGTGAAGAAAAAAACAGGGATACCTGGAACTGGACAAAAGTAAAAAGATAGAAGGATACTTTTTTTCCCCCAGAAGAAGTCTGTCACAAAAGCAAACCTGCAAATATACGATCAGTATAACACCCAAGAAAATGACACATGCGGCCAGGCATGGTGGCTCATGCCTGGAATCCCAGCACTTTGAGAAGCCGAGGCAGGTGGATCACCTGAGATCAGGAGTTCGAGGCCAACCTGACCAACATGGTGAAACCCCATCTCTACTAAAAATACAAAAATTAGCTGAGCATGGTGGCAGGCACCTGTAGTCCCAGCTACTTGGAAGGCTGAGACATGAGAATAGCTTGAACCCGGGAGGTGGAGGTTGCAGTGAGCCGAGATAGCGCCATTGCACTCCAGCCTGGGAGAAAGAGCGATGCTCCGTCTCAAAAAAAAAAAAAAAAAGAAAAGAAAAGAAAAGAAAATGACGCATGCCCCCAAGTGTGAGAATGCAAGAGGGAATCCCTGACCTATCCCTATCCAACCAGTTTTCTTGGCACACAACTTCCATTCTCTGAATGAGCCCAGATTAACTCACTGACCCCTGTGCCACGTATCGCCCACTCCATCACCCGCCCAGGCTCACTGCTTCCACCTGCGTCCCTTCATATCTCCCTACTGACCTCCACTTTTTTCTAACTTTGTCACCAAAGAAGTCACAGAAATAAATAGGAGGATTCAAAAAGAATAATTTCAGTACATTTAAAAAATTGTAGAATATAGGATTCTCATCTATGTTTATCACGTTCAATTCATTCATTTTTCAAATTTTCATTGTGGCACCATTTTATGACAGGCACTATGCTGGGGATGCTGGCGACTAGGGTAGGGAGTTAAAATGAGAGTGTCTACTTGGAAAGATGAACAGATAAATAATCACCGTGATAAGTGCTGTGCTAGAGATATGCAGATGTCAAAAGACCTTAGAAGGTCTACAATCCACTTGGAGGGTAGGGAATATAGAAGGCATTTCAGTGAAATAGGGTGCCTTTGACAAATCATTAAGAATGAGTTCTACATTAAAAAGGGGAAGAGAGGGTGATAGCTGAGGAGGCAGCATAGGCAAGAACATCCAGCATGAAAGAACAGTGAGGGACATCAGGAACATCTTTCAGGAACATCAGGTAAAACAGACTTAGGGCCCAAGTCAAAGGAGCTAAAATAATACACCCTGGAAAGTGGTATGATCATTTCTGCATCTGCTTCAGAGAAACCTGCCAAAATATGATTAGCATAATACCCAAGAGAACATCACATTCCCCATGTGTGAAAATGCAAGAGGGAATTATTTCTAATAGTTCATAAGCTCAGCAACAACAGAGTAGACACAAAAGCCACAGAATGTGCTTAGGCTTTACTTTAATGATATAGGGATATCATATATCATCAGCCTGTGGAGTACAGAGGTAGTTTACAAAGGATAAACCTTCATTGTTTGGAAAGGAAAGATCAGAGAGCTCTTTATGAAGTTTAAACAAAATCAGAGAAATAAAGAGATGTGGGAAAGAAAGAAAAAAAAGAAAGTACATTGAGGACAGTCCAATCTAACTGTGAACTCATAAGGGACAGCCAGTAAATTCAAAACAGCCTACTGTTTTTTGATTACTTGTGCTACTCTATTAAAATAGCCACAAACACAAAACTAGTCTACCTCTTTCTCTCCCCATTATTGGCCCTAACCCAAAAATAGTGGGAGTAAATGATTTAATAATTTATTTTCATGCTCCATTTTGTTCTTAAGTTAAAATTACTGTGGTTGGTGCCCCTCCTTTAGCTTCTGCTAAAGACTTTACATAATGAAAGCTCATGAAGTGTCTGGATTACTAACAGTTACTTATCCAAAAAGATGAGACATGGTTCATTGATTTGATTCAATTAGTTCTCTCTTGAAGATATTTTTCTCCTCCCTCTGTGAAGAAACATTTCTTTCTGTGTCATACAAGACGAGTCATTTTTGTAGTTTTAATTCCCTCTTGAGTCCTACAATAATACTAAAATACTCACAGTGACTACAGTATCCTTTGCAGGGAAAAAATTGTAAATTAACCATTTAAATATAGTCACTAAGTTATGTGGCATTCACTGACTCAGAGTTGAAAAAGACTCCAAAATTCTTATCCAGTATTAGAGTATACAAGGACAAAAGGAGAGGCCAAACTAAGTCTAGGACGCACAATACAAAGAAGAAAATGAGAAGACCAAAGTTACAGTCTCAATACTATGACATGATACTAAACCATACAGTCAGTCAGCCAATATATATTTGCGGGCCTAGTATATACTGGGCACTGTTTGTAGGTGTTTGGGTTACATCAGTAAACAAAAACAAAGATACTAGTTTTCATTCTGGAGAGGGTAAGAGGCAGTAGAATTTGGAAAAGACAGACAATAAACAATAGACATAATGAAGTAAATTATATAGTATAAATTATATAGTAAGAAGATAAGAGTTACAGAAAAAGAAAACAAAAAGTAGACCAGGGTTAGTAATTAAGGGGGTGGGGGACAGTTACAATTTTAAATAGGGTGGTTAGAGTAACCCTCAATTAGAAGTGCCAAGACGTGAAATGCAGTGGAAGCAACCATTTGAAAGTTGCAGAATACTTTAACAAGCTACTTTGCCTCCTGCTGACTTTGTTTCCCCATTTTTAGAACTGAAATAATAATTCTCATCAAATAAGGGTGCTATTTACATTGAGATAGTGACTATTACTATAAGTAACATTTTAGTCTCTTGACAAGCATGGGAAGCAATGGAATGAAGGGCAATGGAAGGAAGGGCACTGCATTATGAAAAGGACTTTTTAAAAGAAAACCATCTCTAGGCACTATTTCCCTTTGTGGAAATGAAGTGAATATTTTCTGAACTCCACCTGGGACATACGAACAATGAGCATGAAATCTTACAAACTGTATAAATAACATTTATTCACAGTGTCACTGCATCATCTATTGTTTTGAATTCTCTTTAAATTTCCTTCTATATATTTATCCAAAGCTGAAGTCATCTGGTTTAGATTATGGGACCCTGAAAAGCAAGAACTAGTCTATGTAACTACTTTTAAACATCTGCACAATGCCATATATATATACACACACACACACACACACACACACACACACACACACACACATATTGATATGTAACAAGTACTATTTGATTATAATTAGGAGTGTCTTGGTTTTCTTATAACATGAACATATATTTTTAACCCAAACAGCTTAAAGCATTTAACGAAAAGTTTTACACACCTACAAAGTGCTTTCAGGAAGCAGATGTGCAGTGCAATGTGGCGCAGTAAGATGCACAAAGCAAAGGCTTTGAAAATAAACTGCCTCGGTTTCAGGACCCAGCCTAACCACATATTAGCTGTACAACTTTGGGTGAATCACTTAACATCTCCAAACTTCAGTTACTTCATGTGGGAAGACTTGAAAAATAATACCTGGTCCCAAGATTTTTGTGTAATTGAGCTAATAAGCATGGAAGTACCTGGCACAGTTCCTGAGTCACCAAAAAAATGTTAGTTTTCTCTTCATCAAATCTCCCCATTCCCACCCCTCATGCTAATCTCCCCTCCCACATACACACACACCATCAGTGAGTAAATAAGTGTCTTGCGTTAAACTACAACCAGAGAATAAGAGACAGCCAAGATTTCCTTACTCTATTTCACTAGCCCTGGCAGCCTCTCAGCTGCGGAATCCTTGGTTATTTCCTTTCTCAAGGAGGAGATACTATTCTAGTTTGACAGATCCTTTCCTGGACACACTCTCAGAATTCCCTAAGGTTCTTATCGTGGCTAATGGATAACAATGCAGAGGCTATGGGAGTGAATAATCACTCTCTCTCAGCTAAAAACTTCCTTTATTGACTTCTCTAACTTCCCGTCAACATCTTGCTGCCAAATCAACCTCTTGTTCTAGGCAATTATTAAAAGCAATTTTCTTGAAACTGAAAAACACATTTAGCCTTCAACAATAAATCACACTAACATCAATTACTAGCCAATTAGATTACTAGAATATCAGACCCAGAGATATTTGCAATATTGAAATATTTTCAAAATAAAGTTGTTTACATTTCTATTTCTGTCTTTAACCCTTAAAATGCAAACAAATGCAGGAGTGAAGACAGACGTATTTTAGTTATTTCTTCTACAAGATAAAGTGAATAGTAATATTATGTTAAGAAAACACTTATTTAGTATCTAGAATGATAGCATTATCTATTCTTTATTAAAAGAGAAACTAAAAGTAATATAATTAAATAGCTTGTTCTTGTGACTTAAATAATATAAAGTTTTCATTTCAATTATGTGACAATGCTTTGTATAGCTGTATTCCAAATACATAGCATGGTGCCTAGAACATAGCAGGCAGTCAATACATTTTTACCAAATGAAATGAATAAATTACCAGTTGATTTTATACTGAGGACCAACCTATGACCTTTAATCTCTCCAAAATAAAACACACAATCCCATTATATGTGAACCATATCCACAATACCAGAATCTAAGATTCCCACTCTGAAAGAGTAACTAGAACAACTTCTTTTTGAGGCAATTCTGCTTACTTAGCACATTACTCCCCCCTACAGTTTTCCTTCTTTTGTTTTTGTACTAAGGATATTTGTATAAAAACAGGATCTTTGTTGCTTAGTAATTCATCTGCTCCAGCTGCTTGTATTCTGTTCCCAATCAAAATTCTTGGTTTTCAGCCTCCTCATCATTTTTATAAGGAGTTGAATGAATTGGCCAGGCTTGTTCCTTTCTCCCTCTCCATGGAACACCAGGCCCCAAGCTCCCCGACACTGCTCCTCTTTTTGTTTCTATCTTTGGGTTGTGTGTGCACTCTAGAACACTTGTATCAGTGAAGAGTGTAACAAAGTATTGTGCCACGCATAGTCTCTCATATATCATCTATCAGCTCATCAAAAAGTGCTCACTGATTAACAGAGGATCCCCTCCTCAGTTTCAGAATTCTCTAGCTTTAAGTTAGGGGAGGGTTACCCCAAAGTCAGAGAGGGTACATGGGAGAGGGTTGTGAAGGCCAGTAGCCCAGAGAAAATCAAGGGCAGCTGGGTGCATTTAGGTGGATAAGAAAACAATGAATTACTCCATCAAAAGCAAAAGCACAAGCACATAGGAAAGTTGATCACCTACTGTTAATGTCAATTCAGTTTAAAGCACTTTATTAACCACACATACATATTTTCCAGTGTCTAATTCTCATCGTGTTCTTTTCCATTCCAGACTTGCCTGTCCCTTTCCCAGAGCTCTGTTCCTCTTATTTCTCACTGTTTCTACAAAAGGGACAATAAACAATTTTCTAGCCACTCATCATCATAAACCCTGACATGCTAAATTATCCCCTGCTCAGTTTATGGACCACAGTGGGCCCATAAAACTCCTCCCTCACTAGCAACCCACCCCACACAAAATTCTCACTTCCCTTTTTCCTTGGGCTTCCTAAAAACAGCAATTGAGCCACACCCACTACCTCCTGTGCTAGGGGTTTGTCCCCTAATCCTGGGACACTAGGGAGCTCCTTACCTGGAAGGCAGTTGCACTCAAAAGTGAAGTCACCAGTCTGCCGACAGGTGCCTCCATTGACACAAGGTGAGGGTGCACAGGGCACATACAGGCTGTCACAGTACTGGCCTGTGAAGCCCTGAGGGCACTGGCACTGGTAGGAACCAGGCAGGTTGAGGCAGGTGCCACCATGCTGGCAGTGTCCTGGAATGTCACACTCATTGACATCAGTCTCACATTTCTGCCCTGTGAAGCCTGTGAGGCATTTGCAGGAGAACTGGTTGGCCACAGTGGTACAGGTACTTCCATTTGCACAGGGATGAGACAGGCAGGCATCCGTCCATTGGCACTCCTTACCTAAAGGAAGGATAACAAAACTCAGTACTGGCCACAGAAATAGGAGATGGCCCCATCCTCAATACCTCATTGACATCAGCGAGCTCTTGCGTGGAGAAGACCTCAACTCTTTGCATTTTACAAAAGGCTAAATCAGAGCCTCCTCAAGGTAATCTGACACAGAGCCCTCTCCAGTAACTCTCCAAGGACCTCAGCAGAGACACAAGGACTCAGTGGGTGGAGCACCTGGAGGCAATTGTAGGTTAGTCACATTGAAGCCCAATCCTGCAGGACGCTATCAGCAATAGGAGTCTGGATCCATCTACTCTCTCAGAGCTCACTGTCTTTGCATATGCTGCTCCTGTTTGAATATCAACTTCCGGGCCAGGAGCAGTGGCTCACACCTGTAATTCCAGCACTTTGGGAGGCCGAGGCAGGCAGATCATGAGGTAAGGAGTTCAAGACCAGCCCGGCCAATATGGTGAAACCCTGTCTCTACTAAAAATACAAAAATTAGCTGGGCATGGTGGCGCGCACCTGTGATCCCAGCTACTTGGAAGGCTGAGGCAGAAGAATCACTTGAACCCAGGAGGCGGAGGTTGCAGTGAGCCGAGATTGTACCACTGCACTCCAGCCTGGGCGACACAGCAAGACTCTATTTCAAAAAAAAAAAAAAAAAAATCAACTTCCCTTCTGTTTTCCTAGTGAACTCTCCCTATCTTGGCAACTGTACTCAAAAGTTCCAACCTCTGTAAAGTCATCCTTAGTGCCCCTCACATACATACATGTGCGCAAACACAGATACACCAAGTTTGCTATTTTCTTCTATTATACCACCTGCCACACTGGCAGGGTTGGGTCTCCATGGTATGCTCTCAAATCATGTCTGTTGAATGGATAAAATATATCGATATTTTCCACAAAATATAGTTACTAAATAGACCTCTGGTGATAGAAACAAGTCAATACTACTTCTGTTTCCTCTAAATGTAACACACACATATATTCTGGGAAACATTTTATTAATTGTGGCCTTGCTATAAATATCTGTTGATGTGTTTGAAAATGATGAAGGAACTCTGGGTCCCTATATAACAAATGAAATAGAAGCCATCAGGAGGACAGAGGTCTCGAAGGTATTCCGTGGACTTTCTCAAGTAGGAAAGTACCAGCACTAGCAGGAAGACTCTGACGGGTTGAAAACTAAATCATGATGGCAGGGGAAGCAAAGCAGATTCTTTGAGGCAGAAAGAGAAAGAGAAAAAAATATCCTCACAGAACTAGTAAATTTGGTATTCACATGGCTGGCTTTTTGTTGTCATTAGTCTAAGTCACTTATTATTTAAACTACAGAGATGAGAACTCCTTGAATTTTTATTATTATTATTATTATTATACTTTAAGTTCTAGGGTACACGTGCACAACATGCAGGTTTGTTACATATGTATATATGTGCCATGTTGGTGTGCTGCACCCATTAACTCGTCATTTACATTAGGTACATCTCCTAATGCTATCCCTCCCCCGTCCCACCACCCCACGACAGGCCCCGGTTTGTGATGTTCCCCTTCCTGTGTCCAAGTGTTCTCATTGTTCAATTCCCACCTATGAGTGAGAACATGCGGTGTTTGGTTTTTTGTCCTTGCAATAGTTTGCTGAGAATGATGGTTTCCAGCTTCATCCATGTCCCTACAAAGGACATGAACTCATCCTTTTTTATGGCTGAATAGTATTCCATGGTGTATATGTGCCACATTTTCTTAATCCAGTCTATCATTGATGGACATTTGGGTTGGTTCCAAGTCTTTGCTATTGTGAATAGTGCCGCAATAAACATACGTGTGCATGTGTCTTTATAGCAGCACGATTTATAATTCTTTGGGTATATATCCAGTAACGGGATGGCGAGAACTCCTTGAATTTGTTAATACTCCAGTTGATTGTCTAGGAAAGTATCTAAATCTCTGACCTCATAGAAAGGTAAATGGGAGACACAAGAGTTTTTCTATAAGGGAAAAAGATGCGAGATGTGACATATGAGCACAGAAAAGTGCTCTCTGCCTATCAAGGAATGTCAAATCAAAGGAGAAAACTATAACACAAATTTAGGCACAGCATATACATCTCAGGGAGCTAAGACAGAAAATGAAGGAACTGCAATTCTTCTTGTCTTTCCACTCATGTCACTAAGAGGCACTTATTTACAGTGGAGAAGAGATATAAATGCTCACTTCTAGCAAGTGTGATTTTCAGAGTGATGCCCACAACTGAAACAGAAAGATCCCTGGGCCGGAAGTGGTGGCTGATGCCTGTAATCCCAGCACTTTGGGAGGCTGAGGTGGGCAGATCACTTGTGGTTAGGAGTTTGAGACCAGCCTGGCCAACATGGTGAAATGCCATCTTTTCTAAAAATACAAAAATTAGCCGGGCTTTATGGCGCATGCCTGTAATCCCAGCTACCTGGGAGGCTGAGGCACAAGAATCACTCGAACCCAAGAGGTGGAGGTTGCAGTGAGCCGAGACTGCGCCACTGTACTAAGCAACAGAGTGAGAAGAAAGACAGACAGAAAGAGAGAGGGAAAGAGAGAGAAAGAGAGAAAGAGAGAGAAAGAAAGAAAGAAAGAAAGAAAGAAAGAAAGAAAGAAAGAAAGAAAGAAAGAAAGAAAGGAAGGAAGGAAGGAAGGAAGGAAGGAAGGAAGGAAGGGAGAAAGGAAGGAAGGAAGGGAGAAAGAAAGAAAGAATCAACCCTGAATTTGGTTTCCATATATATTATGTATAGGCACTAACTTGCTGCCTCTGCTTCTTCATCTCTGAGTGGAGATGAGCTAGTAAGCTGACTGAGGTATAGTGCTATCACAAAAACCAAAAGGATGACTTTGATCTGTGATGATTCCTAAAGTGATAGACAAAAATAGCATATGTATAAAAGATGATCAGAATCGGCCGGGTGTGGTGGCTCACACCTGTAATCCCAGCACTTTGGGAGGCCGAGGCAGGTGGATCATGAGGTCAGGCGATCCAGACCATTGTGGCTAACAAGGTGAAAGCCCATCTCTACTAAAAATACAAAAATTAGCCGGGCATGGCGGTAGGTGCCTGTAGTCCCAGCTACTCAGGAGGCTGAGGCAGAAGAATGGCGTGAACCCGGGAGGTGGAGCTTGCAGTGAACCGAGATTGTGCCCTGCACTCCAGCCTGGACGACAAAGCAATACTCCATCTCAAAAAAAAAAAAAAAAAAAAGGTGATCAGAATCTTGCAGAACACACCAAGAAGAGATCCTTCTTAACAACAAAGGAAGAAGTTTTAATTTGGGACCATTTCAGAGTGACATTTTAATTATGAAGAAGGCATTACTGTCATTTCCACTAGCCAGAATTAAAATATTTTAAGTGGGTATATGCCCCCCTACTTTGCCTCCTAATAGCAAAACAACTCAAAACTGACAATCAGGAAGAAATTATTCTTATAACACCAAATATTTTCAGTGACTTACATCATCAATACCATCATCGTCATGATGGAGATAATGGATCATCCTAACTACCCTCTACCCCACCAACACCTTTTGATGAATGATATGGTTTGGTAGTGTCCCCACCCAAATCTCAACTTGAATTGTATCTCCCAGAATTCCCATGTGTTGTGGGAGGGACCCAGTGGGGTAACTGTATCATGGGGGCCAGTCTTTCCTGTGCTATTCTCATGATAGTGAATAAGTCTCATGAGATCTGATGGGTTTCTCAGGGTTTCTGCTTTTGCTTCTTCCTAATTTTCTCTTGCCACCACCACGAAAGAAGTGCCTTTTGCCTCCCACCATAATTCGGAGGCCTCCCCAGCCATATGGAACTGTAAGTCCAATTAAACCTCTTTTCTTTCCGGTCTCGGGGATATCTTTATCAGCAGCGTGAAAATGGACTAATACAGTAAATTGGTACCAAGAGTGGGGTTTTTGCCAGAGTGCCAACTATCCCGAGGGAAACTTTGGAGGGAACCAGCTACTAGATGGTTCAATTAGTCTTTCGCCCCTACACCCAGGTTGGATGACCGATTTGCACATCAGGACTGCTACGGACCTCCACCAGAGTTTCCTCTGGCTTTGCCCTGCCCAGGCAGAGTTCACCACCTTTCAGGTCCTAACATTTGTGCTCATGCCCCAACTTCCCAGTGCAGAAAACAAGATGGGCCGGTGGAAAGCTGACCTGGCTACTGCCACTACAGAGTGCCCAATTTGCCAGCAGCAGAAACCAACACTGCACCTTTGATATGGCACTATTCCTCAGGGTGATCAGCCAGCTACTTGGTGGCAGGTTGATTATGTTGGACTTCTTCCATTGTGAAAAGGGCAGATGTTTGTCCTTACTGGAATAGACACTTACTCTGGATATGGGTTTGCCTATCCTGCATGCAATGGTTCTGCCAAGACTACCATCCGCGGACTCATGGAATGCCTTATCCACTGTCATGGTATTCCACACAGCATTGCCTCTAACCAAGGCATTCACTTTATGGCTAAAGAAGTGCAGCAGTGGGCTCATGCTCATGGAATTCACTGGTCTTACCATGTTCCCCAACATCCTGAAGCAGAACGGTGGAATGGCCTTTTGCAGTCACAATTACAATGCCAACTAGGTGAGAATACTTTGCAGGGTTGGGGCAAAGTTCTCAAGAAGGCTGTGTATGCTCTGAATCAGCGTCCAATATGTGGTACTGCTTCTCCCATAGCCAGGATTCACAGGTCCAGGAATCAAGGGGTGGAAATGGAAGTGGTACCACTCACCATCACCCCTAGTGATCCACTAGCAAAATGTTTGCTTCCTGTTCCCGCAACATTAAGTTCTGCTGGCCTAGAGGTCTTAGTTCCAGAGGGAGGAATGCTGCCACCAGAAGACACAACAACAATTCCATTAAACTGGTAGTTAAGATTGCCACCAGGACACTTTGGGTTCCTACCTTTAAGTAAACAGGGTAAGAAAGGCGTTACAGTGTTGGCTGGGACATCAAGGCTATCAAGACCCAGGCTATCAAGATGAAATCAGTCTACTACTCCAGAACGGAGGTAAGAAAGAGTATTCATGGAATACAGGAGATCCATTAGGGCGTCTCTTAGTATTACCATGCCCTGTGATTAAGGTCAATGGGCAACTACAACAGCCCAATCCAGGCGGAACTACAAATGGTCCCACCTGGATGAATGAAGGTTTGGGCCTCTCCATCAGGAAAAAAAAAAACATAACCTGCTGAGGTGTTTGCTGAAGGCAAAAGGAATACAAAATGGGTAGAAGAAGGTAGTCATCAATACCAGCTACTACCATGTGACCAGCTGCAGAAATGAGGACTGTAATTGTCCTCAGTATTTCCTCCTTCTTTTATTAAAAACATGTCTGTGCTTGCACACACTTGTACTAAGAAAATATCTTCATTTTATTTCCTTTCTCCTTTATCATGTGACATAAGATTTATTGACTTCACATCAGCATTTAAGTATCGTTAACTTTATGTAAGAGTGTTTCAGCTGGGGACTGGTGTGTTTCCGGATGTATGAAGAATAGTTGTACTACATCAGGTGTAATTATGACCTAATTATTGTCTTTATTTGAAGATTATGTGTGATCTCAGGAGATGTGTATGGGTTCAAGTTGACAAGGGGTAGATTTGTGGTGGTTAAAACTGAGTGTGTCAACTTGATTGAATTGAAGGATACAAAGTATTGATCTTGGGTGTGTCTGTGAAGGTGTTGCCAAAGGAGATTAACATTTGAGTCAGTGGGCTGGGGAAGGCAGACCCACCCTTAATCTGGATGGACACCATTTGATCATCTGTCAGTAAATATAAAGCAGGCAGAAAAACATGAAAAAGCGAGACTGGCCTAGCCTCCCAGCCTACATCTTTTTCCCGTGCTGGATGTTTCCTGCCCTCAAATATCGAACCCCAAGTTCTTTGGTTTTGGAACTCAGACTGGCTCTCCTTGCTCCTCAGCCTGCAGACAGCCTATTGTGGGACCTTGTGATCATGTGAATTAATACTTAACAAACTCTCCTTTATATATATATAAAGATTGCCAATATATATATATTAAGATTGCCACCAAGACACTTTGGGTTGGAATATATATACATACATATATATTCCATTAGTTCCATCCCTCTAGAGAACCCTAATACAATGAAAAATTAATATAACAGTATTCTACACTAACTGATCCAGTATAGTTTTCTGAGTACATTTTTCACTTTTTTGCTTATTGCATTTATAGAACTCTTGGTTTAGTGCTTAAAGCAGGAGAAAAAATGAAGAATGTTCCTCCTTTTCTCATCTAATTTAATAAACACTTTTGAATAAAGCTCAGACCCACCTAGAAAAACCCACAATCTATTCAGGTGAGATATGTGTAAAAAAAAATTACAATAAAATGTGATACATAAAACTAATAAAACTTAGAGACCATTTGCCTAAAGGAATCATGAAAGGGTCACTAAGACACAGTTTTAAATAACATTGGACAATCACCAGTTGTAGAAAAGGGCATTCCAGGCAAAAGGGTGTGTAACTGTATGGAAGCAATAATAAGTACAACATTTTCAGGAAATAAGGAGAATTTGGTGTGACTAGGCCTAGATGCTTGTGGGGAGGCCAGGCTACAAAAAGATGTAAAGTCTAGGCTGTAGAGAGCTATGGAAGTCATGTAAAAGAGTTTGCAGTTTATTCTGCGGATGATGAAAAAATATTAGACATTGTAAGCAGGTGAGATTGTTAGAATATTTGCATTTATAATCAAAGATGTAGTAATATCATGGGTGAATGAGATGGGGAGAGAATAAAGGCAAGAAAACGTATTCAGAAACTATTTCAGAAGTCCAGGTGAGAGATAACATGGCCCTCAACTACAGGGTAGCAGAGGAAATGGGAGGAATAGACAGGTGAAAGGCAACTCAGAGGTTGGCTTGGGTGACTGAGTTGAAATGAGGTCAGAACAAGGGACAGGGAGTTTCTAGCGTGGGTATTTGGGATGTACATGGTTGCTACGTATTTCTGTCAACAAGGTGAGCTGAAAGTACCTGTAGAATATCTCCAAGGAGAACATACAAAGGATAGCTAGAAACATGAGCCTGAATGTCAGGGTTGGGTGGAGCTAAGGGAATGATGGTGAGATTCATCAGCAAGCTAATGAAGACAGTGGCAGTGGAGGCGAATACAGACAGTGAAATTCCCTAGGGAGAGCTGTGATGTGGCTCAAAAGAGGGCGAAAAACAGTGCTCCAGGGAGCACAAACATTTAATGGATAAGAACAAGGTAATGAAGAAGCAAAAGGAACAGGGTTCAGAAAACCAGAAAAGCCAGTGCCCTGAATGTCTAGGGAGGGAGATTTCTAAAAGCAAATAGTCAATAACTTCAGCAACTTTTCCTCTGGTGACAGTGTACTTATTTCTTTTAGTGAAGTAAACTCTGATTCCCCATCCTGGTGTACATATTTTTTTTTTGAGACAGGGTCTCACTCTGTCACCCAGGCTAGAATGCAGTGGTGCGATCATAGCTCACTGCAGCCTCAAACTCCTGGGCTCAAGCAATTCTTCCACTTCAGCCTCCCAAGTAGTTAGGACTACAGGTGCACACCACCACACATGACTAATTTTGTTTTATTTTTATTCTTGTTTTTTTGTAGAGATGGGGTCTTGCTGTGTTTCCCAGGCTGGTCTCAAACCTCTAGCCTCAAGTGATCCTCCTGCCTTGGCCTGCCAAAGTGCTGGGATTGCAAGCGTGCACCACCGCACCTGGCCCTGACATATATACTTTAAGCAGTCAAAGTATTTGGTACTTTTTCTTTCTCTTTCTCTGCCCCCTGAAACTCTTAAAAGGAAGTTAGGGATAGTTGTCTGGAACATCCCAGTTCCTTATCATAATGTTAAATGTGCACCAGAGCTGGGGGACATTTAAGAGCCAGACACCATGATCTAAAAGATGCTAAATAAAGGTATCTGCTGAAGGTAGGAAACCACTGGCTTTGGTCTCATTAGTTACCTGTAAACCCGACTTGACAGGTGCACTCATAGGTATCCCGGCTGAGCATATGGCATGTGCCGCCATTCAGGCAGGGTCGAGACACAAAGCATGGATGAGATGTTGAGTACTGGCAGTCCTCTCCTGTAAACCCTGAGGCACATCGGCACGTGGCTTTCCCCAGCATGGCCTGGGCCACACAAGTCCCACCATTCTGGCAGCGGTTCTTCTCACAGGGGTCTCGATGTTGACAATATTCCCCCAAGAAGCCTTCTGGACATCTGTATGGAAAAGAGAAGAGTCCATGAAAACACCTGACTTCTTGTAAGTCCAAAAAATTACAGTAAAACAATACAGTCCAATCAAGAAAGCACGAGATTGTGAATCAACAGACCTACAAGGACCACCTATAAAACTGCTTCCCTTTAGAAGAAAGAGTCCTTAGAGAACTTAACCACATACTCCCATGTCCTTTTGAGTCCTGGCAGGTGACAGAGTATCAGGTGTATGGTCTAGCAGGGTCTGCCATGGCCAGTCAACATGACCCTTATTCAAACGCAAAATGCACCCCAGCTTTTTTTCATGTGTGTACAGGTTGGGATGGTGTAACAGCACCTTTTTTAGAGCACTGTTCGTACTTGTCTGCTTAAATTCATTAACTTTCTCATTTTGACTAAGCCATTTGATAGGATTAAGATGTCCACAATATAATGCATGAACTTGACCCTATTATCCCCTCCAATTTAAAATATGTAAGATATCATGTGCTTTTCCTCAATTAAGCATTGAGAAATAGTAAGCGCTTCTTTCTCTTATTTCCACTGAAACATCAATTGGCTGATACCTAGTTTTCTGGGTTATGTTCAGGTGGCTGACATTACAACGGAAAAAGGGAAAGGAGGTACAGGAATGGGGAAGAGTTCAAAGGGATATTTAAAAATCTGTTAATATTTAAGTAGTAGGCATTTTTAACCAAATAAAAAGGCACAAAATATAATTAAAATAACATAAAATATCTAAGATACCATATAAACACCAAAGTGAAGGAAGGAATCAATTGAAGAATAACATTCTATGATATTTTCCACATTGAGGCACTGAGGAACCTTTTTACATGCCACCCCTTGATTCATAAGATGTACAACCATTTCAAACTGTGTGTATTATTTATGACAATTTTCTCTGAACAATATCAAAAAGGCATGGTAAGTCTCCATTTTCATAATGAAGTTGTTTAAATGGAATCTCTGAGAAGCATTTAAATTAAGAAACACAAACACTTTGATTCTAACTATAAATGCTGCTATATATTTGGCTGGTGCCCCAAATATGTGATTCAACTTATTCCTCGTTTTAGTTTTCAGGGACTAGAAAACTGAATCTAGTAGGCTGTTCCACCATTACCTCAAAGATTACACATTTAAACCAAACTCTAAATCCCCCTCTCAAAAACCAGCTCTTCTGTGCCCAAGCCTTGTTGTCCTGATTTTCCTAATCATTGTGACCTGAAACACTGGGGTCATGAGTGCTTTTGTCTTTGACAGTCATATCCAAGACCTTTCATTAACCATTGGTTGGCAAGGCTAGCTAGCAGGGGTCACAGTTACTGAGAAAAGAAGGAAGGCCAGATACGAGGGAACTAAGACAGAAAATGCCCAGAAGAATTGTGCGGTAGCTAAAATGGCTAAAGGAGAAAACAGGGTGGTGAATAGCTATAGTGGTAGTGAGGTAACTGGCCACAGCCTCTTCACCCCTCCCAGAGCTGCATAAGATAAGCATGGCGGAGCAAGGAGCGGCTAAGGCTCTGGGCATCTTCATGAGTAGGTGTAGCTACAGACCAACAGGCAGTGAAGAAAGTTCATAGCACTGAAACCAAAGATGGCATGCAGGTGACTGTGAGGAGTCTGTATCAAGAAGGTCAGAAGGTCTGGTTTGGAGTTCTGGTGCTGTGACCTTGGACAAGTTACTTATCTTCACTGACTATCCATTTTCTCACATTGTAAATAGTTAATAAGGTCACCTACATCATGAGATTATTCTAAGAACTGAACAAAATCAAGTATGTAAAAAACCTTATAAATGTTAAAAAGTTTTGCAAGTGGGCTGGGCACAGTGGCTCACACCTGTAATGCCAGCACTTTGGGAGGCTGAGGTGTGAGGACCATCTGAGGTCAGGAGTTTGAGAATAGCCCGGCCAACATGGTGAAACCCTGGCTCTACTAAAAATACAAAAATTAGCCAGGGTGGTGGTGCACGCTTGTAATCCCAGCTACTCGGGAGGCTGAGGCATGAGAATTGCTTGAACCCGGGAGGCGGAGGTTGCAGTGAGCCAACGAGATTGTGCCACTACACTCCAGCCTGGGCAACAGAGTGAGATTCCATCTCAAAAAAAAAAGTTTTGCCAAGTGAAAACATCTTTTCTGTCTTCTTTGTGCTTATTGAGGAAAATACAATGCCCCATCCAAATCACAGCTTGATTTGAGAATAGTTTCTTGTGTTGGTTTTTTGAAGTGGAGGAGCAAAAAGTGCCAATGTAGCATAGCTAAAATTAACTCTGAGATATATTATTAAAAGCATTTGCAGCTTATTCAAGAAATGTGTTATGAATGTTAAAAACTGCAACACAATTCTCACTCACAGTGCAGCCCTCTGGGCATTATTAGATGACTCTTCATTCTCCCATATGGGAATTATGCACCTTCTAAATAATGGCAAATTTTTAAACGTGGGTGGGCTTTGCTCAGCTTTGCTCCTGAACTATTACACCACCCTAACACTATCATGTGGCATATGCTAAGAGAATGCAAAGTCATTTAAATGGTAGCATCATAAACATATAATGGAAATATAAGGTTCCCAGGAAAACAAAAATGAAGCAAAATGGAAGTTTCTAAAGCTAAACAGATGTATTTCTGAATTATTTGTTTCTACAGTTTAATTCACATTGTTGCTCCCTATCAAGTATGGAAAAATAAGTTTTAACCTAAGATATATTTAAGAAATCAGTAAAACCAGAGATTGACAAAGTACAGTTTGCAAGTCTAATTTGGACCACTGCCTGTTTTTGTTTGGCCTGTGAATAGTTTTTTACATTTTTAAATGATTAGAAAAAAAGAACAAAAGAAGGATATTTTCTGACATTTCAAAATTATATACAATTCAAATTTCAGTGTCCATAAATAGTCTTACTGGAACACAGCCATGCTCATTCATTTATAGATTGTCTATGGCTGATTTTCCACTACAACAACAGAGTCAAGTAGCTGTAATGAGACCACAAAGCCTGCAAAAATAATTACTCTCTGGCACTTTACAGAAAAAGTTTGCCAACTTCTGAGTAGAGAACATATGAAGGCTAATTCTATAAATACCATCCAATATGCTTATTAATAATGATCGGTTTCTGATAGGAAATCAACCTTATTAGTTTCCACAAAGAATATTAAACTTATAATCATTCATTCACACAACAATTAGTAAATGCCTATTATGTGCCAGGCATTTTTCCAGTGCTAGAAAAATTCTTACACTCTTGGAGTTTACATTCTAATAGCTGAAGACGAAAACAAAATTACTAAGTAAAAGATGCACAATAGATGGAGTTAAGTGCTGTGAAAAAAAATTAAACAGGAAGGAATGGAGCTGGGGATGAGGGTGTGGGGTGAGCAAAGAGAAGTATCTCAGTTTAGAATAGGAAAATCAGAGAAGACCTTCACTGACAATACTTGAGTTGAGACCTAAATAAGGTGAGAGTAATCATGCAGGTATCTTAGGGAAACACATTCATGAGAAAGGGAACAGCAAATGCAAAGGCCATAACACAGAGAGCAGCCCTAGCGTGTCTGAGAAACAGCAAGAATATCTGGAGCAGCAGAAAATAGATGAGAGCTGTAACTGGGATGTGGATCAATTGGGGCCTTTAAGCCACTGTAAAGAAAGACTTAGGGTTTTCCTCTAAATGGGATAATACTTACATATGAGGTACAACAGACTTACTCTCCTAAAGCCCATGTACAGAACCATATATTTGCTTTATGTGAAACTAGACCTACTGTATTAATAAAGTTTGATTTCTATTTAAAATGTTTTAGAGGGCTGGACATCAGCTTAGTTCTTTACTTTTACCTTAGAAGATATACAAGTCTCTTTTAACCCACACTTTCATGAGGTCCCATTTCCCTTTCCAAATTATTGTTTCACAGCTAACCTTCTATGACTGTAGCCTAATTTCAGATATTTCTCTTTCTTTTCCATCTACTTCTTACTTATCCCTCCGCAACAAAACTTTAATTCTAATTATTGCTTAGAAACTGTTTTCTAAAAACAATGACTTTCCTCTAGTCAAGTTCAGTGGTCTCATCTGAAACTTCATAAGGAAATTCTCTCTCCTATAGGGAGAATTGCTAACCACTCCACGCACCGTTTTAATCATTTTACCTTGGCTTCTATGACTCCCTCTGTCTAACTCAAAACCCAGTGAAGTCTTAGTCTGGATTGCTGATTTCTCCTTCTTCCCCATCTATTATGGCCACCCTAATGTTTAAGTCTGGACTGCACTGCTCTTTCTCTCAAATGCATTTGTTACTGTTGTTGTTCACTTGGTTTTAAACAACTTCCTTCCTGTAACTGACTCCAAAATACACTGTTCCAGTCCCATATGTTCAGTTTTCTAGAAGTCATCTCTCTATCCTAATATGTGCTGCCACTATTTGAAACTAAACATTTGTAAGAGGAGATCATCTTCCCAAGAAACTTTAATTATTCAATTTTTCTAAGGCTTCCACACACAATTTAAAGTAACTTCATCTCTTTAAGTTGTATATAATTTATTACCACATTCTGACAAGACTTGTTAACTGAATTCCTATAATACTTATCATTCGTGTTCACAGTTTCCTTTTTGATACAAATTCTGATCATCTTAAAAGCCTCAGGCCAGACATCATCTTGTTGCTGGCTTTTCCTCCATTTCCAGCCATCCTTGGAATAACAGAACCTTCAGATTCAAGAAATTTAATTTCTATCCAATTAAGTAATCATTTCTAAAATATTTCTAAAAGATGATCACCAGCCTCTGCTTGAATACAAGCATGTAGCATGGTGCCGGATAAATCTTAAGAATTTAATAAATGCTTGGAGTTATTATTGTTCTGCTCTTAAGAGTACAGACTCTGGAACCAGACCACCTGGATTTCAATCCCAACTCCACCATTTACTCAATGTGTAATCTTGGGCAAGGTACTAAACTTCCCTGTTGTAAAAGAGATGTAATAACAGTGCCTACTTCATAGGATTTTTAAATAAGGGTAAAGCACTTAGAACACTATCCAGCACATAGTAAACACTATGCATTTGTTAAGTGAAATTACTGGCTGACTACTTCAACAAAAGAACAGTCTTCAATGTGGGTGGATCCCACTGTGAGAAAGCTCTTTCTTTCTTAATTCTTCAAATTCTGCCTCCCTTCCTAGGTATATACCCGAGATAACTGAAAACATATGCCCAGATAATAAAAATGTTCATAGCAGCATTATTCATAATAGCTAAAAAGTAGAAACAACCCAAATGCCTATAAGCTGATGAACAGATAAATAAAATGTGGTATATCCATAAATGAAATATGTGGCCATGAAAAGGAATGACATTCTGATACATGCTACAACATGCATGAACCTTGAAAACATGCTAAGTGAAAGAAGCCACACACAAAAGGCCACATATTATATAATTCCATTTATATGAAATGTCCAGAATATGCAAAACCGTAGAGATAGAAAGTAGATTAGTGTTGCCAGGAGCTGTAAAGAAAGGGAAATAGACAGTGACTACTAAGCAGTAGAGAATTTCTTTCAGGGTGATAAAAATGTTTCGAAATTAGATAATGGTGGTGGTCTCATAACTCTGGAAATACTAAAGTCTACTAAATTAAACACTTTAAAAGGGTAAATTTTATGATACATAAATTATGTCTTAACTTTGAAAAGAACAAACTTTGTCTCTCTACAATTTCCAGGTTATCTCTACCCTCTAGAACAAAAAAGAACAAGCCTTCTGCTTCTCTTACACGTAGCCCTTCAAGAATCTGAAGACAGTTATGTGGGCCTTTTGTTTTCTTTTTTCCAGGATTCAATGGTTTGGCGTATTCCTCAGTATAGGGTTATTTCCAGGTTTCTTCACCTTTTTAGTGGTGCTTCTATGCTTAATAGTAGTCATAATAATCAGAATGACCAAAATTTTCTGCCTCCCTTCCCAGGTATATACCCGAAGTAACTGAAAACATATTTTCTAAGTACTTAACTATGTATTGTATATTTGCTAAGCATTTGATAGCTATTGTCTCTTGTATTACTCGCTCCAGTGCTATATTATAATCTCCATTTTATATATGAGGAACTCGAAGCTTAGAAAGATTAAGATTTTACAGCTAGGCCGGGCGCGGTGGCTCACACCTGTAATCTCAGCACTTTGGGAGACCGAGGCAGGCAGATCACCAGGTCAGGAGATCGAGACCATCCTGGCTAACACAGTGAAACCCTGTCTCTACTAAAAATATAAAAAATTAGCCAGGCGTGGTGGCGGGCGCCTGTAGTCCCAGCTACTCGGGAGGCTGAGGCAGGAGAATGGCATGAACCCAGAAGTTGGAGGTTGCAGTGAGCCAAGATCGCGCCACTGCACTCCAGCCTGGGCGACAGAGCGAGACTCCCTCTCAAAAAAAAAAAAAAAAAAAAATTCACAGCTAGTAGATGGAAGAGGCAGGATTCAAACCCAAGTAGACTCTAGAGTGCGTGTGCTTCAACACTAGGCTATCCTGCCTCCCCATCACTGGATGACTCCAGTTCATCAAAAACCTCTTTAAAAAGTGAGGCTCAAAATGGAAAAAGGCTTAACACATGTTCTTACCAGTGCAGCACAGAGCTGAACCATGACCTCCTGATCTGGACACTATGCTTTTACTATTTCAGAGTAAGTTCTTAAACTGAGGAGGCATCGTGAGAGCGCAGTTCAAGAAAGAATAATGCTCCGACTCATACCCAATGGATATGTGTACTTTTTTAGAAGCCACAAAATACTACTATGTGCTATGGAATACACACTCAGCTAAAATATTCAGAGCCTTATTTCACATGAACTACTAGTGTACCCTATTTTTCTCATCTTATACTTGTAGCACATGTTTTTTGAACCCAATAATTGGAACTGTCATTCATTCCTTTTAAATCCATCATATTGAGTCTTTACTCCAAGTTTCCTTGATTGAGACAACTTTTACATTATACTCATACAATCACAGAATTTCAGCAGTGATCTCAGAAACCAAATGGTCTGAACCCCTATAGCACTGAAAAGGACACCAAAGCTAACTGATTTGCCCAAAGTTGGTTATCTGTGAATCTAGCAATTTCCCCAGTTTTACAAATATATCCCTATCTTCACCTAGACCTTGCAATGAAATAGTACTTAACTGAAAGTGTATGACTAAGTCTTGCCCCAAGACTAGCACCTATTCAATCAGCTCTAACATCCTAAATGGACCAGCATCCTATCCATACCTCTCCTCTCCCTAAGGACAGTCTGGAAATTCCTTGCTGAACCTAAGCATATGACTAAAAGAATAATCTTTCCTAAGCATAATTTTCATGTCATTCTTCTGCTCAGAAACTAGCAACAGTATTAATACCAAGCCTTTCAAATCCAAGTTCTTTACAATCTCTGATCTGCCTGTCTGTCCCATTCCAATCATCTAACCATCTTACTCTTTAGTAATCCATAACTCGAACACTCCATATTATTTCCACAATCTTGTTTACTGTCCCCTATATTAAAATCTTTTTAATTTCCAGTGAGAAACATCATGCTTCCCTTCTGGTATATCTCCAACTTAGGTTCCTTTCTTCCACCCTTTTTTCAAAAATCTGCTGTAAACCTGTCCTATAGTAAGCCTTCTACAAATCATCCCACCTATCTCTGATCCTTCCAACAGCAGATGTAGTGCCATGTCATGCACTACATTGTCTCCACTGGTATGGTTCTTCTTTATTTAAGCCACTGTTATGTCTTTGCTGTACCTTTCTCAAACTCCCATCTAGATAGTTTTTGTGGGGAAGAGCCTGTCTTGAACCCTTGGTGTAGGTTCCCTGAATACCTGAGTACCTAAACCCCACTAAGCAGCTGGTTCCAAAGCAGGCTAAATTTCATGTGATGGATAAAGTCAGTCTCTCAATCCAAATGTTCCACAAAATCCATCTCTACTCTGTGATCTGTCTGGTAGAATAACAGGCCAAATCAACCTAATAGTCATCCTGAGGTACAGAATTATCCTTCACACCCCAGGAAGCTAAGCAGCATTATGGACATGGGAAGAAAGGGGAGTAATAGGTAAGACAGTCAGAAATAACAGACCCTTGTTTCCTAAGGCAGGAGATCTTTCAACTTGCAAATCCCTGTTCAACTGTGGTATAAGGAGAAAATATACTCTGTTAGTCTTGGTGGAAAGTAAGGTTCTCTGCTTGAAAACAAGGGCTTAAATAGCTGTCTTCTTGAGATGGCTAAAGTTGAATTTGGTTAGAGAGTGAAAACATGGCTAAACACCCAACAACCCTTACATATCTATAATTCCATTAAGCTACCCAGCACACATTTTGGAAAATAGTCTACCACTTGAACTAAAGGTGTATATTCTAAAAAATAACCACAAAAATCTAACAGATGCCTTTCATCCGCAAAACTATATGAATGTTTTCCTCCTGTAGGGAGTTTATTAATTATTTTCATAACTGTCTCTTCAATGTCTCTCAGTGACTTTTACTTACTCTCTCTTCTCTAGCATTGAACTCTGAAAGAACATACTTCACAGATGAGGTTGTGAATACAGAGAAAGGTTTGGGGAGCATTTTTCCATTTTAAACTCCATAAACTAATCTGAATACTTACCAGGTCCATAAAGATGTATTTATGACTTTTTCTTTAAAAGTCTCAGCTGGGCACAGTGGCTCACACCTGTAATCCCAGCACTGTGGGAGGCCAAGGCAAGCAGATTGCTAGAGCAGAAGTTCGAGACCTGCCTAGACAACACGGGCAACATGGTGAGAACCCCATCTCAAAAAAAAAAAAGTGTCATTTCTGACATTGAGAGGTCCACATTTCCATTGTTACTGTTCAAACATACGCATGGGGTTGGATGTAGAAAAGCAAAGGAAGGAAGAAAACAGAGAAAAACAAGGGATTCCTCCTAATGGAACTAGAAAACATTCCATTTGAAGGATACCCCTACAGTTTCCTCTCACTTAAGCAGATGAAAACCAGACCCCAACCCTCACATCTCACTAGCAGCCTGGATTAGTTTACATGTAGCCACTTTACAGATTTCAACGAAGCTGGGATCTGAATAGCAATTCCAATCTATCTGGCAATGGCTGCAGTTCAGGATCAGTCTCCCTAGTAATACAGGACAGAAAAATTTGTTCTTTCACGTTTCCTAAGTGAATAGCCACTCGTCTACAGAAAAGCTTAAAACAGTGTAGCAGCTTGTGTCAGCTCCAAGATGACTGAAGTCTGAGCAGGAAATAAGCCCCTTTTCCAAATAAAAGCCAGTGTTCTCTCCCCTTGTTTTCTCCACCGAATGTTCTGTATCAGCAGGGTGAGGCCAAATTGCATCCAGGGCTTTGCTGCAGCTCTGTCTTTAGCTTTTTTTTTTTTTTTTTTAAAAACGAGGATTTGGCCATTCAAAAAAAAACAACAACAACAACAAAGCAAAATCCCACCACATACAAGAAGAAAAAGAGAGGCATGCTTTACAAAACAGCTATTTCAAAATCATGATTTTTAAAAAAACTATACAGAATGTGGAACGAAGGGGAAAAAAAGTCTCATGTGGGTTGCGTCGGCACTGCAGCTGCTCCTCATTAAAGCTCCTCTTTACTCCCTCTGGGCTAGTTTCCAGCAGAAAATTCTTTGAACAGAACTCTGCTTTCAACCCACTTTCTTCTTGCGCTGGGCCTCTTGGCCCCCCAATCCGCAGTGGCAGCCTGCCCTAGCTGAGCTCTAGAGGGGGGAGCTGTCGTTAAGGTAAATGAGGTAAGGGCAGGGGAAAAAACTAACAAAACCCAGAAACCAAATTAAGCATCGGTCAGTAACAAAGGTCTGCAGTTTGAAAGGCTCCAAATCAGTCTGTTCTTTCCTGTGACCATAATGCCAGCTTAGTTTCCTGCCCCCCTACTCTGTCCCCCCTGTTAAAGTAGATAAAAATAATTGCTAACAGCCAAGGCTAGCTGGAACCAGTGAAAGTTCCTATGTAACATTCAATTCCCAAGGCTCCGACTACAAACTTGTAGGTACCCCAGAGCCTATAGAATCAAGTCTAAACTTCTAGGCTGGCATTCAGGAGGCCTAACCCACCTATTGGTCTAAACTCACTGGTCTCCCTCCTTTCAGTACCTCCTGGCTGAGGTCTGATGGGCTTGTCAACTTTTTAATTCTGTCACTCTGTGTAAAGGTAACTAACTAGGTTATGCTAATTACCAACTTTGTTTTAAAAACATGCATGAGGACTTCTAGTTAACTTCCTGGTAAAGAGGGGAAAAAAAGAGAAGAAGCTCTGTCATACTACTTCTTGCCATTCCCACTCTACTCTCAACCCCCCCTTCTCTCAAAAAAAAAAGAAAGAAAAAAAGGAAATACTATAGCTTACTCAGCAAGAAGGAAAAACAAAAAGAACTTTAAAAAAAAGTATTTGTGTATAGATTGGTGTCCAGAACTGGGACGCTTGTGGTAAAACACACTTTCTAGTGTAGTTTTTCTAGGGCCTTACTAGTTGTATGTGAAGGAAACAAAGACAAGTATACAATCTCTCACTCTCACACACGTACACACACACATACACACTTTTATCACAACTAATACACAAAGACTACCAAATACTGCAGGGCAGCTCATTTTTCTACTATGTAAATTCAGCTTCCTGGACAGACCATTTCTGCTTTTCTTGTAGAAGTATTTCAGAAAATGTTAATCTTGGTTCCCACATTAGGTTGCATGCTTCCAAATTAAAAGTTTCCCACAGGAAAAGAACTTCACGAGGAATTGTGAGGCTGGGAATTATCTCTGAAACCCCACCTCACTTAGTTTACATGTGTTAGGTTTTTCACCCCCTCATCTGAATAAAGCATTAAATACACACTGATTTTAAGAAACCTAAACCAAAAAGAAGCTGAAGTGATACGGACTTTAAAGCTGTTGATTCACAGCATCATTCATCTTCACTCAGACTATGAAATCAGTAACCACTGCAATGAGAAACCATGCTTTATTTATACAAGAACTTTACAAACATCCTTATCTTCCAGTTTACAGTCTGGGCTCATTTATCAGAACTCAAAGGCTGAGCTGAGCACCTAGTCTCTTCAATCATCACTTGAAAGATTGGGAAGGGGCACACAGTGTTAAAAGACTTGTGTTGTTGCTATAACAGAAGGTGGTCTTTCCTCTGTGTTCCAGAACACAATCAGGATCTTACCATACTTCACTGCACTGGACCCTGAGAAAATATCTACTTGTGATTAAAACATGGCAAACACATTCTAGACATATGAGTTTACAAAAAACACCCTTCGATGTAATGGACAAAACTGAATGAGTTAGCTCAGTTGTTCCCAAGGTATGGGCTGTGGAGTTATTGCAAGGGATTGCAATCCTTATAAATCACTTTCTAAACTACTAAACAGTATCTTGTCCATATTTAAATATATGTATATGCTTTTATGACTAGTAAAACATAAAGATATATTAAATGATTCTTGAATTCTTAGATTTTGACAGTATACATTGTATTCAAACAACACACTGAGAAATTGTTTCATCTCAAGCTCTCTCCTTTATGCACTATACTCTTGCTAAACGCCTTTCAGCTCCTAGAAAATGCTATAGTACACTACTTCTCACTTCCAGACCTCTGTACACGCTGTTCAGTCAGCCCAAAATGCTTTTCCCCACTTTCTCATGGCTAAGCCCTAAAATTTCATTAAGTCTCAACTTAAATGTTATTTCCTGTGAAAAACAGCCTTGATACCCCCTCTGTTCTTATAACCCTGAGCCTGTGTTACTCATTAGCCCTTATTATGATTATCTGTCAACAGACTAAAATTATTAATTCTCATACTCCCAGTGCCTAACACAATGACTGGCATATAGAAGGCATTCAACTATTCAGTGCAGAAGCACAAGGTCAAAATGAAGGGCTCTGTGGAATCTTTACCCCTTAAAAAGACCCTATAAATACACTTGAAGTTTGGGAACAACTGGGTTGAGCTATTTACCTAAAGGATTTTCAAAACTAATTAAGATTCCTGATATATAGACTACTTCTTAACCCCCACTCACCCCTATATCAGTCAAATTGGGCCAACTCCATGCAAAGTAGATTATTTTTTAATCACCTTCCCTCCCACCTACCAAATATGAAGTTAACCAACACACACAGAGAGGCATGTGTGCATGTGCAGACATACACACACACAGTCCTCATTCCCTCTTGCACTTTTATTAGTCTTTCATCGGTTGTTGATAAAAGACTGACTACATAAACCACCAGGGACCTGGAGCCCTGACTAAGAAAAAAAAAAATCCTACAAAGTGGCCTCAATAGCATGAACTGCTAGATTCTGTAGTGACTGCCATTGAAAATTAAAGAAGATCTCTAGAAAGAAAAGTGTTGGAGCCTTCTTTCCATTCCCCAATGTTGGTGGATGACCACCTTCAAAGTTCTGAAGTCCAAAAAATATCTAAAAGCAGAGTAATTTAAAAAGCTTACTGTTTAGTCTAAAAGGATTTTCCTAGATCAAAAACAACTGTACCTATTTGGATACCAAAAATGAAAAAGAAATAGTGCAGAATCTTTAGATTGCCTAATGGGATCTGGAGAAACAGCTCTTAGTCCCAGTCTACATTCTAATGAGTTATGTAATAAAGGCTAATTCGCTTAGCTGTATTACACCTCAGCCGCCTCACTTATAAAACAAAATGAGTGACAAAGGTGCTTTCCAAAGTCCCTTTGACCTCCTAAGTGTGATGACTCTATAATCTTGGCCTTTGAAGTCCCTTGGCAATACCACCCAAGGATGTAATGATGCTTGCTGATGTTAATGTTTGGGTGTTTGTGGTTGTATATGTCTTGACCACTGTCCCACTCCAAGCAGGGGATCCTAGGGTAAGAACTGTACTGTGTCTCTTTTTTAATATCCCTCACAGTGCCCATCACCCTCTAGGTGCACAGATAATTCAATATACACTTATGTAAATGAATTGTTCCACAACTCACACTTTCAGCTAGCCCCTCACAGATGCATAAGAAAGCAAAGAACAACCAAACAGAAGGAACAATATATTTAAATAAGATAAGGGGAATGAAAAAGAATCTTGTGTTTAAAAGGGATAGAAAGGTCTAACCATCTTCTATCCCAAACAACTGGCCAACATGAGAGCCTGTTTTCTTGAGCATAGAATGGTGGTAGGTATTTCAGCCTCTATGGAATCTGACCTGCTGATTAGTTATACAAGGCTAAAACTGACTGAAGTGTGTATGTAAGACAACGGTCTGGGAAGAGAAGCACTAAATTTAAGCTCACAGGGAATCAACCACTTAAAATGGTAAATTCAGATAGAACTTTATCCAGATTTCATTTTTATGCATCCTCTCTACAAGCATAAACGCTTATCTTACTCACTTCCCATCTCATGATGCTATCATCAATTCTTATAAAATTTAGAAAAGAATAGGTGATGTCTCCTAATTAGAGAGTTTGCTTCTGTCACAAACTGTGACAGTCAGTGTCAGCCTTTGCCTGGAAGAAAATGAGTCACTTTTTCATTAGTAATCAAGTTATGTCTATTTTTTAAGAGTGACCCAGAAATTCAAGGCCATGAGTTTCAGCAATACGAGACAGAGAATCAGACACCACAAACATTGTATACAAATAGAATTAAGACAGAAAAATTAAAGTCAAGGAGGTACAGAGTTACTTTTCAGGATGACTGAGGTTTCAGAAAGGGCAAGTTGCCCCGTAAAATATTCTCAAGATGTGTCTGGCTTACACAACGAGAACCAGTATTTCAAAATCTTAAAGTGACAGGCAGTTAAACGACTAAGGCACTACCATCGTCTAGGCAAGAGAATCTTAACCACCATCAAATGTTTTCCACACAGAATAGGCAGACCTAGTTTATTCTGGAAAATTGAGGGTTTGGATATGTACTATATAATCAGAGGAAACAAGCAGTAAAGGACCTGAGCTAATTTGGGGTAACCAAAGACTTGGCTAACAGATGCTTCCTTACTCTGGATCCCTCATATGAATCAGATCTGGCCAGCGATATGCTGGACAGAAGATATCTGAGGTTGAGATACCTGATTTCTCAACTAAGGGAATGAACTATGCAGTACATGAAAACCAACCCTCTTCTTAGTGCCTCTGTTTTCCTATCACTTTCCCTATCCCAATCCATTCTTGCTCTTGCCTTAGAGATTCTTAGATTCTGATTTTCCTCGCAAAACATGGCCACAAGCCTACCGCCTCTCTGTCTGGTAGAAGTACAAGAATCAAGAGTCAAGGCCAAAAAGGTCTGAGGGAAGGAGCATAATTGCTCCCAGCTGCCCTCTCTTCCTGTCCCCAGGTCCTCTCCTTCACCCTCACTCTAGGCATTCTACCTCCAAACGTTCAAGTTAACATGTGCTAAAGGAAGGATTTTCTAAATCACTTACCTGTCACTGTGAAACTAGATTAATCCACATACTGGTTTAGTAAAACCTCACACAAACCAGCATATACACAGAAGACAGCAATCAAGATGAAGAAAACGTTTGAAACTGTGTCATTAAGAAAATGTGATGAAGAAATTGGTAATGATTATTCCAGGAAATAACAGTCCCTTCTAGTCTCCTCAGCTCCCTTCCTCTCACCCTTCTCCTACCTATCCGTCTTCTAAGGCACCACTAATATTCAAAGATTTAGGATCTAAGCAGTGCACCAAAAGTCCTCTGATTTTACTCTTTTGTCCCACAGTACTTGTTCCTTTGTCTGAGTGTCCATAGTTATTATCTGTGCCCCTACACTGGGATATTACAAACTGTTTTATTTTACACATCTCTGTATGCTTCATCTCCCCAGCAAGACTTCAGAAGACTGCCACCATGTCTTATGCAGGAGAAACTGCATTCACTGTCAGACAGTCTCTGGGTACGTATACTTGTGAATAAGGAAGTCAGGTAACACAGGCCTCTTGGGCTTTTCTGGGTATTCACAATACCCAGTACAGTGATCAGTTATAGTAGCCTGCTCAATAAATACTAGTGTGATAAAAATTAAACTTTTGTTTGAAAAGTGAGGATTCTATAGTGCTTCAGAGTCCATCTAACTTTCAGTGTTCAGCACACAGGATTATAGACAGTGACTGCAGGAAAATGACCTGAATCTATACAGATTTAATAGTCTAAATGCTACCATTCTACATAAATCCTAATCAGATTATTTTCTTATTAACACCTACCTTTCTCCTCATATTTACGTGAAGGCAAAAAACTGGATAGAATGCTCTAGTTGAATGTGTTCGCTGAATAATATCACCCATCACTTAAATAATGCCTTTCTTAGTCTTTATTTTCACTTTTCTTTCATAAAACTCTTTTCATAAAGATCAAGTAGAAGACTGTTTAGGAGAAGAGCATTTCGAGCAGAAATTAACTGCATTACTTTTTCATAGGAGAAGGCTGATGGAGTCTAAGAATTGGCAATACATTTTTGGACACAGAGGACTAAGTGCTAGTGAAGGTCACTGACAGTGAATAAATAGGATCTAGAAAATGTGCGGAAATCCAATAGAAAGTTTAATTTACCTTACGTTGGGTTGTAAGGTAAAACTCAACTAAAAGAAATATGAAAACAAAATGCATAACACAGTCGCATGTGCACACATGTGTGCATACACACATATGACAGGAGGACGGAGAGACACTAAACTTCATTCCTAACTACTGTATGTTGAGAGGAGGCCTAATGAAAACCTCTATCACACCCACATATTTATGCTAGCTTAACAAATTTTAAAGTGCTTGGAAATTTTTAGATGATTACTTTTTCTCATATTCTGATATCCCCCATTCCTTTGCTATCATTCATAAGGGCAGATGTAGACAAAATTAAAGAATTTAATTAAGCCTCTCCATATCCTGAAAGAGAAATATTTCTCATTTTGCTTAGTCACAAAAAAAGGGAGAAAAAAAGAATTCCTGTGTGAAATTAATGGTGCTAATGAGACATGCCTGAATAAGAAACTTCACATAAGATTACGATTGACCTGGAGACTGTGTTGAAAGAAACCTAGCTAAATTCACATCTATTAATGCCAGACTGCAGGCCAAAATTTGTTGATTTAATTTCTTGGCAGTTACCCAAGACAGGTAAAAGGATATAGGCAGAGCCTAAGAACCAGATTCTCCTACTTCTTCACTGAACACTGAAATATATAAAGGTCCCAACTGAAAGAATAAAAATTAGTTGAAAATAGTATGGAAATTATGTTGCTATGTGTTAAGAAGCTACTAACTGGCCAGGCACAGTGGTTCAGGCCTGTAATTCCAGCCCTTTGGGAGGCAGAAGTGGGAGGATCACTTGAGCCCAGGAATTCGAGACCAGCCTGAGCAACATGTGAGACCGTGTCTCTATAAAAAGTTTTAAAAATGGGAGACTGAGGCAGGAGGATGGATGGCTTGAGCCTAGGAGGTGGAGGCTGCAGTGATCCATGATTGCTCTACTGCACTCAAGCCTGGGCCACAGATGGAGATGCTAGTAACCAAGACTTCCTTTACAAAAGACCCCTTAGGGAAACATCATATTTGATAAAGGATTTTAATAGGACATAAGTATTAATAAGAATCACTTAGGAATGGTACTGTTAAAGGGTCCAGATCTCAAGTCCTAATACAAGGAAAAGCCTCACAGGACATACTCATATGCATCTGTAACTCACTATGCAAATGTAAGGTGCCATATTCAACAACTTGTGACTTTTGTGCTGGCAACAACATTTATCAAAAATCACTGAATTTAACCTGTCTCAATTTCACAACTGCATAAATCTGTCTGGACTTGCTCCTGTTCCATTAGTAAAAAGAAAGGAGAAGTTTCAAATTAGTTCTCTCTACTGAAGCACACTTTAATAGACAATATCCTCTATCCCCACCTTCACTGCCCTCTTCTTCTATTTCATCCACAGTTATTACATTGAGCTTTCATGTTAAAGGCCATTTCTCAGAAATGCAGTATTCACCAAACCTGGCCCATGTACACTCATGTAACTATATGCAGATTTAGTGTTCTAGAATGATATGAGGTACTCAGGCCTACCTAATGCTACTGTCTTTAAATTTAGAAATTACATAAAGCAGTGTTTTAATCATATTCCTGATCTGAAAAGTCCCCTTTTTGTATACTTTCAAATGTTCCACACTTCCTTTTCAGAAGGTTCCATTTGAACTACAAACTTAAAACAGGTAATTCTGTCCCATTTTATTGACAGGCAAACTGAGACTCAAGGTGACAGTACATTTTCCACGAGTATATCTCAGGTTAGCTACAGAGTGATGGGATCTTGAGTGAATTATTTAACTTCTCTTAGCTTCCATATAGTCTCTCTCTCACATGGGGACTAAAGTAAATACATGTTAAACTACTTGAGAACAGACCCTAATACGCAATAATGTTAGCTAGCATTATAGACTTTAACTTGCCAAAGATCCAATTGTTAATAGGAATCAGGACTCAAACTTAAGTCTATCTGGCATAAAAAAACCTATGTCCTCAGCTGGGTGTGGTGGCTCACGCCTGTAATCCCAGCACTTTGGGAGGCCGAGGCGGGCAGATCATGAGGTCAGGAGATAGAGACCATCCTGGCTAACACAGTGAAACCCCGTCTCTACTAAAAATACAAAAAATTAGCCGGGCGTGGTGGCGGGCGCTTGTAGTCCCGGCTACTTGAGAGGCTGAGGCAGGAGAATGGCAAGAACCCGGGAGGCGGAGCTTACAGTGAGCCAAGAAAGCGCCACTGCACTCCAGCCTGGGCCACAGAGCGAGACTCTGTCTCAAAAAAAAACAACAACAAAAAACTATGTCCTCTTCATGTCACCAGTCAAGGATCTTCCAGGACCCTTACTCCACTCACCAGTGCAGGCTGAACCATACTAGATCATAAGGCAAAAGAAAAAATCAGTAGTACTTATCTCCTTATTTAAAATTTTGATAATTTTCAACTTATTTTGCATTAATTTTGATTTTTTGAACAACTACATACAAACATTATTTTGATTAGTGAGTTTTTTGGCACTCTCTTAAATTTCACAAGAGAGGCCTGTGCCTTACTTGCCTCACCATGGTCCCAGCCCTGCCATTCACTGGCGGCCCCTGTACAGAAGGCCACATTATAGTCAGTTTTTTTCATACTTGGCTTTACTCTGAACCTCTCTAAGAAGCCCAAGTTAATGAACTGGTAATTATTTTATGACTTCCCAAAGAAGTGTGAAATAATATGATAACAATATTGATTAACTGCAACTACTACCACAGACTTGAGTTATCTGTTATATGTGGTACTCATAAATAGCATGCAATAAATAACTCTTGAATTAATAAAACCTGAACACATTACATTTTAAGAAAAGATTACTCTATGAGAGGTATTTAATGAGCCAAGAAAACAGCATTCTTTGTTTTATGTTAAAAAGATAAATGAACTATGGAAAACTGGCCAAGCTTCTGCTATCATTTTCCAGAAAAACTATATACACAATGTTCAGCTAAATAGGCACCGTACTTGAAGGAACTAGGCTGGCAGAACCAGTTTCAGCTGAGAAGAAAGAGAAAGTAATTTAACAGTTGATATTTTTCCCTGTCTATTTCTTTGATCTGACAATGCCCCTGTGCCTCCCTGAATGCACTCACAAGAAGGTGAAGGAAAAGGGGAAATGCTGAGTCAGCCATGACTTCTGAAAACGCCCTTTTGGGGGAGAAGCACCACAACAGAACCATTGCGAATGCATCCTCCATAAAAAGCTAAGTTCTAAGGGATTATGAGTGTCTCTACTCTCTACTTACTATACAGACATTTACCAAGAAGACAAAGAAGGCAATGGCTCTAGTTTTTCTTGGATGGATTCAGGAAATCTGGACCACCAACATGACTGCCTAATCCTGGCAAGGAAAATTGTTAGCTGTTAATGTTTAATGTTTATTACAGCTAGCAGACAAGTTTTAGACAAAATGTGACACAAAGTTATATTTTATAACACTTTATATTTATAATAATTTACCTTAAAGTGTAGTTTTTAGATCAGCACTTTAGCAAAAAGTGGACATTCTCAAATGCAAGCACCCATCTACAGGAATGTATACAACTCACAGTGACTTTCTGCTGTTTTACAAACACTACGTTAGATATTTACCAAGTGGTATGTATGAAATTCTGAAAGGCCCCTTTATATTTCCAATTTTCATCATTAAAAATAATTGCAGAGTAACTTATATCAGACTAGCCCTCTTGCTCTGGACAAAATATCAAAGGCACTGGAGAATCACTGAAAGCAGGCATAAACTAGAAGGGATATAAGCCTCAGAAAAAGCAAAGCAAACTATATGAAACCCACATTTACAGTTTTGTTTTTTTTTTTATCGTGAAGGTACACCCCAGTTCATGCAGCAGAAGAGGAAGAGTGTGCAAGCAGAAAATGGAAGTCCTGTGATACTGAGGAGTCAGAGGTATCTGGAGCTGTCACAGCAGCTAGAATATGAGGAGAAAAATTCCTGGAAAAGACAGAACCACAGAGTGGGTAGCTTCAAAGTATGCATACAACTCTGCTCAAATCCTTAAATAATTCCTGACTATGCATGAGCAAGATAAGATTCAGAAACCCAAGAGAAAGTAAGAGCTGGACGGCTGAAAAGACTGAGCAGAAGGCTCCTGGGGCTGGGAGGACAAGTTCTGCCTTAGAGGGGCTTAATGAACACCTCAGGGCTTGGTAGGCCCCTCACACTTACCACTGAACCCCTAGAAGGGTCACATCTTGGGAATAAGAACCCTATCCCATGACTAAGATTTGTGTCATCGGACTAAGGGCAGAACAGAAGTAGGCCCACCCTAACGTGTCCTAAAACCTAGCATCCATAGGATCAAGATGATCTGCCAATCTTGACAAAATTCAACATTCTTTAGTGGGAGATAAACTTTAAAATCTATCACCCACAATGTCCAGTAAGTAATGTAAAACTACCATACATGTGTAAAGTAAAGGGAAGTCATACCCATGGTCCAAAGAAGGAGCAGTTGATAGAAACAGAAACACATCCATAGACAACCCAGATGTTAAGAACCAGCAGACAAAGATTTTAAATAACTACAATAAATGTCCTTAAAATACATATTTTGTCAATTATACAAATCATAACCTAACCTACCCCCAGAATCCTAGTGAACTTGAGTTGTCCATGATCTTTAATCAAATTGGGATTTAGAATGGTTTATATTTGAAAGTCTGAAGCAAACAACTTGAAAGTGATTAATGACATCAAATTTAATTACATATTTACACCTCCCAGTAGGACAAGGGAAAGAATAAAATATCTTATCTCCCTGTAGTGAGACAGCTTTATTAAGATTTGACAGTAGTTATTTAACAGCAATAATTGAGTTTTATGCAAGATTATACACGTTCTCCTAATCTGGCATCAAAATCTAATCACAGACTGATAGGGTACTTAGGCTCCTAACAGTGAGAAAAAACAGTGGAGCTGAGTACAAAACTAATCTTCAAAAGTAGTTATCTTCATCTGTCAATGTGATCTTATCAAGGATTTTTATAATTTCTATAAACAATCATTATATTTTAGCTGAATCAGTAGCATTATGCTGTCTAAACAGATAGTCAGATTCCTTCTATTTTAAAACACTTTCTACCAGTTCCCATCCCACCACTCACCACTCACCCCTACGCTGGCCCTGTAAAAGGAATTTGGCTTCAACTTTCTTTTCTTAATCCACTAAGCAATCGCATGAATAAAAAGATAATCACATGCCCTGCATGCCTGATAGAATTTTTATAAATCTTCTAAGTGTTTTAATATTTATTTTCTATTTTGTGAAAATAATATTTACTGAACAAGCTAGATCATCTTCTTTCTCCACAGAAAAAAAGGTAAGGTTGGTGAAAATACACTGAAAGCTCTGCTAGGTACACATTATTTTTGCATAAAATTTTGCTTAAAATTCTGTGGAGGCTGGCAAAGCACTGTAGAATGATTGACATGGCTGCCTTGATATTGTTCTTGCTTTTTCTTTGTCCACTTATGTTGACCCTGCCACTCCTAAATATGCTAATATTACTTTTGCTGAGGTAGGGAATCACTCTCTTTATACAAGTTTTGTTGTTCATCTTGGTCTCCCAAAAGGATGGCCTCACCAAATTTTTTCTTACTCTCTCTCAAGGAGTTTGTTTCCCTCAAAACAGGAAAGACATCTGAGGGACATACCCAGAACTGTATCCATAAGCATTCCATCCTATCAACAATTAACAAGTAGCCAGGGACAGAATTTAGGCAGCTCCATTTTCTTTTTTTTTTTTTTTTTTGGAGACACAGTCTCGCTCTGTCGCTCAGGCTGGAGTGCAGTGGTGCAATCTTGGCTCACTGCAAGCTCCGCCTCCTGGGTTCAGGCCATTCTCCTGCCTCAGCCTCCCGAGTAACTGGGATTACAGGTGCGTGCCACCACGCCCAGCTAATTTTTTTGCATTTTTAGTAGAGATGGGATTTCACCGTGTTAGCCAGGATGGTCTCCAACCTTGGTTGGAGAGTATGAGACTAGCAGCCCAACAGTCCAACAAAGAACTATTGGACTTCTTCCCAACAGTGACCCTTAGGTGTCCTCTCCTGGTAAGTGCTCAGAGATTAGTCTCCCCTAGAAACCTTCTTTCCCCATGTCAGACCAAAAATATATAGGCGAACACTTAGAACATATTTGAAATTCTCCATATATAAGTCACCAAGTTGAATGATCTTCAAATAGAACCAATTTGCCTCTCTGTATGGTATTACCACCCTGAATGCTATGTGAAGTAAATAAATTTTTTTTAAATTTTACTTTTAAGTTTTGGGATACATGTGCAGAATGTGCAGGTTTGTTTCATAGGTATACATGTGCCATGGTGGTTTGCTGCACCTATCAACCCGTCATCCAGGTTTTAAGCCCCACGTGCATTAGGTATTCATCCTAATGCTCTCCCTCCCCTTTCCCCCCACCCCCTGACAGGCCCCAGTGTGTGATGTTCCCCTCCCTTTGTCCATGTGTTCTCATTGTTCAACTCCCACTTATGAGTGAGAACATGCCGTGTTTGGTTTTCTGTTCCTGTGTTAGTTTGCTGAGAATGATGGCTTCCAGCTTCATCCATGTCCCTGCAAAGGACATGAACTCATTCTTTTTTATGGCTGTATAGTGTTCCATCATGTATACATGCCACATTTTCTTTATCCAGTCTATCACCGTTGGGCATTTGGGTTGGTTCCAAGTCTTTCCTACTGTAAATAGTGCTGCAGTAAACACACATGTGCATGTGTCCTTATAGTAGAATGATTTATAATCCTTTGGGTATATACTCAGTAATGGGATTGCTGGGCCAAATGGTATTTCTGGTTCTAGATCCTTGAGGAATCGCCACACTGAAATTTTTAAAGGAGAGAACCAGTGTCTTCTTATTTAACATAAATAGATAAGAAACATGTGCATGATGGTATCTACTTAGCACCTTTTAGTTTAAGAAACACATTGCTGAACAATAACTACACCAGGCACTGTACTAGGCATTAACTATGCAAAAAATGCATAAGACTAAGACCTCACATTCTAGCAAAAGAAACACATCAACAAATGACCATAATGCAATGGGGTTAACTACCACAAGAGTTGCATAACAGAATAAAGCAAGCAACTAAGGCACCAAATGCCACAAAAAGACTAAACAAGATTTCAGTGGCCTACTCTAAGGTATTAAGTTCCCTCCCTTATTATCTCCAGTTGTATCTCCATTCTTAGAGGAGAATGCACCACGTTTTTTTTTCCCCCAGCTAGAAAAACTAAATGAGCAGCCCATAATAAGCTACATAAAACCTTTATTTCCAATGTTATCTTTATTCCAATCCAAACAACCTATTGTTAAGCTTTACTGTCATCACAGCTTAAAATATTTTCACTTTAGTGAAGAAAATTATTTCTGACTTGAAAAAAAAAATCTTGTTTATAACATTAAAAAACTAAATCCTGGTGTCAGAACAGATCTCACTGGAAAAAAGTTGTAATTACATTCCTGGTAAGAAATAAAAATGTGTTGGATAAACTCACTTAAAATGCTTACTAAGCAAGTACCTCCACCAAAGCAAAGAACAACTACTCCTCACAAAAATGAAGGAAAAGAAGAGAAATTTCATATTACCAAATTTTATTTCTCCAGCATCTTCCCTGAAATAAAAAGAATGGATACATATTCCTCTTAAAAATTTTCAATTGAGGCAGAAGAAAAAAAAATTATTTGCAGGAAACCTAGAAAAGCTATTATGAAATTATCTCACAGCCTTCCTCAAACAAACAAAACGTCTTGGCTAGAGTAGATGGTTGGAGAAAAAGGAAAAAAAAATGCTCTTAAGCCAAGAACTAGCCTACATTTTCCTTCATCCTTACTCTTTTATCCCCATATAATAATACACACCCAAAGCCCCTGCTCCCCCTCAATCTACACACATGCACACATCTTCCTCTCTCACTGTCTCACTTTCAGAATTAGATTTTTTACACTAGAAAAAAATATGAATATAATATTCACATATACTGGGCCGAATATTAAAGTTGATATCTATTTGGTTTTACTTAAAAACAAGATAATAGGTAACATGTTAAGGGGAGACTCTAAGAGTATGCCTTAATCTGAAAAACACAAGGGAATCTAATATATATTTTTTTATATTTTTTTTTATTTCTTTTTGAGATGGAGTCTTGCTCTGTCACCCAGGCTAGAGTGCAATGATGTGGTGTCAGCTCACTGCAACCTCCGCCTCCTGGGTTCAAGTCACTCTCCTGCCTCAGCCTCCCGAGTAGCTGGGACTCCAGTCATGCGCCACCACACCTGGCTAATTTTTGTATTTTTAGTAGAGATAGGGTTTCACTATGTTGGCCAGGCTGATCTTGAACTCCTGACCTCGTGATTCGCCCAACACAGCCTCCTGAAGTGCTGGGATTACCAGCATGAGCCACCATGCCTGGTCTACCCCATATACATTAACTAGCCACTCACTGAAAAGTCTTTTTCATAGTGAGAAAGATAACAGTAAGATAGTAAGAAGTTCTTATTAGCCAATTATCTGGCATCCACATCCTTCCATCCTCACCCCCAACCAAAATCTGTACCAGGAAAGCTCAAGAACCAGTAACATTCCACAGAAGCATTAAAAATAGAGGAGTAGAATCAAATCTTGTCCAGTGTTCTATCGCAAAAAGAAAATATATGAAGAGAAAAACTTACTTGCAGTATCCTGTGCCATTGTGGTAGGTAACACACATTCCTTCATTTACACAGGGTTCATAGCCATCTCGACACTGCAATGCTAAAAATAAAAACAAATGCACATTAGAAGTAAGTCACTAATCATAACCCTCAGACACCAAAGAAGTGTAATCCAATCCAGATCAGCATTCATTCCCACCTAATCTGGGTTTCTTTTTAGAGTTTTAATCAGTTTTTTATGTTCTGGCTTCTAGCACAGAAGCCCATCCCAAAACTATCTTCCAACAATAACCACGTTTGTGGTCTTGAATGATGCTCTTATTTCTCTGTGTTTTAGTATCTCCAGCTGTTACATCTCCATCTCCCAATTAAAAATTAAAGCCATACCATCTATGGCATGACACATCATCTTGGGATTTAGATACTTCAGATGAGTATTATAAGGATTCATCAATGAGTGTTTAGGAAAATGCTAGATAAATAATAGATCACCATTATACTGATGAATTACTTAGCCTTCAGGTGAAGTTTTAAAACAGACCGCTTCAAGAAGTAATCAGAAACAGCAATAACAGTAATTCGACAAACTAAAATTGAGAGCCTAGTATGCACCAGGCACAAAATTAGGATCCAGAAAAAAGGAGAAATGGAATACATAAATAAACGAATAAACATAATCTCTAGCTTTAAGGGGCCCATAAAAAGATGGGGAGTAGATCATGAATAGAGACTGCAGAGAGAGTATCAAAAGAAATAAAAGGAGAAGGCAATTTTATACATACAGATAAAACAAAAATTCTCAAACTGTTGATTCCCCCATTCCCTTTAAGAGACAATAAAAAGGCACTTTACCATCTGAGGCCCTCCCAAAAACAGACTTTTCAGAGAAAAGAACAAAAACAACAGCAATAGTAGACATTTTCATTGATTTCAGCCAAGAATGGAAGAAGTCTACTCGAAATCTGCCAATCACTTGCTGGATAATTACAATATCTTGATTGTTTAGCTTTTAGAGTTGAAATTTTCATCACCAAAATACATATCAAGAACCCTAACAACTGGAAAGGTAAGACAGAAAGAAACCTAGTCAAACAATAAATATCAAATTGAAGCTCATGAACTCTTTCTTGGAAGTTATTAAGATGTCCATCTCTTATGATAGTTAATGTATAAATACCTGAAAGCAAAACTGAGAAGTTCCCCCTCTCCAAGTTTCCTCTAACCACACCACTCTATGCATAAATTGTGCAAGATCAGAGAGACGCTAGGCCTGGCCATCCCTGGCCACGAAACCAGTAGCCCAGGTGCAAGCTGGATGTCAGAACAACTCCTCCAACAACAATTACTGCATAAAAGCCCAGTATTGTATCCAGTAGTAGAATCATTTGAGAACATGTTTACAGAAAATGCATCCCATCCTTGAAATAATATTTTTAAATGGTAATAGTAATAATAATAATAGGCTAACACATAGAACTTACTAAATACCAGGCACTATCCTAAGTACTTTACATAAATTAGCTAACTAATTCAATCTTCACAACAACCCTTAGAAGTAAATTTCATTATACCCACTCTCAGGTGAGAAAACAGGGAGGATAAGTGGCCTGCCTACTGCCATGCCAGTGAGTTAGAAAGCCAGAATTTGAATCCAGAGACTCTGCCCTTAACCACCAAGATACACTGCTTCCCACTACCTGAAATTTCTCAGGATTGGCAGCGTGGATATTATTATACCCATTTACCAATAGTAGAGGCCAGAGAGAATAAGTGGCCTCTTTATGGGGCATTGCGCCACTAGCTGGTGGCAGTGCTGGGCCTAGGACCCAGGTCTCAGTAAAAGTCCAACCCATCTCTATGACAGCTGTTGGGATCACACAAAGAGTCACCAGGCTGCAGGCCCAAACAGGCAAATTCAGGAAGAGGGTCATCTTGTTGTCCATATCCCACTTCCCTGTAAGGCTCAAATGCTCCCTCTTCCCACACTGATAAGCCCAATGCAACAACTATAATTAAAACAGTTAATGTCAGGTTATTTCCTCCATACCAAAGTTCTCAAACTGATTTTTTCATTCTCTTTAGACACTTTTATTAGTTTCAGTGAGAACTTCCGGGGTTTTTTCTATTTACTTTTTTTCTTTAAATAAAATAATAAATAAATAAAACCCTCACAGTAGGAAAGGAATGTCCTGTAGGCACAGAAAAAGCTGTAGCTCTGTCCCCCTGCAGGAATCCTGGTGCAGTGGAGGGACTCAGGAGACCTGAAATCCTGTCTGTACCCCTAACTGCAAGCAAAGCACAACTTCATGGGGGCTCAATTTCCCTACCTGTACCAAGCTGAGAGCGAACTAAATGTCCCTGAAGGTTCCCTGTGATCCACCAGCGACAGCTCCCTCCTTATAAGTACATGAATGGCATGCCCAGTGCCTGAAGAAACCTGGAGTACATAATGACCCAGCCACCCATGACTCAGAATGCCATGGGTGCAAAAATCACGGCCTGTTCCTATTAAGTGTCCTGACAAATCATTACAGTGACAGGTTCAGAGAAATACAAATAACCCAAAGTCAATATGTAGCAATCAATCTAGCAAATAACTTTACAGCCTAGCCCTAGTGAACCAATCAAACTCAGTGACTGAAAAGAAGGTGGGCTTACCAGGCTAATAATTAATGCCACTTGGCTGATGTGTGGGATCATGCTACCTTGAACCTTTAGCATTTACTGAGCCACGGTTCTCAAACTTTAGTAAGCATTGGAATCACTTGGAGGGCTTTTTAAAAAAGAGTGTTAGACTCGACCCCCACAATTTCTGACTAAGTCCGCAGGGAGCCTGGGAATCTGCATTCCTAACAAATTCCCAGGTGATGTTGATACCACAGGTCTGAGGAACCACACACTGACTATGACTATATGAACGCTTGAGTGTCCACTTTTAAAAATACTCAAAAGCTATATAATATAGAGGTCTTAGATGATTTAGATGATAACATATTGTCTGAATAAACAGGATGTGGAGAAATGGAACCCTTCTACTCTGTTAATGGGAATGTAAATTAGTACAACCATTGTGAAAAACAGTGCAGACGTTCCTCAAAAAACTGAAAATAGAATCACCACATGATCTGGTAATCCCACTGCTGCGTATTTACCCCAAATATTTTAAATCAGTTTATTGAAATGATGTCTGTACACCCATACCAAGTTATGGAAGTGTCCATCAACAGATGAATGGATAAATAAAAGGTGGTAGATAGGCTGGGCACAGTGGCTCACGCCTATAATCCCAGCACTTTGGGCGGCTGAGGTGGGTGGATCACGAGGTCAGGAGTTCAAGACCAGCCTGGCCAAGATGATGAAACCCCATCTCTACTAAAAGTACAAAAATTACAGCACGCCAGTAATCGCAGCTACTCAGGAGGCTGAGGCAGGAGAATCACTTGAACCTGGGGGGCGGAGGTTGCAGTGAGCCGAGATTGCTCCACTGCACTCCAGCCTGAGTGACAGAGAGAGACTCCATCTCAAAAAAAAAAAAAAAAAAAAAAAAAAAAAAAAGCTGTGGTAGATATATACAATGGAATACTATTCAACCTTTAGATATAAATTCTGTCATTTGAGACAACATGGATAGAATTGGAGAACATTATGCTAAGTGAAATAAGGCACAGGAAGACAAATACAGCATGTTCTCACTTATATGTAGAATTGAAAACCATCAAAATCATAGAAGCAGAGAGGAAAATGGTGGTTACGGAAGCTGTGGGCCTGATGATCAATGGGTACAAAAAGCTACAGTTACACAAGAAGAATTTTTTTGTATATGTTTGAGATATATTGCATAGAGTGGTGAATATAGTTAATAATAGGGTATTGTACATTTCAAAATTGCTAAGAGAGTAAATTTCAAAAAATGTTAAATATTTGAGATGAAGGATACACTAACTACCTTTTAATTGTTCTACATTGTATTAGCAAATTATAACATCACTTTGTACCCTATAAATGTATACAACTATAAATTGACAATTCTAATTTTTAAAAAAGAAAAATAATCTTGAGACTCGTGGCTTTACTCAGGAGCAAAAATGAATACTATAATTATCTTCCATACAAAGAGAAATTAAAACTTTGATAACCTGAAGCCATGAAAGTGAGACCGGGACAGACCTCATTTCAAAATTCAATTTACTTTTTTCCAATGTAAAACACTTAAATTTAACAATAAAATTGAAGGCAGCTTCATGCTTATAAAGTAAAAAAAGAAACATTAATCATACCATAGAGAATTGATGTTTAAACTGATGCTTTAATAGACTCCAAGAAACTAGTCACTCACAAAGAGTCACATTTAACCCCAATTTTCATGTCAATAAATATTTGCTGGCTGAAATAAATCTTATTTACTGTGTGTGTATCTGCTGTTTGTGCAGGCCCTCCTCTACTCCACCAAAAAAAAAAAAAAAAAAAAAAGCAAAAAGAAGTAGTAGATTTCAATCTCATCACTCCATCATTTGGCAATATAATACAAAAATCTAGAAGCCAATTTCCAATTTTCATACACTTTCAGTGCAGTGCATTTGGGAACTAGCTATCTAATATTCAGAACATATTTAGAAAGCATCTACTATCGGCAGGCACAAGCCCTGATGTCAGGGATACCGTAGTATACAGAATAAACTCCCTGTCCTCAGGAACCTTATTTCTATAAGAGAAAGGTGGCTAAAAAATTAATAAATAAAATAATTTAGGACAGTAATAAGCGATAAGTTCCATTGGAAACAAAACCCAGTAATGTATAAAAAGCAATCATGAAGGCTGGGGGTGCAGGAGTGTACCTCAGATAGTGTCTAGGAAAGGCCTCCCTGAGGAGGTATGCTTTGAGCTACAATGTAAATGAACAAGTGTCATGAAGATATGAGGGAAGAGCACCCCAGGCAGAGGAAACAACAAGTGTAAAAGCCTTGAAGTGGGAATTAGACTGGTATTCCAGGTTCATATGGCTAGAGGTTATTAAGCAAGGACAGAGGCCAGGGAGGCAGGCTGGGGTTAGATCACAAGAGCCCATGATAAGAATCACAGCTCTAAGTAGGAGAGTAAACTACTCAGCTGTTTTAAATAAGAAAAATGACACAGATTTATGTTTGAAAAAAGTCAAGATTATGAAATGGTCCAGTGAGTAAAAAGGTTTTTCTTTTCTTTCTTATATAAGCTTATTCAAGTCATCCCTTTTTAGACTAGACTGAAGACATCCATTTTCCCAGCTCCCCAAAATGGCAATGATTTTATTCTAACCGCATCTAACCTTCCAGAAGCACTACTTGTAACATGTTGCCCCACTACTTTCTAACCTACAAGGGCTGTCAGTTCTTACTTAGTTCTCAGAACTTAGCCTCAGTTTGGCTCTCTTAAGAACCAGTTGGGAGGTCTGTGCAGTACCTTCACACAGTACCAAGTTTGACACTTTTTCTTCCAAGGACAAGCCATTTCTTACTTTAACGAGTCTAGGCTCCCATGCTGGCCTTCCAGATCAGAGCTTACCTTACCTGCCCAGTATTACTCCCCACCACTTCCACTGCATTCTCTGCCCAGTTTATGCCCTCTTTACTGAACAGATCGTCATTGAACTCAGTTCCATTCCTCCATGCATGTCTGTGCTTCCACTGATTTCTGCCTTCCTCATTACTATCTAAATTCTACCCATTCCTTCAAGGCCCAGTTCACCTCTTGCCTCACCCAGAAAGCTTCCCCTGGAGGGTTCTGGTCCTCACAGGGCCACCACCCCCTATCCTTGTAACACTCATGACTCTCAATTCAGCACTACATGGTCTTCTAGCTCTCTGCTTTTTCACTTTTAAGTTCCTGGGATATGGAAAACATTTCGTCTTTTCTGAGTATTTGAAGCAATGCAGTTAAGCAGTTGAAAGCACGGATGCAGAAATCAGACAAATCTGGGTTTGAATACTAGCTCCACCATTGACTATCTCTGTATCTTCTTTGTGCTTGATATAGTTTGGCTATTTTGTCCCTTCCAAATCTCACGTTGAAACGTAATCCCCAATGTTGAAGGTGGGGCCTACTGGGAGGTGTTCAGGTTATGGGGGCAGATCTCTCATGAATAGCTTGGTGCCCACCCACAGTAATGAGTGAATTCTCGCTACCATGTGAGCTGGTTGTTTGAAAGAGACTGACATCTCTCTTGCTCCCTCCTCTCTTGCCATGTTACATACCTGCTCCCTCTTCACCTTCAGCCATGAAAGTTTTTTGGGCCCTCACCAGAAGCAGATGTTGGCTCTAAACTTCTTGTACAATCTGCAAAGCTATTAGCCAAATAAACCTTTTTTCTTTATAAATTATTCAGCCTCAGGTATTCCTTTAGAGCAATGCAAAACAGACTAACATACTTCTTTTAAAAAACTATAGCACTGAAGGCATAAGGAGAAGTGATCCACTAAAGGTAAAATAAACAATATATGTGAGCAAAAACTCAATTTTAATACAGTTCCACTAATATTTGTCGAGAAACTACTGTCAGCATTGTCCCCTACTAGGCACTGCATGAAAATTAAGCACAAATAAAACAAACAATCTCTGTCCTCATGGTCCTTACAATCTAATGAGAAGTTGGGAGTAGGGGCAGAGAGAATGTGACCTACCCAAATGACTCTAAGATAAATACAAACAAAATAAAAATTGCCAATATATACCCTTGGCATACCCTCTTAATACCAATCTTGGAATCACTCCAAAAAGAACTTTTAAGAAATACAATATGAACCCTTGATGTTTAGCACTAACTGTAACTCAATCCAGACAAGGCTCTTTTATTTATTCAGGTTTATCAGCCCCAATTGTACATAAAAACTGCAAACAACAGAATAAGCTGCCATTGATTTTAACCAGTTCCAGCGCCTCAGAAATTTATTCATTTAAGGATAAGGCTAAGGTATCCAGACTTGATGGAATCTTCCTTAAAATTTCCTCTAGGCATTTACCTAAGTTTTCCAATGCTTTTCACTATCATACCAGCTACATATCACTGGCTTAAAAGCCTCCCTTTGTTTTAGGAATCTCTAACATGAGTAATTAAGTCTGTACTTCAGCCAGTGTAATCTGAGCAGCCTTCAATGTGTTTTACTTGTTGCATTAACATGTAATCGTTTTAAACTGGCATTACTTGTTGCTTTGTAGCTTCTTCAAATAAGCCTCTGTCGTCTATCTCACATGATTTTTTTCATATCCTTCTCCCTATGTGCAGTGTGGTATCTGTGCTTAGACCCACTGCTCAATCGGAAGGTATTTTAACGTCTTGACTGTCTGAGGCTCCTAAAATACATGAAGAGGAGTTATACAGGCTCTTTTAACTTTTTCTTCAATGTTTATGCAAATTTCAAGTAGCAATATTTGAGAGATGAAGTCTGAGTTTACGCCCTAGGATCTTGGCTGTGGTTGGCTGCTGTTGATTCTGGCACATGGCCTCTGGAAGAGGCTCAGTAAAATGAACAAAGCAAAGTTTTCTAAAATGACTGCCTGCATTATTACCAAAAATAGGAGAATTGAGGGCAGACAAGGAGACATCAGGGATTTGCAATAATTCTCATAGCGCCCTGCAATTTCAAACAAAACTTTCTCTAAATTTTGTATTCCATTTTTTGGGATCAAGCCATGAAAAAAAAATCCAAACAAACAGAAGAAGTGCGGAAGCTTCAAATCCCAAGTGGTACATTTAAATAAAAACGAAGTGGAGAAACATCTGTCTTCCTCCTTGAAATTTGTCTTGATTAAAAGGAAAAAAAAAAACAAAAAAAAGCAATAAGAGATAAATCGATTTTGTTTTCCTAATAGTGTTCCAAGGATTTATGTGCTCTTTACAGATATTATCATATAGAAAGTGTGTTTTCTACCTAAGAGATGCTAGTATCAGATCCAGATATTAAGAACTGGGCTATAGGGTCATAGCAAATTATTACTGCTTTTCAAAAACTGAAAATATACCTTAAGAAAATATAATCAATGATAACAACTTATAAATGAATATTTTTTGTATTACTAATAGACTTTTCATACTATAAAAAAATCATTCCAGTTAGCTGATAAATCTAGAATAATTTTTGGTTTTAAAAATTCCAATTTTGTTCTATTTTATAATATTGAACTTATTGCAAAAAAAATTCATCAGTGTTTGCTGTGCTATATTGAAATCTACTATATACTGTGTAGTTTTTCCTTTTATTTTTCTCTTATTAAAGACTTCAGAAAAAAATTCAATTTATGCATGGGTTAAATTTCAATACCTGGATCTTGGAGATGAGACTAATGTATTCAGCTCTTCTACATGAAATATAAGGTTTGAAAAATCCACAAATACTTACAAATTAGGATGTAGCCAATTTGCTAATAATGATCACCTCTATACCCATGTACATTCTTTTACCTGAAAAATATTTTACCTCCTTTTCCTTTTTCTCTATCTTGCTAAATTCCTACTATATTTCAAATCACAGATAAAGCATTATTTTCCTGAAGAAGCTCTCAGAGACCCACTGATACAGATGTTCCTCTTCTGTGCTCCCATTTTATCCTAAGTAGATGTATTATAAGTGCTGGCTCACTCATCTCTCTCTCTCCCACTTCTAGGCAAATTCCATAGAGGCAGTAACCACAATTGGCTCCTCTTTGTACACCTGGGACCTAAGAAGATGCCTGGACCACAGCAGGTACTCAATACTCAATAAGATATTCAATAAACTAAATATCTATAATTAAGACAAAACCTAAGAATAAACCCAACCTTCAGCTTGCATGTTTATGTGTGGAATTTCACTTTGTGTAACAAATTAGAAAAGTAAAATAAGAAAGAACAAAATGCTGCAAATTTCCAGGCCTTTAACAAGGATGAAAAGTTGAGAAAGTAGAATTGTACTTTTCTAATCTTTGCAAAACTGAAACAGTTTTGAAAGTTCCTTTCTTACCATTTGTTTGAATGAAGATACACTCTCCACTCTTAGCCTCCTATAAATCTTAAGCCATGTGTATTATGGTAAAAACTAGCTGAAATAGGTTGAATGGAAGCCAAAATAATTTACATCTAAATGAAAAACAGAAAACAGAGTAATAAAAAAATTCCAACTGAATGGGAAAATTCATTGTATAGTATTATCTTCCCCATGAGTAGGTTCACTAATACACATCGGCAGAACAATAAGCACCAACGAGATCCAAATGACACTGACCAACATGATCACAGTTTACATGTCCAAAAGGTTCAGGATCTCAGTGTAATAAAACCCAACAGAGAGGAAGAAGCTGTATCATATCTAGAAATTTAATTATTCTCTACAAAAACTGCTATATATTTGTGTGCTGCTTAGTGGTCAAAGAAAGTGAATATGAAGTGTTATTCCATGTCTTGTCTTATATCTTGTATTATCTGTTCTGTTCCACTATCTGTATTTGTACTATTATCAAGACAAATTTTGCCTGTCACCAATTTCCTGTGCTTTTAGAAAACTCCCTTTTTAAAGCTTTTTTTTTTTTTTTTTGAGATGGAGTCTCGCTCTGTCGCCCAGGCTGGAGTGCAGTGGCGCAATCTCAGCTCACTGCAAGCTCCTCCTCCTGGGTTCACGCCATTCTCCTGCCTCAGCCTCCCGAGTAGCTGGGACTATAGGTGCCCGCCACCACATCCGGCTAATTTTTTTTGTATTTTTAGTAGAGACAGGGTTTCACCGTGTTAGCCAGGATGGTCTGGATCTCCTGACCTCGTGATGCTGGGATTACAGGCGTGAGCCACCGCGCCCGGCCTTAAAGCTTTCTAAAGATTATTTTGTTAAGTACAGCTTAGTTTTTTTAAGTCCTTAATTTTAAGTACACGCTTTTAAGTACACTTGCTGGAAAAAAATTTATAAATATATATAATCTTCTTGCTATACACCCAAAAGAAACAACATATTCTTTTAGCTTAAATTGCTCAGGACACTTTTTAAATGGAGTACACAATTTCTCATGTTTGTTAATTTAGAGGTAGACACCCAAACAGAATGAATAACAAAATTATGTTAAAAATGAAAATGGAAAAACCTAAGATTGCTACATATTATTATATAAAATCATGGATACTTCCTAAAACAAAACAGGGAAAATCCAAAGAACAACCTCAGATTTCCCTACATGCATCCTTCCTCATAGCCTTTTTAAAACATCCTTGGGTGGTAGCAATGAAGGCTACTCACAAGGATGGGGACAGAGGTCATCAGGGATACCATAATCAATGTACTGTGCAAAAATAGTGCAGAGGAGATTGGTTAGTCCTACATAAAGTCCAACTACATGTATGGCTAACTATTCTCAAGTCAGGGTTCGCAGAAGCTAAGGTCCTAACATTTGGATTATTTTTATATTATTATCTGGATCAAATAATATGCCTTCAGCCAAAATCAAACTCTGTTCACCTGTGAATAGTATTCCTGTACCCAAATTCCTGTACACATCACTGAGAATTGTCTAAACCCAAGTGCCTCAAAAGGTCCTAAACCCTTGACTCATAGCCAGGATATTTCTTTTATTTTATTATTATACTTTAAGTTTTAGGGTACATGTGCACAACGTGCAGGTTTGTTACATATGTATACATGTGCCATGTTGGTGTGCTGCACCCATTAACTCGTCATTTAACATTAGGTTCTAATAAGCTCAGAAACTAGCACTGTGAGGGAAATATCTAAATATGGAGATTATAAATGCCTATCATTGCCATTTCCAGAGAACACACCTGAGGCCAAAAACCTTGGAACAGAGGAAAGCAGATAATAGAAAAATATCAAATCTTTATTAAATACCAAAGGGAGAAGAAAACATAAAATATAGCCCTAAACGGCCAGGCGCGGTGGCTCATGTCTTTAATCCCAGCACTTTGGGAGGCCGAGGTGGGCGGATCACGAGGTCAGGAGATCGAGACCATCCTGGCTAACACGGTGAAACCACATCTCTACTAAAAATACAAAAAAAAAATTAGCTGGGCATGGTGGCGGGTGCCTGTAGTCCCAGCTACTAGGGAGTCTGAGGCAGGAGAATGGAATGAACCCGGGAGGCGGAGCTTGCAATGAGCCGAGATTGTGCCACTGCACTCCAGCCTGGGCGACAGAGCAAGACTCTGCCTGCAAAAAAAAAAAAAAAAAAAAAAAAAAAAAAATATATATATATATATATATTCCTGAACTTCAATTTTTATTTATTTTATTCTCCCTTGCTTTGTTTCTTCAGACATACAGCTATGTCCCACATCAACACAACTTGGGTCTCCTGGTCAACAGAAAAAAATAATAATGTGTACTTAATGATATTTGATGAGGAGCTGATAATCTCAATGTCCAAATCAGTTCCTCTTAAAAACGCCAGTCCTCCAACTCCATCAGCCTTTTGATTACTCATATTCTTTCTTTATTGTAAATGCAAGCAAGAATTTATCTTCAAGACTACTCAGATTTCTGCAGAGTTGTAGCAGTCATTTTAATAAAAAAGCAGCTCAACACACTAACAGTCACAATTTGGTTTGCAAGTGCTCACAATCATTCTATTTGCTCATCCAGTTGTTGCTGGAATGACAAAGACAGCAAAGACAGAAAATTTTGTATATATTAAGTGACCATATTGGAACTTAAAACTTTCCATGTTTGTGTCTTTAAGCACAGAAGAGAACTCTAGGTTTCTCCATTTGCAGCAACACCTAATTTGGCAAACTCAAAAAGTTACACTGTCTTTGATAAAGGCTTTCTTTGTTCTAGAGAGGTCAAAAGATTTCTCTCCAGCTTCAGCCTGAAGATCTCGGATCAAAAGAAACAATATAAATTCCAATATATTAAATTTTAAAATGGGGGGTAAGCCCTAGAAGGGGTATTGGCTTTCTTGAGCCCAGTGCTTCCCTGATTCTCACAAATGAGTAATAAACTGCTAAAGAAAGAGAGAGAGAGAAAAGAAAGAAAAGAAAAGAAAAAAAAGAAAGAAAAAAAGAAAAGAGAGAGAGGAAGGGAAAGGGAAAGAGAGAGGAAGGAAGCAAAAGAAAGAAAGGAGAGAGAGAAAGGAAAGGAAAGGAAAGGAAAGAAAAGGGAAAGAGAGAAAGAGCAAGCGAGCGAGCGAACGAGCAGATGCCCTGGCCTACCTTCCATTTCATCTGCTTTGTTGCCACTCCTGTCTGGAAGCCTAAGGGAATTCCACCAGAAGACAGATTCTGGAGCTAGGCAACACCTAAGTGAGGTCTGCTCCACCTAGCTTCAGCCCAGCTATAATACCATGGTAAGTGCTTGAAAAATGTCAGCCAAGCTAAACTGTTAATGAGCAGGCCCAGTAGTTTTCTATCTTCCTCCGAGAGAGGATAACCAAGTCTTTAATTTCCCATAAGACAAAAAGAAAATCTGCAAAATTACAGTTTATTCTAGTCTTTAATGGTAACAATGACCTGGCACAGGAGATATTTCCATCTCTTTTGTTTATCACTCTTAAAATTCTCTCTTCAATAAAACTCCATTCTACTTTAGGGACATGGGAGTGACACTCATGTTGAACAAGAGGGACTTACAAAGGGAGTTTTACCAGTTTCACCACTTCGGGCCCAGTGGGAATGTCCTTCCCATCATCACCTCATCACATTAACAAGATGAAGTCCTTTGGAAAACCAGTATAAAAGCAAGGAACCCTCAGTTCAAGCAAAGGGACAAAGGATTTAGTAAATGTGGTTATTAGTGTAGTGTTGGTGATTAAGTAATATTTCTCCTCCTCCCCACTAAAGCACACATTACCTCACTGAAAATATTAAAACCAATGCATTGTAATCACTTTGGCTATGAGCCTAAATATATGTTACCACATAAAGTTTCAAATACAAAGTTTTACATTAAAAAACACTAAATAAATCTAGTATCCTCCCCTCCCCCAATCCAATGTAATCTGGCTTTAAAATTGTTAAGAAGAACAAGTTTATAAATTTGAGCACAGTGAGTTTTTGTGTGTGCCCACCCACCTCCACGGAAAATACCCCAAAAGCAGCAACCTTCAGAAAATACAAGACTTTACTCTCAAGGAGTAACTCTAATGTGAGTTCCAGAAGATAGCCAGCCATATCCTAAATCAGTTGGCTGGTCAGTTTCTTCAAGTAAAATGAGAGTAACAGGCACCTATGCTACCTGAAGATGAAGCTAATAGGGCATCATGAAGAAAAGCAAGGCATCTGATAGTACTCCATACAATATATTTAGGATTAACATCTCAGCTTCTAATAGGCAGGGATTTTCAGCTGATTTCCATCTACATTCCTCCACCCAAGTCTACAAAGCATTCTATGGCTTGTGTGAACACCTCAGCCAAACAAATCAGAAAGTCAGCTCACAACCCTCTATTTCTCACTCCTGAGAAGGCTGCTCATAAACAGTGATCTCATTTGATCCCCACAACAACACTATGAGGCATGTAAATTGGTATTAGCACCATTTTACACAAGAAACTGCAACTCAAAGAAATAAGGGCCTTGCCCAAAGTCACACAAATCAAGATGTCTGAACCAGGACCAGAGCGCAAGTCTTTTACCTACTGACCCAACATTCCTTTCACTCACTACATCTGTAAATACGCAGTTAGAAAAACCTGATATCCACCATAATCTGCAAACTTCCATAATATACATTTGTGACTACAACATTCTCAGGTGGGTAACCACCCACATACCAGCTATGCACATCAAAAACATTTACACGAAAGATCAGCTAATGACCTGCTTATTAAAACAAAACCAGGACTTGCTTATCAAAAACAAAACCAGGGACAAGAGGGGCTGCCAATGCTGTATCTCAGAACTACCACTCATACACATGCCCTAATGACTAACACCCATTGACTAGCATCACCCCTACCTACACAACAAAAGAACCCCACTTTTGAAAACTTGCCAACTCTAGGATTCAACATACTACACTATGCATTATTTCTCCAGGAAAAAAAAAAAACTACCCTATGACTGAAATTGTTTAGAATTTTTTCTTTGTAAAATTGACACTGACAAGATACCATCTCTTCTCAATAATAGAGTAGCAACACAGGAGCAAAAGGAAATTATGGAGTTAGAGATGGAACCAGATCATAAGTATGATATACCCTATCTTGACAAGATTTTACTCTTAAAAATGAAGGCCCTATTAAAAGTAGGTAACCCATCATCATTTTATCCAAGTACCCATAATTCAATTGATTAGAAATAAATCCCTCCAAGAACACATCTGCAGTTAAGTTAGTGAAAACTGAACTACTGAACAGAGAAGCATGGCCTGCTGCTCAGAGAAGACGGGTCATAACTAATGTGGTAAACCAAAAATGCCATAAGAGATAAAGTATTTTCTTCATCTGGTCTGCTTCTCTCCAACTAAAGAAATCAACTCAGAGGGGGAAAAAAGACAAAAACTCACCTTCCCAAACCAACAAATAAACTATCCAGACACATACCCTTCATGATGTTGAATCCCAATTTAGGAAACCTCAGACAGCTCAGAGCACTGTCTTATCCACAAGGCTGAGAATACAAGACTTTTGTCCTCCAAAATTAAAAGTATAAATTTTATCACTAAGTTTGGTATACTGTCCCACAAAATGCCACCTTATTCCATGTCCATACCACTAAAGAACTATAGAAAATAATGACATATTAAAAAAGATCACTCCTCTGTTTTCCTTATGGCATTTTTATTATCTGACACATATAGCAAATGTGGATCTTGAAATGGGAGATAAATTAAAATAAAGTTTTAAACTATAATAAGTCTATAATAAATAATATACTCTATAAATAAATTATCAAAATTCAGGGTATTTGGTGATAGAAATCTAAGGAGGAAATGAATTTTTGAAATGTCTCAGGCCAAAAGAAAACTAAAAGGCTATAATCAAGAAAGAAAGGAGATGGGCAACTTCTTTTTAGAGCCCCACTTCCGAAAGAACAGCTGTCTTTGCTCAGCTGTAGGAAAACCACAGGACTTGGAATAACTCACTTCATGTACTGTCCTTCTTATGTTAAAATGACACTGTTGACTCACCCTCAGTAGGATATGTGCTTGGTTAAACTTGTTTTTCCAGTAACAGTAATGAACTGAGTTACTCTACTATTGAAATGATTTGCACCGCCACAACTGAAAAAAATATTTGGAAACACCTACATATCTAGTATGCATGTCCTTGAGTAGTAGGTCTGGTTTGACTATGCAGCCAGAGCTTTATCCTTCTTCAGAGTCTCTCCACAAATGATGATCAGTGTAACAAAAGAATCTTTCACTGCATTTGCTCAGTGAATCATTGTCTTAGCTAATAGCTAATCCCCACAGTCCTGGGCTTCCAAAGTCTGAAATGAAATAAACTGTCTAATTTATTTTTCTTACTTTTAGTTACATGTACTGCTCAAATTTGGGTGATACTGCAGAAGGCCCACACCAAATCCACAACCCTTGCATGCAGCAGTAGCATTCAACAAGGTCCTGTAGGACACTCTGGTAGATTCCCCCTTCTACTGCTCTGTCATTTCTAGCTTACTTGCTAGTTAAGGTGGAAAGACTTTAAAAAAAAAAAAAAAAAAGGAGCCTTTACCAAGCCCTAACTCTAGCTTATGAACCAAACTAATCATCATATGGGTGGGAAGGCTTAATAACTTCAAACAAGGATTTTTACTTATACCAACCCAGACAATGAAAGGGAGGGTTGTTAGTTCTCCTTAGATAAAAAACAGTATTCCCTCTTAAGGAGAGATACAACCTAATTCACATATATCTTCTATCTTTATCTTTTCTACCTCAAGTATACAGTTTTTTAATTGAAAATTTTAACTCAAAAATTATTTTGCAAAGGGATATTTGAAACGTGGGGAGTAAAAGATAAGCTACAAACAAAAGAACAAATATCTTAGACATTAAACTCTTCAATTTACATTCTGGACCAGTGGTCTGCAAAATTAGGTGTGTGTACCCCAGAAGCAGGGGAGGTGTAAGACCATCCACTGGGGCACTGGAAGAAATTTTAAAACATCTCCATATTTATGGGCTAAAAAACATATAAGCTTTACTTAGAGTTAACATATGCATACATGGTTTAATAGCCAGACATTTATATAATGTATAAATATGTATTTACTTGAGGAAGCGTTCATGCTTTAAAAATGTTTTTCTTGGGGTATACATTTTTTAAGGGTTTGAAGGGTCCTGCTTTACCCCCAGATTTCACAAAGTAGGATACATATGCGCTCAAGAGTATACAGTATGCCAGAAAAATGCAAAGAAACTGGATAAACCTGGTATATCTTCCTGGCATCTCTATTTCACTCACTCTAGGGTAAGTGACATTCATTCTTCCCTATAATCAGGTGCTTTGGAAGACACCTCTGGCTAACATGTCATTAGGATAAAAGAGGCCACAAAATGATGGCCTGGATTCTGGGTTCTATGCCTGGCTCTCTATCTTCTAGCCATCTGACCAAGGGCCAATCACTTCGCACTTCCAGGCCTTTCCAGCTCCTTCCTACTCAAATTTTGCGATTCACAAGTTAAGTTTTTCATCCCATCTTTAGTTGCTTCATGGCCCTGCACATGTCATTCTTCTAATTAGAATGTAACAGCCACTCCTCTCCACCAATCTCAGCCTCCTTTCCGCTCTCCAATGAGGCCTTGACTTTGCATTCCCTCAGCTTCCCATGATCTGTTTATATGATGTGAAAGGGCACTTTCTGGAAGGCTCTGTAAGTGTTCTCAGGTTATTACCAGTGTCCCCCAGTACTTCTGGACAGACTGTAGAGCTCCTTTGGCTAAAGTGCTAGAGGCAGCATTCTGCATGGGGGACCAACATGTATTATCACCTCACCATGCTGAAAATCTACAGCCTGGCCCCTGATCCAAATCAGCAATATACTAATATTAAGGAAAAAGTAACAGAAACCAAAATCACCCACCTAATGAAGATATATGATCTAGCAAAAGAAAATGAGGCTGAGAACATCCACAGGTAAGCCAGGCTATGAGGAACATCGCTCTGAACTCAGCAGGAACAAAATGAGGAACCGGGGAGAGTACAGAGAAGTGTTAACTCACACTGGTAGGATGCCCCTTCTCACTCAAAACAGCTGAGTTCATATCCCAGGCATGGCCGCTGTATCAAAATAATTAGTAATTAAACAAGTTAATATATGCAACATGCTTACAGCTTGGCACTGTTAAGATTATTACCCTCTTTCCTTCAAGCACAGCAGAACACGAGAAATGTCACATCTTTATCTGCAGACTTTGGGGGATCCAAGGCAGAATTTTCACCTACTCAGAGCAGGCTGAGATTCAACTTCCCTTTTCAGGTTTCATCGACATCCCTGAAGGTTCCATAGCATATCTGCCATCATGTGGAAAGATAAAATTCAATTCCCAGGCATTCCCAGGTGCACTTCTAAGGAAGTGGTATGGTGTGAAGAATAAAGCAATGGACCAAGGGCTAAAAAGTCAGACATCTGGCCTGGCACAGTGGCTAACACCTGTAATCCCAGCACTCTGGGAGGCTGAGGCAGGTGGATCATTTGAGGTCAGCAGTTCAAAACCAGCCTGGCCAACATGGTGAAACCACGTCTCTACTAAAAATACAAAAAAATTAGCCGGGTGGTAGTGGCACACCCCAGTAATCCCGGCTACTCGGGAGGCTAAGGCAGGAGAATCGCTTGAGCCTGGGAGGTGGAGGTTGTGGTAAGCCAACATCGCACCACTGCCCTCCAGTCTGGGTGACAGAGTGAGGCCCTGTCTCAAAAAAAAAAAAAAAGTCAGTCATCTTGTCTTTGTACTGCCACTGACTATTTTTGTGCTCTTGAAAAATTACTTTACCTTGGTTTTTTTTTTTTTTTTTGAGATGCAGTCTCTCTCTATTGCCCAGGTTGGAGTGCAATGGCGTGATCTCAGCTCATGGCAGCCTCCGCCTCCCAGGTTCAAGCGATTCTCCTGCCTCAGCCTCCTGAGTAGCTGGGATTACAGGTGCACGCCACCATGTCCAGCTAATTTTTGCATTTTTTTCCGTAGAGACGGGGTTTTGCCACATTGGCCAGGCTGGTCTTGAACTCCTGATCTCGTGATCCGCCTGCCTTGGCCTCCCAAAGTTCTGGGATTAACAGGCATGAGCCACCATGCCCAGCTGAAAAATTACTTACCTTTCTAAGGCCTACAGTTTGTAATCTGTTTTTAAAAAGTGATTAGATGACATATAGTCCCATAGCCAAGAAAATAGTAGCTTACCAACATGTTTTACTGTGACCTACAGTGAGAAATATATCTTGTACCAGACCTCAATATTCACATATATACGTGCATAGCAAAAACAAAAATTTCAAGAAACAATGCTTGTCCATACTATGTGATACTCTCTATTCTACCCTTTTTTCCCCCAAAGTGCTGTTGGAGACCTACCAAATTGGTTTCATGACCCATTCGTGGTCATGATCTGCAGTGTAAAAAACAATGGACTAAAGCATGCAGTAAAGAATGTGGCTTGGCAATTAGACAGGCCCAATACCACTTTTTTTTTTTTTTTTTTTTGGAGACAGGATCTTGCTCTGTCACCCAGACAGATGTGCAGTGGCATAATCATGGCTCACTGCAGCCTCAACCTCTGGGGCTCAAGCAATCCTCCTGCCTCAGCCTCCCAAGTAGCTGGGACCACAGGTGTGCACCCCCACTCCTGGCTAATTTTTTTATTTTCGTAAAGATGGGGTCTTGCTATGTTTCCCAGGTTAGTCTCAAACTCCTGGTGTCAAGCGATCCTCCTGCCTCAGACTCCCAAAGCACTGCGATTACAGGTGTGAGCCACCAAGCCCAGCCCCAGCACCACTTTTAACTAGCTGCATAATCTTGGGTAAACTACTAACCTTTCCAAAGTACATCTTTTAAATTAAGACTAATACACCAGGGTTTTTTCTAAGGATTAGATGAGATAATGTATGTAAAGCACTTAGCCACACTGTGTCTGACATAAAATACACACTCAATAAAAAGTTATAGTGATGACTAATAACATCAATATTATTATTATTAAATTCAAGAATTCCAAAAGAAAGTAAATTAAGTGGAAGAAAGCTAGAAAGAGAAATAGGCTCACCTATAAGCATCAATAAACAGTAGGACTGTTGTCAGGTTAACCCAGGACTATGCTCACTGAAATTCTACAAACAAAGGGGTTTTGCTTACTTTCTTCACAATATCCCCTCGCAACTTAAGCAGTGCCCAGCACACAATAGGTACATATATTTGTTGAATGAATGAAAACATCTGGAGGCTCACCTCTATGCAGTGGAGGTGCTGTGAAGAGATCCCAGCAACGCCTGCACAGCACCCCTGCCCAAAAATCCAAACACCTTGAGATTGTTGTAAGCCAGTGACTCTCAAAGTGTACTTTCCCAAACAGCAGCAGTATTACCTGGACGCTTTTTAGAAATGCAATCTACCAGGTCCCGCTCCAGACCTACCAGATCAGAAACTCTGGGGGTGAGCCCAGCAATCTGTATTCTAACAAGTCCTCCAAAACTTGATGTGCACTCAAGTTTGAAAACCAGCATTACAAACTGATGATTTAGGGACCAATAGCAATTCCAGGGAGCTACATGTACAATCAAACGGACTCCTGCAAAGTTTATTGATTCTAGGAATTAGTTACTTACCTAGTTCAACCCAGACTTTTCAGAGTTAGCTGCAACTTCCAAGGAAGTTACCAAGAATTGCTTCTCCTCTCTGCTTCTCCTTAGTGCACCAATAAAGCCTAATTGCTGCAAACTCTCTGAAACAACCACTCTAATATTCAGCACAAAGCCTGATTGCTAAAAAAATGCAAAACCTATTTGTTAAATGATCTTTTATCTAAGCACATTCCCTGGGCTCACACTATCCATACCAGAACTTCTGGAATGCAGGCTTACGGTGTTTTTTCAAACTCTACATTAGTTCTCAAAAAATGAACAAGGTCCCACAGCCAATCTGCATGCAGCAACTTTGCACCAAAGTTATAACAGTACTGATCTACCAATACCTTGCATTTCACTATTTGCCAAAACAACAAGACCTTATTTAGCATCAATTTTGTGTACATACACTTCAGAAAGAAGATAACCAGATATTAAAGATAACCAGATATTAAAACTCCAAAGTTAAGGTTTGTAATGTGTTGATAAATCAAACAACACATATTTGTATCACTAGATTGAGCCCAGTAATTTCTATAGAACCTTAATTTCCCAAAAGGTACCTTAATCAGACTCTAGTCAAACACAACAAGATTTAGAAAAAACACACTGTTTTTTATCAAAAGGCAGGAAAATATAACTGTCTTCTTTCTACTCTGGTAAAGGATTTCTAAATATACCTTCCAAGGGCAAAAGGGTGCCTTTGAAAAATAAGAAGATTCCTTATTTCTGTCAATAGAATAATGATCCAGTTATATACCAAAGAGCAGATAGAAGACCTGGCTTTGGAGTCATGTGACTCTGCATTAGATCTCATGGGGTCTCTGTCTCAGTCTCTACAAATAAAAACATGGCCTTGTCTCTATAAAAGATACAATGTACATAGAAGTGTTTTGCAAACTATTATATATTATCTTCTCAACATGCAAATTTATCCCTGTGAACTGATTCTTTCCCTCCCACTCACAGTGGCCAAAATAATTTATATTAGAATGTGTCCATAGGTGGCTTAATAGCAGTTGTGACAAAAGTGTAAACTAGAAAAGATACTGAATATTTACACACACATAAAGCAGCATGAAGCCACAGAAGGCTTCAAATGACAAAGAAATGAATTAGAAAAATCACCCACAGTACACTGGCCCTTCCTGGTTTTGGCAAGGATTTCAGCCAGAAAGACATGGTATTTAAGAAGAAAAATTAATAAAAAGAAAACATAAAATGAATTCTTTCAGAACTTCACAAAAGGTTATGTTTAAAAAGAAGTTTGGGAACAAGGGGATGCAGAGGGCTATGTTTTTTTCAGGTCTGACTTATCCTTTGCTATGGGTACACTGTCTTTTCATGTGGCCTCAAAGAAATAGTTGAGCCATTATTGTTGTTGATAATGACGAGCAGATGCTGATGGGATGATTGCACATCAACAGTTCTCAGACTCAGGTCTTGTGTAATTGGGTGTGTCAATCTATGTCACTCCACAGATGGTTATTAAACTAGTTACAACTTCCCTAAATCTTTTCACTAGATCTATGCAGCATTCTGGACAGCTATTCCTTGCCAACTGAGATTAGGCACTATTATAAAAAAAGTTTTGAAAAAACAATTCCAAGGTCTATTCCTCCTCCCAACACACACACACACACACACACACACACACACACACACACACACACGCACACACACACAGAGTTAAATCAGAGATACTTAATTCAGATATTCAAATTTTTTAATTTGAAATTTAAAATATTACCAAAGCCATAAATATTCCTTTAATGCAGTGAATGTAAGAAATCTATTAATTTCAACCTGTCTTGAATAAAAATTATAATACATATATAATTTTCTATGAAAAAATTGTATGTATTTTGGATAATCTATGTACCTCAGGAGTAGCCCTTCTATCAAAGCTCTTCTCAGGATGGTGGAGAATGGTGAATCTCAGCTCTCACAACATAAAAGTGCCAAATTCTTCTTAGTGAAAGAGGTGTATAGCCTTGATGTGCTAGATAAAAGTGGCCTTCAGAGAAGAAGCTCTCCACTGACCACGGGGCATGGTCAAATGTCCAGTTGGATTGCTGTGAGAGTCAAAATGATCCACTTGGCATTTTGTTGATATTGAGGTGTCAAACCTTTAACTAGTTGGCCACTCCTTCCAGTAAGCTTCTGTACACTGGACAACTGAAAGAAAGTTTGTTAAGAAGGCTCCCTTAAACAAAAGGTACAACTTATAAAATACACTGTTGTGGAAAGACAAGTATAGCTTCATTATCATATAGATGTAAACAAGGCAGAGACTAGGCTAAAATAAAGTGTAAAATGTGAGTTTGTTAATTTTTCTTTCCCCGTGAACATTTGGCAGAGTTAAAATTTTAGCCATCATACATTTTATTCCCTGAAATGTATCAAGTCACAGTTCCCACAGACTCTAGATACACATTTCCTTGTGGGTGTATGTGTAAAACTACCATAACAAAACATTTTCTATTTCCTCATTTTGATTAAAAGGAAAGAAGAAATGCTAAACTGCACTTACATAAGTGACAGTGCAATAGTGACACACCCATCTGTGTACACAATTTGTATTCTGTTTAAATTTAAAGTTATAATGATAAGGTGAGAAATGCTAAGAGCTAGGAAATAAAAATACACTTAGAAGCAGCCTATGTTGTACGCTCTTGAAAAACCTTAAGGAAGCTTTAAAGAGCAGCAAAATCACTTCAGGCCACTCAGGAAGAACTATGGCTTGAGACATTAAAAATGGCTGAGGAAAAATACTAAGAAATAGACATCAGAAAATTAAAAACGCCTGTAAACGAGGGTGACATTATAGACCCACTAGCAGGACATATGAAAGTTGTGATGAGTTAAGCTGAGTCAGACACATATTCCTGCCTATTTCACATGGATCAACATCCTGTCTAGGAACCAGGGACAACTGATTAACAATGTAAGCACAGAATAGCTTTAAGAAAAGCTAACTGACCCATCTGGGGAAAGAATACTCGAATTCTGCTCCATTTCTGTCATGCTCTGATGCAGCTAACCAAACAGAAATAAAGAGAATCCTTTCACATCATGAGAAATGAAATTCGGATTTAGGGACATTATAAAATTATGCGGTATCATGAAATAAGAACTGCTCTGGAAATCAGAACCTGGGTTCTAGCTCTGGCTTTTCCATATACTAACCATATGGTCTAAAGGAATTCCCTTAAGCTATTTGAGACTGATTATTTTCATCTGTAAAACTAAAATAATGTAACCAGCCCTCCATTCTTACCAGAGTTCATTTGTGGCCCAAATAAATCATGTCTATTAAGGTGATTACAACCTAGAAAGCATTATTTAATGTAAAATATTATTTTATAATAGCACAATTCCCAGTCTAAAAATCTGTGAAACAGAAAATCCTTACCATCTAACCCAGAAATGATAAATGATTACATGATTCAAATTAGATCACAAACACCTATATTATTATTAGATCCATTCCTCCAGCCCAAATGGGGGTGGTAAGTATACGTTGTTAGACCAGTGTAACTAACTTCAACAACTTTTTGTTTTGTTCTGTTTTGCAAATCCACCCAAGAATGCATTAACTTCAACAATTTTTTAAAAACAATTTCCACAATCCTCTCCTTGTGTCTCAACCATGCTCAGGAATTACAAGTACAATAATCTCCTCAACCTCCCCTAGCCTTTCCTAGCTCAGAAATCCGACATAGGCCACTTCGCATGCCTGATCAGATATGCTTTCCCAATGCTGAAAACCAACTGCTTCTAACATTTTAAACCTGATTTCCATGAAAACTCAGGGGTGAAAGAAACAAATAATCCAACCAAATCAGTTCCTTCTTATTGGAAGAGTTCTTCATCTTTAATCTGAAATCCTAAATAATTTTTTCTATGAATCAATTGCTTCTGAGATGAGAGGTACAAGACACTACAAACTATGACCACGCAAAAGATTTTTAAAAGCTTTTGATTCACAGTGAGTTAACCTACAAACTTGAAGTTACTAGACAATAGTACTTTTAGTCTACTCTTTAGGTGATCCATAATCTTGCGTTGGCCATGAAGCAGAGCCTAAAAGGAGTCATTAAAAGAAACTGAAACAAGGTCTAGAGACAAATGTTCCCAGGCTATATATTCCAAAGGAGGAATTACCATGAAAGTAATGAACTTTAAAGTTCAGGGGCCCCTACACTCGGGTGCCTATTCTGTGCCCAGAACCACGCAAGCACAATTAAATATGTTGCTTTCAATCTTTACAAACAATCCTGCAAGTTAGATATTACTATTATTCCCATTATATAAATACGGGTACTGAGACTTAAAGAAGTTAAGTGGCTTGTCTAATATTCTTAGCTAGTACAAATCAGAGCCCAGTCTCTCTGATTCCAAAACTCACCAGCTATGCTAAAGCAAAAATCAAAATGTAGTAGGGAAGGGTATCTAAAAGTCATTCTGAGAGATAATTAAAAATAAATAATGTTTGCTGTCACTTATCTCTTTTACCTTCTTTAATATCCCTTGGCATCCTCTCCTTCAACATTCAACTATTAACTAACACAACTAAAACCTAAGGAGGAAGTCCAGTATGTTTGAAAGAACCCACATGTCTGAGCATGCAGGTGAAGGACGGTGTTTTAAAATAGCAGGGATAATCTAAGATTAGGTATTGGTGTCAAACACACTTCTCTTATCTATTAGTACAGATGACCACCAGTTTTCAGTAACAAAAGATATGGTAATAAGAAAAAACAAATCCACAGAAAAGGAAAAAAACAAGCTTGTCTTTATGCTTGTTCTGTAATGATATGTGTAGAAATGCTACCCACAGTTAATTCCATAGTTCCTAAGCCAAGACAGGTTAGTACTGGGTAATTTTAATAATTGGCTATGTGCATTGTTCAGATGCTGAGGCATTCCAATCATTTTACATGGTCTCTTACATCACTTTCAGAATGGTACCATAAGAACACAACTGTACAGTCAAGAAAAAGTTATTTGTAACTAAAACGGCTGGCATCAAACATTTCTGAACATAAATCTGGCTCTGAATTGCTAGTTACAATCTCTCTCAATTTTTTATTTAAAAAAATCCACACATTCATTCCTGGTCTTGATCTACTAAAGAATTTCTTTTGGGATCAAAAAGTAACAGGAAAGAATGCTAACCAACTTTCCTTGGATTATAACAAACATAATTCCATTCTTCTTCCCAGTTACAAAAAGATTTAAAAGAACTACAACTCTTCAAAATGGAAGTTTGCAATTTAGATCATTCTCCTATTATGCAAATGTTCATTCAGAATTAAAATATTGTTTTAAAAAGTAAAATGTAAGTCAGTCTAGTGCACAAAATGTTTACATTAAATACAAAATTACACTATCTAAGGGACTACAGGATTCCACCAGACAATGGTATTATTTATTATGGTTAAGTATGTTGGCTTTGGATCAGGAAAGAGGGGTTCCAGTGACTGTTCTTTACCACTGACTGGCTAGGTGATCTGGATGAACATTCCTTAACTTTTCTGTAAACAAGAATCCTAACATCTATTTTAAGGACTAAAGGAAACAAGTAAAGTATTTTGTCCCCAAGCATCTGTCACATAATAAACCCTCAGAATATGGAAGCTACTGATAGTCACATAAACTTCATGAAAACAGAAACATTCATCTGTTTTGTTCACTCTATTAACAAGGAGGCATGGCTTGATCAGTATTCATGCAAATACTTCCAGTTCCTCCAAAGTGACATTCATATTTATCTATATTAACTACATCCAAATTCTGCTATCCTTCGTGTATACTTCTCTTTTATTATAAGCAGCTTCAGCTACTTTTATGGAAAGATTTAAATTATTGGAAAATATTTTAAGGGTATTTAAGTTAACATATGGACCATTTACATATTCTATAAACTGTGTGCTTACACGTAATTATAAATATCTCAGACTGTAAAAGAAAACCTTCCATAATGTTCCCACAATGGAAAAATAAAGTCTTAGAAATAATTATAGAGGGAGCAGAAGGGAGTGGCAGGTAGAGGATAACTTACTAAATCGGCAAAATAAAATTTGGAATTTTTTCTTAAAACAAAACAAAATAAAAACCTGACAACCCTTGTTCAAGGCTGCCAAAACTTGAGAAGAAGCAAACTGTCAAGGGAAACAAATGTTAAAATATAAAGCCCTTTTCTGAGAAAGTAACTCCACCAGTCCAGGTTAATCCAATTCTGAATCACTAATGACACCAGACCTGCCGGGTTGTCTCAACTACTACAAAGAAGTCCAAAGGGACAGGCAGAGGTTCACAGGCAAATTATTTTCACTGCTGTCATTGAAATTTTAAATATAGCCACACCTCTCCCATCCCAACACCCTTTCTACTCCTCTACTGTTGTTGACTGGCACTAACCCTTTTCAGACCTCAAAAAACAAGGGCCGACATATTGATACATAATTTGAGTACTGAGCATAGTGGAAAAATCACTTGACTAAAAGTCAAGAGATTGGATTCTGGCCCCAACCCTGACCCAGCTCTAGGTACTTGGGCCAGTCACTTTGCTTCTTTGGTTTTCTCTCTTTAAAACAAGGATGGATTAGATGGGTGGTTCCCCACACAAGATCCCAAAATCTCCAGGAGCCCCTGAGGTTGTAATAAAAGACAATGGGATATTTTTATTATTTCAAAATGTCTAACAGAGATAGTTCGTTAACTGCTTTAAGGCTAATTAAAACACCAAGTATTTTGGCTTCACATTAGTACTCTGCATGGTGACACTGGATGGCATGTGATTATGTTTGTCATATCATAGGAAATTTGGAAACAAGAGTGTTAGACCTGATACTGTTCTCAAAGCTGTACCTCAGAAAATCACAATATCTTTACTAAACATAACATCCAATCACAAATGTGTGGTTAATAAAAAATGGGAAAATGATTTAACACCTATCAATGCAATTTGCATAATACAAGCATACCTTTGTGATATTGTGGCTTCAGCTCCAGATCACCTCAATAAAGCAAACAGTACAATGAAGCAAGTCAGAAATTTTTTGGTTCCCCAGTGCATACAAAAGTTATGTTTACAGTATACTCTAGTCCATTAAGCATGCAACAGCATTATGTCTAAAGCATAATGCATATACCTGAGTTTAAAAATACTTTATTGCTAAAAAATACTGACACAGGGACATATAGTGAGTATATGCTATTGGAAAAAATGGTGCTGATACATTTGCTCGACATAGGGTTGCCACAAACTTTCAATTTGTAAAAAATAAAACAAAATCTGTGAAGCACAATAAAAGGGAACACACAATAAAATAAGGTATGCCTATAGATAAAATCTCCCCAAACTGAAAGTGTACCTCATTAAGGGAAGAGACTCAAATATGAAACCCTTAAATAATTATTAGATCACAGGAAACCAGTGAACAATCCACAGGTTGCAAAGATGATGTTCCTATTTCCTCATGAAGGTTCCCAATCACTCATCCACTTTTGATTAAAGAAAAGTGAATGCACCAAGAAGCCAGTCTGTACTACAACATAAAATAACACCAATACCAACAATAACTACTATTTACTGCACTTTAACTATGTGCCTGGTACTGTCCAATGAATCTAACATTTATTAACTGATATTATCTTCATAACAACTCCAAAATATACTGCTACTATCTTTATTTTTAAAATAATAAAATTGAGGCACACCATGCTTCAGAAACTAGCCCAAAGACACGGGGCTAGTAAATTTAGAGCAAGGCTTGTATGTTTTCCAACCTTCTCCCCACCAAAGCTGGTATCTGCCTTTCAAAAAGATGTCTCCATAAATACAAACAGGAATGCCCCAAGCAGAGCCCAGAGGAGAAGGGCCATTGCTCCTGAGAGCAGTCCTCTGAAGAGTTCATCACTGTGGCCCTTTTCGGCTTAAAGATTCATCCTTAATGGAAACTCCCCTCTTTTCCCTCCAAATTATATTTGCTTGTCCTGGTAATGGAAATCAACTGATAGAAGGTTAAAAGCCATCAATGTATCGGTCAGCTAATGTCCATCCACTTCTTACTTATTCAGAAGATACAAAAGAGTTCTAACTGGCTGACCCTTCAAAGAAGGTAGTTTTTCAAATTAATTTTTACTTATACATATCATAAAAATAGGCATCTGCAGTATCCTGGAATGAGTGAGGGTTATGGAGACAGATCTAGCTCTGAATCTCGACTAAGCCACTTACTAACTGCATTATCCTGTGCAAGTTAGAAGCCCCAGTTTCCCTAAATACCTACCCCTGTCTCTTAGGGTTGTTGCAAAGTGTTAAGTGTATGAATGTACATAAAACACCATGATTTATTGCAGCGGCCCTAGAGCCAGACAGGGGTTTGAATCCTGGCTACACCCCTCACTAACCATAGGCCAACATCCAAAGCTGTGAACCTAAGTTCCAAATTCCTTACCTATAATGTAGAAAAATATTGTCTACTCCAAAGGATAGCCATATGAATTAAATAAAGCAATATTTGCAAAGCCCCTAGCAGAATGATAGACACATAATAATAAAAATCAAAAAAGAAAAAAAAATCTGATGTTTAAAAAATCAAGCTGCAAGGACCAGGCACGGTGGCTCACGCCTGTAATCCCAGCACTTTGGGAGGCTGAGGCGGGCGGATCACCTGAGGTCAGGAGTACGAGACCAGCCTGCCCAACATAGAGAAACCCCGTCTCTACTAAAACTACAAAAAATTAGCCAGGCGTTGTGGTGCATGCCTGTAATTCCAGCTACTCGGGAGGCTGAGGCAGGAGAATCACTTGAACCCGGGAGGTGGAGGTTGCGGTGAGCCAAGATTGCGCCATTGCACTCCAGCCTGGGCAACAAGAGCAAAACTCCAACTCAAAAAAAAAGAAAAATCAAGCCACAAGTTTAAGTACCAGCTCTGTCACTTATTATGTAGGGGTAAACAATGTATACAAGTCACCTAACCCCTGTGAGGCTCCATTTCCACCAAGTTTGTGAGGATTAAAGGAGATCACTGTGTAAGAATACTCTATAAATTATAAATTTCCAACAGAAATGTTGGAGGTTGTTTGATTCTACAGAAGTAATTTTTATATTAATTGTATTTACTGGTCCTTCCAAACAATATCTTCATCTTTAAAATGGAAAAAACTGAGGCAGAGAAATGTTGAGCCATAGAGGGAAGGCTACTGGTTTGAAATGTAGGGTGGAGACAAGGGCTGGGCCAAAATAAATTTAGACCAGGACAAAGCAGAAAATTTCTGAAAGCTTCAAAGGAGAAAAATGAGAATACTCATCAACCTATGTTTTTAATCAACAGCTTCACCTGCTGGTTAAGCCTCTCAGTGCACAGTGTGGGCATAATAATTCTCTTACTTCCTCCCAGAAACAGTATTAGACTTCAGAGTGAGAAAGAACTTCACTATCAAATCTCTTTTCCTATTCATAAATTAATTTTGGGATGGGGCACAGAAACAAAGACCAGTGGACATAAATTTGAGTCTCGGTCTAACTGGCGTTTTCTGAACTACACCATTAAAAAAAAAAAAAAAGAAAATATTGTAATCCTTCAAATAGGTTTCCTTCCTTGGTTGATCAGAAATGTCCTCATTCCCCAGGTCTCTTCATGCTAAATATGGTAATAGCTGGCAGACAGCCAGCCCAGTAAATTCCAATGATACTTAAGAAAGCATTCATATGGCCTGAAATTACTCTGAACCAAACACTTGAGACCTGCAGGGCTTCAGCATAGAGCAGTTCAGCTGGAGCAACGAATGTCAAAACCAGCGGGGTGCCTTAAAAACACAAAAGCTTGGAAAAAAAGCAATCTACTCTTCTTTATTGCTACATTCTTTAGCAACAACATTGATCTCCTACCCACTGTGCACACAGCACTGCACTAGGGCAGTGAGAGGCTGGACAGAGGAATGGAAGAAACAGGTGGTGTCCATGGGTTGCCAAAACAACAGGTTGCTTCAGTCAGTTCTGTCCTACAACTAATCAATTTGGTGAGGAAAGGGGGAGAGAATCTTAGTCATCTTGTTCTCTGACCAAGCTAACTGGCTAGACCCACTGTACTGGCATTTATCCATTAGGTCAAAGTGTCAGAATTAGCAGTGCATGGTAGACATAGCATTAGTCCTGCCTTTCAGGGATGTTAAATGCTTCAAAAATCTTGGCTATCTAGAAAAGGAGGACAGTAGCCGATTACGTCACCCACCCAAAATCATGTATTTGACTCCAGAATACACTGCTTTTCTCCAACATATTTTTTTATTAAGTATTAAAGTAAATGTCAATTTCCTAGACATATACAGCTGAAAGCATGCTGATTTACGATACAGTCAGATAAGAACTTTCAAGTAGCTACAGAAAATAGCAGTTAACAAATGAATTAACCAATATCATTAGAAACCAAAGGATTAAAAAAATTAACCTATGAAATGAACAATTTTTATATCAACATTGGTAGCAATTTGATGTTATGTTATATACTGCTAATTATTTCCATACATATTGTGACATATTTAAGACAAAAGACTAACACCCTTAATATTTAAAGAGCTTTTTCAAACCAGTAAGAAAATAATTAAATGAGTAAAAGACACAATTTACCAAAAGAAGTAGAAAAAAAGGCAATACAAACGCCACTGATGATATGAAAAAACATTCAATATCACTGTAATGAGAGAGGCATATTAAGATTAAGTAATATTTACCACTTATCAAATGGTAAAGATTTTTAAAAATAAAACCTAGTGTTGACAATAGTATATTATGTGTGTGTGCATATATATATATGTAGATCTGTTCATAAACTAAATATATATATATATATATATAAAAATAAATCAACAGCTTTTCTAAATCTAAGGGTAAAAAAACCAAAGACGTATACCAAAAAATTAATGGCAGCATGATTGTGGACATTTTATTTATGCTTTTCTAGATTCTTCAAACATCCTTAACTACTTTTTCAAACATAATTACTTTTTATTTTACAAAAATAAAAAAATCTTGTAAAGGTGCCAGAGAAAATCAGCAAAGTATAAATACGAGTTAATTATCTGTAAACATAACGAATAATTCTGTTGCTACGTAAACCTACCTTAAACTGTTTCAATGTTTGTTTTTAGTTACAACTATTTTCCTTAACTCTCTTAGAAAGAATATGTCAGAGAAGCCACTACATATTACTTACTTTAAATAGTAACATAATGCCAAAGACTTGCATGAATCTCAGGATACGGTCTTTTACCTAAAATTCCTCATGAAGATTAGAATGCACTTTAAATGTTGTAATAAAGTAAATGCCCTTAATGTTTCTAACTAAAGAAGATCTAGCAAATAAATAAACCCATATTCACAGCAAATAAAAATATAATAAAATAATCGAAATACACATGTCCTCAAACTTCAATGTGTCTTGACAGCGTCTGAACCAAAGCATGTGTAAGGAGAGAATTAAACAAAAATGTCTTTGCTACTTACCACATTTACCATTTAGAGAAGTTGATATATCAGCACTATCTAGTTTTGTGATTATTCATACTTAGAAACTCAACAGAACAGATTAGTGAGTAAACAGTATTCAATTATTCTTATTTGAATGTTGGTTAGGTATACCAATAGAACAACCTCTCCCTGCTAGGTACCCGTTAAAATAGATTATTGAAAATATTTGAAGCTTAAAAACTTACAGAATCTTCTCACAAAAAAAAAGATGAAAATAAAAAGAGATGAAAAAGAAGCAAACAACAATTTTAAAACGTGCCTGCCTCAGAACAAGGCAGTTTATTTTAGAATGTAACCACAGCTTCTTGTACAACACCTTATTCATCAAGCACAACTGTATTTTAAAGGAATGCTATTTGTTAAAAAGACAACATATTTAGGATAAGGTATCTAACTCCAACCACAATATTATCATCATGTTTTCCTTACTTCACAAAATACACACATACATTCATCATATGAATAAACATATATAATAAGGGTGAGAGAGCTACTCTTAACCCAGAAACAGGTTCTGCAACACCCATAGATCCAACCTGTCTTTATGCAACAATGAGTCCATCTTGGCAAGATGTTTGGCTGATGTATTCAAATAACCCAGAGTTCTGCCAGCTGCCAGTATCCTGCAGAAGGAACTGACTCGGAGACCAGAAACTGCCCTAGGCAAGCCTCCAGGGAAAGGTGCTTCAGTCCAATGGGAAGAAAAACCCAGCCCCTCACTGCCTGGCCAGAGGACCCGGGGTACCATGGCTGGAGCGACGTAGCTGGCTGGAAATGCGAGAGGGGCAAGGGACACTAAGGTGAACCCCCAAGAGCTTGTTCAATCATACCTAGTAAAGGCCAAACTATTGGGGAGCTAGTAGAACAGGGTTTTGCCAAGACAAGTACAAAAGGGTGAGGGAGATATTAGTATGATTAATCAATGCCACCTGAGGCAGCAACTCTGGGTGTGTCCACACCACACTTCAGTCACTGCCTGGCTGTGACGAGAAGTTCCTTCAGCCACTGCCACTGAGAACTGCATCTTCCAAGGAAGATATCTCCACCATAACTTGTCCTAGTTCAGGCTTGGCATTCGGGACTAAGAACACAGCACTCTCTCTTGCCGCAAACCCACTAACAGACATAATAGACACCACAACATGTGCCAAATTTATATTTACACCCTCACCAGACAAAGGGGTTTTTGTCTTTTCCCCAAGCCAAGTTCTAATACTTCTAAATTACAACACAGAAAGAGGAAAATGGCAGACAGCTCACGACAGCAGACAAGCCCAGCAAGGGTGAGCTGGAGGTCGCCTTTCCCTGGTGGTATTAAGACCTGAAGTTTACTCCCAAGACCCTATAGCTCCGAGTCACCCTGACTGCAGGAAACTGCTTTCAGAGAGCATAGATAAATGATAAAATAACTGTATTTCATATTCCTAATTGTGTGCTTATCTGTCTTGTCTCCATGATGATGTCAGCTCCTTGGGAGCAGGACCATATTTTCTACTTGGTCAATGATTCCCACACATCTAGAAGAGGAGAATACCCTGTACTTGCTACCACATGATGCCAAGGGAAGCACACAAATTAAGTGTGACAACACACCACAATGCTCCCCCAATACACCACTAAGACAGCAGAGCTACAAAGATAGCAAATGTTAGTGCCAAGGGCTAGTGATCCTACCAGTGAATTACATGGAAACCTATGTATTTACATACACAAGTTAATACAATAATTCCTTTGCTTTTCTTATTCCAAGCTATGGCTTTATCATCCCCCTTTCTTGGCTTTACTCTCCTTTTTAAGACCACAACGTATGTTCTGCCATACAGATAATATTCTCCTCAAAAAAGAGAGACAGGAGAAAAAACAGATCTACGGCAAACCTCCTACCACTACCAGTGATGCAGTTTGTCCCGTCTCAAGCCTATGAGCATATCCTTTCAGATCTGAAGCCACTTCCTTCTTCCTATCAAGGACAGTATTATCAAGTGTCTTTGTGAGAGGAGCAATCCTGTGCCCCTTCTTGCAGATTGTTTTGTTCTGCTCAAGAAGCCCTAGATTCCTCCTTTATTTTCCTTTCCTTATTTCATTTGCTGCAGCAGCCCAGAAACCCCAAAAGCAGGACTGCCAGAAATGAGTGACCTTTATATCTCTCCACACTAACACATCTGAGGGAAACTGCCGACACCAAATATGTGTTCATGAGCTAATGAAGCAGAAATCCTCAAAGGAAGCACCATTTGCAACGGCTGAGGACAGAATTCTTTAGTGGACACCAAAAAGGCTGTGGAACTCCTATGCATTCTAACATCTCAGGTAACATTCTAATGGAGGAATAAGGAGGCTTACAACAAAGTCATACAACACAAACAGAAGTCTGAAAATGCTGGATTTCGCAAATTTCTTTTAAGACAAAACAACTTTACTAACCTTATACCATAGCAGCTTTCTTCTCTGTACTAAGTGAGGCCAGCAAGTAGGAGGCATTTCCAAGGGGGAAAAATGACCACAGGATCTAGCCAAAGCAACCTGTCTCTAATACTCTCAAAAAACAAACAAACAAAAACACTTTGATTTCCCAGATTCACTCTGCAGTGATTCTAAAACTTTCCTAATGTAAGAATCACCTGGCTATTTCTTGAACACACAAATTCCCAGATGACACTCCAGATGCACTGAATCAGAATCTCCATGAGAACACCTGAGCTATTCTTATCATAAGAGAGGTTAGGGAAACACTGCTTGATAAATGTTATTCTCCCACCAGTGCCCACCTGTGCAGGGAGGTATGAAACAAGTAGGGCTAAGATGCTTTACCTGAGCAATCACCTCAGACATGCTCCTCACTGGGTTTGACTCCTTTTATGGAGAGCTGGGTGTCAGCTCAGTAAAGTCTACAGACAAGCATCTCTTTGGGTCCCTATCACCTGCACAGGTCTCAGGACTCTGAGACAAATTTCTGAGTAGATGTCAATGAGGACAAGTCATGAGGAGACGGATTACAGCTGAATATAAGAAGATCTTTCTAAGAATTAGAGCTGGCCAAAGATGGAATAAACTGCTGTGGAGAGCTGTCTACCACAAGAGATGTTCAAGAAGAGAGAAAATATGGTACCTCTTGACTAGAATGTTGTAAACATCAGATCCAGCATGGGATGGACAGAAAGACTAGATGAATTTTAAAGTTCCCGCCAATGCATAAGTCAACAAAGAGGAAAATTTCAGCCACTCCTTAATTAATTAAAAGAGATAGCAAAAAAAGTCTGTGGGTGGGGTCAGCTTTCAACTGATCCTATCTCTTCAAAGGAAAAAAGAACATAGAAACACACTCCAACTCACCATCAGCCTCTCCTATAGAATGTTCTAAAGGTGGGAAAGCAGGAGTCATAGATGCTGTGACTAAGACCTGCTGCTCAGTTGACTCTGAATTTGGGGCACATGCCAGACAAGTTCTGTAGTACAGAGAAGAAATGTGTGTAGCACAGACCTGGCCCTCAAGGATCAAAATCATGTGGCAGAGACAACTCAACACCATGTGATTCTCTCAAATATTTATTCATCATATTTCATCTTTAGTTTTTGTCAGTAGGGTGTTCAGGGGACTCTCTTGGTTCAAAAAAAAAAAAAAGCAAATATACTTTACTAAATGTACATATTCTCTCAATCCAGTACAAGTTTGCAATATCCAACTCAATGAAAAAAATCTCAAAAAAAATTATCAAAATAAATATAAACTTAGTTAACTCTAATTTTAAAAATAGTATTCCAAAAATGACTAGTCCCCAAAATGATGAAATTACAATAAGGTGTGGCTATTCTGGACAAAATAACAGAAATTGCTGGCCTAGTAATACAGTAATACAGGAAGCAGTGGAAGCAAACTTGAGTGAGAGGCAGGGGGTGGATGGCAGTGCCTTTGAAGTGAGATTCCAAAGTCAAAGTGACCTTTATAAATTGCAGAAGTGATCAGAAAAAGAAAGAAAGAAACCCCACACACAAAGAAATTCAAAATTACAAGTTAAAATGAAACATCTGGGGAAGGGAAAAATTTGGTTTTTCCCCAAATGTAAGGTAAGCATGACTCCTGCAAATACTGTTTTTAAAATGTCTAGGAGTACCACAGTTGTCCAAAATAAGAAAATGGCTAAAAATAATTGTTCGACTGAACAAGTATTTATTGTGTGCCTATTAGATACCAAGGCATCATGCCAGGTACAGGGGTAGGGTATGGGCATTAGAATAAACACATAAATGAAAATACACGATTCCTTCCTCATGTACGCATTAACAATAAGCACTTGAGGATGTTATAAGAGTTTTTGTGCACATAAGCGCATTTGTACACGAGATGGAAGCAATGAGGACAGTGAATGAGGCACTGGACACCAGAAGAAAGGAATTCTAGTCTCAACTCTAATTGGCTCTGTGACCATGAACAATGAACATCAGAAAATGGAGGACGGAAACAGTGGCTCTCCTACAAGGTCACCAAACCAATTAATAACAGACCTGGAGAAGAATTCTGGTCTTCTGGCTCCTAGTTCAGTGATCTGTCCAAAATACTACACATACGGTAGGCTGACAAAGAAAGAAAAGAAGACCTTTTGGTTTCAAGTCATTTGCAGAGAAAGGGGGAGAAACAAAAACAGGAAAATCAGGAAAGGGTGGAAGGAAAATCAATAGTTCAAATTTAGGCATTCGAACTGAGACATCAAGAAAGGAAGCATGTAACTATGGACTGTGAACACAATATAAAGAAAATGATGTAAAATTTCTTATATCCTTATTCAAATCACGCCTTGCAGTTTTTTACTCTAAAATCATTGCAGACGTATATAGATAAAGGGTCAAAAAACAACATGTATGAATGACATTTAAGGAAAAAGAGATAACAGAAGAAAAGGGAAAAGGAGAGGTGGAGAATTTATTATATCATCTAAATATATGAAGCCCTTCTAAAGGGTCAATGCAGACATATTGCACCCAGATAAATAGAAGAAATGACATTATATTCTATATCTCTTACGTTAGCAATTTTTAAATTCCTTGAGTCAGAAGCGTTAAACACTGGAATGACTAAGGTTACATTTGTTATGGAAATTTCTTAAATTTAGAAAGACCTCATACACACACCTGAAGGTAAAAAAAAATGTACTTAATCAGTGGGTTGCAACCAAGTTACTTGTCAGAATCACCTGTAAACCTTGAAAAAATATGGATTCTCAAACTTACCTTATCAGAATCCCTGGGTGCTGAGTCCAAGATCCACCCCAACAGATTTTGATGTAGCCAGGACACAGAGTTTTTTCTACCATAATGGGAGAGGTAGGGAGGAGGATCACTAGGAATGGCAACACAGAGTGGGAACTAGATCAATGCAAATTTTGTGGGCAAAATAGAATTTCTGTGGGTGTGATATTTTTAAGATGTATTGTAAGGCTGCTCTGAACCATCCAAGCATATCCCACTGAATTTAAACATTCTCTAAAGGTCCTGAAGTCAGCAACTACAATCCAGGTGAACCAAAAGTTGCTCCTCTATGTCATAGAAGCCTACAGGAGAGGCAGTAGGGTGGGAATGGAGCAGAGAGATCCCAAGAAGTTATGGGTAAATATTTTTTAAATCTAAACATTCAGAAAAATAAGAGAGACTAGGAATCACTCTCCTCCTCCTCTCCACCACACCAAAAAAAAAGGAATAATAAGAAAGTGAAAGGAAAAATAGTTTTAGGTTAAATTTCATCACCATCTGAAAGAAAATTACTCCGATTTTGTTTAAGCAAGAGAAGAATTCAGCTGAGAAATTATCTAGCAGGCAGCAAAATCAGGGAGTCACTTCCCATTGCAAAGCAAAAGAAAACAAGGAGCAAGAGGATGGTCCTGGATAGCTGTTTAGACAATCAGACATACTGCTAACATCTCCTTGCCTTAGAAACTCCGTGATGTTTAAATTAACAATTGGCCACAAGCCAAACACAGGAACACTCAAAAGTTTAGAAGGGTGTGCTGCAACTGGTACCTTAGCAAAACACAATAATAAATTAAGAGGATTCAAGAAGCCTTCACTGTAGACTCTAAGAAGATTTAAGATTTGTACCGAGAAACGGCTTCTAAATCTCTTCTACTGCATTAGTTTAGCATCTAAAGAACACCTGTCTAAAAATCAAAATATCTAAATCCTATCCTTTGAGTCAACTTGACTAACACTCAACTTGACTACCTAAAAGCTAGCTAATAATCGCAGCACCTCAGCAGAGCAGAGGTGGAGGGCATAGTTTTATGCACTGAGATCCTATAATAAAAGAAGCCCTATGTGTCAGAGTAATCCCATTTCTGATATCATATTATTTAATACTTAATTTTTCAAATCACTTTACAATTATATTTATTATTCCCTACAATTCTCTAAAGCAGGTTATTCCTTTAGTCCTGCTTCATAGGTGAGGAGACTACATATCATGAAGATTAAGTTATTTACCAAAACAAGTTAATGATAGACCAAGGATTATTACCCTCAGACTGTCTCATTGATCATACTCCTCTCTATCCTAAAGCTACACTTAAAGCTTTCACTCAAAGAAAAAGGAAAAGCAAAAACACCATCATATATGCTCTTTATTAAATGCTTCAGAAACAACGGCTCTGCTTCATCACTACAAAGCCTCCTGGTCCACTTCTGAAATTCTTAGTGACCTAGACGTGTACGAAATTTGAACTTTCCAAGAAGTATCTAGTTGGTGCTGAACAACCCAGTACTATTTTCGGGTGATAAATAACCTTGTTCTCTTTTTAAACATCTGCGATTGACATGTCGACTGACTGTTAACAATGAACAAAGACCATATTTTTCTGAAGCTCATCATCTTCCTAACCTTTTCTTTGAAAACAGATGTAGTTCATGTACTAGTTTTTTGGTGAAGGTAAAAATCTTTATTCAGATTAGGCTCAGAAAAAGAAGGGGCTGCTTTCCGTTCAACAAATATGCACAAGACAGCATCCCACTGGGAGCATCAATCTCAGAAGCAGTAAAACACAGCCTCGGCCCTGAAAGGACTTTCTGAACACCTTTGGAGTGTCATCCGTTTAATATACATTATTTTAATTAATCCTATTAGCTGGATAATTTCTTTCCCATTTTATTGGTGAGTTCATATAGCAGAGCTGGATTTGAATCCAGGATTACAGAGCAGGGCTCCAAAGCCCAAGTTATTTCCACTAAAGGGTCTGAAGAAATGTAGAATCTAAAAGTGTGGGTGGGATGGGGAAGATATGATTTGATTCCCTTTCCTTGGTCCAACCGTGTTAGAAACATCCAACCATAAAGAAGCTTTCTAAGGAAGCCCTTTGAATTAACGTATCCACTTTTTCTCACCCGCCCGTGCCCCACCCCCAGCCATGCCAAAGGAGCAGCAAATGCTGCTGCCAGGTTGGAGGAATTGGTGATCGTCACACCACATTCCTGGGTCTGGACACAGCCTGAAACAGCAGCAGAGCTCCGCGCCTCGGAAAGAATAACAGCAGTTGAGATTTTTAAATCATGTGCCTCAGCATGCAGCCACACCAGTTGCCCTACTTCTCCTGCCTCCACCTTTCAAAGACGCGAGCAGCACACACGGCTCCCCCGGACTTTCGGTGGGGTTGGAGTGTCAAAACTCAGGCGCGCCGCAAAACCCCGTCCCCATCCAAACCAAGCCCACACACCCGGCCCATGTGCCGCCCCCTGGCAAAGGCGAGGCTGGCTGCGACGGTGCAGGCCGTTTGGCTTGGCGGCCCTGCCCCCGCTCTCCACGCCAGAATCTGGCATTCCTTCGCTCAGCCCCTCCGAGGCCCGCCGTCGGCTCTCGCTCGACCCCAAGAAACGCGGAACCTGAAGGGCAAAACTGCCCACCTCCCTGCACCCTGGCACTACGAAAAAGGAGTTTCTGAGACTTGCTGCCGGCCTCCCTCCTGCCGAGGAGGCGTGTAAGGGGTCCCGGGCCGCGGGGAGCAGAGGCGGCGGGGAACCCCGGCGGTTGGCGGGGCACCACGGGAGGGGCCCCCGGCGATGTCCAAACTCTTGGGAACCCAGCGAGTGGCCTCGCTCCGCGCCGGCGGCCGAGCCTGGCCTTCCCACACAGAGAAGGACCGAGGGGGAGAAGGGTCGCCCCAGGTGGCAGCCCCGGGCGCCGCGGACAGCGCCCCTCAGCCCGATACTCACCATGCGCGGGGGCCGCGCAGCACAGCCAGAGCGCCAGCAGCGCCCACAGCAGAGCGGGGCGCAGGGCGGGCATCTTCTCGGTCGCCTCCTCCTCCGCCGCCGCCGCCGCCGCCTGGGCAGATCCACATGGGGAGGGGGTCCCGATAGAGGAGCCCCACTCTCTCCTCCCCTCCTCCTGCTTCAAAGGCTCAGGCCCTGGCGCTACGCTCCGAAGCCCAGGCGCAAATGCCTCGACTCCCCGCGCCCCGAGTCCGCCGCTCCTCGGCCGCCGCCTCAGCCGCCGCCCGAAGTTTGGCTGAAACTTTCTCGGGTGTGCAACGAAGCAGCCTCGTGTGTCCTTCCGCCTCAGCCGCCTCCTCCCACCGCAAGCCCCGCCCCACTGTCGCCGCGGCCTCGGCCCCGCCGCCTTGGGCACCCAGGGGTTTCCCGCAGGAAGAAGCGCCGGCCCGAGCTCCGCGCGGAGGGATCTACTACGAGTCACTGGCCCCGTCCGCATCCTTCTCCAGCGGCCCCGGGGGCCGCCGCGCCTTAACTCGATCAGGGCTGCAGCGGCTCGCTGGCTTGACCAGTGCAGAAGGGGCGTGGGGGTGAGGGGGGTGGGGTAGGACTCTGAACTTCAAGCACTGGAGTTTGCCGGGATCGTGAACTTGCAGGGAGAGGCGGTCCTCATCCAGTGAGGTCTGTATCGCCACCTACACCCACACATCCACACACTGCTTTGCTAGCTAGAGGAATGCTCTGGAGTAGGACCAGTGCTGTCAAAGAAGGAAAGTGGGCCAAGGCGCCAAAGTCCATTAAAAAGGAATAGAGCCATCACGGAGTGGTGCTGCCCCATTCATTCATTCATTTGTTCATCCGTGTAGCGAATATTTCTTAAGTGCCTTACTTTGCGTAGCTGTGTGCTTGGCAGTGGGATGATACCAAAGATGCACAAGCAACTTTGAGTACCAAGACTTTGCCGCTGTGGGCTGGGGGATTCAGGGAAGGCTTTCCCAGAGGAGCTGGGATGAAAGCAGGATCTTGAAAGGTCAGTAAAATTTGTATAAGACAAGGAGACCAGCTAAGCTAAGGATATTCGTTGTAACACTGTAATAGCAAAACCTTGAAAACAACATAAATGCCCACCCTTAGAGGAATGGATGAATAATGTATGGTATATTTATAAAATGAAATGCAACACAGTAATTGAAAAGACTATAGCTATTTATGTCAATAGGGATAAATCTTAAAAACTAAATGATAGTGAAAAAACTAATCACAGAGGGAGACAAAGTATACCATTTATGTATATTTTTTTCAAGACAATACTACACATTATCTGTGGATGCATATATATAGATATAGATATTAAGAGACTATAACCAGAATAGTAGTTACTTCCAGGGCAGGAGAGTAGGGGGTGTGATCAAACCTGGGTACAAGTGGGCTTCTAAGAAAAGAGCTAAAAGTAAGAACAGCAACAATAGTTGTATGGACATATCATTCCAGGAAAGAGCCCTCGTGAAAGCAAAGGTACAGTCAAAAGAGTAAGTAAATGAGTTCTGTCTCTGTTAGCAGTGAGAGGAGTCAAGGACGGAAAGGGGGTTGGGACCAAATTATGCAGCCTTGAATGGCAAGCTGAAAGGGTGGGGAGGCAGCTACCTCTTAGGTCACATAAAACTATTGAAAGTTTTTGAACAGAGTTGAGATTGATGGAAAGGAAGATTGCTCTGATAATTCTGTAGAAAATTGATTGTTGGGGGAGCAAGAGGTGAACTGGAGCCCCAGGACCAGTCAAGAGTTGGTGAACAGTCCAGGCACAAATTTAAGAAGACCTGAACTAATAAGGTAGATTTCAGAAGGAATGAATCCGAGACAATGTTAAAGAAACAGAAAAAAAAAATGGAGGTGTGACTAATTGGATGTGGGAGTTTACAATCCTGTTGGGATGGGAAATCCTACCCATAGAACCTCTCCCTGACTCCTATAGGATAAAATTCAAACTTCTAAACATGGTACATACAAGGCCTTTTCGTCATTGGGCCCCATCTCCTGTCCTCCCTGCCCCTGTTGTGAACTTCACACAATAACAGTATTGACTAACTTGAGATTCCCCCAAACATATCTTGCTGTTTCTGTCCCTGTATCTTTTGTTCCTTTGGCTTGGAATGACTCCTGTAGTCCCCTTCCCTCCTCCTCTTAATGAACTTCTAATCATAATTCATCCTTCAGTCCAAAGAAGGCTTTGCCGACACCGCAATAAATTCCTCCCCCTAACAGACAGTCCCTCCACTGTCTTCCACTGCCGCTTCTTTATCTTAACACCGATACTTATTTTTCACACAGGACTCTTTGTATTTCTGTGTTCTCAACTAAGTTTTGAGGTCCTCATGGGCAAAGACCACAGCCTATTAATCCCCAGTGTCTATCACATAATAGATGTTGAACTAGAATGTGAAACAACACTAAGCAAGTACAAGTCAGTATGGGCATAGACCTATGAAGTTCCAAAACTGCATGTTAACAAGCACTTTAGGTAAGCAAGTACCATTAGTGAAAGTAGTCACATTGAAATACTGGAAACCCTTTTCAAAAATAATGTAGTCAAAATATTTTTGGAATTTGTCTTGTGCAAGTATGTTCAGAGAAAGATAACATTATTTTTCAGTTGTTTACCCACAGTGTTACCAGTTCGATCTTCCTCTTTACTCACTAAAGATAATTCATAGTGACTTGGCTGCATACAAATTTTAAAAATCACCTGCAAAGATAAGTTTTGTCACTATTAAAATATATTCAGAAGAATATAAGATAGTTATCCCCAAAGAGCAACTCTAGAAGCGACTGTAGCTATGACAACATTATTAAAATAAATGTGCAGGCCAGGCGTGGCGGCTTATGTCATAATCCCAGCACTTTGGGAAGCTGAGGTGGGCAGATCACCTGAGGTCAGGAGTTTGAGACCAGCCTGGCCAACATGTTGAAAACCCGTCTCTACTAAAAATACCAAAAATTAGCCGGGCATGGTGGCGAGCACCTGTAATCCCAGCTACTCAGGAGACTGAGGCAGTAGAATCACTTGAACCCAGGAGGCAGAGATTGCAGTGAGCCAAGATCGTGCCACTGTACTCCAGCCTGGACAACAAGAGTGAAACTCCGTCTCAAAAAAAAAAAAAAAAAAAAAATAGGTATGCAGTTTCTCAAAGTAACCGTTTTAAAGAAAGCAGCTATTATGTTCACATATAACTTTTGTTGAATATGTTACAATATGAAAACTTACTGCATACATTCTGGTAAGGACAAGAGAAGTAAAGAGTAAATATGAATGGAAGTAAGGGAAAAATATGACTGAAGACATTTTTTAAAGATAAGTTTTAATGATAGAAAAATATGAATAAGGGCTACCAATTGTTTTAGTTTTAATCAAAACTAAAAATATACATCTATGTCTTTACTGATTTAAACTCACATAAAACTGCCTTCCAAAATAAATGCAGAATTGGGCACTTATTTGTTCTCATGTCTGTCCTCTCAGAGCCGATAAGCTGTAAAAAAAACTCTCAAAATAAAACTCTGTTTTATTTTCTGTTTTGCCTCGGTTTCTATCACATAAGTGCTCAATAATATATGTTTTACATAAATGCTGAATGAGGAACATATATATCTATATAAACTGGGGAACAATGCAAGACTGGAAGAATGTCTTGGTGTGTTGGAGAAGTTGAAGAAGAGATTGTGGGATAGCTATGACACATAGATTGAGCTACACCACGAATCTCTCCATGTAACCCAGGAACCCAAGGATATGTGATGAGATGTTTGTGGAAGCAGGAATTAAAAGGAAGATTTCTTTTAATAATGCCTTGCAGTTGCGCAGTGATTTAGACCTTCCAAAAACACTTTTAATTATATTATCTCATTTGATCCTCAAAACAATCGTGGGAAATAGGCACCCCAGTCATTATTATACCCATTTTGCAGATGAAGAAACTGAGATAGAGCTTTAAGTATCTTGCCCAAGGTTAAATAAGTAATTAGTGAGCTGAGACAAACCCCCCACTATTTCTGTCCTCTTACTCAGTCTCACTCCACTGTACCTTTGTGCAACAATGTGAAGCACATCCAAGATGATATTTAGTGTGGGGACCTCTGTGTAGAGGGACACCAGCTTCTTGTCACTTCCATGTTAGCACAGAACAAGCTGACCCACTGTAACTAGGAAACATAAACAAGTGAATAAATTCTTTTAATTTAAAATTTTTTTGAGAGCCTGTTCTCTACAAAGCACATACTAGGCTCTGCGGCAATGCAGAAATAAATAAAACCCAGTCCCTGTTCTTTGGAGATCACAGAGCAGTGAGGCAGGCCAACATACAAATAACATAACTACAACAGAGATAAAGCACAGGGATATGGGAAAGTAGAGAGCACTGGGATTAATTTTGAGTCCACTTTCCTCTCATCCAGTCCCCATCCTGAAAGATATGAACTGTGGTGGCCCACACAGCTGGACTGTAAGCCATGTGACAAGAGTCATTTCTTACCCCTTATTCATGTTTGTAAACTCCACAGTAGTTGGTTCTTTGCCTTGCACAGAGTATGTGCTCAATAAAGACCTACTTTCTGAAAGGTTCACAGAGTTCAGCCAAACACAGGACAAGTTCTAGAAGGCAAGAAGTTAACCTCAAGATTCAAACTAGCTCTGAGAATTAAGAACCAGCCAGACCCTTCCACTGAGCCTAGACCCAATTAATTACCTCTGCTCTAATTAAGGGAATCAGTAATGTAAGTAATTGTAATATGGGCGATATAGTTTGCCTGTGTCCCCACCCAATATCTTATTTTGAATTGTAATCCCCATGTGTCAAGGGAGAGACCAGGTGGAGGTAATTGAATCATGGGGGCGGTTTCTCCCATGCTGTTCTCCTGATAATGAGTGAGTTCATGAGATCTGATGGTTTTATGTGTTTGGCAGTTCCTCCTGCATTAATTTTCCTTCATGCTGCCTTATGAAGAAGGTACCTTGCTTCCCCTTTGCCTTCTGCCATGATTGTTAAGTTTCCTGAGGCCTTCCCAGCCATGCTAAACTGTGAGTCAGTTAACCTGTTTCCTTTATAAATTACCCAGTCTTGGGCAGTTCTTTACAGCACTGTGAAGACAGACTAATACAGTGGGCTTGTTGACATAGTTTTGCCCTTTTATGAATGTGATTATCTCAATTTTATTGATGTTAAGGAAGGACACAGTGGCCCACACCTGTAATCCCAACACTTTGGGAGTCCAAGGCAGAAGGATGGCTTGAGCCCAGGAGTTCAAGACCAGCCTGGGCCACAAAGTGAGACCCTGTCTCTACAAAAAATTAAAAAACTAACTGGGCATGGTGATGCATGTCTCTAGTCCCAGCTACTTGGGAGGCTGAGGTGGGAGGACCACTTGATCCCAGGAGGTTGAGGCTGCAGTGAACCATGTTACCACTGCTGCATTTCAGCTCGGGTGACAGAGCAAGACCCTGTCAAAAAAAAAAAAAAAAAAACTTACCTAGAAATTTCACATCTTCTGCTATGCTTCAGATAAGCAGGAAAATTCATATAGGAATGCTCACTGTATCACTCCCTTAAAATCTTCTTTTAAGCATTTTATGCTAGGAGGTATTACACTTCAATTCCTAAGTAGGTGTGTACTTTTTGTATATAATGATGTATGAAAGGGTTGACCTGTATGCATCAAGATGTCTCCCCAATTTAACAGTATCATAAATTCACAACTGTGTAATTATCAAACCACAGTATTATTGGATGAGTCTCAGTGCTTTAGTCACTAAAATGGTTATGCAATTTTGAATATTTATTGACGTTGTTCTCAGGGACTGTTGAATTGTTTTTACTCACATTCTTATATTCTTCCTTCATGATTAGCCAAGACATTCTTGACAGCAAGATTCAGGCATACAGAAAGTTTCTACTTCAAAATATGGAAAATCTTCTTACCATCTAGGTGCAGATCATATCTAAGTCCCCTGAAGAAAAAGAAAATGGAAACTTTTCTTACTAAGTGGAATTCAAAATGGTTAACTAAGTATGAGAGAGGGGACATCAAAAGTAAGGAAGAGAAATCCCATTATAAAAAGTGTGCACAGGCCAGGCACAATGATTCACACCTGTAATCCCAGCACTTTGGGAGGCCAAGACGGGAGGATTGCTTGAGGCTAGGAGTTCAAGACCAGCCTGGGCAACATGTTGAAACCCTAACTCTACAAAAAATACAAAAATTAGCTGGGCATGGTGGTGCACGCCTATGGTCCCAGCCACTCAGGAGTCTGAGGTGGAAGAATCACCTGTGCCTGAGAAGTCAAGACTGCAGTAAGCCATGATCACACCACTCCACCACTCCAGTCTGGGTGACAAAGTGAGACCCTGTCTCCAAAAAAAAAAAAAAAAATGCATTAAAAATCTCCTTCTAAGTAAGTAATTCATTGGGAGATAATTAATGGCTGGAAACAGGTATTTATAATGGAAGCATACATGGCCTTAACGATAGGGTTTGCTTCTGAAAACACTCTAATTAAAAAGGGGAAGAGTAATTTTATAGGAAAGTACAAATCAGTGGTGTGTATGTCTACCAGTGTGTGCAAAGAGACAGAGGTGGTAATTGCTGGACTCAGACCAGGTATCAGCAACAACTAAACATAATGACCTTATAAATATGCAGATAGGATTTCTGACAAAGCTAAAAGTACATCATTATTATTATTCATCAATGTGGAATGGAATGTGAAATTGGAATCAGCAGGTGAGGGGTGGTTGTACCTGAATATCCTGGATACCAACTTGTTTTTGTTTTTAATCATTCTAATCTCTGTTAAGAATAATGTCACATGACTACTTTATCCTCTTTCTCAGACCACTGATCCAACCATTTCTCTTTCACACTTTTGCCTCCTTTCCTCTTATAACAGGTACTAACAGTCTAAGCAGAAAAAGAAGAACAGATGGTGGTAAGACCTAGAATGTTTACCCCATTAAGATCTATATCTGAATCCAGAAGGAACACCTCATTGCCGAGAAGAGCCCTGCAGACAGTTCACACCTCTGTTTCTTTTGCAAGATATAGCTACCTCAAAAAATCCTTTCTTGATCAAACTCTTATGGCCTGGAATCCTTGCGTTTCTGCTGATGACTGTCATTTTAGAGTACTTACTAAAGACAATGGTTGGGGAAATAGATATTTTAAAAATAAGGGAAGAAGTGGGTAGGGTAAACCCAGGCTTACTTATGTAAACTCTGAGTGCTGAAGTTAGAAGACAACCTTTAAGATTAAAAAAAAAAACAAACAAAAAAAAACGGCAAAGTTAGAACACACAAAAGATAGTATAGTTCCTTACCCATCCACCACTTGGTTTTGAGGAGAAAAGGGAAATAAGAAGAGTTGAAGAGAAGAAAAACAGAACAGAAGAGTGGGAAAGGAAGATGAAAGGGTGCTCTGGAGTACTATGCACCTGTTTAGAAGTGGGGAAGTAGCACAAACACTAGCAAAAGAAGAACCACCATGGAGTTCCTCCTTGCACATCTCTCTCCCCTCCTGAAGGCCTAGGGTGAGCCCACAGCATTGTTCCAGCAGTGAGGGAGTCTTCACTGCCCCCTGAGACTCTCTCACGGCTCTTAAGATACCTCCCTGAAGTCCCTCCAAAGAATTCAATGTGCCCCTAGTCTAAATCAGTTTCCTCCATCATAAATACTCATAGATGATGCAACAATAAAACGTTAATAACGATAATGGCAATTTTGTGTGTCAAACATTGTATTAAGCACTTTACCTGCTTTATTGTTTGTAATGCTTCAACAGCTTATGAGTAGGTATTATTATTTCTACTTTACAGTGCAGAAAATGAAACCTGAGTAAGTTGTCTTAGATCACACAGCTGCTAAGCAGTGGCACAGGGATTTAAGCCCAGGTCCATCTGATCAACTCCGATGGCACATAATTGACCTCTGCATTGTCCCGCCTGCCCACAGGTCACTGCCTCAGTGATCCAGTCCCATCCGTTGTTTAGATAACTGAATAAGTTATCCTCGAATCATTTATTGTAAGCCTAGTCTCTCAAGTTTACTGTGAGTCAAGGGCTAGGTCATATACCTCTTTTGTGCTCTTCTATATCGTGGCATCCAACCTCTTGCTTGTCAGCTTCCAACTCTGGTTCAACTTAAGGACTTCTTTTCCTGGCATCTGCCCCTTATATGGGAGGTGTTCATACAATTCTACTGATTGTTTTCACCTTACAACTTTTTATTTTGAAATACTCTCTTCTAAGTGTTCCTAGTAAATTTTTTAAAGCCAGCAAGGAAAAAAAATTCTATTTATTGCCAACTAATTATAAACATTAAAACATCAATTTAAAATTTAAAGGAAAAATGACCTATAATACCACCACTAATAGCATTTTCATGTGTTTTATTCATTTGTTCTTCATATGTATGTTCTTACAGAGTTGTAATCAAGACATACATATAGTTTTGTTTTGTTTTGTTTTGTTTTTTTAAGATGGAGTCTTGCTCTGTCGCCCAGGCTGGAGTGCAGTGGTGCGATCTCGGCTCACTGCAACCCCCACCTCCCAGGTTCAAGTGACTCTCCTGCCTCAGCCTCCCTAGTAGCTGGGATTACAGGCGCACGTGACTATGCCTGGCTAATTTTTGTATTTTTAGTAGAGACAGGGTTTCACCATGTTGACCAGGCTGGTCTCGAACTCCTGACCTTAGGTGATCCACCTGCCTTGGCCTCCCAAAGTGCTGGGATTACAGGCATGAGCCACCATACCTGGCCGACATACATATAGTTTTTATCCAGATTTCTTAGGCAATTCATATACCATAAATATTTTCCTTTGTTGTACATAGTTGCCATACATAGCATTGTTATTGTCTGCAAAATATTCCAGCCTTAATTAATATATAGAGCTAGAATACTTTCTATATTAGTATTGGGATCTGTATCCAGAAGTTGTCCATCTTATTTCAAAGACAGCCTTTGGGGACAATCCCTCCATACTTCTTTTATTGCCAATCACAATTGGATGAATAAGTGGACTCTTTCTTTGTCTTGAATCAGGGAGATGGATCAGCCCAAAAGAATCCCCTGCTGTTGTTCTCCAATCCCCTCCCTAGCATTTACAAGTCTTCACCTCTCTGCTGTAGCCTCTTTCCTTCTTTCTGTTCCCCATTTTCTTCCCAGCAAAAGGCTTCACTTCCTACTTCACTAAAGACATCTCCTAGTTCAAATATCACCTCCCCTGCAAAACCTTCCCTAGCCCTCACCATTTCTACACTGACAGGCCATCTAAGGACTCCCTACCATCTCCCATCTCAACCTCACAACTCATCACTTATGTACCCACCTTTACTTCCTTGTGTTGTATCTCAGAAAAAAAGAGTCTTTCCTTCTTTCAATGCTAATTCTTCAGCATTGGCCATTGATTTAATTCCCTTCTGCCTTCTCCAGGACCATTTTGCATTCAATACCCACTGATTCCCACTGTCTCATCATTCATCTTTCCCTCTCTACTGGCTTAATCCCTCAGCCAACAGTTTTCTTCCAGACACACACACACACACACACACACACACACACACACACACACACACACACACACACATTTTCTATTGTATTTCTATTTCAAATTCATCTTTCACTTCCAAACCTCTTAAAACAGTGGTTTGTCCCTTGCTGTTTTTATTTCTGCAATTTATTACAGCTTCCTCTTCTTACATTTATTGAGCACTTAAGATGTAAAAACAATATGGAAATAGAGATCGATAAAGCAGTCCCTACTCCCGAAGAGCTTCTAGTTAGTAGGGAAGATAGTAAACCAAATCAACACAACAAATAAAATACATTTTATGACATAAATATGTGCACAAGTATCCATGGGGGGCTGCCTGGAGGAAATTGGAGAGACTTCCTAGGGAGGTGACATTTGAGTTAGGCCTTGAACAATGAGTTCAATATTACCAGGCAGAGACTGTACATATATTGCACATGACTGACAGGAACAATTTATGCAGATAACTGAGAAACCATATTAATGATTACTTAGGAAATATCAAATAATTCAGGTGTCATCAGAGTAAGGAACATCTGGGGAAGAGATGAAGAGTCATTTAGGCTAGTTGTTCTCAAACTTTAGCATTTATCAGAATCATCCAGAAGACTTGTAAAAATGCCAATTGCTAGGCTTCATTCCCAAAGTTTTGAAAGGGATGTGGGTTGAGCCAGATAATTTACATTTATAACATTCTCAAGTGATGCCAGTGCTGCTGATCTAGGGACCACACTTTGAGAACCACTGGCTTAGTAATCCAGCTTCTGCTTCAGTCGTTATAGTGAAATTACTTTTAGATGTCACCAAAGATCTCCAACTGTCAAATGCAATGAACTCATTCTCAGTCTTCATTTTCCTTGATGAGTTTGCAGCATTTGACATCATTGGCAATTTCAGTGAGCTCTTAACTGTCTCCCAGCTTTTAGCCTCTCTTTTAGTCCATTCAGTACTCTGAAGCCCACAGGATTGTCCAAAATACAAGTATAAACCCATCACTTCATACTTAAAACTCACCAATGGCTCCCCATTCTCTACAGTTAGAGCCCAAACTGGACAGATGGCATGGAAAATCGTTGGCATTCTGACCACATTTACCTCTCCCCCTGCTGCTGCCCAGGATTGCATAGCCTTTGTTCCAGGCACATCAAGCTACCAGCCAGTCCCCAGACATGCTGGGGGCTCATGTCCTCTTCACCTTCATATGTGCACTTCCCTTTGCCTATAATGCCCTTGCTGCCTCCCCTCCCCTATCCCATCCTCCCCTGGATCCATAGTGATATAGTGGACCCATAGTGATATATGGTTTGGATGTGTGTCCCCTCCAAATCTCATGTTGAAATGTGATCCCCAATGTTGGAGGTGGGGCCCAATGGGAGGTGTTGGATCTTGAGGGCAGATCCCTCATGGATGGCTTAGCGCCATCCCCTTGGTGATAAGCAAGTTCTCACTCTTTTAGTTCACAGTAGACCTGGTTGTTTACAAGGAGCCTGACACCCCCCCCCTCTTGCTCCGTCTCTTGCCATATGACACACTGGCTCCCCTTTGCCTTCCAGCATGAATGTAAGCTTCCCAAGGCCCTCACCAGAAGCAGATGCCAGCACTCTGCTTCATCTACAGCCTGCAGAACTGTGAGCCAAACATACCTCTTTTTTTCTTTTTTTCTTTTTTTTCGTGACAAATTCTTGCTCTGTTTCCCAGTCTGGAGTGCCCTGGTGCAAGCTCCGCTCACTGCAACCTCTGCCTCCCAGGTTCAAACAATTCTCATCCCTCAGCCTCCTGGGTAAGTGGGATTACAGGCTTGTGCCACCACACCCAGCTAATTTTTCTATGTTTAGTAGAGACAGGCTCTTGCCATGTTGGGGAGGCTGGTCTCAAACTCCTGACCTCAAGTGATCCACCCGCTTCAGCCTCCCAAAGTTCTGGGATAATAGATGTGAGCCACCAGTCCTGGCCAAAATAAACCCCTTTTCCCCTTAAATTACCCAGTCTCAGGTATTCCTTTATAGCAATGCAAAATGGACCAACACCTATGGAATTTTGGGTGAAGGCCTAGCTCCAATGTCATCTTCTCTCCAAAGCCTTCCTCAGCTTCCTGGCTCCTTTCCCTGAGGTCCTCCACGGTTGGTTTCTATGTATTATATATACCACTTAACAACTAGTTGAACATGTGATTACTATATGGGGACTTGCTTCAGTCTCTGAATCTTACTCTGAATCTATCTTGTTATTTTTGTTATTCTCATAAAAGGCTTTCAATATAGGTGTATTGAATGAATGTTGGGAACATAGTACACATTTGATAAATAATGATTTGAGTAGGCACTTGCTGCTTACCCAGTGGAACAGGCAAGCAGGCAAAGAGGAGGAGGAGGACACAAAGAGAAACTATGTTAATGAGCAAGAATCAAATGTGCCACCTCACAGCCTCCTGACTCCCTGCCTTAGAGGGTGAACCACAGGCTATTTCCCATGATTCCCTCTTCTTTGATGACACAGTGATTTGTTAGCTCTGTGGACTGGAGAGTTATGCAGCTGCCTTTCTCGCTTTCAACAAGGTACTTGCTGGAGGACTTATCCAAAGCTGAGAAGCAACACCTGTGGGGACTGGGCAGGAAACACTTTAGTAGTTTGTCTTGGTGCATGCACCACAAGCAGACAGCCATTTGCCTTCCATTTAGTTTCTGCAACTGAAGGAATACTGGGGGATTCTCTGCCGCCAGGAAGAAGAGAGCCGCCCCCCCCGCCACCATCCATTCTTCCTCTCTCTCTCTTCCTTAGTCTTACCCCTGCACATTCTGATTGTTGTGGTGACCAGATCCTGCGGAAATAAAACAGGCCTGAGTTCCTATGTGGCTGGGCTGTATCCTCCTCCTTCTCTAATAAAGCTATGACGTTAAGGAAGCCCTATCAACTGATGAGCTCAGAATGCCCATGCCTTTTGTCACCTAGCCTTTCCCCATCTCTGTGCAAATGGCTACTAGAACAGCCATTTATAAAGTGACAACTATGTGTTGGGTGTTTTGCATACATGATCTCATTAGATCCATACAACATTCCTGCAAGAAAGATATCTTTATCTCCATTTAACAAATAGAGATACTGATGCTCAAAGAAGTCAAATAACTTATCCAATGTTGACAAGCTAACAAGTGGTAGGGGTCAGATTTGAACCTATGTTGCAACCATTTTAGAGTCCTGTATGTTTTCCATTATTTATATCATCTTGGAGAACTAAAAAAGGTGAAAGTTACAGAGTCAGCCAATGTCATAGCAGGAATTAAATTCAAGGTGTTCTGATTTCCAGGGCAGCCTACAAATATCCACCATATTGAAAGAACTGTTTGAATGGATATGTTTAATGTTCCAAGAATTTATGAAACTTAAAAATATATGTTGATACTACAGTTTGAAAAGGACCCAGAATTGGAAAAGCTGCTTGTTCATGAGTGTCCCTTGTCTCTACTGTCCTGTAGTCAGTGCCCCCTCAAAATTGGATGCATCTGAGTGGAGATGCTTTTCTGTCACCTAAAGTCACACATTTACCTTTGATCCAGACCCTCCCCAGAAGCAGTGCTTTTGAAATCTCTTCTCCTCTTCTTTTTGTTTGACAAAATATAAATGATTGTTTATTTCTAGAACGATGCCAAATTCAATAAAGCAATGATGGAGTTGTGTTTTGTTTTCTGGTCAAGTTGACACCATAAAGTGGGTTTTCCTGAATATTTCCCTGTTCCACTGGTGTTCTTGGCATTGTGAATAAACAGAGATGGTGATAACATCCATCATAGAGTTAAGCACATTGAGTGGGTGATAAAGTCAACAAGAAGCTGAAACAAGAATTACCACGGATAAGCTGCCAAGAGTTGGCTGTAGATTCTAAGTGGACACTGTGGCTCATTCATCTTCGCCCTTCAGCTTTCCACCCCAACATCATCCCTGCCTCAGCACTCATGACAAGAGTAGGAAAGTAGGAGAGAAGGAAAGCACAGGGATCAAGTACAGGGGACAAATACATAGCATTGATCTGCCTGAGATAAAATCTAAAGACGCAGTAGTAAATTCTTAATGAGTACTGAGAGAGAACAAAGAAAAATGTTGTGGGTTTTGTTGTTGTTGTTGTTGTTGTTTTCTGAGACAGAGTCTCCCCCTGTCGCCCAGGTTGGAGTGCAGTGGAGCAATCTCGGCTCACTGCAAGCTCCGCCTCCCAGGTTCATGCCATTCTCCTGCCTCAGCCTCCCGAGTAGCTGGGACTACAGGCGCCCGTCAACACACCTGGCTAATTTTTTGTATTTTTAGTAGAGGCGGGGTTTCACCATGTTAGCCAGGATGGTCTCGATCTCCTGACCTTGTGATCTGCCCACCTCGGCCTCCCAAAGTGCTGGTATTACAGGTGTGAGCCACCGCACCTGGCCGAAAAACACTTTTTAAGTCAAAATGAACCTACTAACAACAAAAGTCATATTCCAGAAGTGCAAGTAGACACAAATGATCACTGGGCTTCTTTTAAGCAACATTCTGTTTTCTTGTCCTAACCTATCTCAAGCTAAGGAAATTCTAGGGTCTATTGTTCAAAGACTTGAAATGTTTTCCTTGGATTATTCCCACTCTTATATTTTTCTTGCCTCTTTCCAAAAGTGCGTTAAAAATGTCCAGGTTTTTTAACTCATTAAGATGTTCATCAAGCATCTTAATGAGTTAGTCACGATTACAACTGCATCTTTTAAATTACCCAACCTGTTGAAAGGCTGCCATGAAAGGAGCTTCTACAAACAAAATCTGGGCTGTGTTTCTCATTATCTTATGTTGCAAAAAGTGAATGAGGAGTTACTTCCAAAACAGTAATTAGCATAAAGGCTGCTGAAGCAGAGGAGAGATAGGTGCGCTACTGTCTCAATGGAAAATGTCGCTGTTTTTTCTGCAAGGAATATGTACATTACTACTAAAGGAGAAGCTCTTTGCTAACAAATGTGAAAGGGTTTCACACAGTTCATGGCACATAATAAGTGCTCATAATTTGTTTGCTTCATCGGAATTCTCTCTGTAGTCTACTTCTCAGTCAAATAACTGTGACTACCTCCATTTCCTCACAATCCAGTCTCCTTATGTTCCTTCTGTTACAGGAATTGCAGCCTCATCACCTATCACAATATTTCTCAACCCTTTTCTTTTCATTATTGCCTTCCTAAGGAGGCTTTTCAGATGTTTTTAAAAATTGCTCTCCTCTATCAAATTTTGGTACCATAGTGTGATGGTTAATTTTGTGTGTCAACTTTAGCGGGCTACGGATTGCTGAGATCACTGGTAAAACATTATTTGTGGGTGTGTCTGGGAGGGTGTTCTTGGAAAAGGTTAGCATTTGAATTGGTAGAGTGAGTAAAAGATCACCCTTGGCAGTGTGAGTGGGCATCATGCAATCCCTTGAAGGCCTGAATAAAACAGAGAGGTGGAGGAAGCACAAGTTCACTCTCTCTTCTGGAGCTGGGACATCCATCTCCTCCTGCCCTTGGATATCAGTAGTGTTTCTGGTTTTGGGGCCTTTGGACTTGGACTGGGACTTACAGGATTGGCTCTCCTGGTTCTCAGGCCTTCTGGCTTGGACTGGAGTCATAATACACCACTAACTTTCCTGGGCTTCCAATTTGCAGACAGCTGATCATGGGACTTCACAGGTTCCATAATTGCATGAGCCAATCTCTCGTAATAAATCTATTTCTGTGTATCTATATATAATATATGCTATCAGTTCTGTTTCTCTGGAGAGCCCTAATACACGCAGATATATTGTGATATCAGTTTATGCATTGTATGTATATCTGCACTTTGTACATTTAAAAAATTAAGTTGTTTTTTTATCCCCCAAGATCAATTCTCACTCCCATTGAGAATGTGCAACCTATCAGACCACAGCAGACTGATTCAGGACACAGCAGAAGCAGATCACAGAAATAGATGCTAGACAATTGATTTGGGCAAAAATCAGTGCAGATGTCCGGCATAGAAGTTTGTCTAGATCAGGCTTTGTAAAGGTAAAGACAGACAGTTGGCCATACAGGTTAGCCAAACAAGACACAGGTTGGAGAATACAGCTGACAGCAGTGTTGATGGAAGATAGGAGGGCAAGGTTCAAGGCAGGCAGAGATGTGAGAAATATTTGTCCACTGGGTCAGAGAATGCTTTATATAGAGAAATATCATCATCCAGAAAAGTTCCGTGAAAGAGAAATTATTCTCAGTTCTGAAGCCAGATTTAGACATTTTGCCTTTGTTCCTCAGGAGCCTGGACCACCCAGCCAACTGTGCCCTATTGATGAAAATCTCTGATTATTATAGGGGAATACATTATGTTGGCTTCTGTATTCCCTGAGAACCATCTACATCTCCTAGTACTTTGAAGTCGTGGTATCAGATGAAAGAGCCAAGCCTTCCAAACTGACTTGGGGCTGTGCTGAGGTGTTCATGGCCTCAAGCATTCAAGCAGGTTGATCGGATATGAGGTGTGATATTCCTTTTCCTCAAGTCATTTATCCTCTGGAGATCCTAACCTAACCTAATCTCTCCTAACCTAAAAACAGGAGCAGACCCAGGGTCCTGACTGGGCATTCTCATTATGCTTCCTAAAACCATTAGGATTTCTTCGTGGTCACATCCAACAGCCTTTCTCTTTCTCAGGCCTGCAGCTCACTGCATGTGGTGCTGCCTCTCACATTCTCCTCTTTAATTAGAGGTCAGCCACTCTAACTCCAGCCTTCATCACACTCTGCCTCTAGGGTCTTCTGAATGCTGTCTTTGAGGGTCTTCTCAGTCTCTTCCTTCCCCTTTATCTTTTATCAAAGGCACTCTTTTAATCTTTTGGTTCCTTTCTGTTGCCCCTCCATTCTCATCTGTTTATATGTTCGCTTTAAGGTCATAAACATTATTGAGTGTTTGCTATATGCCTAGTACTGATATAAACAAGATATGGCTTTTGTGCATTCTTGTGATGGAACAGATATATATATAAAACCAAGCAAAACACAATGTGAAATATGTAATACAGATCTGTACAAAATGTCTTAGCAACTCAAAAGAGGAAGTGATGAATTCTGTCTTGAGAAAAATAAAAGGCATTGCAGAAGGAAAAAGTTTTGATTTGTGCTTTGAGAATGAATTAGGGATTTATGAAAAGAAAAGTTGGAGGAAGGGCATTACAGACAGAGAGATGAGGATGGGACAGGAACAGCATGACCAAGGAAGGTTAGAAAGGCCATGTGACTGGAGGGGAAGCAGACAAGCGTGGGCAGGGAGAGTGGTAGGCAACGACCCTGCAAAGTTAGGAATGCACCGCAACTGTAGTCACCATTTAAACCTACATGTCTAGTTAACATTCAAATGGATCATTGCACTGCCTGGGACATTCATTTTTAAAAAGTATAATTTAGCTCCTACTACTTGCTATATACCATGTAACATGCTTACTGCTGGTAATACAAAGATAAATAAGCTGTCCCCTCAAGAAATCAAAATATAATAGAGAGGTAGATGTGTTTTAAAAGTTATTATGTGCAATACAAGCCAACCCATGCAGTGAAGGTAGTATGTATATGACACAAAATAGAGAGTGATTAGCTCTGAGCAGAACATGTTTCAGAGAAAAAGTGATAGCAGAGCTTTAAGAGATTAATTGGGGTTGGGTGGTGCAGTAAGCAGAATAATGGCTTCTCAGAGATATCCACATCCCAAACTTGTAAATGTTACCGTACATGTCAATGAGGACTTTGCAGATATGACTACGTTTAAGGAAGATGGGAAGATTAGATTATTCAGATGAACCTGATGTAATCACAGGGGTCCTTATAGAAAAAGGAGGCAGGAGTGTCAGAGAAAGAGATGTGACAATGAGGGACAATCAGCCAAAACCAAAAACAAACAAAAAAAACAAAAACTGTGGTTAGAAGCTGGAAGAGGCAAAGAACAGTGTCTCTCCTCCAGCTCCAGGAGGTATGAAGGTCTGCCAATGCTTTAATTTTAGCCTCATGAAATAGCCTCATTTCAGACTTCTGACCTCAAAAAGAGTAAGTTTGTGATAGTTTGTTACAGCAGCAACAGGAAATGAATACAGATGGAAAAGCAGCCAGGGTGTTGGGAGTGAGAGCATTTCAGGCAGAAGGAATAGCATAAGCAAAGGCACAGAGGCATGAAATAGCATGGCAAACCCTTGGGGCAGGGGTTACCAGTTGTTTAGTGTTGGTCTGGTTTAAGAACCACCAAGTAAGGAGCAGAAGAATGCACTGGCATGCAAAGCAAGTGCCAGATGACACAAGGCCTGGTAAGGAGCAGCCCTACCATGGAGCTTAGGTATGCTGAAGCTTAGAAGGTAAATCAGGAGCCATTTCATGGTTTCACACAAAAAAGGAAAAACACTGAATTTTCAATTTTGGAAGAAAAGCTTAATGGGGAAGAACCCAGGGCAGGGAGACCATTTAAGGAAGCTATAACAAAGTCCTGGAGGGACGTGGTGGGGCTTGAACTAAAGCAGTGTGAATAGCAGGAGAAGGCAGGGTAGCGATATTTAGGATTCAGAGAGTGACCAAATATGAGGAGCAAGGAGAAAGAGAAGAGTCAAGGATGACCCTACATTTCTGGTTTGGACTTTGGTGAATGTCCATGTGCTTACTGACATGGGAAAAACTGGAAGTTCCTCCCAATATTTCTTAGATTCATATTTTCTGAATCTCTGTATCCACTAGGCTAATCCACCCATCAACCTATGTCTAGACAGTCTTTAAAGTCTTCCTAGCCACTTTTTCTGATTCTAGCCTTTACCCTTCTCAAGCTATTCTCCACGATGTTGTTAGAACAACTAATTCAATATTCATAAAATATTTATTTAGTGCCTGCCATGTTCCAGGTTCTGATATAGACTCTGTTCATATCATAATGAACAAAACAATTTTAAGAATAAGTTAGCTTGCATTTAATCTAGAAGATCCTTATAGAAGGTAATTTTGGGTAGTTCCATCTCCAATTCGTATCTTCTACAATGGCTTCAAATTTCCCGTCACTTTATATCTAAATTTTTTGGTGTATGCTCAAGCTCTCTGTCAACTTCCTTGCACCAAACGAGCTGTAGGGCCTCTTAACTTACAAATGGGTTGTGATCTAAAGCAGTGATTTTCAAACTATCTGTGTGGTTAATTTTTTTTTAATTTCCAAGCTTGTGGTCTAAGTGTCTTCCTGCGTATGACTAGTGCACAGGTCATGCCACCTGTGACTCACTATGAGAATTCCACAACACCCAAACCAGTCCATACCCTGCTCATTGACACGAGTCCACTGACAATGTGCTTGTATGTTACAGCATTCTCGATTTGCTCTAAAAATTTCTAAATGCTCACTCTCAATTTTAGCACCATCCACATACCACATTTGAAATCTCCATACTTAGTAAGCCCCTTACTAAAACACTTTTGAGGGATTTGGAACACATTTTTTATAAGTGCCTAATTGTATCATGATGGCATTTTTTTACTTTTTTTTTTCCTTCAACTTTTAAGTTCAGGGGTATATGTGCAGGATGTGGGGGTTTCTTACATAGGTAAATGTGTGCCATGGTGACTTGCTGTACAGTTCATCCCATCACCTGCTTATTAAGCCCAGTAACCATTAGCTATTCTTCCCGACACTCTCCCTCCCCTCACACCCCCCTCTGACTGACCCCATCATGTGTTGTTCCCCCTATGTGTCCATGTGTTCTCATCATTCATCTCCCACTTATAAGTGAGAACATGCAGTGTTTGGTTCTCTGTCCCTGCGTTAGTTTGCTGAGGATAATGGCCTCCAGCTCCATCCATGTCCCTGCAAAAGATATGATCTTATTCCTTTTTATGGCTGCATAGTATTCCATGGTATGTATGTACATTTTCTTTATCCAGTCTGTCATTGATGGAAATTTAGGTTGATTCCATGTCTTTGCTATCGTGAATGTGCTGCAATGAACATAAACATGCATGTATCTTTATAATATAATGATTTATATTCCTTTGGGTATATACTCAATAGTTGGATTACTAGGTCAAATGTTATTTCAGCCTCTAGCTCTTTGAGGAATTGCCACACTGTCTTCCACAATGGTTGAACTAATTTACACTCCAACTAACAGCATAAAAGCATTCCTTTTTCTCCACAACCTCACCAGCATCTGTTGTTTTTTGACTTTTTAGTAATAGCCATTCTGACTGGCATGAGATGGTATCTCATTGTGGTTTTGATTTGCATTTCTCTAATGATCAGTGATTTTGAGCTTTTTATCATATGTTTTTGGCCACATGTATGACTTCTTTTGAGAAGTGTCTGTTCATGTCCTTTGCCCATCTTTCAATGGGGTTTTTTTTTCTTGTAAATTTGTTTAAGTTCCTTGTAAACTCTGGATATTAGACCTTTGTCAGATGAATAGATTGCAAAAATTTTCTTCCATTCTGTAAATTGTCTGTTCACTCTGATGATAGTTTCATTTGCTGTGCGGAAGCTCATTAGTTTAATTAGATCCCATTTGTCAATTTTTGCTTTTATTGAAATTGCTTTTGGTATTTTTGCCATGAAAGCATTTTTTTTTTTTTTTGGCTCACCCATTAAAACCTATATTGGCCATGCTAGCTCATGTTTTTCCTGTAAACAGACCTTAGACTATGTGGAGGCAGGAGAAGGAAGAGCTCTGGGACGACTCTTTGGTACACCATTTTCCTTTAAAGAATGAATGCTTCTTATTGTGCCTTCCTTTTCATGTTTTTCTTTTACTTCTCCTTAACCATCCCATTTCATGCAAACGAAGATTAAAATTAACGTGAAAGACTCTCAAATTTTTATCAAGTTCTTGCCAGAGGTATTCCAACCACTTCAATTTTACCAGCCCTAATTAGATAAAGCTATTTAGCATAAATCATAGTTGCAATTCAACCTCAGGCTTATGAACTGGCTGGGACTAAAAAAGAGAAGGAGCCTTTTGTCTCCGATTCACTGGCTCAACTCTGGGGCTGGCTTATGTTGGACTTCCTCCAGCCCCCAATGAGTATGTTTGTAGCCTTATATTACAGTTCTTTTAGGACCTTTTTTTCAATCTATATCCTTTCTTTGATTTTTAACACTGCAAACTCTTTCTTCCCTGTGAATAAACTCTTTTTCTATGGCTCTCATGACTCCACATTGGATTTCTTTGTTGTCTCATTCTCCTCTCTCTCCTCCTTAACCGAGGGCCTCATTCTAGACCTTCTCTCGCCCTCACATGCTCTCAGATGCTCTCATCCTCTCCTATGGAATCAGTTATTACCTAGAGAGACTCATGCCCTCAACTCTTTCCTGAGTATGAGACACGTAATTTCAACTGCTTTCTCAACATTTTCATTTAAGTATCTCGAAAGCGTCACAAACTCAACTCGATGTTATTTTTCTGCATTCCATATCAGGACAACGCCATCTGCTTAAACATTCAAGATAAACACTTGGGATCATTTTTGACTCCTCATTTCCCTTTATTCCCCATCTTCAGCTGATTGCCACTCACCATTCCACCACTGCTGTGTTTATTTCTCCAATCATTCTCATTTTCTCCATCTCCACTGCCTTGCCTCAGGCCCTCATCAGTTTTCACCTGGACCATTCTCAGTTCTCTGAACCCTCAGATCAGCAGTGCCCCACCCAGACTCTAAGATGCAGTCCCACTCCTCCCTGGAGCAACCTCTCCTGGTCACTGCATTGTCTTTTCTCTCTGACAGGCATATCCAATCATCCCTACTCTTGAATACTGACCCTCAAAACTCTTCTTTCTTTAGCTCTTTGTAATATAATCAAAACTCCTTTCTCAGCATGAATTGCCAGGCCTTTTAACACACAGCCCCTGACTAACTCATAGCCTCTTCTTCTGGTTTAACAATAACAATAATAACAGCAAACCACCACATCCCACAGTGCATCCTCTCAGGTATCCTCAAATTTCCCAAACCTGCCAACCTTTCCACCACTTCTCAGGCCCCTGTACCTTTGAGCATTCTATTCTGGCGACCAGCTATGAACCAACCCTTGCCCTGCCCTGATGTTCCTCTATTTGGTATACATGCTTCAGCTTCCAAGGCAACTCCTCCAAGCACAGTTCACTGCTCCTTCTGTTGCATTCCCATAGCATGATGTAAGGGCCTCTATGGATGATTCATTCAATGGAGTTGTTCTGAGCCAGGCACTGAGCTAGATTCTAGGGGTACAAAGATAAAGATGGCCCTTACAAAGATGGCTCTTAAGGAGCTTATCTTCAATTAGTAGAGAAAGACATAAGTGTAAATGGCAAGTACATTTATGTATTTTAAAACAATCGGCCGGGCGCGGTGGCTCATGCCTGTAATCCCAGCACTTTGGGAGGCTGAGGCAGGCGGATCACGAGGTCAGGAGATCGAGACCATCCTGGCTAACACGGTGAAACCCCGTCTCCACTAAAAATGCAAAAAATTAGCCGGGCATGGTGGCGGGCGCCTGTAGTCCCAGCTACTCCGGAGGCTGAGGCAGGAGAATGGTGTGAACCCGGGAGGCGGAGCTTGCAGTGAGCCAAGATCACGCCACTGCACTCCAGCCTGGGCAACAGAGCAAGACTCTGTCTCAAAAAAAAAAAAAAATCAATGTTACAAAGCACTATAGGTGCTGTAGGAGAAATATGGGCAGGACAAATAAACAAAGGAAGGAATGGTTAATTCTGTCTGTGGGGTTGGAGGTGGAAGGAGAGAAACCTAAGGAAATCTATTACAAGAGAGATAACCCTCCTGGAGGGTAATGAGAGGAGGTCATTCCAGGCAGAGAACAGCATAACAAAGGCCTGGCAGGATGAAAGGGCCTGCTATATTTAGGGAAAAGCCTGCTATATTTAGGGAAAAGCAATTGGTTCTCTATGGCTGGATCCTGAGCATCAGCATAGACCCAGTTAGACAGAAGGCTGGAGAAAAAGGAGAAAGCTTTACCTTATAGGGAACAAGGAGCCACTGCATGGTTTTACACAGGGTTAGATACATTACAATTTGTATTTTCAGAAAGATCATTCTAGCAACAGTGTACAGAGTACAGTAAAATATTGGAGGGTGGTCTACATGTGTACTTTTCTTATTGGGTTGTGAGCTCCTAGATGTCAAGTATTGGGGCTCTTTAATTTCTATCCTCCCAGTGCCTAATACATTTTTTCATCAAGCAATAAGAGAGAGGATCTTCAGCCTGGCCAACATGGTGAAATCCCGTCTCTACTAAAAATACAAAAAAATTAGCAGGCTATGGTGGCAGTATGCCTGTAGTCCCAGCTACTGAAGAAGCTGAGGCGGGAGAATCTCTTGAACCCAGGAGGCAGAGACTGCAGTAAGCCAAGATTGCACCACTACACTCCAGCCTGGGCAACAGAGTGAGACTCTGTCTCAAAAGAGAGAGAGAGAGAGGATCCATGATGTTGGTGCTGGCATGTGGGTCTGGGACACAGGGGAATGTAGCTCTAGGCCAGGCTGTGCCAGCTTGGTGAAGCATTAGCAAGTCACTCTGTGCTTTTGTTTCTTCATCTATAAAATGGTGGCCTGCACAAGATCATCTTTCAGTTCTCTTTTGCTCTAACGTTCTGTAATTGTATAAGGGAGGTTCCTTTTTCTTCCTTTTTTTTTTTGTTTGCAGTCAATATTTGGTAATACAAATAAAAGTTTACAGAGGTGGATGTCAAGTGGTAAGTGCACTGTGAAGCACAGGTCGGCCAAAAGTTTACATGAGCTATTTCCTGAAGAGTGGGCAATGACTCTGGTTCAATTATTCACACGGTAAAAGGATGCATTTTTCCTGTTGTGGGAGTACAGAATTGTCTCCTCAAGTGTTGACTCCTTTTAAAAGGAAATAAACAGAACTTGGACTAGTCTTCTTCTTATTATTATAAGGCTTTAAGTTTTCAAATACATTTTGAAGACATTAGAAGCCTGAGAGACACCCAGCAGTTTTGTCCACCTTAAGTTAGTTCTCTATTTATTAATTCAGCATAGTACACAGAGCTCTACCAGGTTCTCCATGTCCCTCTCATAACTGTTGCCTGTCTTTGACTTGGTAAAATATGCTGTGACATTTCTGCTTCATCAGCACATTACTGGCCTGATCACCAGAATTTAAAATTCAGGATCTCCAGCAACAGAGCCAATTTCTATTGACCACCCGCTCAAAAAAGCACAGGTTTATTTTAGCCTCCATGCTATTTGATCTTTATCTTGATGATGCTATAGCCTTCAACCCTCTTGATAAAAATCTTTTTTTGCTGATATATTACTATCTTTTACCCAGAAGTTTGTTTTCTTAAAGAACAAGTTTTCTCAATGTACTTCACTACCATGAACTGTCTGCAATGATATTGAAATGGAAATATTTAAATTTAATTTGTTAGAGATTTTGTGTTCAACTTTTAAAATTTAATGAGGTATTAACCTTTTCCTAAGAAATAATATTTACTGTCTAGTATCAAGCTCAACGATATAAATCTAATTTTGTAATATAATATCTATATTTATTCATAAAACCAAAGAAAATTCTCACTTTGACCACATTTTCTTAATAAGCTATGTCCCTGGGTTTCTTTTTACAGTAAAACATAGCTGCTAAATTTATGCCAGAGCATAACTTTCCAGAGTGGCTTGTAAACCAGCCACAGTAATTTCAAGATATTTTAACTGAGTTCAACCTCCTTTATAAAAAATGTTTAGAGGAGGAAAAGAGACTGTTATTATTATAATTTGGAGAACAGAAAGAGAAAGATAGTGGTGACACCACCCATCTCTTATTCTCTCACAGACATTGTCATGCTCCAGGTGGGGTGGGTGGTGATGCCAGTAATCCCCTGGGCTTTGACTTAGCTGAGCGTGGACTCAGTTTTCAGTTGCTTGGCTTGTTCTTGAAGAGTAAGCTGACAGGGTAGATTTGGTTCTCAGCGTATCATCTAAACAAACAAAACATGTAGGGTAGTAGTTCCACCTCCAGTGAGGGGCTCAGCCTTCTTACAGAGCACTTTTCTCTACTCTCAGCCTCCTGTGCTTGAGAAACAGCAGCAACTGGGCCTGGCTGGGCTAGCTCTCCGAGGCTGCTGTACAAAAAGCCTGTATTCTAATAGACTCATTAACCCCAAAACCTATTCAGAGCACCTAACTTTCATTTGTTGAACTGCACATGAAATATATTTGGGGATATAAGGTTAATATTTCTTAGGAATCAAGAGTCTCCTCGCTAGTTAACTTTAACACAACAGAAAGTTCTTTTTTTTTTTTTTCTGAGACGGAGTCTCACTCTGTCACCAGGCTGGAGTGCAATGGCCCGATCTCGGCTCACTGCAACCTCCGCCTCCTGGGTTCAAGCGATTCTCCTGCCTCAGCCTCCCAAGTAGCTGGGACTACCGGCGCCCGCCACCACGCCCAGCTCATTTTTTTGTACTTTTAGTAGAGACGGGGTTTCACCGTGTTAGCCAGGATGGGCTCGATCTCCTGACCTCGTGATCTGCCCACCTCAGCCTCCCAAAGTGCTGGGATAGCAAATTTTAAGCCAAAACCACTATCTGAGATTTACACAAAGCATAATTTTAGCTCCTCTTTTGTTTCATGAAGTCTAAATAATATTCTCTAGAAGAATTTCCAATATGCAGGCTGATATTTACTATTGCTTTCTTTATCTTCGAAGTGAGATGATGCCAAAACAATTGTTTTTGAATATCTTATGCAAGAAATAATAATGGAAAATAGAAATGTTGTCACTCCGGATAAGTTTTTTCCCCATCCCACAGAAGTTGGAAAAAATAGCATGAAAAGAGTCACTGAAAGGCTAGAATATCACAAATTAATAAATAATAAGTCTGAGTGCTTTCCCATTCACTTATTTTGCCTGTTTTTTGCCCCCCCAGAAGTACCAATTGTGAAAAGCTAACCTCATATCAAGCCTGGGAGAAAGAAGAGGGAATTGTGTACTGACTTAAGAAAAGTGGCAGATAAAAATAAAACATGCATTTTGTTACACAGGAAGATTTTAACGTATATAAATAAATTTTATGATGTTTATTGAACATGAATTACATTGGCATACCTCGCTGCTTTTGCATACTGACAACTGGTACCTGGTAAAAACAAGTTCTTGAATGAATGGCCCTCCACCATTCATTCTCACAAAAGTAGCTCTCCTTCACTTACTTTGGTTCTCAAAAGGTTACTATCCAAACAACTACCTCTTGTGAAAAAAAGAGCGGAAGAAGATGAATTGTTTTTAAAACAAAGCTTGTCAGTTTTAGAAACAAACTTAACCAATTTCAGTGTGTAGTAGGTAATCATTCAACAAATAAGCGCCAAACATGTAAACAGGTCTAATTGTTGTTGTGATAAGCCATTTACTTGAAAGATGCATATGGAGATAACTAAGTCTGTAGTTAGCATGAAGCATGTTAAGTAAGATTAACATGAATGACAAGTGTGGCCTCCAGAGTCAGATGGTCTGAGTGTGAATCTTACTGTCAATCACTAACTGTGAGATCTTGGGCAATATTTGTGCCTCAATTTCCTCATCTGTAAAATGGAAACAATAACTCATAGACTTTTGTAAGATTTGAATGAATTAATAACTGTACAATGATTAGAAAAGTAAAAGTACCTGATATACAATAAGCACTTAATAAATGTTAAGATTTAATTACATGGATTGATTCTGGTTTAAAATTCTTTCTAGCAATGAAATGCCCTAAATTTTTCATGGTGTATGGGACTGAGACTGAAATAATAGACTACAGTTCCGGAAACTTTTTAAAGTGGCTCCTAAAATTATCTTGTCACCCAGGTGCAGTGGGTCACACCTATAATCCCAGCACTTTGGGAGGCTGAGGCAGGTGAATCACCTTAGGTCAGGAGTTTGAGACCAGCCTGACCAGTATGATGAAACCCCATCTCAAGTAAAAATACAAAAGTTAGGCGGATGTGGTGGCGGGTGCCTGTAGTCCCAGCTACCTGGGAGGCTGAGACAGGAGAATTGCTTGAACCTGGGAGGCAGAGATTGCAGTGAGCCGAGATCGCACCACTGCACTCCAACCTGGGGGCCAGAGCAAGACCCCCTCTCAAAAAAAAAAAGTAAAATAAAATTATCTGTCTTCTGGAATACTTATAATTTACATTAAAGCAGACATTGAAATCTTTTCAGCCAGAACCTATACCTGTAACCATATAGCCAAAATTACATTTGTTTAAAAGTGAATTTTCATTTTTGCTCCTCCTCTTTTTCATTCTCCTATTCCTCCCCCCCCCACCTTTTCTACTGGTGTAGCATTTTTTTCTATTGATGTAATTTTGATTTCCAGTTACAGTAAAGACACTTGACTGGATACCATACAAGAGGCAACTATATATATATATATATATCTGTGTGTATGTGTTTGCATGTGCATGTATGTATATATTCTATATTAAATAGGCTGTAGAAATCTTAGTATTACATACAGCATTGATACTAGGGAAAACACATTCCACAATGGCAAATAATTGCGTATTCATTTTTATTCTTCTCAGTAAGACAAGGGCCTGTGGTTATTGATTAGACCAGCTTTGTTTTTAATTTCCTTCCAGTAATGAAGAGGAATACTCTTGCCTGAGAGAACAGGGTGGTCTTTCAGGCCTACTTAAGCTGGGTGAGATGGAGCACACACCCCAACCAGGAGGTGTGGAGGTTCACTGCCAGGACACCCTTATGAGTTAGGTAGTTTACCAAGTGTCATGTCTTAAAGGGTTATGAGTGGGATCATCTCTCCAGATTATCTGCTGCACTGACTGACCTTAAATCACTCTTGCCATGATTTAAGTTCCTTATACTCCACTGTGGCTTCCCCACTGTGATTTATGGTTTGCCAGTAAAAAGTAGTAATCCAAAGTAGTAATAGATCATGTTCTTTCCCCTATTTGCAGCCACTCCTATTGAGTGATTTGAAATACACTTATTTTATGTGATTGTCAAGCCCGGCAATACAGACAAACTAATGCTTTTAGGATTAAAAATCAAAAGCCCTCCCCTGCAAAATGTCCTAACTGTATGTCTAGGAATTACTTAAAACATAAAATTTGCTTATCAAATATAAACAATACCAGGTTCAAGATAGAAAATAAACACAGATTTCAGGTAAAATATAAGTATTGTATCAGCCAGGGCCTGCCATCCCCAACTTGACCCCATTGCCCAAGCTGATGTCTGCCTCTTGCAGACAGCCTTGCCCAATCCCCGTGCCAGTGAGAACCATACCTTGTTCTAATCCAATTCTTTCTCCAGAAGAGAGAAGAGAAATCAGGAAATAGTTTATTATTTCAATTCCCAGCACCTAGCCCAATGTCTGGCACAGTGCCTAGAATATAAAGAGCATTCAGTAAATATTGATTGAATGAACAAATATGCTGTCACCAGGCTGACCCCCCACCACCTGCCTCAACAGAGCCAGTATCCAGTGTGATCTGGGATGGATTTAGCTTCCTGGGGCTTCCCATATGCATTAATCTTCTGTTTCCCTATCTGCCTCTCACATGTGTGGCTGACCATCCTACCTGGCCCTTCTGATTTGGATGGTCATCTGCCCTGGTTCTTTCTCTAAAACCCCTTGGAGTACCACAGTGGAGTCTGCAACACCAGCTAATGGGCCAGGGGGTGAGAAATGCCAAGGGAGCCAGACCTTCTTACTTGGGTCCTATAATTCTTTTTTTTTTTTTTTTTTGAGACGAAGTCTCACTCTGTTGCCCCAGGCTGCAGTGCAGTGGCGCCCAATCTCAGCTCACTGCAACCTCTGCCTCCCGGGTTCAAGTCATTCAGCCTCCGGAGTAGCTGGGACTACAGGCACACACCACCATGCCTAGCTAAATTTTGTATTTTTTAGTAGAGACGGGGTTTCACCATATTGGTCAGGCTGGTCCTGGACTCCTGACCTTAGGTGATCCACCCACCTCGGCCTCCTAAAGTGCTGGGATTACAGGTGTGAGCCTCCGCGTCTGGCCCCTATAATTCTTTTTCCCTAAGCCAAAGCCTTTTTCAAGGGTCTCTTATGTTGCCTGGGAACCTCATCACTAACAACTCTGAGTCCTAATGTTGACAATCCCTGCTTCCCAAAGCTGTGCACTGCTCCCTGGTCCATTCTTTGAATACTATTGCCAGAATAGTATCGTCTCCATATTATGACTCAATTTTTACTCTTTTTGTCTTAAGGCATTTTACTCTCTTGTGTTGTGCAGTTATAATCCAAGTATGAAATCCAATTAACAGAATTTTATCATAGATGTGCTAGAAGCTACAAGGATTTGGTTTGTTTCTTTCTTAGTTTTCAGTTAGCCAATCTTTTCTGAAAGAAATTGAAGCCACCCTCCTCTTAGAAAAAAAATCCTTCTTTCTTCATTTTATTTTCATGGGCTGCTTCTAGGAGTATATTGAATTCTGCCTTCCATATTTCTAATCAGGCTTCACAGTTTCTTCCTTCTCTGTCCCTTTCTCTCTGTTCCTATTTCTGCCATATCAACTAAGGCTTTCCTTAGCTCTTGCTTTACCTATAGCAATACTACCTACTTTGTCTTCTTACTTACTACACCAGTTTATATTGGCTCTGATCGTTATTATCTATGGGGGCTGAGGCAGGTTGCTTTCACTCTGATCCTCAGTTTCCTCACCTGTAAAGTGGCCATATTAGAGTATGGACCTTGTAAGGGTGGTATAAATGTAAGCAAATATCCTTGGTTCTCCTGAGCTATAAATCCAAATGTGATCATGTTAATTAAAAATCTTAATAGTTCTTATCCTTCCCCAAATATTTATGAGAAATTCATGAAATGGATTAACTCAATAAATATTGAGCACTCTGTGTGAGTCACTGATGTGGGCTCTGGGGACACAACAATAAACAGACAGACCTGGACACTGCTTTCTTGGCATTTGCTTTTTGGGATAGGAAAAACGATGATTAAAAAAGAAGAAAAAGAAACAAAAATGACAAAACATGAGATGATGATAAGTGCTATGGAAAGAAAGTCGGGGTAGGCAGAGGGTAGGAAGGCAGAGGGGTTGCTCGGTTTTACATAAGGTGGTCAGGGAGGGCCTCATCGAGTAGGTGTTTTTGTACAAAGACATTTGGGTGTCATTGGTGGACAGATCTTACCTGTGTTCTTAAGCCAGTGTTGTCATCATGTGTATTGTTATAGTTAGCCAGACACCAAGATGCTGGCACTGACAGCACCACTGTGAGCTAAAAGTCCACAAACGGTGTCAGCGTGGAGCCCTGCACAGTTACCCTAGCCAATAATGCTTTTGAAAAACAGGAAGTAAGAGAGTTGACTTTTTCAGCATTAATGCTCAAGGTAAAGTGTTATGACTGAATTAACTGAAATCAACTACTATTTCCTTAACACAACTTGGATAAAAACCTTTTTCTGCAATCACAGCTGGCACTGTGGTGCCGGTTTTATGGGAAATTGAGGGCTATGATAGCCCCTGTGATGTCTGTCAGCATCCTCTTTCAAAGTGGGAAAAGAAAAGCTCTCTTCCTTAATATAACACTGAGTTACCAGTTACTGGGCGATAGGCCCTAGAGCATTAAAGAGTTTCATGGCTCTTTCCATGACTCAGAGGCCCTTCTTTGTTTTCTTCTGGGAAGACACATGCAAGGAAGCTGGGTTAGGCCCTTCCCTGTGACAGTCAGACTTACCATGACCTTCCAGGTCTAAAGCCCAGTCTTACCATTACAAACTCCTTCCTCAACCAACGGTGCTCTCTCCAGGGGCCCCACCATTCCTGCCAGCACTCTGCCTACCTCTGGAACTGTCTCCAGACATGCCCATGAATGCTGAAGACCCTACTGAGGCAAATATTTCCATTTTGCCCCCAGCAAACTTCTCAGCCTCCTTATAAATCAATGGATGCCAATCATTGCTTAAAGGGAAGAGACGTTGTCTAATTCTGCATCACAGCCATATCTGTCTGAATTCTGACCCATCTGGGACATTGTATTGCACAAGAAATAGAAAAATAATTCATGAAGTTCCTAGCATAATTCTTCTGTTTAGTAGGTATTCAAAAATTGGTAACTATTGTAATTACTTACGTAGTAGTTTAATGGGCAATTGTAAACATATTGTTTATAATTTTTGTTTTTTTCAAAATGTTTTACAAAATCATGTGTTATATAATAAGAAGCAAATTCTTTCAAAAAAAATAAAACACACACACACACACCAAACTCTTGACACATAGCTGTTTTCTTCCCCTCCTTTTCATCTAAACTTCTCAGAAAAGTGTCTTGCACTCACTATTTCCACTTCCTCAACTTGCTTCTATCTAGCTTCTGCCCCGATCATTCCTCTAAAAATTGATCTCACTGAAGCCACCAGCTGCTTTTGAATGTTCTTCCCTCAGGAGTATGTTGGTGGGTCTGGGAAGGGAAGGCACCCTCAGGTAAATAATAACCCAGAGCAGAGTGGATTGAGTAGAAGGGAGAGGACAAGGATACAAGAGGTGAGGCAATGTCATCCAAGTTGAAAGAATGGTGCAGAACCAAAGTTGGATCCAAACACTCACCTTGTCCAAGAGCCAGGTATTCCAGTTAGAAGTCTGCTCACCTGAGCAGAAGAGAGAGTCCAGAAACAAGCCAACTCCAAACAGGTAATAAACTGAAAAACCAAAGTAGTCCCAGAAGGAAGAGTGCAAGGAGTTGGAAGGCCAAGAGGAATTCCACATTCAGCAACTTACCAGCTGCATTTGGCTGGGCCTTCCTGGGAATATGTGATGAAACGTCCAGATCTACAATGCTATCTCTTTCAGAAATGAGAGATGGGCTCCCAGGGCACTCCTATACTGGATATGTCAACACAGTGCCTGCCACACCCAACTTCCTCTTTGAGATGAAAGTGCCCCACCCACAGCCCCCTGCTTTGAGAAGCAGAGGTAGGTTGTTCTTTGCCCAGGGATGGCTCCTGATTGGACCAATGATTGGCCCTTGACATTAGGGGCTGCCTTCCCAAAAACCAGGGCTTGAATGGAAAAGGTAAGTTTGATCAATCAGATTCTCTCCTTCTGGGATTTGAATTGGGAAACATGGATAGAAAGAAGCAGTTAGCCATGGGAGCTGAAGCTGAAAGGATGGCATACAATGGAGTGGAGCCATGGAGGATTATAGCAAACCAAAACTATGAGGAAGCAGAACCATGTGATAAGAAGGCAGAATTTATGAATAAGCAGCAATTCTGAGGTAGAGAAAATACATGAAAAGTAAACAGAATTTTTTAGTTGGAATAAGACAGCAAGAAGCAAACCTGCAAAGAGTCGCAAGAAATGAGAAGTGGTGCACAATTGTCATTAAGATCCTATCATCTGGCTCAACTAAGAGCCAGTTTCAGATCACCCGGATTTACTAAGGCTCCTGTGCTCTTCATCAGATTTACCCCAGCTTTCCAGGTTTCCATGCTGGTATTTCTTGGGCTCCTACTATGAGCTAGGCACAGTTCTAGGTGTTTGGGATCTAAGGGCAAATGAAACAGGAAAATACTTAAACCCCTCATAACTTGCGGCAGGGTCTCTGTTTCAAAGGGCCAAGTTAAAATAACTACTCTTGCCTTCACCATTTCCCATGGTCCAGTTGGTGTCATTATGTTGTCATTATGAGTCTACACCCACTTTGGCATGCAGTTCATATATATCACCTCCACTGCTAGGGTGGGTAACTGGAGAATCAGGAAAAGAGAAAATAAAAAACAGAAGTTGGGAGATGGGACATGAAGGAAGTCAGATGATGTATGATAATGGCAGCAGAGTGGCTGAATGCCCAGGCTTTAAATTAACTTGCATTCAAAATTTTGCTCTATCACTTATTCATTAAGCGGCTTTTTTGGCAGGTCAGTTTTCTCAGCTGTGAGCTAGAGATAAAATAGCATTCTCCTCATTGCATTTTTTGAGAATTAAGTGAGAAAATATATGCAGAGCATTTAGCATAGTACTTGGCCCATAGTAAATGCTTGATAAATGGTAACTATTTTTGCTGATGCTATTATTATCAGCAATCCTCTAGTTTTCCCATTAGTTGGATAGAATGAATGGGCTGGCGGGGAATTAGATGGCATCCTATGTCAAACCTCTCTGAAGGCTGATGCCAGCCATAACATAGTAGGCTCATTAAAGCTCCTTCTAGTTGGTGCATTCCTTCCCGGGTACTGTCTAGCTGCAGGAATATCAATAATACCAAGAAGAGGGCCAGGCACGGTGGCTCACGCCTGTAATCCCAGCACTTTGGGAGGCCGAGGCGGGCGGATCATGAGGTCAGGAGATCGAGACCATCCTGGCTAACACAGTGAAACCCCGTCTCTACTAAAAATACAAAAAATTAGCCAGCCATGGTGGCGGGCGCCTGTAGTCCCAGCTACTCGGGAGGCTGAGGCAGGAGAATGGCGTGAACCCGGGAGGCGGAGCTTGCAGTGAGTCAAGAGATCGCGCCACTGCACTCCAGCCTGGGCCAAAGTGCGAGACTCCGTCTCAAAAAATAAAAAAATAAAAAACAATAATAATAAAACCAAGAAGAGGTGTAAAAAAAACACTAAGGACAAAAACCGTTGTATGCAAAAAAAACAGTTCTGGAGGGCAGGCAATAATAATTAGTGAAAGCAAAGTGTGTAGCAGTGATATTAGCCAGAGCAGTCAGTTGTGTGGGGGAGGCAAAAAAGCACATTTATTTCTTAAGCACTACTTTTGTCACCTGTCTAGGGGTGGTGGGTATGTGGATGTAGACCTGATAGGCCCAAACTGAGGCATAGCTGAGGGCTGTGGTTGGAAAGCAGTGCTTTGAGAGACCATGAAAGTAGAAGCCCTCTTTTACCTATCAGGGTATAAATGACTGGAATGGGTGGAGGAGCAATGCAGGGAGGGAAGAGGGCAGAGTCAGGGAAGAGGTCAAGAGGGGCAGACCTCCCAATGACTTGGGCGGCTGAGGTGGGAGGATAACCTGAGCCCATGAGTTTGAGTTCAGCCTGGGCAACATAGCAAGACCCTGTCTCTATAACAATCAATCAATCAATCAATCCAGGAAGCGGGCAGACAACAAATAGAAGTCCCAAAACTGGAGTTTCAGATGCGAGTGTGGATCAGAAGGAGTCACCGCGGCTCTAGAGGAACCCTGAGGTATCTTTGCTTTGGGTCCAGGTGCTTTTGTGGTAGTGTACCAGACCATATCACCTCAGAGAGGGCCAGTGGCTGTGCTGAGGCTGCATTCTGGCCTTCCTAGCAGGGATGAGCACTGCCTTACTCCTATAAAGACCTTCGTGGCATTTAACATCAATCCATATTGCCCCAAGAGGCCCTGTATCAGGATTAAGACCATGCATAAATGTCTAAAATACATCATTTGAGCAGAATGATTGTGAAATACTCAAGCCATAGTCTTCCAGAGTGAGTCTCTCTGTTACCTCTTGTACTCAGGCTTTCAGGATAGAGAATCTGGTCTGTGATTCTGAGTGCTGGGCACACAGCTGATGGAGCACCCAAGCACAGATAAGGTGAGCTGCCTTGCATAGCATGAGCTGAGCTTTCAGGCTATGGCAGACTGAAGTCCCTATCACACATTGGACCCTCTAGGGCTTGAAAACATGCTTGACCACAGGCCCTTCCCCTTTCCACGCAGGGATAATGAAGTGTGGCATAAAGCTTCTCCTGGGTCAGGGTGGCCCACTCCACAGTGTTGGCAGCACCAGTCTCAACAGTGTGATGCTGAATGAAGCTAGGTTCCAGCTGTGTAGAGCTGGCATGCAGGTGCAGAGGACACACTGTGGAGCTGAGTTGCTTGCATTCATTTCTATTCTTAGTAAATTTTTTACCTGTATGGCTTTATAGGAGTTACTTTATCACTCCATGTTTCAGTTTCCTCATCCGCAAAACAGCAATAATAATAGCATATAGCTCATAGGGTTATCATGAGTATTAAATTAGTTAATATAGGCAAGCCCTTTCAGCAGTGCCTGGCACATCGTCAGTGCTTGCTTGTGCTGTACTGGAGCAGAGGTGCAGCGAGTCTTGACTTGCCAAACATAGTGTCAACCTCAGCACATCAGGAAACTTCCTTCTCTATTTTAGGAGGTCATTACTAGGGCAGTTGCACAGAAAAAGACAAAATGGTGTTAGACATCTCTTGAAAATGTCTAGGTAACCTCAGTGACCAGGGTGTCTCTCACTCCAGAATCACAGATAACTGGCTACACTGAACTTGGTTCAGAAATGTCACACATTTCTGTGCTGTTTTGAAGGTGCTGATGTTTCAGGTAACTCAGAACTGTTGGGGCCAGAGTATTGTATGAAGCATAGCTAGTCAGGTTGCATGTGGATGTTTCAGGATATATTAGGACATTTTCCAAGAAGAGCAAAAAGCATCCCCTTGAAAGTCCTGCAGGATACTGATCATGCTGCTGCCATAGGTCAAGAGGCATTGTGTTCTCTGCAAACTCTCTGTCATCCAAATGCAACGATGGAAGGCAGACAAGGTGCTAGGCACTCAGAAGATCTAATTTTATGGTCCTTCTGAGCTGGCCCAGGAGAGAGGGAACCAGACAGTATTAGGATCCCAGTAATCCTAGCAGAGGGCCCAGTCATCTGCTTTTCTTCCTCACAAAGTTCTCCACTGCCTTCTTGGGAGAGATAGGGCCCCAGTGGATTTCAAGGCCTATGAATTCCTACCGAGTCTCAAGTTATGGGTGTTGTGGTGGCCACAGGGAGGCCAGATAAAATTCAGAACACCAATTAAATTTGAATTTCAAATAAATGATGAATAATGTCTTAATATATATCTATCCCAAATATTGTGTGGCATATACTTATACCAAATATGTATTTGTTATCTGAAGTTCAAATTTAACTGGGTATCCTGTATTTTCATCTTCTAAGTCTGGTAACCCTCACTGAGGGATATGGTCAGGGAAGGCTGATGGATGGGTGCAGCCTCCAACTAAACAAAAATAATAGAGATGCTACAGGTTTCTGGTGCCCTCACATCAGAGGGGACTCTTCTTGCAGGACTTTCGAGGAGATGCTTTTTGCTTTTCTTCATAATACTGGCTCATTCGGTTCAAATCTCTGAGAGTGAGGCAGGTCTGGACACTTACCCAACTCTGATGCTGTAGTTGCCTACTCTACAGATTTCAAGGACTCTTGCCAATCAATCAGGGCTATGAGAAAGTCCCAGTGGTGTCCACACAGTGTGGGCTTCCAGACTATAGCCAGGCCACTATCCAGAAGACATGAGAAGTCCCATTTACATAAGTATCCTCTTCCCCAAATATAAGCCTTCTATCTCCATAAACTAGTGGAGCTGTGACAAAAAATAACATGGCAACTGGGAAGGCTCACCTGAAGACAGACAGCTTGCTCTGGCAACAGGCAGTGCAAGACTTGGCAAATCTGACCAGCAACCTGTGATCTCAAAGGCAGCAGCCCTGTTGTCAGACATTTGCTACATCTACAGAACAGATACAGCAACCACCAGCTGAGACCACAACTCATTTCCCGTATGGAGGCTGAGTTTCAGAGAATCAGCTGGAGATACAGCCCTGTGGATTGAGGGTCAGTGCCCAACCTCACTGACTGTAGGTGGGAGTGGGTAGTAACCAAAAATAAGGATGTGGTGTAACGCTGGGTTTCCTAAGCTGAGAGAACAGTCCAGAACCTCAGAGAAGTGTACATAGGTAGAGACTGAAAGCCAGGTCACTAAGACCCAGAAACAAAGATCTATCCAGACAGGTAAAAAATTCAAGGCATTCTTGAGAAACAAAGTTCAGAGAGTGAACCAGCAACAGGTTGATGTTTCCAAAGTCAGTGTGTGACTAGCCACCTGTGTTTTTTTATTATTATTCCTGAGTTGTGGGTGGGGAATAGGCTGGTTACAGATGCTTCCCTGAGATTAGGGATGCTGTCAGGGGGCAGACCTAACTCTCAACACCAAGGAACATTTCCAAGGTCTGCTCTTCAGCTACTCTGTTATCCCTGACTTTGTTAGACCCTCCCTTTCGTTGTCACTCTCTGCACACTTGGCTTCTGAGACTGTGCTCTTCAAGTCTCCCTCTAGCTGCTCCTTCTCTGTCTTCTCCAAGGTCTCTTTTTCTTCCTGCTCCTTAAGTGTTCATATTCCTTAGGGTCCTGCCCTTAGCCCACTGCTCTTCTCTTTTCTTTCTATCTTTGGTTTCTGGATGTTCTCATTTGCCGTCATGGTTCCAACTGAGACTGTACCTGGCTAAAATGTCAGTTACACAGATTAAACACTTGCATCTTTTTTGCAACTTCCTAGCTGTGAGACCTAGGCTAAATTATATCAACTTTTAGGCTTCCCTCTTTTTTTTTTTTTTTTCGAGATGGAGTCTCGCTCTGTCACCCAGGCTGGAGTGCAGTGGCGCAATCTTGGCTCACTGCAACATCCGCCTCCCAAGTTCATGCCATTCTCCTGACTCAGCCTCCCGAGTAGCTGGGACTACAGGTGCCCGCCACCACGCCCGGCTACTTTTTGTATTTTTAGTAGAGACAGGGTTTCACCGTGTTAGCCAGGTTGGTCTCAATCTCCTGACCTCATGATCCGCCGGACTCGGCCTCCCAGAGTGCTGGGATTACAGATGTGGGCCACCGCGCCCGGCCCTAAGCTTCCCTCTTTTAAACTCATCAGCCAAATGAGTATAAATAACATCGACTATATATATATATATATATATATATATATATATATATATATATACCCAGCTTATATGGTTACATGAACATTAAATAATACAACATACGCAAATTGTATGAAAATTCTTAGCATAGTGCCTGACACATAGCAAATAGTCAATAAATGCAACCCTAATAGTGATTATTATTATTTACATGGTCTTGCATCTCAGAGCTTTGTTTCCAGCTTAGTACTCTCTCAGGAGCCACACTCGTATATCCAGCTGTCCACTGCATATTTCTACACGGATGTTCCAAAGACACCTTATATTCATTGCATCAAAAATGAAACTTGTTTTGTCTCCTTCTAAACCTCTTTTTCTTCTCTCTTCTCTACCTCACTTGTTGACACTATCATTTATCAGTCACCCAAGCTGGAATCTTAGAAATTATTTTTCATTTCTGTCTTTTCCTTGGCATTGCCACCCAACTCTGCTCCTTATCAAATTAACCATTAGAATCTGATAATTTTACTTCTTCAACTTTTTCATTTTACATTCTCTCCCCATTTCTTGATAAAAACATCTTTAGAAAGCAATGATTCAAGGCTGAGTCCCTGGCTTTTTAGAAGTTTGTGACTTTGGTGGCAAAAACAGACTCTTATAGCAGATTATCTTATTGTTTAAAATATTTGCTGCCCCTGCCTATGGGGCCTATGGAAGGAATTTGGCCATGGACTTGCATTGACCAATAGAAGGCAAACATATGTCATATATGCTGAGCAGAAACTATTAAGACCCATCATGTGGTTTCATCTTTCTCATTTCCCTTGCTATGATGCTACCATATCCCAAATAGGGCCAGCTCCTTCAGTCTAGATTAAGAATGCAAAAGACATGAAGTAATCAGTGGCCAATTTACGGTGTACATGTAACATGAACAAATACAAATCTATTTTGTTATTAGGATATGGGGATTATCCATTACTGTATCACAACCCGGCTAAAACTGACTGATACAACTCCTTTGAGGATTATAAACACAGTCTTTGAAGCTAATGCATGATGATATGAAAATCAGTGTTGATGATGTGACACGCAGTGTTTTCCAACAAAGTAAGAAAGTTCAGTATGCTGCCAGGCATCACAGATGCGCCACACGTGCATCGGGTACCAAGGGTGTTCTGTTCGTCAAAGTTCTGTTTGACAAAATAAAACTTTTATCATTTTGAAAATGTCATTAGCTACAGGAGTTTTCAAAAGGGGCCAACAAAATTAAACTTTAAAAATCTGTTTGGTGTGTACATAACACACAAAACAAGAGCTGACTGCACTGAAAGATACCAGGGATTCATAGAGTTGTATGCTGAAAGGAAATGGCATTTCTGTGAGTTTATTTATGACCTACTTCAATATATTGGAAGAAATGTCAGCAATTTGGAGGTTGGTAACGTAATTTAACAGAAAAACAGCTTCAATTTTCTAACTCTACCACAAACCCCAAATCAGCCTGACCATTTCTAGGGCACACATCTGCTTTGCTTGGTAACAATAGCAGCAGCAACAATAAGTAATGACAAATGATCACATATAAGGAACCATGTTAATGTATCACTAGATATTAAACAGGGCATTACTTTACTGGTATATGTGTCCAATTTGAATAAACAAATTAGTATATGTGTCAAATTTGGATCCAGCAGGGCACTTCAAAACTTAAGTAATCATGACTCAACTCTAAATACTCAATTTTAAAGTAGTTTCTAAACTTCAGCATATTGACATTCCGGGCCAGATAATTCTTTTTTGAGGAACTCTTCTGTGTAGGATGTTTAGCAGTATCCCTGGCCTAACCCGTTAGATGCCAGTAGCACCCCACATTTGTGACAACCAAAAATGTCTCTAGACATTGCCAAAAGTCCCTTGGGTGACTTCGTGCTCTAAAGCTATGAATCTAGTGGGAAGAAATTAGAAACCAGAATACTACATAGAAAATATTTTTGAGTAGACAGGACTATTGATTCATCTAATTAGTTCAGGTAGTTAGCTGATCATTTTTCTTGTAATTCAAACAAACCCTTCCCCAATTCTTAGTAATAGCTGTTGATTGAGTGCCGATTGTGGACAGTAAACATAATTTGCATAGTCAATATAGCTTGGAGATTAAACACTCGGCTCTGTAGTCTGGGTTGCAATCCTGGCTCTGCCATCTGCTCTCTGTGTAACCTGGGGTATGTTTCTTTACCTCTCTGCCATTGTTCCTCAACTGTACAATGAAATAATGATAGCATGCATGAAATCATACAGGCATGTTGTGAGAATTTAATAAGTCAATGAACATAAGGTGCTTAGAACCAAGCTTAGGGTATGGAAAACAGAGAATAGATGTTTCTTGTTATTCTTAAACCTTACAACAACCGTTCAAGTTAGGCAGCATTATCTGCATTTTATACATGTGGAAGCAAATATTCAGGGAAATCAAGTCCCAAATACACAACTGCTAAATCACTTGGTTAACAAGAAGAGGAATCAGATTCAAACTCCAAAACTGCCATGTTTCTCACTACACGGCAGGCTTGGGTGGAAAACAGGTTAAACCTGGGAGAAAGAGTCCTCTTTTAGGGATAAAAATTGGGATTGTTCAGCTGGTGTGGTGTGTTTGCATGGGGTAGCACAAAGCCCCCGTGAACATGACTTTTACCACTATCTGTGTGAATTTGGCAAGCGTCTCGAACATCCTGGGGCTGTTTACTCATCTGCAAAATGGACACAAAAACACCTGCTCTGCGATCTTCACGGGTGGTGGTCAGAGTCATGTGAAAAGATGCAGGCAGTAGAGCGCTGTGAAACTCTAAAGTGCTCAGCAAATGTGAGGTAGGCTGGGTGCCCTGGTTCACGCCTTTAATCCCAGCACTTTGGGAAGCCGAGGCGGGCGAATCACTTGAGGTCAGGAGTTCCAGATCAGCCAGGCCAACATGGTAAAACCCAATTTCCACTAAAAATACAAAAATTAGCCGGGCGTGGGGGTGCGTGCCTGTAATCCCTACTCGGGAGGCTGAGTCAGGAGAATTGCTTGAACCTGGGAGACGGAGGTTGCAGTGAGCAGAGTTCGCACCACTGCACTCCAGCCTGGGCGACAGAGAGAAACTCCATCTAAAAAAAAAAAAAAAGGTAAGGTGGAAATATAAGCCTGGGCTCTCGGGTAGTCATGTCTAAGACCTTTCAATCCCTTAGTCATGTCTTGCTTCTCCCGCAAAAGCAAGTTTTTCTGTGGCCCCATGTCGCCATCCTGGCCTCAGGGGCAGCTGACCTTGCTGGGGAGGCACCATGTGCAAGTGGGCGGGGATGGGGGCTTCTCCCCTGGTTCCAGGGTGGGCAGACTGGGAGGTGACCCCAACATGGATGTGGCAGCTGCTGCTTATCTGTAGTTAGTCAACGGCCCAGACAGATGAGGTGTCCGTGGTGACCTTCCTGCCTCAGTGAGTGTGGGAACTCGGGGCTTCCCAGGGCGAAGGAGTGGGAACATAAACAAAATGGGCCCTGCCGGAGCTCGGGCATCGCATCCTCCCTCAGCCCTGCCTGAACCTCGGAGGAGGCGCCCAGGAGATCATCCAGGCACCGCTGCCTAGGGCCGCGCAGGGAAGACGGCCAGGGCTCCAGGGTCCGCCTCAGTCACTGTCACCCCGCAACATGATTCTGACTCCCCCAAAGGTGGGTGCTTCCTGCCAAAAGTCCCACCACCGGCACCCTTTGTTGTCAGAGGGCAGAGTCAGAAATATGTCATCCTGGTGGAAACTCTCCCTCCCTCCCTCTCCCCTCAGCAGATTTAGCCCTGGATTCCATGGACTGCTGCAGGGGTTAGTCTTCTGGAGAGAGCAGGGCCCCTGCATCTCTTTCTGACAAAAGACGGCAGACATAAACAAGGGGAAGTTTGAAAGAAAGAGAAACGGCTAATTCTCAGCAACCTTTCATATGTCTGCGGAAGGCTTGGCATCCATGGCCCAGCCTTCTTCAGGATGAGCACCTATGTCTGCTACTCTTTGCATCAAGTGACTTCTCCATGCCTTTCTTGTGTCTTTTTTCTCGCTCCTTTCTGTTGCCTCCTTTATGTTTTCTCACTGCCTAGCTCTTCCCAATAGCACCACCCCGAGTGGTTCTAGGGCAAAATAGTAAAGCATTTTAAATTTGTTTTCATGACTTCCCACCCTTTTTTCAGTCTCGTTCCTTTCCATCTTTAAGGTGGCCAGCAGCTGCTCCGCACTTGACAAACGTGCTGGACACTGCTGCTGGGGAGACATCAGCCGGCAAGCAAGGGAAAGTTGCAGACTTCTCAGTGCTTACCTCCTAGCTGGGAAGACAAATATTGGACAACTATTCTCTAAAGGAGGCATGCAGAGTGCTGTGAGTGCCTGTCAGTAGGTGCAGACAGGGGCTCAGGGAGAGCATCCTGGAAGAAGAGATGTTTGGGTTGAGCCTGGAAGCGTGAATGTTGGGTGAAGTGTTGGGAAGAGAGGTGAAGACAGAGAATAAGACAGGGGAGAAGGAACACATTCTATGTGAAGGTGCTGAGGGAAGATAGAACATTTGAGGAACCAAAAATGAATTGTACAGCTGCCTGTGGTACATAGCCTGGGCCTCACCCTCTCCCCTGAGCACTTGACAATGCACATAAGGTCCCTAAACACTTCTGCCTACTCACCCACCATAAAACCTGTCATGTTTGCTCTCCCTTTAAGGCTCTGTTTTTTTGCCTTCCATAATTGCGATCTCAACTGATAGTTTCCTAAGACAGATTTGGGGTCTGGAAACAGATTCTTAGCTGAATTCTACTACTTCACTGTGCAAACTTGAGGAAGTGAGGTATATCATCAGTAATATGGGCTAATAACTGTGCTAGTAGTAACATTTCATGATTGTTTACACTGCATCAGCTTCCAGTGCTAAGCACTTTTGTCTTTTATTGTATGATTCTCACAAATCCTCATAAGGTAGGTAATGCTTTTATCCCTTTCTCCCTTCTCAAAGGATTCTTAGGAAGCCTAGGTGTGACACTAATTATAGATGCACTTTGTAACCATTAAGGGTTAATGCAAAAAATGAAATATTATTGTGATGTTCAATAATAGTACCATGATGTTCAACAAGTACATATTTAATGAATAACTGCATTTGTTGAATGCCATGACAGTTGTGGGCTATAATTAAATGAGTCTCAAAATATTTTGTGTCTGTCTCCTGAACAAACCAAATAAAAAGCAATAGAAGGAATGAAAAACGTTGTCATCACCAATTTGCTAATTGTATGCCATGCCGGACCACAGAAGAGAGAATTCCACAGATGTGACCCTGAGCCTCCAAAGTTTACAGTCTGATGACCACCACTACCTGGAATGCAGATACAGATAACAGAGTGAAAGCTCAGTATCAGTTGATACAACACTGGGTTGTATCAAGCTCATTTCCTACCAAGGGTAAGGATCTTTCAGGAGACCGAATGAGCAGGAAAAAATTCATGAACTTCTTTTAAAATTCAAGGTGGGGGCTGAAGCCAGAAGGTTCTAAGTCTCTTAGTATTCTCCTTAGTACATGTCTCTTCACTTTCTATCACCTTATCACAGCGTTTTTTTCACCCAACCCCAATTCTGGGGAATTATTTATACATGATATATGCACTGTCATAATAATGACATATTCTTAAATTGTCAATTTCTGAAACCACGTATGTGTATCACAAACTAATATGAATGTGTGTGTGTGTGTGCGTGCACGCGCATATTTATGTGTGTGTGTATGAGTGGCTTCCTACACTTACACTCCCCTACTTGAAGAGAAGTGGTACCGGCTCCCCCTGAAATCAGCCAATGTGGGAGGAGTACTGACACCAAAAACAAAGGAAATGAAATAGGATAACTGTGGTTTGAGGCTCACAGGTCAGATGAGAGGCAATGAATGAGAAAGTCAATGAGCTGAAAATGACTTAAGTACAGGCACCTCCTAGGAATTATACCCCTAATAAATGATTGTATTGAACATTTGTTTAAACTGATGTAAAGTACTTTGAAGGTTAACATCCTTTCCCTCCCTCACAATATTAAGTAGTGTAGCTTGGAGGTTGAAAGCAGATTCTGGGTTCAAATCCAGGTTCTGTCAGATTCTACCACTTACCAGCTAAATGACGTTGGACAAGTCACAATATCTCTAAGCCCTTATTTCTTTACTTGTAATGTGGGAGTACAATCTGCCCCCATGAAGCTCTTAAAAGGATACAGAAAAATAAAATGTGACAAACGTCTTGCATTCAAATGACTACTTGATGGTATTTTATAGGTGACAAAATAGATGCCCAGAGAAGTTAATCTCCTTTCTTGGGTCCCCCCGAGTGTTAACAGCAGTGCAGGGAAGGAGTCAAGCATCCTGTCTCTGGCCCATGGCTTTTTTATCCATGTGGAGCACCAGTCCCACACAGAAATCATGTTTAGGCTACAAGTGATTTTTCATATATATCTTCTTTAATTTGCATTTGTCTGCCAAATCCACACATTAGCAAGCTCAAAACTCCAATGGAAAGGCGTATATAGGATCTTCTGGAAAATTAGATCTGGAATGACCCTAGCAGACCCAAAGAACTATGTGTGAGAAAAAACACAATACCCTGTTACACCCCCTTCAATTGTGGGCAGGTAGATTATTTACTTTGTGGGTTGATGTAACACAATTTTTAATCCCATGTTGGCTACGCTCTGCCACTTCCCCCCACCGTTAGTGGGTGTGTGCTCAGGCAGTGTAAACTCAGGAAGGTAATGCAAAACCAGGAAAGTAAATCTGCTTCTTATACCTCTCACCCCACATCAGCCTCCTCCTCTCTTTTTACTTCATTCTCTTCAGCTTTAAAAAAACAGAGGTAAATGTATTTTCAGTTGTCTTTGGCACAGCCCTGTTTTGGAAATCATAGACAGCCAGCTGGACCAGGAGTCAGGAAGCCAGGGGCTCTCATCTGGATCTGACATTGGTTAACTGTGGGCCTTCAGGAAAGTTAGATCAGTCCTCCAGGCTTTTGTTCCTTTTCTGTACAATGAAAAGAAGACTAGAGTATTTATGAAGTGCTTACTGTGCACCATGTGACATCAATTGTATTACTTTATTTAATCCATAAGAGAAAGAACTCTACTAGCTAGGAATATAGATCTGTAGTATTCAAATTTAAAAATGCTCAAGTTGCCCAAGGCCACAGAGGTGGCAAAGAGGAAGCTGAGTTGGACTTTGAACCTAGGACCATCAGATTCCAAATTTTATGCTTGAATGAGTTATCCAGTACAATCTATAATTTTCTTTTCTGTTCTAATATTATGCTGTTATGTGAGCACCACTCATCAATATTTAGTTGGCTTAGTTTATTACAGTGAGTCATTCTTCCATGCCTTGGGGTCTTACTCTATATAGGCAGAAGCCCTGACTAAATTTACTACATCCCTTATTTAGTCAGCTAATACATTAGTTGTACACTCTGATATTGTAAGTAGTGGTTTTATTGCCATTAGTGAAAATTAGTGAGCCACCAGGTGTGGTGGCTCACATCTGTAATCCCAGAACTATGTGAGGCCGAGGCAGGAGGATCACTTGAGCCAAGAGTTCGAGACCATCCTGGGCAACATGGTAAGACCCCATCTCTACAAAAAAATACAGAAATTAGCTGGATGTGGTGGTGCATGCTTGTAGTCCCAGCTACTTGGGAGGCTGAGGTGGGAGCATCACTTGAGCCCAGCAGACTGAGGTTGCAGTGAGCCAAGATCCATGCCACTGCACTCTGGCCTGAGTGACAGTGCCAGACCCTGCCTTAAAATACATACATACATACATATATACATAAAGTAATGCTTGCCTTCATCTGATATGCTTCTTCCAATAAGAAAAAACTTTTCTTGGAAACTCTTCCCCTATCCTTCTTTGGAAACTTTACATAATTGACTTTACCTTCTATTATTTAGATTGTTTATTGACAAACCAAAATTATTTGATGTGTATGTCTAACCCATATAGAATCAGGGCATAATATGAAGGGTACTTGGTTCCTGCAAGGGTGTTTGCACAGGAATACTGGACATGAGACTACCAGCTATTCAGCATTACAGTGGAGATTTGTCCTCTTATTGTCAGGTGCCTCTCAAGTTGGACTCACATAAGAACTAAATATGTCTCAGCTATAACTTCACTACATAATGGTTGGAAGAGGAGTGCACTGGAGTGCACCCCACTCTGTGGAGGAGAGACAGGAATACTTAATATTTCTTCTGTAGTCAACCAGGTATATCATTGAGCCTAATTCTTCACATTGCAGTTATATTCTCTAAAAGTAAATATGATGCTTATTTTAGTTGCTATTGCATCCTTAGGCTAGCCCAGTGCCTAGCACATAGTAGGTGCTCAATAAATATGTGTTAAGGCCGGGCGCAGTGGCTCACTCCTATAGTCCCAGCACTTTCACACAAGGTCAGGAGATTGAGACCATCCTGGCTAACACGGTGAAACGCCATCTCTACTAAAAATACAAAAAATTAGCTAGGCATGGTGGCGGGTGCCTGTAGTCCCAGCTACTGGGGAGGCTGAGGCAGGAGAATGGCGTGAACCCAGGGGAGGCAAAGCTTACAGTGAGCCGAGATCGTGCCACTGCACTCCAGCCTGGGCGACAGAGCGAGACTCCGTCTCAAATAAAGAAATAAATAAATATGTGTTAAATAAATGAACAGGACAAGACAAACCAATAGGGAAGATAATTAGGAGCACCTGGACCTGGGTTAAATGTTGGTTAGCAATTTCAATCTGCCTAAATCTTGTGATATGAGCTCCTTAAGAGCAATGACTCTTTTACTCATCTTTGTATTCCCTAGGATTTAGCCTTCATAATAGGGGCTCAAAAATTTCCATGGGATTAAATCATCTTATAGTAAAATTATTTTAGAAGATAACATAGTGGAGGGATGCGAGAAATTCAAGTGATTTGAGAGTGATAATGATAAGGACGATAACAATCACATAATCATACAAGGTAACAGTGGAAGACAAGAGTGCTCTTTGAAAGGAGTGATGCTGTTGTTGGTGAAACTGGATCAGAAGTTGTCCAGGTAGGGGTTGTGATGTCCTCTTTCTGCTGTTTCCGTGAGTGCCAAAAGTAGAGTCAATTTATATTGATACTTTAGAGAAAGTGATTCCCTAACATTCCTCTCAGTTTTGCCCTCATCATCCCCTAATAGCCCTAAGGCCAAAATACCATAGTTATCACTGATCAGTTGTTGATTTTCCCCTCTGTTCTCATACAGAGTCACTTCCTTGGTACATGAGACCTAAGATGAATTCCAACATCTTCCCTTCCTGGACCCAGTACTGCATCCCTCTTTCTCTCCAATGACAGCATCTCTCCAAAGGGTGGAAGGCATTTTCACTGCACCCAGGACTCCTTTCACTGCCCCATCCTCTTAAAGACAGCCATGCTCAGTGATCCCAAGCTGATTTTCTGTTATATACTGTGATGCCATAACTGATTACTTCTTCTATTAAAGAAAATAAAGATATACATTTTAATTTTAGTGAAACATCCCCTGTGGTTAAGAGGACATCCTGTTATATAAGAAGCCCAGGAGTGGGAGAACAGAGGATTGAGTGACGCTTCATAGATTTCTGGTTGTGGGGTCAACTTAGAGACTGACTCAAAATTGACGTAAATAGGAATAAAGTAATGGCTTTGAAGGGGAATGAGTAAGCTGGTTTAAAGTCTACAGGGAGCAATATCCTACATAGATGAATAAGACAAACAAGAAATATTCTTGAATGGAGCAAGAATGTGGGAAACATTTAAATGAGAAAACAGAGATGAAATAAAGAAATGCAGAGAGCTTTGAAGTCCACATAGAAGACTTTAGAAGATAGTAATAACTAACATTATCCACCTAGCACTCATCTAAGCTCTTTAGATATATCACTTTACGTAATCTTCACAAGTCTATGAGGTAGATACTAGTATTTTTCCCATTTAACAGATTAGGAAACCAAGGCACAAAATGATGGAGTGCCTTACCCAAAGCCACATAGCAACTAAGTGGTGAAGACAGTTGAAATTTGAAGCATAAGCTCTATTCTATACTAGAATTCATTTGTCACTAACTGTGCTAGACAGTATGCTGAATCTGGCCCTAGGAATCTTAAAGAGCTATGTGTAAGAGAAAAAATATTTTTTCTACCCCTTCAATTGTCAACACATAGATTATTTACTCTGTGAATTGATGGAACACAATCTTTGATCCATGGGGTTTTTTTTGTTTTTTTTTTTTTCGAGATGGAGTTTTGCTCTGTTGCCCAGGCTGGAGTGCAGTGGTGCAATCTCAGCTCACTGCAACCTCCGCCTCCTGGGTTCAAGTGATTCTCATGCCTCAGTTTCCCAAGTAGCTGGAATTACAGGTGGATGCCCCAATAATTTTTGTGTTTTCAGGAGAGACGGGGTTTCGCCATGTTGGCCAGGCTCATCTGGAACTCCTAACCTCAAGATATCCACCTGCCTCGGCCTCCCAAAGTGCTGGGATTACAGGCATGAGCCACCACGCCCGGCCAATTCTATGTTTTTTATACACATTCTTCTCATAAAGTGTGCGCATCTATACACTGTAAGTGTGTGTATGTTGTGGTATTTATATAATCAAATACAATTTACCACCATTGTTCAAGATCGCAAGATCGTGCTTCATTCTTATCTCTACTTTTTAGCATGGTTTCCATTAGCTATTCCTGAGAGGAAATTCACAGTCCTTGCATTTTACAGATGGTGAAAGTGGTTTAGAGGAGGTCAATGGCTTAAGCAAGGTCACAGATCAAGTTTTAGCAACATTTGGCTTAAATCGGGATCAATAACCTCTGACTGTCCAGCCTGATCCTTACAGGGTCTGCCTGTCCTGGGGCCTGGGCCACATTCCAAATTGGGTCATCTGGTGCATGCTGCCTGTCTGAAATTCCCCTTGTGGTTTTGCTCACATCTGGTGTTTTTCACTTCTCTTTCTAAACACGTGCTTTGATCCTATTGCTGCTACAGCAGAAAGATGTCCATGGTTCCAAGGAGCATAGCTAATTTAGTGAGAGGTGAAAGATACTCCTCTCAACAGGACTTCTAAAAATAAACAGTATCATAGCCTCACAATGTCATGCTTGAAGCACTTCCCACAAAACCCCCAATTTAGTAACTTCTACAGTATCTCTCTACAGCCCCAAAACCTCTAACATGCCTGGACTTCTAGCCCCTCTTCTCAAATCCTCAACCCATTTGAAGTCTTCCTCATGTTGTTCTTCCTTTTAGTCACTCTTGAAGTAGACTGCAAGGGTGACAAATGGTTAAATGCTTTCCATAAGAGCTCTGTAGTCGTGTTTCTCCATCAGCTCACACACACTAAGCTGGGAGCTACGTATATTTACTTCCATAAAACCTTATCTACCAGCTTTCCTGTTTTATTTATTTTAGCAAACTTTGTTCCTCATTTCTGCCCCTACTTTATTTTAGTAAGTCTGTTTCTTAATTATAAAAGTATTTTCTTATTACCTTAAAATTTTTAGGTAAATAGAGAAGAATTTAAAAAATCCACAATTCCAGCACTTTACCATAGTCATTATTCATTTTTTGCTTTGTTTTCTTCCAGTTTTATTTTTCTCGTATGTGTGTATGTCTTTTTGATTGTCTATTTGCTCAGTCTTTTTTTTAAATAGAATCATAATTTACATGCAATTTTTGTGTCCCCTTCTTTCACTATTTAATATTATAAATGTTTCCCATGTTGCTACATAATCTTGCAGATAAAAAATTAGGAATGAAAATAGATATAGATTTTGACAAAGTAAATGGGAAAGGCCTTCACTGACCTCCCATAAAGCAATAGATTGTGAATATCATTTGCAGGACCCAATTCTTCTCTGAGTTGCTGGGATTTGGAATTAAGATAAAGAAGACATAAGTGAGTAGAAAGAGGCAAAACAGCCCAATGTTTTTGGAGACCAAAGATTAATATGAAGTCACAGATGGCTAAATTTAAGATTCAAGACAATTAACCTGCCCTACTGAGTAAGTCAGAGTCAAGGATACCCAAACAGTCCCCAGAAAAGAACAACTTATCACAGATAAGGCCAGAAGGAGGGCTGTTTGGGAAACATTCCTCCTGGGGAAAGAACACCTTCCCATGGGCTGTGGAAAATGATAAGTAAGTTACATTGTCCACTCCCATTTCCAGAGGGGTTTCAGAGAAGAAATGAGGAGGCAAGGCATTCTTCCTGTAGGAGGGGATTGTTGGGCTTCTTGGCTATGCTTTCTATTCTCTTGGTTCCTTTTTCCTTTTCAGTTGCCCCATTGGACCCCAACCCAAACTAAGAAATGTTACCCCAATGGGTTAAGTTGTCCTTACATAGCCAACATTCTTCAATCAAACTTTCACCCTCTCTTACCTTTCTTTGCTGACCTTCCCAAACCCAAGACATCCAGCTAGCTCCCCTGTGCCATCTCATCTCTGCACATCCACACTTACCACACAGGGAGGCCAGTGCTGAGCAGCATCCGCATGCCTGCTTAGCAGCAACACTGAAGCCTGATGATGAATAGAGGTACAGAGGTCTGTCCAGGTTTACTTCTTTGGAGCTGCTCTCCCTATTCTAGGAAGACCCACTGACCTATTATTTGTGTCAGGCACTTTATTCCTCACAACAATGCTGGAAGATTGGTATAACTATTCTCAAATTACAGATGAGGAAACTGAGGTCTGGGGATCTGTCTGTGTCGGAGATCCCCAACCCCCGGGGCATGGACAGGTACTAGTCCATGGCCTGTTAAGAACCAGGCCATATACCCCCTGAACTCCACCTCCTGGTCAGATCTGTGGAAGCATTAGATTCTCATAGGAGCACAAACCCTATTGTGAAGTGTGCATGGAAGGGATCTAGGATGCATGCTCCTTATGAGAATCTAATGCCTGATGATCTGCAGTGGAACAGTTTCATCCTGAAACCATCCCCACTGCTGCCCCACCTGTGGAAAAAATAGTCTTCCACAAAACAGGTCCCTGGTACCAAAAAGGTTGGGGACCGCTGGTCTATGTAATAATGCATAATATTGTAGAGGTAAGATAACTGAGAAAATACCCAAAGGTGCAGAGAAAAGTACAAAGCAAAATTACTCAGCATCCATTATCCCCAAAGAAGTATTGATAACTTTTAAAATATATTGCCTTTCATTGTTTCTATGTGTTCATCTATGTATATGTGTATGTGCGTATGCAAGATGATAACCCCTAATACATGAGTTTATTTTGCTTTACAAGATCAGGATTCTGTTATTTCTATGAGCTTGCTAGTACTTCCATAACAAGGTACCACAACTGAGTGGCTTAAATAACAGCAATTTGCTGTCTCACAGTTCTGGAGGTTAGAAGTCTGAGATCAAGGTGTTGGCAAATTGGTTCTTAGTGATGACTGTGAGAAAGAATATGTCCCAGGCCTCTCTCCTGTCTTCTGCTGTTTTTCTGGAAGTCTTTGGTGTTTCTCAGCTTCTGCTGCATCACCCCAATCTCTGCCTTCCTCTCCACATGGCAGTATCCTTGGTGCATGTCTGTCTCTCCACATGGCATTCTTTTAATAAGGATAATAGTCATTTTGAATTAAGTTCCCTCCTACTTCATTATGACCTCATCTTAACTTGATTGATTATACCTACAACAACCTTATTTCCAAATAAGGTCACCTTCCGAGGTAACGGGGGTTAGGACTCCAACATATCAATTTTGGGAGGACACAATTCAACCCATAACAACTATTTGTACAATATTGCATCTTATTTTTTTTCTACTTACCATTCTATGTTGACATTTTTGTCAGGGGAAAGGGCTGGCACATGCATATGTGGGCAGGGAGAGAAGGCCCAAGGGGAGCAGCACAGTGGGGAGCAACCCACAGCCTTGGGGAAGGCACGGCAGGAGAAGAGCATGGAGAAAGGGGCAGGGGAGCTGTCAGAGCATTGACCATCACCGTGGTTTTCCTGGTTCACAGGCTTCCTGAGGGCTCCTCAGAAACATGTGTTAGAAAAGAAAAGCTTTCCGGTCTGTCCAGTCTCCTCCATGACCACAGTTTCTCACCCACATACCATTGTCTGGCTTGGAATGGATCCTGGAAGGAGGACTCAAGAGAAACCATAGAAACAGACAACAGGAAGTAAGTGTGAGGGAAGTTTTGGACGGTGAAAGTATTAGATTTGTCAACTGGGAAGCAGTATAATATTATAATTAAGCCCTACATAGAGTCAAACAAATGTTTTCAAATCCTACCTCTGACACTCATTTTTAAAATATTTTATTTTTTGGAGCAGTTTTAGATTCACAGCAAAATTGAGCAGAAAGAATAGAAATTTCTCATATACTCCCTGTCCCCACACATGCAAAGGCCCTCTCCATTATCAACATCCCCACACAGAGTGGTACATTTTTTACAGCTGATGAACCTACATCAACCCATCATCACCATCCAAGCCCATAGTGTAAATTAGGATTCACTCTTGGCATCGTGCATTCTATGGGTTTGGACAAATGTATGACACGTATCCACTATTATATATCATACAGAGTATTTTCGTTCCTTAAATATCCTCTGTGCTCTGCCTCTTCATCCCTCCCGAGGACAACCCCCAGCAACTATTGACCTTTCTACTGTCTCTATAGTTCTGCTGTTTCCAGAATGTCACATAGTTGGAATCATACAGTATGAAGGCTTTTTAGATTAGCTTCTTTAACTTAATAATCTGCAGTTAAGGTTCCTCTACATCTTTTCACGTCGTGATAGCTACATTCATTTTTCTGTGAGATTTTGGGCATATTGGTCTGTCTCTGTAAGCTTCCATTTCCTCATCTGATAGTAGTACCTATGCATAGGGTTGTGGTAAGAATAAAAACGAGGTGATATATGTAAAGTACTTGCCATAGCGCCTGGCAGGAAGAAGTACTTACTGTAGTGCCTGGCACTTTGTTCACTCATTTATTCAACCAATATTTGTTGTCTGCTGCTTCAAGGTCTGTGTTGAATGCTAAGGATACAGTGTTAAACAAAACTGACATGGTTCCTGTCCTCATGGAAATTACACTCTGGAGAGAAAGGTAGAGATTTAAGCAAATAAACACACAAGTAGTCTTTCATTTTAAACCATATAATAATTTGATAAAAAAACTATTTCTAAAATAGAAAAAATGGGGAAACAGATTTAATCTGGAGGGGTGGGGAGGGGATGCACTTAGGGAGAGCCACTCTGAAGAAGTAATATGAAGCTGAGACCTGAAAGTTGATTTGGAAATAGCCAGATGAAGCGCTTTGGGTGTGGGGGAACATGGGGAAGAGTGTCCCAGGTAAAGAGAGCAGGTCCTAAGGTAATAAAGAGCTCATTGGCCCATTAGAGGAACTGAAACATCAGTGTGACTGGAGTGAAATGAACAAGGGGGAACAGGGTGCATATGAGTTTGGAGACATAGGCAGATCCCAGATATTGCAGGGAGTCATGGGATCTCATTGGATGCCTATTCTTAAGAGAATGAGTGGGACAGAAGACTCAAAGGAAGAATAATAAGGGAGGAGAGAAAACCAAAAGAGAGGAATAACACAGAATAAGGGGTCTAGAGGGTGGGTGGGTGAGAGAGACAGAGAGAAGAGAGAGAGACAGAGCAACAGAGAGAGACACAGTGAGACATTTTGAAAGTCAAAAACAGAGAGGTTGAGGAGGATGAGGGCTAAGCAGGACCGAAATTTAGCAAGTAAGAAGTCCTTTGAGACCTCTGAGACAGCAGGTTCAGTGCAACGGTCAAAGTGAAAGCTAGATTACAAGGAGTTAAGAAGTAGTATGTGGTGAGGAAGTAAAGGAAGAAAAGGAAGTTAGCATATTTTTTTAGAAGTATTATGATGAAGGAAAAGAGAAAGTTTGGGTGATAGCTTAAGTGAGAATTTCTTCTTTATTTTTATTTTAGATTGGAACTTTTTGGGCATTTTTCTAGGCTGAGGAGAAGGATCTAGTAGGTAAAGATTGAAGGCAGGAAGAGAAAGGAGAACTGATTCTGCCTTCAGGAGGCCTCATTCCTGTAGTTATTTTGCCTGCAATCAGAAAGTAACAGACTCTGGTATCATGATCGGGCCAGAGACCTAAACGATGTGCAATTTCAGTCATAGATACGGTTAATTAAAAGACTGTACAAAGTACTCCCATGGTTTTTAAAATTAAAACTATAAATCAATATAGTAATATTTTTAATTTCTGTATTTTAAAACAACTGGCTTTTAAAGAATTTAAAGAAATTCATATTAGACATAATTAAGAATGTATTCTACTTGCACTCAAGTGCTGTTACTAGCTCCCTTAATATAATCCTGGTCTCATTTTTGCATTTGATAGAATCCTTTCTTTGTACTTACCCTGGACCATTTATTTAGGCCAAAGCCCTCTTAGGGTAGCCCCAGATTTCAGGTCAGTTTGGCATCAATGGCTCTTTCAAAGGAATTTCAGTTTTGATTTCCCAGTTGCTCATAGCTTTTCTTCTGACTGAAGAAGATGGAAAAGACATTGACCCTGCTGGGTTGATGGACTCATGGAACAAGCAAGTTTCATTTTGCCTGCCCAGTTTTCTTAACAGCTAGGAATGAGGCACATTTTCCATCTCACCTCCTCCCTTTTTCATACAGCAAAGGAAAAAAATTACTGAGTTTTATTTAGTTTTTTTAAACATCAAAGTTAAATATGCACATAGTTTAAAGAATCGAATATTTCTAAATTACTAATTACAAGAAACAGCATTCCCCCACTCCACCCCTTCATTTCCCACTCCTCAGAGGAAATCACTTTCAATGCTTTCACTAAATCTTTTTTTAGGGGGAGGAGGGAAATCATTGTATCTCTAAATAGCTACTTCTTAGTTTTCTCTATTGACTTTCCACTGTGGAAGATGGGGATTCAGTTTTCGCCTCTTCCTATACCACATGGGCTTATATTTCTATGTCATTATTAAACTGACACTCAGTGTTTATATTACTATGATCAAATAAATACTATTCACACCTGTGTTGCATAATAAATTATGATCACTTTCTTCAAAACTATTTTGCTTCCTCTGGAGTTAATAATTGTCTCATTTTTCATTTGCCTAGTTTTTCTATGCATATGCCACTAATTTAATCCATACTCCTCTGTAGTTGTTTAAGTCTCCTCTCAATATGTCCAAACAAACTTGGTATTCCATCAGTTTCATCTGGAAGAGAGCTCTTCCAGAGCCTACTGATCTGCTCCTCTCTGGGCTAACTGACCTCTAGGCCTGCTGTGCATCTGTCATCTTGGGACTTCCCTTTACCCACATCCTGGGGACTCTCTTCACCTCTGTGTTGAGTGCTCTGGTTCCTGAATTCCACCTCTTCCTCTTTCTTGACTCACAACACTGTTTTGGTGGAGCACATTCTTCAGTAGTTTCCTAAGAGAGAGTGCAGGGAAGATATAGCATTTGCCATCAGTGCCCTGCCCAAATTCTCTTGGCACTTAACATCCAGGCCTTCAAAACTGCCAGCACATATGTCTGTTTGCCTGAGGGCTTTTTCTAGCTACTGAAAGTTTGCTCAGGAAGTGTTGGGGAATTAACCCCCTTTTCCCTGGGAGAGACCCTTAACCAATGACTGATGAGAGTTAGTAGATAAATATCCCAGCTTGCTCAACCATGAGGGGGTTTAACCCTGAAGCATGCTTTCTACACAGGTCTCCCAGAGTTCCCCGATGGAGTCAAGTTCCACTGGTTCACAGTAACTTGCAAGATATATTAACTTCCGTAGGATCCTTTTCTCGTTACTTTACTCCCGTACAGATGTTTACTGGGGTCATCTCCCAAATAAACTAATTTTGCTCTTATATTTTTTATTTTCCATCTGTTATCTTTCTGCTTTCCTTTCTACTTTCCAAATCTACTAAGCTTTTTTATATTTTTGCTATCATATTTAAATTTCTAAGTTTTTTTTGTTCTCTGAATGTTCCTTTTAAAACATAGCATTCTGTTCTTATTTCATATATGCACTAGTTCTCTTATTTCTCTGGAGATATTATTAATACTTCTTGTTTTCTTTTTCTTTCAGAGATGCTGTCATTTCTGAGTTATCTTTGGAGCATTTCTCTCCAGTGTGTCAGGGTTTCAGAGAAGGCTTTCCTAACATTCAGGCTGGCTGTCAGGGTTTCCTAAGTAAGAGAAGATGGCAGAAGGCAATGGGTTTATAATCTCCTGTTTTTTCCCAGCATGTTGTCCTTTCACACAATAGTGCCTTGTCCCTTCTTTGTCTTACTCTCCCACCAGAAAAACCTCCATTCTTGGACATCGTGGGGAAGGGGCAATCCATCTAACAGCAAGAGGAAGAGGGGGCCTGGAGCTTTCATTGTTTCCTGAACTGATTTTCAATGCAACTTACTGTTTTTAGCCACAACTTCACCCTTATTTCCAAAAGTACCTGGTGCCACCAATTGCTGAGCATTTGGGGGATTCTGAAATGTAAAGTGAGTTGCTTTACCTTTCTCATCTGCAGGCTTAGGATTCAGCTTTCTCAGGTCTCTTGATTCAGTTACCACTCATTCATCTATGTTCTAGCTTTTATTTGTTTATTTATTTATTTTTTGAGACGCAGTCTCACTCTGTCACCCAGGCTGGAGTACAGTGGTGCAATCTCGGCTAACTGCAACCCCCACCCCCGACCTTCCCAGTTCAAGTGATTCTCCTGCCTCAGCCTCCCAAGTAGCTGAGACTACAGGCACCCGCCACCATGCCCGGCTAATTTTTGTATTTTTAGTAGAGATGGGTTTTTACCATGTTGGCCAGGCTGGTCTTGAACTCCTGACCTCAAGTGATCCACCTGCCTCAGCCTCCCAAAGTGCTGGGATTATAGGCGTGAGCCATTGTGCCCGGCCTTATGTTCCAGCTTTTAAAATTATCTTTCTTACTCTTGTCCTTTTTATATTCTTTTGTCCTTGTAGGTTTCTCCTTAAAAAAAACTCACCAAAATTCTTACTTGCTTACATATGCATAAAGAAACTCTGGAAACACGCATAAGAAAGCATAACAGTCCTTATTTCTGGACAGGGAGAAAGTGGAAACTGAGCTGATGGGAGACATATATGAGGGAAACGTTTCAGGCTGTGCCTCTTTGTATTTTTCTGGTTTTAAAACCATGTGAATGTATCACTTAATCAAAACATTAAATTTTGGTTGAGTTCTAGGAGGGAGTGGAGCATGTGTTTAATCTGCTGTCTTTAACCAGAAGTCTCAAGTATTGTTTTTCTAAATTAGCAGCTTCAATGTTGAAACCATGAGAAGCTACCCAGCCAAAAGCCATTCCAAACAAATCCAGAGCCATAAGCAAAAATATAGACAAATTTGGCTTTGTGAAAATTAAAGATTTATGCAAAGCAAAAACCAAAAATCAAATCAAATTTAAAAAGATCAGAAAACCAAAAACAAATTGGGAAAAAATTTTGCAACAAGTATGACAAAAGGCAAATTTACTTTAAAATATGGAATTTTGACCAGGTGTAGTGGCTCACACTTGTCATCCTAGCACTTTAAAAGGCTGAGGCAGGGCTGGGTGCTGTGGGGGGCCGAGGCAGGCAGATCACTTGAGGTCAGGAGTTCAAGACCAGTCTGGCCAACATGGTGAAACCCCATCTCTACGAAAAATACAAAACAATTAGCCGGGAGTGGTAGCACATGCCTGTAATCCCAGCTACTTGGGAGACCGAGGCAGGAGAATCACTCGAACCTGGGAGGTGAAGGTTGAAGTGAGCTGAGATTGCGCCACTGCACTCCAGCCCAGGCAACAGAGTGAGGCTTTGTCTCAAAAAAAAAAAAAAAAGGCCAAGTCAGGAGGGTGCCAGACTGCAACTCCAGTCTGGGTGACAAAGCAAGAACCTATTTCAAAAAAAAAAAAAAAAAAAAGATGAAGTTTTTACAAAGCAATTAAACACAGATAAAAATCCAATAGAAAACAACAGGCAAAGGACATGAATATACTACACAGGTGAATACTTACAAATGGCTTTTAAATACATGAAAAATGTTCAACCTCACTCATAAATTAAAGAATGAAAATCAGAACAATGAGAAAATCAGTTTTCACCTATTAGAACAGCAAAATTATAAAATCTGATAATATACACTGGTGACGTAAAGATTTGGTGGGGGGGAGTCTAAAATATTTTTAGTAGGATTAAAAATTGTTACTAAATTTGCAGTGCATTTTGGTGCTATCTATCAAAATGTTAAAGTTACATTTACCTTTTGACGCTGCAACTTCCCTATCAGACATGTATCTGCTTGCACTGGGCATTAAGACATATTTACTTGCTCACTTCAGCTGCACATATGCTAAAATTGGAAGGATACAGAGAAGATTGTCATGGCCCCTGCACAAGGATGACATGCATGAAGCATTCCATATTTTTTTAAAAATACATATTTACAACGATATTCACTGCAGCATTATTTGTAGTCACAAAAACTGTAAGCAACCCAACTGCTTACAGGAGGAAATTGGCTACATAAATTACAGTATATTCATTCAGAGGGATATTAAGCAGCCAATAAAAAGAATGAGGCAGGCCAGGCACAGTCACTCACACTTGTAATCCCAGCACTTTGAGAGACCAAGATGGGAAGATCAGTTGAGGCCAGGAGTTCGAGACCAGCCCGGGCAACATGGCAAGGCCTGACTCTACAAAAAATAAAAAATTAGCGAGGAGTGGTGGCACGTACCTGTTGTCCCAACTACTTGGGAGGCTGAAGCAGGAGGATCCCCTGAGCTCAGGAGTTAGAGGTTGCAGTGAGCTATAATCACACCACAGCACTCTAGCGTGGGAGACAGAGCAAGACCTGTCTCTAAAAATAAAAATAAGAAAAAGAATGAGGCAGCTTTATATTTATGGAATTATCTCTAACATGGAGTCTTAAGGTTACAAGCAAATTATGGAACAGTGTATATGGAGTGATCCTATTTGAGTGATTTTTTAAGTAACTTTTCTTAAATACATAGATGTGCTTGTGTACACACAAGATATCTCTGGAGGAATACATAAGAAACAAATCATTATTACTACCTCCAGAGAAGAAACTGGGAAAATAAGGGATCAACAAAGGGAAGGGGAGTTTTTTTCCCTTAAAAACATATGTGTGTGTATATATATATAATCTCCAAGTGCATGATTTTTAAAAAAATAATAGGTACATTAGTAAATGTTTTCGGTCGCAAGCAACAGAAACAATTTATAGTTAATCTAAGCAGTAAATGAATTTATTAAAAAATATTAGGTAGTTCACAAGCTCTCCAGGAGGACTAGAAACCCAGGTTTAGAGGCTACATAGCCAGAAGCAACACCTAAAATTGTACTGCAGAACAATATCATGAAGTCATCAATGCCCCCACTGCATGGAAACCACTGCTCGGTGAATGCCCCAAGCCTGGATGCTGGTCCCTGCTGCTAGAACCACCAGAACCACCACCACTGTAGCATCTAAAAAATGAGTGTTGTTATTACAACTAATGCCACTCCCTGCTGCAGAACAGATTCAGCAGTCTTTGCTATTTGAGGTCACTAGCTCCTGAGTCAAAAAGCAATGCAGATCCTTATGCCTATGCATACCTGTAAGGGAAGCTGGAAAAGAAGTATCTGACATTTTCAGCTTCTAAAGTAAAAGGTTGTCCTCTGTATCCCATCAAGGCCTATAAAGTGATGAATGCTTCAAATATAGAGCATTTAGATAACAGAGGTGGAGAGAGAGAGAGAGAGGAAAATAAGGAAGGAAGAAGGAGTTTCACATCAGTTTTCACTTTGCTTTGGGGGAAAGTATCCTGGATGCCATATGACATACTCACTTTCCTGTGTCTTTTGCATGTACTGTTGTTAAGAATCACAGGACTTCAGAGTAGAAAGTTCCCGATAGAGGATTTAGTTCAAAAGCATTGTTTTCTAGTTGAGAAAAACAAACTCAAGTAAAGTTTGGGAAAACTCAAGTTGCCCAAAATTACTCATAAGAGTTTCTGATTATGTGATTAGGTTCTCCCAGTCCAGGGCCCAATCCTCCATAGAATGTTCGGGTATTATTAGTACTTCAGCCAAGGCTCTAATGCAGTATCAAGATGCAGATTTGCTTCTGGTAGGGCTTCTTGAAGAAACTGGTGCTACTTATTATAAATATTATTAAACATTTGTATAGGACTTTAATGTTTATTTTTTAAAATTTTTATTTGTAAATAGTAAAATCATTTATTTTTAAAAAACAACAAAAATATAGGAGGATTTAAAGTAAATGGTAAAATTCATACCTTCATCTTGCTTTCCTACTCCCTAGGAATAATCAGTGTTGAAAGTATGCTGAGTATCTTTCAGTTCTTTTTCTATGTGTATGCACATATATTTGTAGGTATTTATAGACATACGCATACCACATATATAACCTTTCATATCTTGCTTTCCCACTCTACATGCATCATGGACATAACTGATACTTGAAGTGGATTCATGCCAGTAAGTTATTGCTAGGTTGGGAAGCACCGCATGGAGACATGGTGCCTGAGGAGAGGATGTCACAAACCATGAAAGGCTTGGTGGTAAGGTGATATTTTTGGTCCAGTGAGCTTCATGGTGTCACTTGAAGTATAAATTGCCTCAGGAAGAAAACATGGGCTGCTTCAAAACATGAAAGTAACCTCCAAAATCATCTAGCTCAACCTCATTTGTAGGTGAAGAACTATTTTTCCTGGGAGTGGGGGTGATTATGGACCTTGCCCAAGATCACCCAACCAGGACAGTGACAGAGTTGGGATTTCTTTCTTTCTCCAAGACCCTGGCTCATTGCATTGTGTTGCATTGCTTTCTGCAAGTTTCAGAGGAGAGAGAGGGCAGTGGTTAGTTTGAAAACACACATATGCTCAGATTACATTTGATTTCTCAGACTGTAGTGCTGGGGCTCCCTGCCTGACTGTGTCCATGAGTTCTTCCATGAAGTTTTACATTTAGCTTTTCTTTTGCCCACTATATGCCTTATTGACTACCATTAACCATCTCCTTGGGGACTATGAATCTTACTTTTCAGTCTTTTTATGGCAATTTGCACTCTTTACTAACACAGCTTTATTATTTGTTCAGGTCTTGGGAGAATATTGAGTAAGACATTATATCAGATGGATGACAAAAGGAGGGGAAAAGCAAGAAAGACCACCAAGTTTACATAGATACCAAATTTATTTAATCAGGGAGGAGTCATTTAGTGCCAATGAGGGAGGGGTAGAATACACATTAGAAAAAGACACATCTTCTGCCTGTAGGAGCTTACTTTCTAGAACAGTTACCTCTAGTCTCTTTTCTTCATACCACTCCATCAAAAAAAAAAGAAAGAAAGAAAAGAAAACCAGCATACATGCCTAATAATTGCATGTTTGCTATAAATTCCATACACTCTACTGTGACATTTTAATATTAGTAAAGCCTAATTTTCTTAATATTTTAGATTAAAAAATAAATAGAAGCAAGTATTCACATATGTTTTTCTCATACCTCTATGTACCATTTTGAGCACTTCACTTTGGAGTCCAGTTTCAACAGGAGAATCAGATGCACACCCAAAATACTAGAAAGCTTGGGAGTGTGAAGAGGGCTCTAATGTCAGGGTAAGCAAAATATTCTTAGGGCATCAAGGAAGCATTGCCAGAGGAAAGGAAAGCTGAGGATATTCAAGGACTTCTGACCTACTCCGTGGGCACAGCGTCTCTGGGCTTGGACAAGGGATTAGTGCCAGGCTTGATTTCCTTGGCTGGAATCTGTACATGAAGGCTGCACATGAAGAGCCTACCTCACCCCAGAAGCATCCATTTCCTGGCACCTCAAGCATATATGGGCTTAATAAATAACATGTCATTCCATGATGATAGGGACAGACATATTTGGCCCATAGCTTAGAGCCATCCCCAATTGTCTACACTCAATGGTGGGGCAGCAAGTACTGTGGATATGGAGCTGGGAGGCTGAGCTAAATCCTAGCTATCTTACTAACCAATTGTATGACTCTAGCCCTTAAACTCTCTGAGCTTTAATTTTCTCATCTGTAAAATGGGAATGATAAATGCCTTCCAGACCTATTTACAATTTCTAACATTTGTTGAGTTTTTCAATGTGCATTACATGTATCATCTCATGAAATCCTCATGACAAAATAATGAGGTGGAGCTATTATTGTTCCCCTTTTGCAAATGTGGAAACTAAGTTTTAGAGTAGGTAATCTGCCTACAAGTTTACACAGCTAGAATGTGCAGAGATGGGATTCTGAGGCTTGCTCAACTCTGAAGCAAATGTCCTACCCACTCTACTTGGCTGCTGACCATGAACACACTTCATGAACTCTGAAGTACGAACAAGGTACACAGAGTGTAAGATTTAGTCCTTGTCCTTAAGTCTAAATTCAAAATATGTTTATCTATAAAGCGTGTTTTTCTGTTTTTGTTTTTTTGAGATTGAGTCTCGCTCTGTCAGCCAGGCTGGAGTGCAGTGGCATGATCTCAGCTCACTGCAACATCCGCCTGCCGGGTTCAAGCAATTCTCTGCCTCAGCCTCCTGAGTAGCTGGGATTACAGGCGCCCGCCACCACACCCAGCTAATTTTTTTTTTGTTTTTATTTTTAGTAGAGATGGGGTTTCACCATATTGGCAAGGCTGGTCTTGAACTCCTGACATCATCATCCACTTACCTCAACCTCCCAAAGTGCTGGGATTACAGGTGTGAGCCACCATGCCCAGCCTATCTATAAAGTGTAAAAGTCCGACAAAGTAGGATTTGGTTAGAATGAAAAGGTGGAGAAAGAACTTCAATGTTAGTTTCCTTATCTTTAGTCCCTTACAACGGTATATGATTACTGGAAAGAGCACTTGGTTAGCAAGAAGAAAACCAGTTCTGTCCCATACTTGCTCTCAACTTTAGGCACTTCATTTAAGCTGTTTACTCATCTATTAGGGGTCCTAATGAATGAGCTCTAGAGGGTCTTTTTGCCTGACAATCCTCAAACTCCATTCTCAAAACTTCCTGCAATCGGGAGTCTCCCTCCCCTCCATGGAGAGGGCGGGACAGAGGCATGTAGACAGGGAGGCGATCCTCAGGTCAGCTAGGGCTTACTCAAACAAGGTCCTGTGGGGGCAACAGGGAGAGTGGATGGGGACTCAAGCCAGAGCCCTGGTGGGATGGGCCGGTAATTATAAGGAAACACTGCAGAGAAAGTTTCTGTTGTGGTTGTTCCCTTTGTTTACTTTAGGCAGTTCTGTCATTTTTTAACTGACCCTTCCCAGATGAGATAGTCAGTTTTCAGCTGGGTAAAGTCAGGGCCTTGCAACTGATGGGGTATTTGAATCCTCTGTGGCTCAGTTGCTGGAGGGAGGCCAGGGCAGCTGAAACTCCCCCGCCCTTTCAGGGAAGTGAAGCTGGGGCTACAAACTTGCTGACAGTGGCTGGTGGCCTGTAAACCCAAACATCCTCCTCTCCTCCGTCTCGGTGTAGCAATGTGAAAAAAACAAAGCCACGAGCTTTCCAGAGCAGGGGAAGGCTCTAGCCAGATTCCCTTCCAGCTACTCCCTCCTGCACTTCGGCCCACAGCCACATGGTACAAGGTTATAGTTACAGTTGAAAACTGCTGACGTCTACTTTTTGGTTGTTGTACAAATAATAATTAATAAAACACACACAAAAAAACACACTTTTCTTCATGGCTAAATATTCACATAGTTGATTCAAACCTAAATATGCATACTTGCTTTTCTTTTCCTGTTTTCTTAAGTTTGAATAATAGTCATGTAGCTGTTTAAGAATCAGACAGAAGGAAAACTCATCCGCTTAGTACTTTTCTTAAATTGTCCAGTTTCTTTTGGCCTCTGAATACCAGAGTCTTTTATGTGTAAGATTAGAAACATCTGGCCAGCATATCTGAGTAAGGCTGAGCTAAAGCGGGATGAAACTAGGTAGAATGGCCTGCCTTTCTGAATTATAGAATTTTAAGCATTGATGGGACTCAAACTTACTAAATTCTACCTCTTCATTTTGCAGATGAAAAGACAGTCCCAAGAGGTTAGGATTTGCTTAATGTCACACAGCCTGCATCAGAGGTGAACCCAGAACCCAGGTCTCCATACTCCTAGTCTGGCACTGTTTTTATATATATATCCATGCTTAGAGAGGACTTGTGTATTAAAATTTTTTTATAAAAGTGCATCATCCCTGTCTTTGAAATTATTTTGCAATTCTTACCCAATTATTTTGCAATTCTTACCCACTGTGTATATATTCTTTAGGAGAAGAGAGAGAGTTAATGTTCATAGAACACCTATTATGTGCCAGGTTTTTCCTACATCTTCTCATTTAATTTTCACCATGCTATGAAGGAGGTATTATTCTACCTGTTCCACAGATGATAAAACTGAGAGGTTAGGTACACTTGCCGAAGTTCACATAACTAGGAAGTAGTGGACTCAGGATTCAAATCCAGATCTCTCTCATCTGCAGCTCCCAGACTGTGCTACACCACATTGCCACAGCCACTGTGCACATCACAGCTTACAGTAACATACTTTCCACTTTTCAAATTATGACCCAATTTTCATAATCACTACTTTTGTGGATGTATTCACTCATTCAGTAAATTATTTATTAAGCAGCTACTCTGTGCCAGGAATAGTCAAGACACTGAGGATATAGTAGTGAGCAAAATACATAAATCCTTGCTCTCATAGAGCATGGGTTACAGGGGGAGGAATAGACAACAGCCCAGAAAAATAAGTCAGGTAAAATGATAAGCGTTGGAAGAATAAAGCAAGGAAGAACAGGATATGCTAGAGGCTGAGGGATGGGAGGAAGATAGCAAGTTTAAATACGATTGTCAGGAAAAGAAAGTATCATTGGTTACATTTGAACAAAGATCTGAAGGCAGTGAAGGAACAAACTAATGCATATCTGGGAGAAGAGACTCTGAGGCAGAGGGAAGAGTCAAAAGTCACTGGGGCAGGAGGAGGCCTGTTATATTCAAGAAACAGTTAGGAGGCCTATATGTTCAGAATGGAGTTACAGGAAGAAAAATATCAGATGAAGTCACAGATGGAGGCCAGATGAGGTAGGGCCCAGGACTAATCAAAGACATTGGCTTTTATACTAAATGAGAAGGAGCCATGGAAACTTTTGAGTAGTGGATGACACATTTAGGTTTTCTTTTTTAAATTTTAAATACATTTTTATTTCAATAACTTTAAGGGTATAAGTGGTGTTTGGTTACATGGATGAACTGTATAGTGGTGAAGTCTGATATTTTAGTACCCCTGTCACCCTAGTAGTATACATTGTACCCAATATGCAGTTTTTTATCCCTCACCTTCCTCCCAACCTTCCCCTGTCTGAATCTCAAATGTCCATTATACCACTTTGTAAGCCTTTGTGTACCCATAACTTAACTCCCACTTATAAGTGAGAACATATGGCATTTGGTTTTCCATTCCTGAGTTATTTCACTTAAAATAATGGCCTCCAGCTCCATCCAAGTTGTGCAAGACATTATTTCATTCTTTTTTGTGGCTGAGTAGTATTCCATGGCATGTATATACCACATTTTCTTTATCCACTAATTGGTTGATGGGCTCTTAGGTTAGTTCTATACCTTTGCCATTGTCAATTGTGCTGCGATAAACATACATGTGCAGATATAATGATTTATTTTCCTTTTTGATATAATGACTTATTTTCCTTTGGGTAGATACCCAACAGTGGGATTGCTACTTTTAGTTCTTTGAGAAATCGTCATACTGTTTTCCATAGATGTTATATTAATTTACATTCCCACTAGCAGTGTATAAGTGTTCCCTTTTCACCACATCTGTGACAACATCTATTGCTTTTTGGATTTTTAACAATGGCCATTCTGGTTGGGGTAAAGTGGTATCTCATTGTGGCTTTGATTTGCATTTCCCTGATGTTCAGTGATGTTGAAATTTTTTCCATGTTTATTGGCCATTTGTGTATCTTCTTTTGAGAAGCATCTATTCATGTAAATTGCCCACTTTTTAATGGAATTATTTGTTTTTTTTTTCCTGCTGATTTGTTTGAGCTCCTTGTAGATCCTGGATATTAGTCCTTTCTTAGATGGATACTTGCAAATATCTTCTCCCATTCTGTGGGTTTTCTCTTTACTCTGATGATTATATATTTTGCCGCACAAAAGCCTTTCAGTTTAATCAGGTTCCGTTTATTTGTTTAAATTTTTGTTGCATTTGCTTTTGGGGTCTTAGTCATAATTTTTTGCCTAGGCCAAAGTCCAGAAGAATTTTTCCTATGTTTTCTTCTAGAATTGTTATGGTTTCAAGTCTTATATTTAAGTCTTTATTCCATCTTAGGGTGATTTTTGTATGTGGTGAGAGAGATGGATCCAGTTTCATTCTTCTATCCAGTGGCTCTCCAGTTTTCACAGAACCATTTACTAAATAGGGTGTCCTTTTCCCAATTTATGTTTTTGTATGCTTTGTTGAAGATCAGTTGGTTCTAAGTATCTAGCTTTACTTCCAGGTTCTCTAGTCTGTTCCACTGGTCTATGCATCTACTTTTATATCAGTACCATGCTGTTTCGATTACTATAACCTTGTAGTATAATTTGAAGTTGGGTAATGTGATGCCTCCAGATTTGTTCTTTTTGCTTAGGATTGCTTTGGCTATTTAGGCCCTTTTATGATTCCATATGAATTTTACATTTAAGTTTTTAAAGGACTGCTAAGAGTGCTGTGTTGAGAGTAGACTGGGGGTGGGGAACAAGGGTGAAAGCAGAAATGCCAGTTGGGAGGCCATTGCAATAATTCAGATGAGGAATAATAGTGACTTGATCCAGAGTAATACAGAATGCAGTGAAAAGTGATGCAATTCAGAGTATATTTTGACAGTGAAGCTAGTATTATAATCTGCCATCTTTACATGCCATGATGTCATAAAACATGCTTCTATTTTGGTGATTTAGGTTGTTCCTGTTTGCACTATTATAGGTAATATTTTCATTAACATTCCCACTCACACTTTTTGCCTGTCTTATTTCCTTACATAAATTCCCAGGAATTGGATCACTGAGTTGAAGATGTGATCATCCTTATGACTCTTGCTACAAGTTGTCATATTACTTAGTAGGTTCCACCCATAGTACCTTAGGGATCTTTAATTTGAAATGCTCCAGAATTCCTCCCCCATCCCCAGGATCTCTAACCCTCTCTCCCACTATGGTTTTCTTCTTTTTCTCTTTCTCCTCTCTCTCTTTTTGGGGAGCTTATAAAAGGGAAGGGTAACAAAAATGGACAAAAGTTAGGGCCGGCCACAGGGAGAGGTAAGAAAAGATACAGAGGAATTTCTTCATTTTTTTTCTGTCTTACAGCCCTGAGAAAGTCCCAGCTGCTTCCCTTAGTTGGATGAAAATCTTCTTCTGTAAGAATCAACAAGCTAACAATACTGCTTACTTAGAGACCTTTTTGTCTTCTGCGGAGATATCAATGGACTTTACAATTTCAATTATCTTTCATAATATTCCCTGGTGTTAGAACAAACTGCCTCCTCTGAACAAACATTCCTCTCACCAGGGTGGGAAGTTTACCAAACTTTGTGGCTCCTTTATTCCCCTCCTCCATCAGGTTGGTCCCCCTTTCAAATGACCCATCCCCCATCACCACAACTCAAAAATGTACCTGCTCAGTCCTCCTTATCCAATTTCATCCTAGGTTGGAAAGAAAATATTTTAATTGTTTCTTAGAAGTGAGGGTTTTTAATGAATTTTAGAATCAACTTGTCAATTTCTGCTGCTCTTAAAATGTATATGGAAATGCATGGGACTCATAAAAGCCAAAACAATGAAGAACAAAGTTGGTGGATTCACACTTCCCAATTTCAAAACTTACAACAAAACTACAGTAACAAAGACAGTGTGTTACTGACAGAAGGATAAACATACAGATCAATGGAACAGAATTGAGAATCACAAATAAACCCTAACAGTTACAATCAATTGATTTTCAACGAAAGAGCCAAGACAATTCAATGGGGGAAAAAAAATGGTCTTTTCAACAAGTGGTGCTGGGCAACTGGATATCCACATGCAAAAGAATTAATTTGGACCCCTAAGATTGTACACAATAATTAACTCAAAGTGAATCATAGGCCTAAATGTAGAAGCTAAAATATAAAACTTTTAGAAGAAAACTAACTCTTTTGACCTGAGTTAAGCAGTAAATCTTTGTGACTTTGAGTTAGGCAGTAATTTCTTTGATGCAACATCAAGAGCACAAATAATAAAAGAGAAAAAAGTTGATAAGTTGAACTTAATCAAAATAAAAAAACTTCTGTGCTTCAAAGGACACCAACAAGTGAAAGAACAGCCCCACAGAATCAGAGAGCATATTTGCAAATTATACTATCTGTTAAGGGACTAGAATATAAAAAACACAAATCAATAAGAAATGACAAGTGATCTAAGTTGGGAATGGGCAAAGGATTACAAGATATTTTTCAAGAGAAAAATATGCAAATAAGCACATGAAAAGTCACTAGGAAAATATAAATCAAAAGCACAATGAGATATCAATTTTCACCCACTAGAATGGCTATAATAATATAGGCAGAAAATAATAATTGTTGGTAAGGATGTGGAGAAATTGGAAAGCTCATACACTGCTAGTGGGAAAGTAAAATGGTGTAGCCACATTGGAAAAGTTTGACAGTCCCTCTAAATGCTAAAAATAGAGTTACCATATGACCCAGCAATTCTTTTATCTTGGGAATCTACCCAAAAGCAATGAAAACATATTTCCATACAAAAACTTGTGCACAAATGTTCACAGAAACTTTACTCACAATAACCAAAAAGTAGAAACAACCCATTTGTCATCAACTGATGAACAGATAAACAAAATGTGAAATATCCATACAATGAAATATTATTTGGCAATAAAAAGGAATGAGGTACAGATAGATGCCACAATATAGATGAACCTCAAAAACATTCTGCTAAGTGAAGGAAGCCAGTCACAAAAGACCACATATTATATGATCTCATTTATATAAAATGTCCAGAATAGGCAAATCCATAGAAACAGAAAGCAGATTAGTGTTTGTCTAGGACTAGAGGGAATAAAGGGGTGGGGTATGGGAGAATAGAATTGATGAGTGACTGCTAATGAATATAAGGTTTCTTTTGGAGATGATGAAAATATTCTAAAATTAATTATGGTGACGGGTGCACTGCTAAATATACTGAAAACCGTTGAATTGTACACTTTAAATGCGAATTTTATAGAATACAAATTATATCTCAATAAAACTGTTTTTAAAAAGTGGCTTCTTGTTCACTCTTGAAAAAAGACACCTGATTGTTTGGTTCAGCACCCTCAAAAAATTTGTTCATGTAATGCATGAAGGAGCATGCTATGGGATTGGCCTAAGAAGTTGCTAGTAATAAAATCTAGAGGTTGTGAAGGCCTGGGGAAGAGAAGGAAGGAGTAAGGGATGGAGAAGGGAAATAAGGAATAAGTGAAGGGATGCACCCAGAAATGAAGGCACAATCATCTCACTGTTGAAAAACCAAGGGCAAAACAGAAAGGAAATGGGGGAGTGGAATTTGCAGATATCTTTACTGCCAACTGTGTAGAACTGGGGCTGAGGTGGTTCAAAGCAAAGCTACAAAGTAAATATTAAGAGGATAAAAACTTCACTGATTTGTTGAATATATAAGGCTTTGTACAACTCACAGGGATTATTCGTTAAAAGTATACAAGCACTGTAGTCAGTTGGAAAAAGAATTATGATTCCTGTTGCCAAATTTGTATCAAAGCAAAATTATAATGTGATCCTACAATGAGCCAGAAAGAAACACAAAAAGTTTACTCCCCCCACCTACAAACAGAAACTGCTCCTTTATGTAACCTGAAGTTCATGTATATAGTCTTATTTGTACAGATCCTTGCATCTCAAGATGGATTAGTGTTTTTCAACATGGCAACTTTTAATTTTGTTTATTTATTTATTTTTTAATTTTAATTTTTTTTTTTTTGAGATGGAGTTTCACTCTTGTTGCCCAGGCTGGAGTGCAATGGCTCGATCTCGGCTCACTGCAACCTCTGCCTCCCGGGTTCGAGCAATTCTCCTGCCTCAGCTTCCCAAGTAGCTGGGATTACAGGGGCATGCCACCACGCCCAGTTAATTTTGTATTTTTCAGAGATGGGGTTTCACCATGTTGGTCAGGCTGGTCTTGAACTCCTAACCTCAAGTGATCCACCCGCCTCAGCCTCCCAAAGTGCTGGGATTATAGGCGTGAGCCACCACGCCCGACCTATTTATTTATTTTAAAAAATAATTTTAAATTTTATTTTAGACTCAGGAGTACATGTGCAGGTTTGTTACATGGGTATATGGCATAACACTGAGGTTTGGGGTGTGAATGATCCCCTCACCTAGATAATGAGCATAGTGACCAATAGGTAAGTATTTCAAGCTTTGTCCCCCTTCCTCCTTCCTGCCTCTAGTAGTCCCCAGTACCTATTGTTGTCATCTTTATGTCCATGAGTACCCAATGCTTAACTCCCACTTGTGAGATCTTACTAACACATTTGGTTTTCTGTTTCTGCCTTAATTCACTCAGGATAATGACCTCTAGCTCCATCCATGTTGCTACAAAGGATATGATTTCACTCATTTTTTTGACTGTGTATTATACCATGCTATGTATATACCCTATTTTAAAAAATCCAATCCACTGTTGATGAACACCTAGATTGATTCCATGTCTTTGCTATTGTGAATAGCGCTGTGATGAACATGTGAGTGCATGTGTCTTTTTGGTAGAATGGTTTATTTTCCTTTAGATATATACTCAGTAATGAAGATTGCTGGGTTGAATGGTAATTTTGTTTTAAGTTCTTTGAGAAATCACCAAACTACTTTTCCACAGTAGCTGAACTAATTTACATTCACACCGACAATAGATAAGCATTCCCTTTTCTTGGTAGCCTCGCCAGCAACTGTGGCTTTTGACTATTTGTTGTTTTTTTTTTGAGACAGAGTCTTGCTCTATCACCCAGACTCGAGTGCAATGGTGCGATCTTGGCTCAATGTAACCTCTGCCACCCGGGTTCAAGAAATTCTCCTGCCTCAGCCTCCTGAGTAGCTGGGATTACAGGCATGTGCCACCATACCCGGCTAATTTTTGTATTTTTAGCAGAAACAGGGTTCCACCATGTTGGCCAAGTTGGTCTCAGACTCCTGACCTTAGGTGATCCATCCTCCTCGGCCTCCCAAAGTGCTGGGATTACAGGTGTGAGGCACTGAGCCCGGCCTGACTTTTTAATAATAGCCATTCTGATTGGTGTGAGATGGTATCTCACCGTGGTTTTGATTTGCATTTCTCTAATGATTAGTGATGTTGAGTATTTTTCCACGTTTGTTGTCTGTTTGTATGACTTCTTTTGAAAAGTATCTGTTCATGTCCTTTTCCAACTCTTTAAATGTATTCTATTTATTTATTTATTTATTTATTTATTTTTGAGACGGAGTCTTACTTTGTCACCCAGGCTGGAACGCAGTGGCACCATCTCGGCTCACTATAGTCTCCACCTTCCGAGTTCAAGCGATTCTCCTGCCTCAACCTCCCGAGTATCTGGGATTACAAGTGTGCACCACCACACCTGGCTAATTTTTGTATTTTTAGTAGGGGAGGTTTCACCATCTTGGCCAGGCTGGTCTTGAACTCTGGACCTCAAGTAGTCTGCCTGCCTTAGCCTTCCACAGTGCTTGGATTACAGGTGTGAGCCACTGCACCTGGCCTGCCCACTTGTTAATGGGGTTATTTTTTGCTTGTTGAATTGTTTAAGTTCCTTATAGATTCTAAATAGACCTTTATCAGATGCACAGTTTGTGAATATTTCTAAAATTTTCTCCAAACATTAGATCTTTTTAGAGACATGTTGGATTTGACATGTGTCCATGTTTTAAGTAAGATTTTTAAAATAAGAATACAGGGCAAGTTGAAATAAATGGTAACTCATTGCATCTAGTAAGTCACACACATACACACACCATCCTCCAAAAGCTCAAAGCATGTCAAGATACAAATCACACCAGTGTTAGCCTCTTATTTATGTGTCTTAGCCCTGCCTACTCAAGAGCCTGTCTCCTCTTGACAGCTCTGTCATATAGGGTAGAAAATATAGAACAGCTGTGACCAGGGCTTACTCATCTGTACAGTCACTAGATGATAATAGTTATAAAAATTAACATGTGTAAAGGGCTTTGTGGCATATAAGCCACTACTGGGCATATGATTTTAATTCAATTTTAATCTTTATAGAAACTCCTCTCCTCTCCTCCTCACCTTGGATGGGGGTATCAAAGCTTAGGAATGAAGTGACTTGTTAAGATCTCTCACTATGCTTTTTCCTCAAGTACATAAACATTCCTGAACCTCTCTCAATTAAAAAAATGGAATTCATTCCTTATTACACATGCTTTCTAGCCAATCTTTCTTCTTTCATAACTAAGTGTTTTAGAGTAGCTTACACTCTCTGCCTCCCCCTCTTTGCATTCATATCGCTATTTTTTCCTTGTCTAAGGAATGTAATGTACTACATCAGGTCACATGCTGAAAGATTGCACCTGGGGAATGCAGTCACCCACCTACCGCAGTTTGGCTCATGTATAGATATTAAACACAACTTGAGGAATATCCTTGACTACTGAAGAAAGTAGGCAAACTCTGGGCAGGCACTCAGACTTGGGAAGCTTGCGGCATTCCTCTGAGGTCTAAGGAGCTTCCCATTCTATGGCTATCCTCCCTGTCCTTTCCTTTCTGAAGGAAAGGAAGGAAGGAAAGAAGGAAGGGAGGGAGGGAGGAAGGGAAGAAAGGAAGAATAGTTTCAAAACAAAGTTGTCTGACTACAAATTCTGTTCTGTTATTAGATCCTTTCCAATTCACTGTTGTTGTGGTTGTTAAAATAAAGCACAAATTTTTACCACTTGTAGTAGAGAGGCCTTGTGAGAGACAGTTCCTCTACTCCAGAATTGTCACCCCTGTCTCCTATCAAAATGCCTCAGATTCTTCCATTTAAACTTTGGTAATGATGTCAATCTTGGAAGACTTTCTGGGTTGAGCAGATTAAAGAAGCTGAACATGATAGAAGGGAGAAGAAAGCTGCAAGGAACAGGGACTGGCCTGATGGCCTGCTTCATCTATTGCCCAAGCTCCCCACAGCCAGCTCTGGTCCCTTGTAGGATAGAAAGTACAACACAAAGAGGTGACTGAATAACTTAATGGTCTTGGATACACAGTCAGTCCTCTGCTCTCCCATCTGAACTAACAATATTTCCTGTTCTGTTATCTGAAGTGTGAGGTTGGCACTCTATGATGACACAAGTGCCCACTTCCAGCCAAGCCAAGCAACCTTTCCTCCAGACTGAGTCAGTCACCTCCATTCTTTGTGTTCTGACCTTCCAGCTGCAAAAGTAGGGCCCAGATCTCACCTTCTTAGATTCTGAGGTAGTGAACCTGAACAGGTGAATTATAGAGCCACTGTGAAGCTCTAGATTTCCAAGGAGTTCTCCACCTTACCAGTGTTTAAAATCTGTACTTAGTTCCTATATATTTTTCCACACTTTTCATTCCCTTTCCTATAATTCCTTAATATCTCCTTTGATAGCAAAAGGGACAAATGTAAACAGGTTAGGCCATGAGCAAAATCAAGTAGGTAACATATGTCTTTGCTGCTCCATCTCCTTCCTTTCTCCTCCCTCCATTGAAGTCAGGAATCTAAAAATAGTCATCATACCTTAGTGTATATTTAAAGTTCTCTTAACTGTATCTCACAAGGGCTTTATTTTTAGTTACAAAATTTTTATAAGTTGTTTTGGCCACTACTAGAAGCAGCCTTTCAGGGAGGTAGCAAAGGCATTTTTAGGGAACATTTTTAGGAGTCTTCATCTGGGAATCACCCCAAGCAGGGAGCTCCTCAGAAACATTCTCATGCCCCGGACCTTCGTGCTCGCCACGCTTGACTGTGTAGGGAGTTTGAGATAAAATGGTCTACAGTCATTCATTTCGGGTACCTTCCTCTGGACTCTACATTTCTGGTCACTTTTCTGTCATCACCCAGCTTCTTAGGTCAGTACCCGGTGATACTCATGGTGATCCGGGAAGGCTGGACCAGGGAAGTGGAGGACAGGCTGTGCTGATGGTTTATTAAAGTCTGTGGCTTCTTACTCCTCCACAAGACTCCTCATCAGAGGGTGCGGCTTGGGTCATGCTGGGCACTCAGCAGCTTTGTGGTGGGTATCGGTTTGCGCTTCCTCCCCTTTGCTTTCGATTCAATGCTTTCCTGTTGCAGTCTGAGCAGCTCTATTTAACCGCAGCCTCACAGCAGCTACCACTGCATGCAAACTGGATCCATCTAGGGGCAAGTATAGGGCAACCAGAGGGTAAGGGGTTGAGAGGTAAGAAAGGAGACTGCTAGAAGTCAGCTGGAAATGAAAAATTCCAAAGCTAGAATGTCACGATGAATAACAACCAAGAAAACATTCCAGTACCATGAAAAAAAGTACGTTCCAGTTTACATTCGGCTATGATTTTTAAAAACTGAACCCTAAGTTAATTAGTTCAAATACAGTTTCATTAGAAAATATCTTTGCATTTTTCAAAGAAACATATAGGATAATATAAATCCTGGCTTTAATTCAAGAATTAATAAAAAAATATTAAGAATCCCAGTTCAGTTCTGATTCAGGAATAAGATAACTGATAATTTGAGGCTAGAATTTAGTCTACAGATGTTAGAGGCCCTACAGTAGAATGCTCCGAGCAGAGGAAACAGCATCTGTGAAGGCCTAGAGGCAAAAGGAAGCAGGGTGTGTTTGAAACACTGGAGGTCAGTGTGAGTGGAGTTCAGACTGATGGCAAGTTACTGATCATGAGAGGCTTATGAACCGTGATAAGAAGTTCGGACTCCATCCTAAGGACAGTGAGAAGCAACTAAAGGATTTTAAACACAAGTGGTGAATTTACAGAACTGCATTTACATAAAGAACCATCTAGTGGTTAGTGGAAAATGATCCAAGGGGAGAAAACCTGGGGGCAGGAAACTAGCAAAGGGATGTGCAAAATGCCACATAGATGGTGATCACTTAGGCCAGTGGGGACAGGGAGAAATTGATGGATTCAAATATGTAGATTATACTGAATTTGGTTATTGACTGAATGTGGAAGGTGAGCAAAAGAGGCATTAAGGATGAATCCTACATTTCTGCCTAGAAAAACTGGGTAGATGGTGTGGCATATGTTTGGATAAGGAGCATTATTGGAGGAATAGGTTTGAGGGAGGGAGTTGGTTAATAGGCTTTCAGGAATTTCTAATTGAAGTTCTAGAAAGCAGTCAAAAGAGGTCAGGGAAGATAGAGATTTGGAAATAATTGGCAGATAGATCTCAATAATGCCATGGAAAGGGATAATATTTCTCACAGAAAATGTTTAGAGAGAAAAGAGGCTGATGTAGAACAGGGTTCTGAGGAACACCAGTACTTTAGGAGTAAAGAGGAGCTTGCAAAGGATGCTGAAGACCCATGACTAAGATAGGGAAAAAACAATAGTGCAAAGGAAGAGTGAATCTATCAAAGAGGATGTGACCAAAAGCATCACATGCTACCCTGATGCCAAGTAAGATCAAGGCTGATGTATCCACTGGATTTAGTAATATGGGAGGTGGCGGGGGGGCGTTACTGTCCTGAGTGAAAGCCCTTTCAATACAATGGGAGCTGATGCCAGTTTAGATTGGGTTAAAAATTGTTTGAGAAGTGAAGAAATGGAAACAGCAAGAGCAGACATCTCATTCAGCAAGCTACACATACTACTCCTTTTCCCTCTACCTCTACCCTCTAAATTCCCTTTCACGCTGTCCCTATTTGGTAAATCTTGCTCATTCCAGGACAGGGCTGGAGTGAAGGAGATTTGCAAACAAACAAACAAAAATCTGAGGAATATATATATGTTTTTCCAGAAGCAAATTTAGCCAGGGCTGAAATTCAGGAAGTGAGTGACTTATTCCATGCTCACCAGACAAGAACTTTCAGCCAATAAAGAAGGGCTACACACTCCCTGGTGCCAATGTGGGGGTGTTGGTTACGTTAAGCCAAGAATGTGATGCAATTCTCAAGAACAGGAAGAGGTTTGGCTGGAATAGAAAGAGGACTCTGACTTGGTAGTGGTGGTAGCAGAAGTGGAGTGGGAAACAGGTAGTTTTTTCAAAAGAGTAAAGCTAGAGATTAACTGGCAAAAGCAGAAGGAATTGATAAACTGTAACTGAAAGCCTTCCTATTCCATCTCTGGTTGTAATAAAGCAGACAGAAAAAGCCTCACATTCAGAATTGGCTCTTCTAGCAATTATGAAAGAAATTACCCACCCCCTGGAGCTCTCTTGACATATAGGGTGTCCCTCTGGACTTTTTCTTCAAGCAAAGAGCAGCTATTTTGATTACAGATTAGAAAATTTATCTGTAAAATGGGGGATAGTAGCTATCAACTTCACAGGGCTATGGTGAGTATCAAAGGGAAAACATGTCTGTGAGAGCACCTTATACGCTATTAATATGCCTAGCCTACTTATAGTAGGCTAGCCTACTAGTTACTTATAGCCTACTGCTCAAGTTATCACCAAGGTCTGATTTTTTGACAAAAAAAAAATTGCAACCTCCGGCCTAAGTGAGTTAAGAACAGTTCAAATGATAGTTGCTCTTGTCATTACAAGATAATTCACTGACTAAAGATAGAAAGGCACGGGGATATTTGAATAATGAAAGAATGAGAAAGATTAGATGTAGACAACATTTTATCTGAATGACAAACATATACTCTATGATAGGAACACATTTAGACACTGCTGAGGATCACTCTTTGGACTTAGGTAGGCATCCTAAACTATAAATCAGGCCTGAACACCTTTTCTCTTACACATACAAAACAATTTATTTAAAAACTGGTGCTAAGTAGGATCTACAAATCTAGAGTTAAATGGAAAAACATGGGTAGGAGTTTCTGGAAATATAAGTCAAATAATTAACATAAGATTGAAGAAACAGTCAATTATTTTCTTCACAGGACAGAGAAAAGGAAAAATCTTATTTGGAATGAATGTTATATTTATTGTAATAGGATTAGCTTTGTCACCTAAATACCATCATTTTTAAAGGGCTATTCTTTACAGTATAGTTCTTTTCCTCTCAAGGAAAAACTGCTTTAGACATTTTAATTGAGGAAAAGGCAGAGCCTTTGGAGTTTTGCTGCCCGCTTCTGGGAACATGAAGTCATAGCCTGAGAAATTGCTAGAGGATCCTAAATATTGCAATATATAACAGGAATAATTCCCTTTTCCCTATCAAAAGTAAAATAACTGTGAAACTGGATGTTAGTCTCCAGAGAAAAGCCAGGATTGTACTGGTCACAAATGCTTTTTTAAACAGTTATAATAGTAATAGAAGTGAAACAGTATGGTATACTTGTACATCACTTCAAGGTTTATAAAATCTTCATGACCATTATTGCATTTTACCTTCTTTTATCCTCAAATAGTTCAAGTGAAGTAGGCAGAACAGACGTTATTCTCATTTTCACATGGGGAAACTGAAGTACACAGTGTCTAAAAAACTTACCTAAAGTTCTGCTAGAGTGCTGAGCTGGGCCTTGAAGTCGTCTCCCGACTCAGAGTTCAATGCTCTTTTCACCCACTTCCCTACTGCATGCAATGTAAGTAATTTGTTTCTGTTGCAGTTACATCCCTCCTCAGCAATGTCCACATTACACCACAGTGTCCAGTAATTTATAGAAAGAAATCTGCTGCTTTGTATATGATTCTAGCAAGGCTACGCTGTTATTGTGGCAAAAACGGATATATTTAAATTCCACAAACGAGTGGATGGGCTATAGCAGAACTTCTTAAACTTCTGCTTGGAAGTTCTTTAGTGTCTTTTTTTCTTCTTCTTCTTCTTAGATTCTTTAAAGCAAGCAGAGTTTTGTAATATTAAGTCTCAACTCTGCTACTAGGGAAAAATGAGTTTGAGAAAGACGGAAGAAAAAGTGGAGTATAAAAATTTTTAAAAATCAAGAAAAACCAATTTGAAAGTCAAAGTTCTTTTATTCTAAAGCTCTAAGTGTGCAAATAAACCCACTCTGTATATTTATGCAAATAGCTAAACAAAAGGCAGATAAATAGATATAATCTTCAGTCCATGTATTGGCCTAACTGCTTGTCCCTGCATGCCCAGTCCAACAAACCTCACTGCCTACCTACACAACCAGCAAGTAAAAAATTGGGAGTTTAGCAGGTACAAATTGCCATCAGTTGGTCAAAACTAAGCCGGTAAAACCAGTTTCTTGGGTATGGTAAAATATTTCTTACTTTATATGGCATATTGGTCAAGGTATTTATCACTGAACTGGAGTCACTTTTTCAAAAAATTAGTTAACAGATCTGAAATGCTCATTAAATATTGTCTCCACAACATAAAAGTAATCGTAAGCATAATGGTCAATTGGAAACATTCCCAGTCCAAGATTTGTTGCTATATTTGACTTCTGTGCTTTCTCCCCAAGTCTAATTTATCTCTATGCCTTAATTTCTCCTCCTTCTTTGCCTCCATACCTTTCAATTGTTTCTGCCACCAAAGAATCAATTTCACTTGCTGTATTTTTTTCCCTTCTCCAATGTGTTTACTATATGTTGATATAATTGTACTGGTTCTCTCTTTTGTTGCGACTTTTCAATGTGCCTTTCTTTTCCCATTTCATTACTAGACCTACACCGTTTTGCCCCACTTTTGTTTTCTTCTTTTATTCAAATTGTGTGTACCTATGATTCATGAAACCCAGTTCCAAAAAACTTATGCATACATCTCTGTAATTCAGTGAACTTATACCATGAATATTTGTTGCACACCTCCAATGTGTCAGCCACTGTACCCAATGCCAAGGATTCAAATTGAATAATAATTGATCTCTATCCCAGGCATCTCATAAGGCACATAGCCAAGGAGACAAACAAGTATGCACTGACAGCTAGTTTAAATTTGTAGGTTTTATAATAGAAATATGAACAAGTTATTGTGGGAGAATGAAAACACAGCTTCTCCCAGGTCAGAGAGTAGGGGGGTATGAGAATGTCAGAAAGGCTTTATGAAAGAGACATTTGAGCTGGGTCTTTGAAGGAAGAGCAGAACTTTACCAGGTGTCTTGTTTGTTTTGCTATATGCTTTATTTTACATTTTTAAAAAACTTTTCTTTAAGGTTTTGGTGTACAGATTATTTTGTTACCTGGTAATAAGCACAGTACCCAATAGGTAGTTTTTCTGTCCTCTCCCTCCTCCCACCCTCTACCGTTAAGTAGGCCTTGGTGTCTGTTGTTCCCTTGTGTACATGTGTACTCAATGTTTAGCTCCCGCTTATAAGTGAGAATATGCGGTATTTGGTTTTCTGTTCCTACATAATTTAGCTTGGGATAATTGCCTCCAGCTCCATCCATGTTGCTGCAAAGAACATAATCTTATTTTTTTATGGCTGTGTATATTCCACGGTGTACGTGTACCACATTTTCTTTATCCAGACTACCACTGATGGGCATTTAGGTTGATTCCATGTCTTTGCTATCGTGAATAGTGCTGCGATGAACATATGCGTGCATGTGTCTTTATGGCAGAACAATCTATATTCCTTTAGGTATATATCCAATAATGGGATTGCTGGGTCGAGTGGTAATTGTTTCAGGTTCTTTGAGAAATCACCAAAGTGCTTTGCACAACGGCTGAACTAATTTACATTCCCATTAGCAGTATATAAGTGTTCCATTTTCTCTGCAACCACGCCAGCATCTATTGCTTTTTGACTTTTTAATAGCCATTCTGATTGGTATGAGATGGTATCTCATTGTGGTTTAGATTTGCATTTCTCTAATTATTAGTGATGTGGAACATTTTTTCATATGCTTCTTGGCCACATGTATGTCTTTTTGAAAAATGTCTGTTCGTGTCATTTGCCCACTTTTTAATGAGGTTGTTTTTTGCTTATAAAGTTCCTTATAAATTCTGGATATTAGACTTCTCTAGGATGCATAGTTTGCAAATATTTTCTCTCATTCTGTAGGTTATCTGTTTACCGTGTTCACTGTTTTGTTTGTTTGTTTTTGGCTATGCTAAAGCTCTTTAATTAGATTCCATTTGTCAATTTTTGTTTTAGTTGCAATTGTTTTTGGCATCTTTGTTATGAAATCTTTGCCAGGTCCTATTCCAGAATAGTATTTCCCAGGCTACCTTCCACGGCTTTTATAGTTTTAGGTTTTATATCTAAGTCTTTACTTCATATGAGTTGATTTTTGTATATGGCAAAGGGAAGGGGTCCAGTTTCAATCTTATGCATATGGCTAGCCACTTATTTCAGCACCATTTATTGAATAGGGAGTCCTTTTCTCATTGCTTGTTTTTGTCAACTTTTTTCAAATATCAGATCATAGGTGTGCAGCATTATTTCTGGGCTCTTTTCTGTTCCATTGGTCTATGTGTCTGTTTTTGTACCAGTACCCTGCTGTTTTGGTTACCGAAGCCTTGTATTATAGTTGAAATTGGGTAGTGTAATGCCTTCAGCTTTGTTCATTTTGCTTAAGATTGTTATGGCTATTCAGGCTCTTTTTTAAGTTCCATATGAATTTTAAAAGTTTTTTTTTCTAATTCTGTGAAGTATGTCACTGGTAGTTTCATAGGAATAGCATTGAATCCATAAACTGCATTGGGAAGTACAGCCATTTTAACAACACTAATTCTTCCTATCCATGAGCATGGAATCTTTTTCCATTTGTTTGTGTCATCTCTGATTTGAGTAGTGTTGTAATTCTTTTTGTAGAGATCTTTCACCTCCCTTGTTATCTATATTTCTAGGTATTTTTGTGTGTGTATGGCTATTGTGAATGAGATTGCATTCTTGATTTTGACCCTCAGATTGAATGCTATTGGTGTATAGAAATGCCACTAATTTTTGTACATTAATTTTGTATCCTGAAACTTTGCTAATTGTTTATCAGATCAAAGAGCTTTTAGGCAAAGACTATGGGGTTTTCTACAGAATCATATTGTCTGCAGAGATAGTTTGACTTCCTCTTTTCCTTGGATGTCTTATATTTCTTTCTCTAACAGGTTATCTCTGACTAGGACTCTCAGTACTATGTTGAATAGGATTGGTGAGAGTGGGCATCTTTGTCTTATTCTGGTTCTCACAGGGAGTATTTCTAGCATTTGGCCCATTCAGTATGATGTTGGCTGTGGGCTTATCATAGATGGCTCTTATTTTGAAGTATGTTCCTCTAATGCCTAGTTTGCTGAGGGTTTTTAACATGAAGGGATGTTGAATTTTATTGAAAGCCCTTTCTGCATCTATTGAGATGACCATGTGGTTTTTGTTTTTAGTTGTTTATGTGATGAATCACATTTATTGATTTGCATATGTTGAACCAAACTTGCATCCCAGGGATAAAGCTTGCTTGATTGTGGTGGATTCGTTTTTGACATGCTGCTGGGCTTGGTTTGCTAGTCCAGCAAATTGAGTCATTGAGGATTTTTGCATCTATGTTCCTCAAAGTTATCCATATTCAGAACTCTATTTTTGTCATGTCAGCCTGGTTAAGAACCACTGTTGAGGAAATAGTGCAGTTGCTTGAAGGTAAGAAGGCACTCTGGCTTTTTGAGTTGCCGGAGTTCTTGTGCTGGTTCTCACCTGTGTGGTCTGATGTTGCTTCAACCTTTGAAGTTGCTGTTTCTTGGATAGGTTTTTCTGCTTTTGTCTTCTTTGATGCCCTTGGTGGTCTGAATATTGCATATAATGGGCTCAGCCAAGTGGCCTCATTTCTGGAAGACTGTAGGGGCCAAGGCTGAGCTCAGCACTCATGAGCTGTGTGTTCTAACTCTGAGGAGGCTGGTATTGGACCTCTGGCTTTGTTTTCTAGCCCCTCAAGGTTAGGAGCCTAGCAGGTGTCTTAAACTGTTTTCTGTTGCGATAATAGAATACCTGAGAGTGGGTAACTTATTAAAAAGAGTTTTATTTAGCACTTGGTTCTGTTGGCTGGGAAATTCAGGATCAGGCAGCTGTATCTGGTGGGTTCTCATGACTGCCTCATGCTGCATCAAAACATCGTAGAGAAACAGAAGGGGACCGAGTTTGTGCAAACAAAAAGCGCAAAATAGAAGAGGCAGCATTGTTTTATAACAACTCACTCTCTTGGGAACTAACCATTCCCAGGAGAACCCAGTCTCAGTGTCAAGAGAAAGATGTTAATCCATCTTAGCAACCTAATTACCTCTTAAAAGTACCATCTCCCAACACTATTACATTGGCAATTGAACTACAACATGAGTTTTGGAGGGGCCAAACAACATGCAAACCATAGCAGCAGGTTTAAAGGTAAAAGGATGGGAGAAAAGTACACAGAAAGATATTCTGGAGAAAAGGCACAGAGTGAGCCAAGGCACAAGGTAAAATGTTTGACTGGTTAGAGACGCTAGATTATTTTGTGTGGCTAAGACAAAACAAAGCTGGTGGGGAGTGGCAGGAGGTAAGTCTAGAATGGCACAATGGGGCCAGACTGCGAATGGCAAACAAGTATGTGATCTTTTATTCTAAAGAAAATGTAGTATGATTAGCACACACACACACAAAAATTATTGGCCGGGCGCAGTGGCCCATGCCTGTAATCCCAGCACTTTGGGAGGCCGAGGAGGGTGGATCATGAGGTCAGGAGTTCAAGACGGTGAAACTCCATCTCTACTAAAAATACAAAAATTAGCCAGGAGCTGTGGCAGGTGCCTGTAATCCCAGCTACTCAGTAGGCTGAGGCAGGAGAATCACTTGAACCCGGGAGGTGGAGGTTGCAGTGAGCTGAGATCGCGCCACTGCACTCTAGCCTCGGCGACAGAGCAAGACTAAAAATAAAAATGAAAAAATTATTATCCATGGTATTATCATGGTAGTACTGACTAAAAGAGGGACATGTGTAACAAAATCAGTAAGGAGGGTACTCCAAGAATCCATGTTAAAGTTAATGAGGGCTTGAACCCAAACATAAAGGATGGAAATGATGTAATAAAATACCTTTTGAAAGTTATATTAAAAAATTTTTGGTTAATAGTCTAGTTAGAGGTGAAAGAAGAAAGCAGAGGAGTCTAATGCAATGCGTGACTTGTAGCTCAGGTAAAGGGGTGGCAGGTGACGCTTAAATACTAGAAATATAAGAAGCAGCACAGGTTTGGTTTTATCTTTGAGAACAATGGAGTGGAGGTATGCTTTAGATGCAATTATTTATGGGATATTCAAAACAGATATATATGAAGCAAAAAACTTGGGCCCAAAAAACAAGTTTGAAGGTATATTTGGGAGTTACCAGTAATATAGGTAACTGTTGAAGCTCTAAATATAGAAGACAAACTAGAGGAGCTTGTTTCTTGAAGAATTCTTGTCACACTTGACATTTTTTACAGAGATTTCTTAAAACAGGGGCATATCTTCTTTGGCTAACATATGCAGACTAAAATGAAAGAGTATAGTATATTATAAAATCAATAAAAGGTAAGATAAATTTAGGCCTAAAAATAAAGAATAAATACACTCAGTTGATTCTGAAGCTCTAATTTACAGATGCAAAATTGTACCAGTACATTAACTCATATGTCAAAACAACATCTAGAGAAACAAAAAATGAAAGTAAAATGGAAAAAGATAAAAGAAGTGAGGCAAGGAGAAGAGAATGGACAAAAGGAGATAGGAAAAACAGGAATTTTTTTTTTAAGGGCTAAAATTTTAGTGAATCAGATGTGGAAAACAGTTGGATTAACATTGAGATCAAATGAGAAAGGAGCAAATAAGGAAAGAGGTATTACAAACCAAGAGTAAAAAAGGGAAAACAAAATAACAAAAGCAAAAACTATTTAAAAAGAATAAAGGAAGACGTGATAATGAAGTAAATTTAAAAAGTACGGAATAATAAAAAGAAATTGCAAAAAATAACTTTTGAAAATAAACATACTAATAACTTGACAATAAAGTGAAATGTGTAAGACAAACGTATCTGTGTCATTATTTAGGAGTAGTGAAAAGTACTCTTAAATAATAATTTGGTATCTAGCAGGCCTGGATTTGAATCTACTTTAACTTGCTAGCTATGTGACCTTGGGCAAGCAAAGAAACTCCTCATAACCATTGTAATAATACCAGCAAAATGCCTTACACTTACGGCTCAAAAAATGAAGGAAATGAGAGAAAAAAGTATAGATTACTATATGGAAGTCAAATTTCTAGTGACTTTTCTAATCCAAACATGAATTGTTACAGTACTTGAAATAAACTTTATGAGAACTGAGTGACTACATTGCTTCAGATAGTTTTATACTGCTAGGTCAACGCTGCCTGACAGTAATAAGAATAGGATGTGAGATTCAATATGCTCATTCTATCTCAAACTCTGTCACACATACAATGACTGCTATTTACCTTCCTCCTGAGCCATCTGGGAAAAAACCAACCAACCAACCAACCAAACAAAAGAAAAACCCACCAGGTAGGAGTCAGTTAGTTCTGCTAACTAACTAACCAAAAACCTTAATTGTATGGCCATCAGCACCCTAGCCCTTTGTCATGAAAGCTACCAATAAGGTGGAAATTTAAAATATGAGATATTTTATTATACATGTTTTATTAAACCCTATATGTGCAGAAATGATTGTCCATTTTCCTTCTTAACTTGCTTTTGTAAGACTTATTAAGTAGAAAATATAAATCTCAAGCTCCTTAAATGTGATTTTGAGGAACTGAGACCAAAACAATTTTTTGCTGTGGAACCAGATCCTTGAATGCACTACAGGAAAATATTATTTGATATGAAATTTTTTTGGTACACACAATTTTTCAAAAATATATCTCTCTCCACAAAGTTAATTCAAATTGTAGAATTCTTCCAAGTCACAGATGGAGTTTTCAAGGCTCTGGGTACTTACCTTTGAGTTCCACATCCTTTATCTCTGGAGCTCTTAACTGAGGGAACATGGACCATTAGGTCATGAACAGACTTTGTAGTCTTTGAACAGCCTGAAACAGTATGTGATACTTGATGTGCATGTACACAGGAACATTTTTCTAGAGTAATGGCACATACCTTTCATCAGATTTTCAAAGGTTTCTCAAAATGCTCAAGAACCATTGTTAGATATTTAAATAACCAGAGTGTACAGTGTCCAAATATTTCCAAATTTTGACACTTGTAAGATGTCTTAATTAAAACAAGCCATGAAGTTCAGCGTCACAATAACCAGAAAAGCACTTGTGAGAGTAGTTCTATGTCTTTACTTCCTAGTGGTTTACACACTCTTTAACCCATATGGCAATCTGGCTTCTGTCTCCAGTGCTCTGGAATTACTTCTGCCTGTATGATTAAGTTCCTCATTGTTAAATTCGAAAATACATTCTTTGGTATTTATTTGACCTCTTGGTGGTAATATAGCGTAAGAGCACAGACTCTGGAGCCAAACTGCCTAGGTTCAAATCTTAGCTCTATTACTTTCTAACTCTGTGACTTTGGGCAAATGACTTAACTCTCTCATGCCTCAAAGCAGAATCCTTTGTAAGGTTTATTTATATAGTGGTGTAAAGAGTACTTACTTCAAAAGCTTTGGTCAGTGTGAGAAATAAGCTCCTAACAAAGAAAGTGTTATGTAATAGTTATTATCTGGTACCTCTGATCACAACATTTTTGAAAATCACTTGAAATCTGCCTAAGTTTCATTCTGCCTTTGATGGCTCCTTATTTTCATCTCCCTACTTCAGGCTTCCTCCCTAATATATCTTTTATGCCAATATTATGATCACTTGAAACTATAAATCTGATGCCATCCTTGGCCACTACCATTAAGATGGTCTAAACTCCTCAGCATGATAGACAAGTCCCTTTATGATAGTGTACCCATCTAGTTCTCATTCCTCAAGTCTCCTCTGTTGTCTATGCTTACCCTATGGGCTAAGCTGAATCAAGCTGTTACATTTCCAAAATATGCCTCACTGTCTTTATTCATGCCTTTGCACATGCCATTGACTCTTCCTAGAATGCCCCATTCTCCTTCTCTAGAAAGTCTTCTCTTAACATACTTCTTCCCAAAATAAATTAGGTGTCCTTTCTTAATATGCCTCCAATAACCCCATACAGTATTTATCCCATTCTATTTTAGATGCCAGTTTGGTTGATGATACATTTCATCTAGTCAGATCTTCCCACTGCCTCTTATAAAGAAAACCAGGAGCCATATTATGATATTCTTGTTCTCTAATTTTTCTGCTGCCCTGATCTTAAACCACTTTCTTCTCCCTTTGTTGACAATTACCCCACCCCTTATTTCTTAATTAGCCCAACAAGATTAGATAGAAATGTATCTACAAAGGATATATGTATATAAATTAACTAGATAACAAAACTTCACACTGAAGTGAACATTCTACAAGTATTTATTTCATTGCTGACCATTAGGTTGCAGCATGCAACTCTCAACAATGAGCTGCCCCTCTCCACTCCTATAGAAGCTCCAAATACTATGGTACCACTATGTAGGTTTTCAGCCTTTCAAAGGCTTTTATTATTAACATCATCATTACTTCAGCAGGAGCCTTTTAGGGACTTAAAAGCACTGATTATCTATAAAAAGTAACTTCATATTTCATGCACAAAATTCCCAATTGGCAGATTTAGGTCCATAAAAGAAAGGAAAAAAATTATTCTAGTTATATAAATTATCAGGAATAAAATAGCATTTCTCCTTGCCTTGTTATAAGGAAATAATATATTTTTCCTTACCAGGAATCAGGATAGTATCTTTGATGATCCCTCAGGGTTATAAAATTGCTTACTGGTTAAAGTTTTTTGCCAAAGATATTAAGAAATAAAAAGTTCGCTCATTTTCCTGTGCAATTTAAAGAAATATTTGCAGTATGTACAGGAATTTTAAGTTATATTGCAGACCCTGGCAATAATATTTAAAAGGCCTATTTTCCCCATTAAAAAATTCTACCTCAGAAGGTAAAAGGAAATCTCCATCATCCCTGAGCAGAAAAGGAAAAAATCATGGGTACTTTAATTAGTTAATAGAAACCACTGTAAATGAGTTATCTATCTCCAGAACATTCTCAGAGAATTTACACGAACTAAAACAGGAATGAAGTGCTCTCAGAGACTTTTTCTCAGGTAAATGTATTTAGTAGTTTGAGTAGTTGATCTGCAAAAACTTTAACTTTAATTAACTACATAGATGAATATTTTTTATTTTGAAATTTGAGAATGTCCTAAGAGGATGTCTACAGGATATGAAACTACTGGGTGCAGGAAAATTTTTTAAATGTTAGCAAATTGTGGCAAGAGGAAAACAAACAGTGGAGAAAACTGTGGTAGAGAAAGTAAAGAAGGGGCAGGAGAAAGCTGTAATTATAACCTGGGCCTGCCTTTGTTCTCATGAAGCCAGGGGCCTCTCCATATCCTATACTTGCTCTTACGCTAATAACAAACCAAATGCTGCAAAATAAAAGTAATAATGACCCAAACTAATTTAAGTCTTTTGTTTAAGGAGTAAATGAGAGAAACATTTTAGCTTCTTAATCAAGGAGTGCTATAATTTCAAGGCATCTTAATATAATTCACTTACCCTAAAGCAATTGTGCAATAAGCAAATTATAAAAGGAAAACAACAAAGGTTAACTTTCTACAGGGGCCAATAGACAAGATCTGTGGAGCACAGCAATTAACCTTCACATACTGGAGTCTTGTTTAAAAGGCCATCAAAAACTCAGATTACTGAAAATCACAAATGTCACCAACAAAAGGAATGTTGATTAGAGTCAAAAAAAAAAAAAAAAAAAAAAACACCTTCCCAAAGGACTGCCTTCTTTGAAGGAATTTCAGAATGTTGCTAGCACAGGTTGACTAAGTTAAATCTCATTGATGGCTCCATCAGAGAATGAGAATGCCCCAGCCAGTGCTGTTTTTAAAATGCACTGGGAGGGAAAAAACGAAATTAACAATCTACTATTCCCTAATATATATGGCTTGGCACCCAGAGAAAGCCTCTGCCCCCGAAAGAGACTTTCTACATAGGGTTAAGCTTCATTAAATGAGGTGCAACCTTTCATTTTCAGGGCATCTCTTTTCTTGCAAGGTCTTTAGAGGCAGAAGTTCCACTTGGATTCTAATACACATCTCTGTGAGCTCAGTTTCCTGAAAATATACACCTACTGGGTTCTAGGTTCTCCCTTACCAGTGACTGTATTCATTATTTCACAGCCACCAGAATCGGACATACACTATTAACATGATGAAAAATACAGCTACTGCTGCAAGTTTGGCATAAGTGGAACGCATGTTCAAGTACTTCGCATCCTGGCGGTATTTCTTGGACAGACTGGACAAATTGTTAGCCTTTGAATCCAATGCTGTCAAAGAGGAAAAAAGGAAAACATTAATTAGTCCCTGGAAGTATTTTACCGAAAGTATTAAGGCAAACCAAAATGAGCAGCACTGCAACAACCATGAATCTTAAATCATCATTTTTATTTTAAGGCTAACATTGCATATACTAATTAACTGATGATGCTGATCAGATGATGTCTGAATTTTTGAGGCTATATAGTAAGGTGGTTAGAAGTGCAGGTTCTGGCCTCAGACTCTTTGGTTCAGATATCACCTGTACAAGTTATGTGACATTGGTCAAGTCATGTAACCTATTTAAAACCTAGTTTCTTCATCTATAATTGGGGATAATAACAGTAACTATGTCATAAAGTTGTATGTACATGAGATTGCCTGTAAAGTGAGCAACAATGCCTGCACATGATAAATTATAATAATTATTACATGTTAATAATTATTATCTTCATAATCTTCTAATGGTCTGAATCATATTCTCTTATATTTTGAAAAACGATAATGATAACCCATGTAAAACAAACTCAGATAACCAGAAAATTCAATTAACCAAACACAGTCTTAAGCTATACTTCAATGATGACTGCTAACATTTCTAAGATTCTCCACATAGTAGAGACTACTATGAAGTTAAAGCTATCAGGATTTATATTTCAATAGACATAGGAAAGTTGTAACTAAAATACAATAAGTACTACAAAAAAAAACGCAAGTAAATTAAGCTTTTTAGTATTTTCTGGCAAGTTTTTTCACCCCCAAGGACATTTGTAATGTTGTTATCTTCTTATAACAGTTAACTAAACACTTAGAGAAATAGCCAGATAGACACAAGCTAGACCATATTAAAATATAAGGCATATTTTAATAATAAACACAAACTCTCCATTTGACATAATAAATTCTGATCAAACTTTTCACTTCTTGAAATTTCAGAAAAAACTATTTTGCAATCCGGTTGTTTCTTCCTTAAAGAATGCTTTTGGAATATTTGGAGTTGCTTAATAGAGACTGGTTTTGATTGGGAAACATGGCGTTACTTAATAACACAGGCATGACAGCCACGTCTGAATTAGCAACTGATCACATGAGTAAGAAAAACATCTAGTCACGGAAGAAGAGTCAGGGACTGAGAAACAACCATGACAATGCACAGGGCATCTTTTTACAGAGCCTACAAGAATATACACTTCACTGGACAGGGATTTTAAATTATTGTGTTTGCTGCTATATCCTGAATGCCCAGAACAGGGCCTGGTATATAGTTAGTGCTCAATAAACATTTGCTAAATGAATCTAAATCTGCTGAGAATAACTCAGCAGAGGAACAATTATTAGACCCTATGAAACAAGTCATAGTTGAGAGAATTTATATATGAACGTTTTGAAATACAGGATAACATAAAGACAAAGCTATTGCTTGGAGAAGTCATTTAACAAATATTTATGTGACAGGCACCATGTGAAGTGCTGAGGATACAACAGTGATCAAAATATACATGATCCCTGCCTTTAAGGAATTTAGAGTCTTGCATGAGTGATACAAGAAAAATTCCTGTGCTAGTCTACTTTATCCCATATAGGAATTGCAAGTCTGTATGACAAAACCTTACACACTCACTCACTCAAAATTTGGTATTTAAAGAGTGTGAAGGTAAATGAATAACTGCTCACTACTCAAAAAAAGGTTAAAGTTTGTAGTTCATAATAAAAGAAAACTCACTTACTAATGAATATATAGCATGGCTGAATTCAAAAATACTTATTAAGGAACCTATTTGTGACCATTTCTGTGGGGGATATATAAGGAGTATGTGAAACAGATATAAAATACATAAGCACTATCTTTAAAGAGCTTACATGTCCACATTAAACACTTAGGTAATATTTAAATATCAGGTAAATATACATATACTTTTAACCTAATTTTACCTAATTACCTACACTTTTAAAATTATATAAAGGGCTGGGTGTTGTGGCTCATGCCTGTAATCCCAGCACTTTGGGAAGCTGAAGTGAGTGGATTGCTTGAGCCCTGGAGTTTGTGACCAGCCGGAACAACATGGCAAAACCCCATCTCTACTAAGAAAATACAAAAATTAGCCAGGCGTGGTGGCACATGCCTGTAGCCCCAGGTACTCAGGAGGATAAGGTGGGAAGATCGCTTGAACCCAGGAGATGGTGGTTGCAGTGAGCCAAGATCGTGCCATTGCACTCCAGCCTGGGCAACAGAACAAGACTCTGTCTCAAAAAAATATACGAAATTATATAAAAATATTTAATTATCCAAATATGTTTGCCTACTTTAATATAAATATATGAAATATATACTTATGTTATATGGAAATATATTTAATATATATTAAATATATATTTAATATGGTAAGAGGTATTTAATAAATATATTTAAGGTAAATTAGGTAAACACACATACATGTAATATGTGCTAAAACCATTATGTTATTAAGTGCTTTAGGAGTTTAAAGTACAGAAGAGATTAATGTGATACAGGCTATAAGGATCAGAGAAAGGTTCTTTAAAGAGACAGTTCTTATGGAGGTCTTACAGAACAGGTCCAGCATAAGGCAGAATAGACCACTAAGGATAGTAAAGAAGCTGGTGTGGCTACAGAAGAATGTTTGTGAACTAGAGAATGACAGACATTTGCATCTTCCTTATTTTCCATATGTAGAGCACAATGCCTTACAAATAACAAGCTCTCAATAACAATGGCTGACTGACGGAAAAATAAGTCAGACTGGATCTTATCTTGTAGTCCCAGATTTAAAAGTTTTTCAGAGGAATGCCTTGATGAAAATGGCATTTTATAAAGATTGATCTGGCAGCAGTAAAGTCTCCCAAAGAGGCTACTCAAAAAACCACTGCAATACATCATTGAGTTTTCTCTCATTCATTTCCCTTAATTTATACAAGTTATATAATTTAATTAATTTTGTGAATATCTTAGAAATAATCATTGCTTCTAATATGGATGAGTCCTTTACACTGTTCCAACTCAACAAAAACTAATCATGCTAGGAAAAAAAATATATTGGAAGCATTGTAATGTAATGTACTTCTGGGAGATAAATTCTTAACAGTTCTAGGTAGAATCTAATAGCATAAAAGGCACTGCAAAATAAGCTATCCTTGTCTATGGAATGAGAACCATTTCTTCATAAGACTCATTGCTTTTAGATACCTGAGAGTGCTTCTCCTCGTTGTAACACTTCTTCAATATTGGCCACCATGATCCTCTGCACATCTTGCAATTCAGTGTTGATGGAGCCTAGATTTCTTCGAGCACGACTGTCAATGTAGAGCTTCTTGGTTTTCTGAATGAAAGTATCTAGAATGATGAAGAAAACTGACCATTTCTTTCATGGCCATCAAAGTACTGAGGTAGGAGATTAAAAGTTCTGAGTTGGCCAGGCGCGGTGGCTCACACCTGTAATCCCAGCACTTTGGGAGGCCAAGGCAGGTGAATCATGAGGTCAGGAAATCGAGACCATCCTGGCTAACACAGTGAAACCCCGTCTCTACTAAAAATATAAAAAGTTAGCCAGGCGTGGCGGCACACGCCTATAATCCCAGCTACTCAGGAGGCTGAGCCAGGAGAATCACTTGAACTTGGGAGGCAGAGGTTGCAGTGAGCCGAGATCACACCACCACCACACTTTAGCCTGGGTGACAGAGCAAGACTCTGTCTCAAAAACAAAAAAAAAAAAACCAAAACAGTTCTGAGTTTATTCCTGGATTTGCCACTGTCCATGGTTAACCAAACTCTTGGTTGAATATCAAAATCTAGGCTTTGATTATTTCATTTGTAAGATGTAAAGGTATAATTAGACGACCATTCAGGAGAAATGTCCTTTGAATACCTTTGAATTAGAAGTATTTGCTATCTAAGGCTGCTATCAGAATCCTTAGAGAAATTAAGACCCACTATAGTAAGCCTTTCCTGAAAACAGAAATTTTCAAACAGTATTCTGAGGACCCTTAGGCTAAGTGTTACTTACCTCTACACATTCCTTAAAAGGATGCTGGTAACACTCTAGCATTATTACAGCCTAACATGGCAAAAGGGTTCATGATCATTAAAAAGCTGAGAAACTTTACCTTTTCTCTAATATACATTCCCAGTTTCATTCCATTCTTAAACCTCAGGTAAAGCAAATATGTAATAGGGAGTTTTCCAAAATACCAATACAAAACTGAACTGAAGTCTCGGCCAGGCACTGTGTCTCACACGTATAAATCCCAGCATTTTGGGAGGCCAAGATGGGTGGATCACTTGAGGCCAGGAATTCGAGACCAGCCTGGCCAACAAGGCAAAACTCCCATCTCTACCAAAAATACCGAAATTAGCTAGCTGGTCATGGCAGCGTGCACCTCTAGTCCCAGCTATTCAGGAGGCTGAGGCACAAGAATCACTTGAACCTAGGAGGCAGAGGTTGCAGTTAGCCAAAATCATGCCACTGCACCCCAGCCTGGGCAATAGAGCGAGACTCTGTCTCTAAGTAAATAAATAAATAAATAAAAACTGAAGTCTCATCCATCTTTTGCTCATATCAGTATTTCTCAAAACTATAGGAAGAATGACTTATTATTAAAGATATTTTCAACTTTTGGCAAAAATCTTAATTTAAGTGTGCTGTACCCCTTTCATTTGCCTCTTTAGATCTCCTCTCTGCCCTCCTGCACCTTGCTTTCTGCACTGGGAAGCTGACTTGGATGAAGCGCCTCAAGACTCCTTGCTCTGTGCCAGTTAGGTTCAGGCAATGAAGAAGCCCCAACAGTAGGGAAGAAGGAGAACAGACAGTGAGTGATGTCCGGGTATTTATTCCCCTGGCTTCTTTCAGAGAAGGAAATAACCTTCTTCTGGAAGTATCCCTCTACCAAAAGTTACGCTCCTCTCAAGTTGGCCTTCTCTAGAAATTTTCTCCTTTTCAGTTTCAGAAACTGCTCCTCCCCCTTATACATTCAGGCCTAGGGATGGTAACAACCAGTATGCTACTGGTCAGAGGTTACTGTACCTTGTAATTCTCCTACAGCCTAGTCATATCTTTGTATATAATCCCTTAAGCTAATTTGGGTGTGCCATCTGTTTCCTGTATGACCCTGATACATTTGTCTTATTTTTGAGGGAGGTTTATGGGAGTATTACTGTCTATAAAAATAAAATTTGAAAAACTGGACATTATATAAAGCAGCACTTGGAGAGTATATAGTTATGAAACACTAGAGTGTTTTTCCAAAGCAAGATGACCCATTTATCTAGCAAACTTGAAACACTTCAAAAATTCTAAGCCAGTAAAACCAATTTCTCTTTTAACTAAAAATTTCAGCGATATAGCCTGATCCTACTTGTTCTCACTCCCTGTACTTACTGTACTTAGGACATTTCCTTTGATCCCTTACCATCAGATACTTTACCAGGTCTGATTAGTAATTAGTCTTTCTATAATTCTTGCACAAATACAGACACCTATGCTCACTATTCCTGAATGTAGTAAATATTATACCCCAATACCATGAGTACCAGGTATCTTCTATTTCTTTGTTATGTTTTGTTTTTTTAATTAGAGGATCTTATTCTACTAAAAGAAACAAAACATCATTCTTTCTGATTTCCCAATTCTGATCTCCATAAAATGAGCCTTATTGTGAGTGTGAGTCTGTGGACTGGGGTAAAGAAGAACTCAGCCATTATATGCCAATCAAGTAGATCTTTAGGCACAGTTCCTGTCACATGTGACTCTAAAGAAGAATCAAACCAAATAACAGAAAGGGCAAAAGGCAACAATTTCTATGGGGGAAAGATCAAAAGACTAGAGAAAATTACTTTTCAGAACAAAGCCTTAGTCACTCAAAAAGACAAAAAGAAGTGGAATGGAAAAGGATGCAGAAGCTAAAACTTCAGCAAGTAAACATCAGAAAAAATGTATAAATATTATATCAGTGTAACAAATAGCTTCTCCATATTGTTTGCTCCCTTGATAGAGAGAAGTGAGGGGCAAAAACTTACCAAATTCAATAAAGGAATAGGGTCGGGACACAGTGGGCACCTTCTTTCCATGCTGTTCATCAAATTCTGAGTGCAAATCTTCTAGGTAGGCAAAAGCCAACTTCTTAGGGAAGGCAGCTTCACATAAAACCAAATAACACACCCCCTGCTCAATAATGTAGCTGGTGAGACATAAAAAGCAAGACAAAGTTATCTGTAAAGTAATAGCACTGACAACAGTTTAAAGCAGAATCTCTGTACCATGCAAACTTTTTAAAAAATCTAGCCTAAATACTTTGAGGCTGGCTAAACGAGAGTCAATTTAAAACCGCAAATCCTTGGAATCAGAAAGCAAACATCTTCCCATTATTAGATGTATATTCTTTTTTTTTTCTTTTTTTTTTTGAGACGGAGTCTCGCTCTGTCCCCTGGGCTGGAGTGCAGTGGCATTATCTCGGCTCACTGCAACCTCCGCCTCCCGGGTTCAAGCCATTCTCCTGCCTCAGCCTCCCGAGCAGCTGGGACTACAGGCGTGCGCCACTATGCCCAGCTAATTTTTGTATTTTTAGTAGAGACGGGGTTTCACCACGTTGGTTGGCCAGGATGGTCTTGATATCTTGACCTCGTGATCCGCCCGCCTCAGCCTCCCAAAGTGCTGGGATTACAGGCGTGAGCCACTGCACCCAGCCTATTAGCCGTATATTCTAAAAGGAGTATTTAGACATATTTATTATAATTTTTCATCCATTAGATTCTCTTTTTTTTTTTTTTTTTTTTTTTTGGAGACAGGGCTCTTTCCATCACCCAGATTACCCAGGCTGGAATGCAGTGGCATGATCTCAGTTACAGCAATCTCCACCTCCCAGGTTCAGGTGATTCTCACACCTCAGCTTCACAAATAGCTGGGATTACAGACACCCACCACCACACCCAGCTAATTTTTGTATTTTTAGTAGAGATGGGGTTTCACCATTTTGGCCAGGCTGGTCTGAAACTCGTGACCTCAATCGATCCACCCAATTCAGTCTCCCAAAGTGCTGAGATTACAGGTGTAAGCCACTGGACCCAGCCCATTACACAATTCTTCAACTAACATTTTAAACTTTTATTTTAGCTTGAGGATGTATATGTGCGGGTTTGTTACCTGGGTATATTGCATAATGCCGAGGTTTGGGGTACAAACAATCCCGTCACCCAAGTACTAAGCATACTACCTAATAGTTTTTCAACCCCTGCCCCCTCCTTCCCTCCTCTTCTAGTAAGTCCTCAGTATATTTATGTCCATGAGTGCCCAATGTTTAGCTTATAAACTTATAAATGAGAATATACAGTATTTAGTTTTCTGTTCCTGCATTAATTCACTTAGGTAATGACTTCCAGCTCCATCCATGTTGCTGCAAAGGACATGATTTCATTTCTTTTTATGACTGCATAGTATTCCATACTGTATATATACTACATTTTCTTTATCCAATCCACCACTAACATGTACCTAGGTTGATATCTTTGCTATTGTGAATAGTGCTGCAATGAATATGCAAGTGCATGATTTTTGGTAGAAAGATTTGTTTCCTTTTGGATATAAACCCATTAATGGGTTTGCTGGGTCTAATGGTAGTTCTGTTTTAAGTTCTTTGAAAAATCTCTAAACTGCTTTCCACAGTGGCTGAATTTACATTCCCACGAACAGTGTATAAGCAATTCCTTTTTCTCCACAGCCTCATCAGCATCTGTTGTTTTTTGACTTTTTAATAATAGCCCTGTGACTGTTGTGAGATGGTATCTTATTGTGGTTTTGATTTGCATTTCTCCAATAATTAGTGATGTGCATTTTTTCATTAGTTTGCTAGCCTCTAGTATGTTTTGAGAAATATCTGCTCATGTCTTTTGTCCATTTTTTAAATGGGGTTGTTTTTTGCTTAATACTTAAGACTTTTTCTTGAAAAATTCAGAGTTGTGACTCCATCCACCCTTTGATTCTATATGGTAAACTAGCATACACATATTTAAACTCTTTCCAGCCACAAAGGAAAACACTGTAACTGGAAATTTCTGTGGATAGAAATGTAAGGTTAATGACATAATGTTTACTGGGTACAAGACTAATAAGACTCCTTAATTTACAGTCCAGGAGAACTCTGTAATCAACTGGAAACTTATCAACAATGGAACTGACTTTCTTTTGTGATGATGAGCGCCCATGCACTCTGGAAGGGGCTGTATGATTACACATCTGAGAAATTCTTAGAAAAATGTTAGGCTACTAAGTGGTTTTCCAACTTCTTTTTAGCCATAGTATACATACACACACATGCAAATATATATATTTATATATGGAATATGTATATATAACAAGCAAAACATATTCAGAAGGCCAATGTATATATCAGATAAAATCAGAGGTTCTTTAGTTTAAGTAGGAGTTTGCAAATATTTTCTCCCATTGTGCAAGTTGTCTCTTCACTGTGTTGTTTCCTTTGCTGTGCAGAAGCTTTTAGTTTAATACAGTCCCATTTGTCTACTTTCTTTTCTGTTGCCTGTGCTTTGAAGTCTTTGCCATAAAGTCTTCGCCCAGGTTCATGTCCTGAAACATTTCCCCTATGTTTTCTTCTAGTAGTTTTATAGTTTAGGGTCTTATGCTTAAGTCTTTAATCTACTTTAAGTTGATTTTTGTATATGATGAGATAGGGATCTAGTTTCATTCATCTGATGAGGAACTAATATCCAGAACATACGAGGAACTCAAACAACTCAACAGCAAAACCAAAAATAATTCAATTAAAAAGTAGGCAAGGAACAGAATTGACATTTCTCAAAAGACATGCGAATGGCCAAGTATATGAAAAAATGCTCAACATCACTAATCTTCAGGTAAATGTAAATAAAAACCACAACGACATATTATTTCACCCCAGTTAAAATGTCTATTAAAAAGACAAAAGTCAATAAATGCTGTTGAGGATGAAGAGAAAAGAGAACTTTTATACACTATAGAAAACAGTATGGAGGTTTCTCAAAAAACTAAAAACAGAACTACCATACAATCTAGCAATCCCACTGCTGGGTATTTCTCCAAAGGAAAAAAACTCATTATGTTAAAAACTTATCTGTACCCCCATGTTTACGGCAGCACCATTCATAATATCTATGGATAGATAATCAAGAGAAATGTCCATCAAGAGAATAATGGATTTTAAAAGTGTTTTTTACACACACACACACACACACACACACACACACACCATGGAATACTATTCAGCCATAAAAAAGAATGAATTTCTATCATTAGCAGCAACATGGATAAATCTGGAGGACATTAAGTTAAATAAAATCAGTCATGCACAGAAAGATAAATATGGCATGTTCTCATTCATATGTAGGAGCCAAAAAAAATTTTTGAGCTCATGGAAGTAGAGAGTAGAATTGTGGGTATTAGAAGTAGGGAAAGGTAGAGAGAAGGGGAGGATGGGCAGAGGCAAGTTAATGGATAAAAAATTACAACTGGATAGGAAGAATGAGTTCTGGTGTTCTGCAGAACTGTAGGGTGAATATGGCTAGCTATAACTTACCACGTATTTTCAAAAAGCTACAAGATTTTGAATGTTCACAACACAAAGAAATGATAAATGTTTGAGGTGATGAATATGCTAATTACTCTGATTTGATTACACATTGTATACATGTATTGAAATATCACTCTGTATCCCATAAATATGTATAATTATTACATGTCAACTGAAAATAAAAGGGAAAAATTTAAAACATAAGGAGGAGTTTAGGGGCCCAAAGCATTATATATACTCCCATCCTTGCCCTTTCTATGTGGCTCCTGAGGCATCCTAGGGCTCCATAAAGGATAAAGACTATTATATGATCTCTCAGGCCCCTTAAAATAATATTAATAATACAGCTGTCTTATTCCTTGCTTGGGCACCTGAGTTAACTGGTCTCTTTGCTTTTAGTCTACACCATCTTCTATACCATCAGTTTTATTCCCAGAGACTACAGATGACCATATTACCCTGCTTACAAACTCTAAGGGTTCCCTAATACCTACAAAATAAAATCATACTCCATGGTATTATATTTACAGCCTTTCAAAACAAGTGTAAGCAACATTCTATCATATATTTTAATAAACCAAATGGCGGACTGTTCTCCAACATGCTAGGTTCTTTACATATTTGTGGACTTCTGCTTATATTGTTTTTTCTAACCGTTAATGCTCTTTTAAATACCTGGAGAAATCCTGTTCATTTTCATATGTTCAATTCTACCATAATTTTTTCTGTGAAACTTCTTTATATATACTCCCCTCCTCTGTCCCGTTTCTTCAAACTTACCCCCTACAAATGGGAATTTGTTCCTTCCTTCTCTCTGTTCCCAAAACATTTCATTTAAATCTAATTTACAACATCTTTTCAATTAAGATATTATAGTATACTTGTTTGAGTATATGTCTCTCTCTCTACTAAGAGAACAGTGTTAAAAGGTATGGACATTAAATGCAGGACTCAATATAAGGTCTGGCAAAGAATAAACCCTTAATAGCTCTTGGATGGAAATAAAGGATGATATGAGATTATGAATGTCCTAAAGGAATCAGGCAGAAGAAAATCTCTTCTCAATTCCATGAGAACTTTCCTAGGTCTTGGTTCTCTAAACCATGGTGAAAATGAGGATACTAGATATTAAGTGAGTGACTATTTTTGGTGTTGAAAATTAGAGTTCTAGAAAATATTTCAGATATTATAAAAATTAATACATCATAAAACATAATGTCCAACATTTTCTTAGCCAATTGCCTAGGGTTTTATTTTTGTTTTGATGTACTTTTTACTTGTCTTTTATAGGTAGAGAATTTTTGTTTTGTTTTTTAAAAGTAAACATAGCAGCTTCCTCCCTGGCCTAAGTTATCTTACTATCTAAGTCCCTAAAATGGCAAAGATTATTTAACTAATCCGTTTTTATTTTCCTCTGATGCTCTTGTACTCTTTTCCTTTTTAATCCTTCCTATTTTGTCAGCTTCAAACTTGGCATGTATTAAACATTAAATACCAATTATTTGTAGATAATTTAAAATCCAATAATGTTCCTTTGAGTCCTCTATCAGCTGTATCATTTATAACCACTGATTAAGATGCTCTTATCTTTTATAATTTTCTTTTTTCAAAATAATAATAACTAATAATTATTGACTCTTCCCATGTGTGTCAGACAAGATGCTAAGTAATACACACAGATTCCCTCACAATCCTCTCAAACCTCCTATGTTTATTTTCACTACTTTATAGAGGAAACTGAGGCTTAGAGAAGTTATGTGAGCTGTTCAAAGTTACACTGTTAGGAAATGTTTGAGCAAGGGTACTAACCTACACATATCTGGCTCCAAGACAGTCCTAAAGCAAGAAGTTATCTATTATTGCATGATGGGCACAGCATAGACACATGTTAACAGGTTAAATTACTGTAAGCATGCTGAAAAAACCAACAAGATGTCCATTTTGTAGAATTAGAGCCAGAGAAGTTGCTCCTCCCAAAAGACAACATTTTTAAGTAATCTTTACTTTTTAAAAATTATTATTTTTTATCAGGCATTCTGTTACTGTATTTCACTTAAATGATCATAAAGAAATCAAGATTACACTCACTGAAAAGTCATGGCTCCTGCTTCCAAGGTACATCTGGTAGGGGACTGTTCATTCAACTTTCGAAAGAGTTGCTTAGCCTGACTCTGATATTGTTGAAGGTCCCGGCCAGACTGAAAGAAGACATCTTCATTTAAGAATTTTCCACAAAATGCTGTATCAATTAGTGAGAAGCATCATATTATGAGGACACTCTGAATGAGGTCCTTCATTTACAGGTAAGTAAGATTCATTTTAACGGAGGAAAGACAACCTACTTTCAGAGTACAGAGGAAGACCTAACCCCTACTTCTTCAAGATGATCGCATTAGTTATTTGCTAAGAAGCAAAAGCATATACCTCAAATACACTTAAGCACTCTTAACTTTCAATCCAGTGTTCTTTCCACTATTAGGACAGTACTCTCCTCCTAACCCATTTCATTTGCAGTTATTGGCACAGAACTACACAGCATGTGCTATACTCAGGGGAATATCCTAGGAACAAGATTGGTGAATTTCATTTTTATGTTGGAATATCCAGCAGAACCTTCCACAAGTGTTACAGTTTTTAGCATTTAAACAAAACTAAATGTGTGTACTAGTGACTGCAAATTATTACGAACACTTTGACTGCAATTACATAAAAATGACCAAGGGTAGAGACAAAGATTAGGATGTCAGATACCCTTTACTGAAGAAATCTATTTGGTTCCCAAGTTTGGACAGCAAAAGTTTGAATATCGAGGGATATATGCAGACAAAAATGAAAATAATAGCATTCACATGTTATAATTACAGGTAATATTTTCCTGAACAATTTCTAACTGCTTTTACAATTATTTTTGTTAAAAAGAGGGGGCAAATCTACTGGAAAAACCAGCAGTGTCATTTCAAAAGAAGAAAACCATGCATCTCCAATCTACTAGATCCAACAGGGAAAGGAAGTGCCTGAAGAATGGGAAGCAAATAGACATTGTTTTTCCATCCACATGTGGGGTAGGGGAGCTTTCTGCCAGCTACCCAGCTATAGTCTGAATGTTTGCTGGTATCCCCCACAAAATTCATGTTGAAATCCTAACCCCCCAAAGTGATGGTATTAAGAAGTGGGACCTTTGGGAGGTGATTAAGTCATGAGGGTAGAGCCCTCATGAATGTGATTAGTACCTTTATAAAAGAGACCCCAGAGGGCTAGCTTGCTCCATCCACCATGTGAGGAAACAGCCAGAAGGTGACATCTATGAACCAGGAATAGGCCCTCAATAGTCACCAAATCTGCTGGTGCTTGATCTTCACCTTGCAGAACTAGAAAAATCAATTTCTGTCATTTATAAGCCACCCAATTTATGGTATTTTGTATAGTAAACCAGACTAGGACACTGCCATGTGATGCAAAGAAATAATCCTATTTTGGAATTATTTATTTTACATAGAAAGAATAGCCTCCCTTTGGCAGATGTTTAATAACTAAATATTTAAGTAGAAAAGTATTTATGCTAGGGTCTCCCAGGATCTGAGGTCTAACTTTGATAAAGTACAAAGTGATATCTTAAAATTGTAGATAGTGTACTGCTAAGCTGATAATAAAAACAAGGAAGCAACAATAAAATGATAAAGTGGCAGATCAGCAAATGTACAATTACAGGATAATAAGATTCTAAGCTATATGTAAAAATGGTGAACTGGAAATTTCAATAAGAATAAGAAGGTGAATAAGCATGAGGTGAACCAGGGGAGATAGGCAGAGTCCAGTTGAGGTATTAGTTTGTAGATTTATCTTGTTTAATACCACTGTTATGGCAATTATTTGTTTTATTGACATATATTTGTTATATATTTGAGAAATAGTTCTATATTAACATATGTATGTCTGTATGTATGTACAGTTTTATATATTAAACAGTACTTTATAATAATTATATCAAAATTATCATATTAAACAGTACTACTAATATATGGCCAGCCAGTAAGAGTGAATACTGTCATATGCTTTTAGCCAATAAGAACTAGTGCACAATATTCTATTTTCCTAAATTTGAATGGTACTTACCAATCTTTTTGTTTCCCCAGTGCCATTCTGAAGAGATCTGAACCCACAAGAGTAGATAAAAAGCATGCAAATTTCTTTAATTTAATAAAATTAATTTATTAAATTTAATTTAATTTAAAATTCTTTAATAAAAAAAAGAAATATTTTTATTATTTCTTGGCTCAAGTGCCAAGAAATAATATCAACATAGATCGGTGATTTTCAACCTTGGCTTCACAATAGAATCATTTGGGGAAATCTCAAAAACAAAACTACTTATGCCCAGTCTCCACCACCAAACCAATTAAGTCAGCATCTCGGAGGTGGGGCTGTGATATCGGTATTTTTTACATAACTGCAACCACAGGTGTTAAATATATGTTCTTTGCTAAAGGCAGGTGAGAATCTTAAAAGGACTAGTTGAAGAAACATGGAAAAAATTGCCACTCAGATTGGTACAAATCCTTTGACTTTACAAGAGGCACTGTAAACATTACTGTAACCTGAGAAAAAGACTAACAACTGTATCAACTATAAGAAACTGGCCAAAAGCATTCTGCAATTTCAGGAATTTGCAAACAGCAATGTAAAGACTGCCAATATACAACACTGGGGATGTATTTATAGGGATTATGGTATGCCAACCAACACCTTACCATGCTGGTTCAGTTAGCATTACCATCCTCGAGAACACAATGCTAGCACAATCTTCATGGTTAAATAATAATCTTTCTGGCATATTCATACAATGGAATACTATGCAGCCATTAAAACAATGCTGTATAGAGTTTAATGATATGAGAAAATATTCATTAAACACTGTTAAGTGGAAAAAATTAGGTGAAACAGTCTTACGGTATTACCTATTATTTAATGTTATACACACATACATATGTTTAAGGTCATCCACCAAAATGGATATAATTTGAGTACAGATTATAGTTAATAAACACTGTTAACATTTTGGTCATTTTGCTTTTATGTATTTACTGAACTTTCTACAATATGCACAAATTAATTTTGTAATGTGAAAAATCATTCATTCATTACATATTTGCATCCAGTGTATCGATTATGTGCAATTCTGATCTGTGAACCTTTAAGAAAGGCAAGATGAGGCTGGGTATGGGGGTTCACGCCTGTAATCCCAGTACTTTGCGAGGCCAAGGCAGGTGGATCATGAGGTCAGGAGTTCAAGATCAGACTGGCCAAGATGCTGAAACCCCATCTCAACTAAAAATACAAAAATTAGCCGGGTAGGGTTGCAGGTGCCTGTAATCCCAGCTACTCGGGAGGCTGAAGCAGGAGAATCGTTTGAACCTGGGGACCGGAGGTTGCAGTAAGCTGAGATCACACCACTGCACTCTAGCCTGGGCAACAGAGTGAGACTCCATCTCAAAAAAAAAAAAAAGAAAGGCAAGATGGAATTAGAAAAGATTCTTCAGAAATGATCAAATGAAATTATTAAGTGTTCACTTTCTGCCAGCCACTGTTCTGAACACTTTACATTATTTAACTCGTTTATTCTTCATGAGGTGATTAGAATTATTATGTCAATTTTTTACTTGAGAAGTCAAACTTTTTAGCCTCTAAGCTAAAAAGGGAGGAACTAGGATCTGAATGCAGGCAATCTGGCCCTGGAGCCCCTACTCCTAAGCATTATGCTACCCTAACTCTATAATTGAAATTGTTTCAATAGTAGATCCACCTTTTAGGTGAAGTCTTACTATGTAATTCTAACTCATTGGAAATGCTCAAGAAACCATGGGGCAGCTCTGATCTAGATCTCACAAAACAACCTAACCACTGTTTTACATACTGACCTTTAGTTTGCTTTCAAGATCAAAGTCACAAAGGGCCCACAGTTAGCCAGTCCACCTAAAAATATTTAGATATCCTCATTGTGTTTTCTACTTCATCTAGAAAAGATTAATGAAATTTGTATATGATATAATTATGAGATATCTATTAGTAATCCAATAATGCAGTGGATCAGAATAACTGGAAAAACTGTGAAACAAATTTGAGGTTATCCAACAGCAAATGTAGGATTTGGATCTATATATTACAAAAGATAGAAGGTAGTAACTAGACACACAACCACAATACTTTTCGTTGCTGTCACCTAAGACTGCTGAACAACTAGTTGTATCAATAACAACTTTTGCCTTCATAGCTCTTTATCATTTTCATAGCTGAGTTCAGTGGGTATCAATACCCACTGAACTCAGCTGGTCAAAGACCAGCAGCACCAAGAACCAACCACTTTCCTCTAAAAGCAGTTACAGTAAGTGGATTAATCAACCCTCAGTGATTGGGAGCGTGAGACAATTTAACTGTATAACATGTTATCTATCTGCTTTCTTGGAGCTTCCTGCTGCCTATTTGGTGAGATCTAACACTTTCTTCAAGTCTGGACTGCCCTTCACGATGCCAGAGGAAAATGAAAGAAAATACAATAATTTTGAGGCAGAACAGAAAGGTAGATAAAGAAATTGCAAAAATCCTAAAAGGAGAAACATGCCATAAAAGGAATGAGGAAAAAAGATAAACAGGGTATCAGTTAGGGAGTCCACATTTGAGAAGAAAAGCTCATCTCTCTTCCTGCCCTAAGTCTAAATTTTCAGTTAAACACAGAGGAAACACCCTGTATAAAATACTCTGTCTACATTATTTTGTAAATTTTACTCTCTATTGTATTATCTGAATAACTGTCCATCTTCGGTAATATGGCAGCTTGTACAGGCACCTAGTAAATACCTAAAATATGATATCTATTATCAGTGTAAATACTGAAAGTACACTGATAAGAAAACAAAAACATACAAAAATGAAAATACATTGAATTATCTGGCCTGGACAATTAAGGTGATTAAATATAAAACTGTTTGGTTGAGATATCTGTTTATTAAAAAGTTATTCCTGGACTCCTAAGAGGTAAGACATCATTAAAAGGCCTTAGAACAAGGCAGTAAAGTACAGTGGTTAGGCACTAAAGTACAGTGGTTATTAAGTTTTTGTCTGAGTCGACAAAAACTTAATAAAAACCACTGGGTCTCAATTGGGGTGATTTTGCCCCCATGAGACATTTAGCAATGTCTAGAAATATTTTTGTCGTCATACAAACAAACAAAGTGGGGAAGGGTAGTGGTACTACTGGCATCTAGAGGGTAGAGGCCAGGAATATTGCTGGACCTCCTACACAATATACAGAACAGTCCCCAAGAACAAATAATTATCCATCCCCAAATGTCAACAGTGCCAAGGGGAAAAACCCTGATGAAAAATTTCATTATGCCACTCATTAGCTGTGAATTTAGGCAAGTGATCTATCCTCTCTAAGCCTCAGAGCTTCCTTATCTATTATTGGAGATTTTAATAGTACCTGTTCTAATATGGTAGTATGAGGATTAAATAAAAAAATGAACTTAATAGGCTTAGCACAGTGTTTGGTATGTAGTAGGCGCTTTTATAAATGTTCTGTATACTATTAAAATAGTAAAAGTAAGCCTAAGATTCAGATCTTTACAGACATTAAAAGTTTAGGCAAACTTTATTATTCAAAGTCAAAATTCCTAAAGGAAAATACTATGGCACTACAATCACAAAAATATTTGTGTGTAAAATTTCTTTCCTTGTCAATTAAACAAAGCATCCCATCTTGATAAACCAATATGAAACCAATACCAAATTTATAATTAAAAAACAATAAATCAATTAATTTTTCAATAAAGTATCATGGCAGAGAGTAGGGGCCACTAATATTAAGTAGACTTTCAAGTTCACTTTGTATTCTTTGCTAACACTGGAATTCAATGCAATAATTTAAAAATTGACCAGATTCCATCCCCCCTACCCCCAACACACAGCCACCCACTGTAGGAAAACTATTTTTTAGTCAAACTACACATCCTTCAAGGATATTCCCCTGCACTATCTACTTTGTTCAAATCATATTCCTAGGTTCATTTGAACAATTACACTCCTTCTGCAGGATGGTCCTAGAGTATTCCTGAAAAACATTTCACATTAGCAAATCGGGGTATGTTAAATTGTTCACGGTTTATTTCAAAGATTAGACTTTGTTTTTATGTAATGAATAGAATATATTTCACTTAGCATGACCTGCAACTTTATTATCTGTATCACCACTCTCCTAAAAGTGAAAGTAACTATATTTCCAAATCAAACCTAAAAAGGCATATAACCAAATAGAATAATAGTTCCTTACTACTGGATCCTACTGTTACCTTAGTGTCATACCTTCTGGGAAGACTTTCCTGATTTCCTAAAACCAACTTAGATATATTTTCCATGTTCAAGCACAAAACCCTCTTCCTTCTCCTTAGCAGTTAAACTACATTTTAATAGTTTGTTGGTTATCTGATTTTTCCACTAGACTGTAAGCTCCACAAAGGTAGAGACTGTGTACTCTAACTCCCTGCATTAACACTATGCCTGGCACATTTGATGTGCTCAGTAAAAATTTTTTGCATTAATATATGAATGAAAAGTCCAACAGAAGAAATGTGCAAACTATTTTTTCAATATCTCATCTTTTTTTAAGGCTCAAGGTTTTACTTAGACTGTATGGAAAAGTAAAATAAAATTGATCACTTTAAACAAATTATATAAATTCCATTCTCAGCTTTGTCTTCAGAACCTCCCAAGCTTGCTCCAGAAACTTGTCTTACTTCAGAAATTTCCACTGTGTTTCTAAAACACAAAACATCTTTCTTTTAAGACATCTGGAGTTAGTGCTGTTTTTAATCAATTCAGTATACTTTTGAGCACCTACTAGCATAAAGCAGCTATTGTAAAAGGTATGGATAACAAAGAGATGATTAAGACCCGTCGTTTGCCCGCTAGGAAACTCAAGTTATTGAAAGACAAAGAAAAAAATAAGTTACAATGTATTGCAGGAATGTGGTACGGCGTATTGGAGAAGGTGGGAACTGGGGATAATCCTGAAAGAATGTGATGTACTGAAATTTAACAGGTGCTTTTATGTGGCAATATTACCTCACCCACTTTCAAAAGATGTCAGCAAGCTAGGTCAAGGATCAGGTGCCACGTTATAGACTTGAAGAACTTGGCTGATTTTTTCCCAGGATTTATCCATCAGCAGTCCTATTAGCAGCAGAAAATTAGAAATCCTGAATTTTAACAAAGTCCCTAAAGAGTCAAAGAACACTGGGTGATCACAATCAACCAAAGCTACCACTTCTCCAGAGCGTTTTTCTAAAGAGAAACAGCTAACACAAAAAACTTAACTCCTCCTTCAGGAAAGATTTCCTCTTCGCCGGTAGTCTCTCCTACACCAAAAGATAAAAGCGCACTTCAGAGAGGTCGGGAGTGCCCGGGAAGTCACAAAGGTCTCCCGGTCCTAGGAAGGAATCCGATGCTGAGGGCAAAGCGCGCTGACAGAGACTTGGGGTCGCGGGTCGTGAGTAAGCAGCTCACCTGTTCGTCCTCCTGCATCGAGGCGGCCAGCGGGAGCCCGTCCGCCACTCGGGCGATCATTGTTAGCAACACCATCTTCACAAACTACAGGGATCCAACACTGGCCCGGAAGGCCCTTGGCGCCGTCCTCACTTCCTCCGCCGCGACAACAGTTATACCCTATGTCTCAGTTACCGGAGATCCAGCTGCTTGCGTCTCCGCTTCCCGCTGAGGTGGCCGGAAACAGCGCAAGAGCTTTCCACTACCGGTCCCCAGAATTGGCTTCCCTCAGAGAACCACAACTATCAGAACACTGGTTCCGCGATCTGCCTTCCACCTTCTTAACTTCCAAGGTCTGGCTGGGTTTTCTGAATTTGAGGCTTCGAATAAGCCTCGCCCTTTGAGCGGCCATTGCACCCAAGCTGAATCAGAATTTTCTAGTTCCTGAAACTAAGTCTTGGGAGAGAGCTGGGAAGGAGGGTGGGAGTTAATGGGTAATCCCCATTAACCACTAACCGTTAACCATGAAGGGTATGTAAAAAAAGGAAAACCCTGAAAATTAGGCTATTTTCATATTTATTTTTTTCTGTTTTCTATGTCATATATTCTATAAAATGTTCTATATTTATATATTTCTAGACAAAGATTTTTGTCTATTTTTGCTTGTTTGTTTATGCGGTATCCCCACCAGGCTCCTTAAACAGTTTATGGTAAGAAGTCAATAAATATGTGTTGTATGTGTGAATAAATGAACAAGTACAGGACATCTTGTACCACCTAGGTCAGTCACCTACAAAAAGCTAGGATCAGGCCGGGCGCGGTGGCTCACGCCTGTAATCCAAGCACTATGGGAGGCCGAGGCGGGCGGATCACGAGGTCAGGAGATCGAGACCATCCTGGCTAACATGGTGAAACCCCGTCTCTACTAAAAAAACACAAAAAAATTAGCCGGGCGCGGTGGCGGACGCCTGTGGTCCCAGCTACTCACTCGGGAGGCTGAGGCAGAATGGCGTGAACCCGGGAGGCGGAGCTTGCAGTGAACCGAGGTTGCGTCACTGTACTCCAGCTTGGGCAACAGAGCGACACTCTGTCTCAAAAAAAAAAAATAAATAAATAAATAAATAAAATAAAAACTAGGATCTCTGATATATCTAGGTGTTCCCATCTCTTTGTTTTTTGGTGTCCCCATCTCTAAAGTGGGGATATGATCGGCCTTTCAGGGTTTTAATGAATATTAGATGAGAAAATCTAGGTGCAAGGCTTTCAAAAGCTAAAAAAAGAATTATACAAATGCTTTTATTTATCATTGCTTAATAATGACTACTCTTTACTAAGTGCTTACAGTTAGTTCTCGCATTAATAGAAACACTGTTAAGTATGTTCTAGATATTAGTTAAGCAACCCAGTAAGCTTGTTTAGTATTATATCTCCACTTTGTAGTTGAGAGGAAAGCCTCAGAGAGCTAGCAGTGATGGGAACAGGATTTGAGCTCAGGTTCAACTTCAAATCCTGATGTGATTCTGTCTTAACTTGTACCCATTAATTAAAGAGCTCAGGCTTTTGTTACCTTTTATATTGGCCTTCAGGATTAGAAGAAAACCAATATTATTTTTGTGTGGCATTTTCTTTATTAAAAAGATTCTTATTTCAATAGCTTTTGGGTTACAAGTGGGTTTTTGTTACATAGATGAATTATATAGTGGTGAAAGCTGAGATTTTAGTGCACCCATCACCTGAGTTGCGTACATTTTACTTAATAAGTAGTTTTTTAACCCTAGGTCCCTTCCCACCCTCCGCCTTCTAAGTCTCTAAAGTCCATTATATCACTCTGTATACCTTTGTGTACTCATAGCTTAGCTCACACTTAAGTGAGAACATACGGTTTTTGGTTTTCCACTCCTGAGTTACTTCACTTAGAATAATGGCCTCCAGCTCCATCCAAGTTACTGCAAAAGACATTATTTCACTCCTTTTTATGGCTGGGTAGTATTCCATGGTGTGTGTGTGTGTGTGTGTGTGTGTGTGTATCACATTTTCTTTATCCACTCATTAGTTGACAGGCACTTAGGTTGGTTCCACATCTTTGCAATTGTGAATTATGCTGCTAAGAAAAGTAATATTATTTAATGATAGACTTTTGAGACCAAAACCCAATAAGACCTAGTGATTGACTCCACATGAAAGATGAAGGACTACAATAAATAAGACAAAAAAAATTGTGCTATTAACAGAGACAGAAAGTGGAATGGAAGTGAATCCTTGTGTATATGGGAGTCTAAGTTGGTAGAATCATAGTACCTTACATTTAAAATAGCCCATAGATATAAGTTGTTCTAATTTCCCTTCCTTCCACTCAACAAGGACATGCCTTCTCCACAGCCTCAAATGATGGTCATTTGAGTAATGGGGAATTAATGCTACAAATATTTTAACTAAGGATACAGACTGCCATGTTGATTAGAGAAGCAGAGAGAGAAGAATGCAGGTGTGTGCCGAGAAGCAAATTCGGAGCAAGAATCCACATCTTTTTTCAGTTCCTGACTCTAGGCTCCTCCCAAGGCCCATACACATTCCTGCCATTGGGTTCTATCAAACACTATTGCTTCTTTATAACAAATTCCCTCTTTATCCTGCTTAGGCTACTTTGAGTTAGTTTGTTACTTAAAAACCAAAACACACACACACACACACACACACACACACACGCAAACTAATAAAAGCATGGAGTCACCCTGGAGCAATTATTTCTTGGAACAACAACATTCATACTCACACCTCTTACTTTTATCCTTTGTAAACACACTAGATGACTCTGGCACCCTTCGAACACATTGATTCCAGGAAAAGGATAGTGATCTTAGGCTGCTAATAATTTCAGCCATCAGGAGAAAACTAGAGTTGTCTTGAAACTGCCCACTATTCAGACCTTGGGAGCTCTGGCATCTGAATTCCTTTTCCTTCTGACTTGATCAGCTTCATCTCATTCACATCCAAGTGTTGTCTTTGAGCTGCTGCCCTTTGATTCTTGGAGCAATACAGTACTGTGTAATAATGGTTAACACTGTGATCAGTAAGTACATGGAAGGTTCTCAACTATTTTACATTTAATTAAACAAGAGTATCAACAAACATTTGTACCGAACTTTAAAATTTATAAAGCCCACATATGTCCTTTGCCCTAAATCTGACAACCACCTCTGAAATGGATAAAATTCTTGGAGTTTGTAAATGTTGTACTAGGAAAAAAAAAAAAAGTAAACATAAGCCTTGAACGTCATAGTTACAGCTGCCAGCAAATTCTTGAAACTTATCAAAGAAATCGTGAAATGCACATATCTAAACCAACTTATATTAAGCTGCCTAAACAGGATAAGACTTTCCATTACAGCAGTCACACAGTTGCAGAAATTTTACAAGTGAGATCAAACGAAGCAATAGTTAAAGGTTTGTGTCCATTCATTCTTAAACAATTCTATCGAGTGCCTAATTCTATACCAGACACTAAGCTAAGTAATGAGGACGAATAAAGAATAGTCCCAGCAACTTGTGGCCCGTATCTACCCCCAGACCAAACACTGTCACTTAGGAGGTCTGCAAGTAAACTGCAGCTCCTGTTTGAATTACATGATTATATACATGGAAAAAACATTTCTTCTGAGAAACTGTGCTCCTGGAAGGCAAAAGAACAGATAGCCACTGTATCTGGACCAATATCTATCGATCTGGACTGTATGCATCAGTATGGCTGTACCAGCTATTAAAATACTGGAACATTTTCTTACAGATTAGTAAAAAAGCTATTGCCCTGAGCATCCCCTTCTTGAGCCCCTGCTACCCCAACAACATGCAAACGCTTAAGATTCCTGCTCCCCACAGTTCTGCCAGATTCCATTGTCTTTGGCGGTTTTCCAAGTTAGTCATTTTGAAAAGCTTCGCCTCCAGGCATGGCCATTAGCTACCCCCAGGGAATTAGAACGACCCCCGCCTTCCGCCCTGGCGCCTGCCCTCCGGCCACGCCTCCGGTGGGCTGCAGGGCGCAGGCCCTGGCGGGGGTTGGGAAGCAGCGCCCCAGGCAGGTTTACTGACACCATCTGCACTGGTGATTAAACACGAGTTATTTTGAATTACCATCCCTGATTAAACCTCCTCACAGTGCGAGCTGCGTGAAGGCAGGACTTTTCTTTATTCTTGAATTTTCACAGCCCTTAGCTGTGTCCTCCGCACAGTGCATCCAGTCAGAGAAGTGAAAGTGAAGGGTTAGAGGGGAAGGGGGAATGAGCCGGAAAGAACAAGGTGCGCTTTGGAAGTCCCGTGAAAGCCTCTGTTTAAAATAATTACGACTTTGGCCGGGCGCAGTGGCTCACGCCTGTAATCCCTGCACTCCGGAAGGCCGAGGCGGGTGGATCACTTGAGGTCAGGAGTTCGAGACCAGCCTGGCCAAAATGACAAAACCCCGTCTCTACTAAAAATACAAAAATTAACCAGGTGTGGTGGTGGGCGCCTGTAATCCTAGACACTAGGGAGGCTGAGGCAGTAGAATTGCTAGAACCCAGGGGGCGGAGGTTGCTGTGAGACGAGATTGCGCGCCACTGCACCCTAACCTGGGTGACAGAGCAAGACTCCGTCTCAAAAAAAAAAAAAAAAATTATGACTTTAAATAGCCTATTTCAAATATCAAGCCACAGCAAAGCTATCTCTTGCCTTCTAGAAGAAGCTATTTCATGAAACCGTAATACTTCTTCCAACATGTCTGTCTGGTTTCCCTACTTTGTCAGGAAAGCCTAGCAGAGAGCAGGCCCAGCTGGTTCACGCCTTGGAGCTTGGGATGTGTGCGGTGAGTAGGATAATTGGGTGTAGAAAGTAAAAAGTTTCCTCTTCAGAGTTTCCCTTCTTGTTAAAGAATAAATCATAAGTGTTAGAAATAATAGTTTCTTTTAAAGACTAACTTCCTTCAATCCTCCTTGCTTTGTGCTATTAACTCTCTGTTAAGCCCTATCCTATGTAGCTATTAGACATAAAGGAATAAGTACATTCTATGTCCTTGTACTTTAACCAAAATATTTGTGCTGGAGGTGCTGACGGGCATGTCTCAGCTCACAGCCTATGCCCCTTCCTTATTCAGGAATATTATTACTTTTCTAAGTCCTTTCATAAGCAACTTCCTCTTTTCCTTTGTCTTTCCATTGCTTTTACCTATTTAGAAAAGTTTTAAATTATTAGCCAGTCAGGTTTTAGTTTAGATTGTGCGGTCTGGCTCCAGCCAACGGAGACAGGACACAGTAGCAAGGACAAGCTGCGTAAGGGATAAAAATTTCTTCCCTCCATTGTTCAGGTGTGCTCTCGCCATTGTTCCATCTGCGAGGAGCACTCTTTCTGCAGAAAGTAAAATTATCTTGCTGAGAAAACTTTTTGTCTGAATGCCAATTTTTCCTTGCAGTACCGATTAACAAGCATTCTGTTTCTAAATAAACATTTTACATATAAAATTGGGGTAGTTTTGATAGCACCTAAAATATTGTATGGAACTTAATTTTTTTAAAAAACATATTTCTTCTACTACTAATCTCCAAACTCTTTCAGGACAGAAAAACTAGTTAGTTATTCCCAAGGGTCTAGTATCCTGTACCTGGAACCTAGCAAATGCTCAATTACTGTTTATGGACTAAATGACTGAATGAATGGCATGTCTCATGGGTTGAGATGATACTCATTGGTTGTATACAGCACGATTCACAGTTGGTATTGTACTTAGTGAAAACATGTCCAACCCCCATTTCTTTCATTCTTCCAATTAGTTATTCAACAAATATTTATTGTTCAACTACTATGGGCTAGGAATATCAGGCACTGAATTATACAGAGGTTAACAAAAGGAACATGATATATGTTACTGGAAATGGGTCCCTATCCAGACCCCAAGAGAGGGTTCTTGAATCTCCTGCAAGAAAGAACTGGGGGCAAGTCCATACAGTAAAGTGAAAGCAAGTTTACTAGAGAAGTAAAGAAACAAAAGAATGGCTACTCCATAGACAAAGCAGCACCAAGAGTTGATGGTTGGCTATTTTTATGATTATTTCTTGATTATATGCCAAATAAGCGGTGGATTATTCATGAGTTTTCTGGGAAAGAGGCAGGGATTTCCCTCTTTTAGACCGTATAGGGTAACTTCCTGACATTGCCATGGCATTTGTAAACTGTCATGGTGCTGGTGGGAGTGTCTTTTAGCATGCTGATGCATTGTAATTAGCATACAGTGAGCAGTGAGGACAGCCAGAGGTCATATTCATTGCCATATTGGTTTTGGTGGGTTTTGGCCAGCTTCTTTACCACATCCTGTTTTATCATCAGGGTCTTTATGACCTTTATCTTGTGATACCAGTCCTGCCAACCTCTCATCTCATCCTGTGACTGAGAATGCCTAACCTCCTAGGAATGCAGCCCCATAGATCTCAGCCTCATTTTACCCAGCCTGTATTCAAGATGGAGTCATTCGGATTTGAATGCCTCTGACAGTTACATTCTAGCTGGCTCTGTCTCTCTTCCATTATCCCCAACCCACCTCCACCCGCATTGCATTCCCACCTCTCAATCTGCAACAATAAAAGCTTTGGATGGTGACTTTTTTAACTCTGAATATACAACGAGATTGTCCTTCAGACCTGCAGCTTTATTATCTTTCTGTGGAGTCTAAATGGATTTGTTTTTTCCTAGCGGCCATTATAGTTTCCTCATCTTACCTGCTGTCTCAACAGCTTTGCTGTAGCTTGGCTTCCTCCTCTAATAGTCCTCCAGCTCCTGCTCCTTTTATTGGACCATCTCTCCTCTACTCATAGTGGTGGTTCAGTGTTTCAGCAATTAGTGAAAATTTCCGTCTCAGACTGACTTTTCTTTACAATCTTAAGGATCTTTCAGTTTTCATTATTAATAGTAGTAGTATTTTATTTTATTTTCAATTTTTTATGATGGGGTCTCCCTGTCACCCAGGCTGGAATACAGTGGCATAATCTTGGCCCACTGCAGCCTTGACTTCCTGGGCTCAAGCGATCCTCCCACCTCAGCCTCCCCAGTAGCTGGGACCACAGGCACACATCACCACATCCGGCTAATTTTTGTATTTTTTTTTTTTTTTTTTTTTTGTAGAGATTAGGTCTCACCATGTTGCCCAGGCTGATCTTGAACTCCTGGGCTCAAGTGATCCACCTGCCTCAGCCTCCCAAAGTGCTGGGATTACAGGTGTGACCCACCATACCTGGCCAGATCTTTCAGTTATTACTAGTCTTTGCTATCGTTCCTGGGAAAAAAGTTTAGGCAAATTCATTCAGCTCTACCTGCCAAAGAATTAAATCTAATATGACATTAAAGGTGACAAAGTGGGTCATAATCTAACTTGTTGTTGTTGTTTGCTTGTGGTGAATTCTCTAGCTTCCAAAGATGTAATTTTTGTTAATCAGTCCCTCTTGGTTCTTCCCCTAATCCCTGGCCCATCCTCTTACTCCATCACTACCTGATATGAGACCTTTTTCTTTGTTTTTTATTAGGGAGCATGATCCTCTGGTTCTGGAAATCTGAAGTCAGGCCCCAAACTCTGTGTGCCATTTCTCTACGGAGGTCTACCTCCAAGCTCTCGGGCAGATAATAACCAAAATTTCAAAGTTCTAGGAGGAATTTCCTTTTTAAAAAATCTGCTATTTATGCAGACTGTCACTTCTTGAGAATATTACAATGAAAGCTTTGAGTTGAAGTTTTAGGAGCTCAAGACATAATCCTTTCTTCCTCTTTTAAGTTCAGATCAAATTGGGAAATAGAGAAGTCAAACAGAGAATTAATAATGCTACAGTACTTTAATTACTGATCAAACTAAGTGGAGAACTTGCATTTAGATCTGTGATGATGCAAAGGTCCTGCTAATATTTCACTCCAGAATTAGGCAGACTTCACTCCAGAAACAGCAGGCCTTTCTCAAATGGGCAGGCTGACTGGCTTCTTACCACATGGCATAGGGCAAACCAGAATGACCTACTCTGAGGCTGGCATCTTAAGTGTTCAGCTATCACCACAAGACTTCTCAGATTCTCAGTGAAGAAGGGAACAGGGTGCAGTCCAACACAAAGGAGGACCCACCTCCTACCAGAGAGCAGAAATGATCTTAGTACCTTTGTGTCCCTTGGCCAGCTCCAGTGGCGGTGGTGATCTCAGAGACTTCCAGCTGTTCTCTCTCTCCCAGCCTTTAGCTGGGAAAAGGGTTTGTCCCTGTAATACACTTTTTGTGGAGGACCTCACTTATGTGAATTTCATGTGACACAGTGCCTTTCTTATGAATTTCCTTATTCTGACTGTGTTTGTGTACTCCAGTTTATTGCAGTTGCCACACCAAAAGAAATGCTAGATTTTTATATTACTTGTGGGATAGGATGTGCATTTTTATTGGTATTTATCGTTTTATTTGCCACAAATGACAAAACCTTATCTAAAATTGCTACACTTGTGTTTGGATTTTGGACAGGTTTTGTGTGGCTGCTTAATTTCGTTCAATGTGCTCTATGAATTGCTGCTGAGAAAACTTGAAAATACTGATAAGAGATAAGCCTTAATTGAACTTCTAAAATACTTCAAGACTTTGGAAAATAGAAGTAATGGATGATGGGTGATGTATCAAAATTTGCATAATTTTTAAAGGACATTTTTTGAGCAGTGATGATCAAGTCTAGTCTGAACACAAGCTATCATTTACCACAAATTACACCAGAGGCATTTTGTTTTAAATTTGTCTTTGTTGTAACGTTGTAACTGTTGAAATTAGTCTCAGACAGAATTTTCTGGAGGTTTTGTTTTTTATGGAGGGATACTCGTGGGGACACAAACTTTTCCTTAAAACACATGGATCAAATCAGAAATGAAAGAGGGGACATTATTACCAACCTGTGGAATACAAAATATTATAGAGGAATATTATGAGAAGTTATATGCCAGGAAATTAGATAAACTAGATGAAATGAACAAATTTCAAGAAAGAAACAAGCTACCCAAACTGATTCAGGAAGCAATAGAAAATCTGAATACCCTATAACAAGTAAAGCAATTCAATTAGTAGTAATAATTTTTTTTAATGTTCCACAAAGAGGAGCCCAGGTTCAGATAGCTTAATCTGTGACTTCTGCCGAATATGTTTATAGGACACAGACTCTTCACCCCCTGAAAAAAAGGAGAAGAAGAACACTTCCCATCTCATTCTATGAGGCCAGTATTACCCTGGCACCAAAACTAAGACTTCAAGAAAGGAAAATGACAGGCCAGTATACCTTTATAAATATAGATGTAAAAGTTCTCAACAAACTTTATTTGACAACATATGAAAAAGATTATACATCATGACAAAGTGGCATTTATCCTAGGAATGCAAGGTTGATTCAACATATGAAACAATAAATGTAATGCACCATATTAATAGGACAAAGGACAAACTCCATATGATCATCTCAATAAATGCAGAAAAAGCATTTGAGAAAATCTAGCATCTTATCTTGTTAAAAAACAATGAACAAACTAGGAAAGAAGAGAACTTCTTCAACCTGATAAAGGGTATCTATGAAAAACCCACAGCTAACCCCATACTTAAAGGGGAAAGACTTGAAAACATTTCCTGTAAGATGAGGAATAAAACAAGTATGTCCACTCTCACCACTTCTAGTCAACATAGTACTTGATGTTCTAATGAGGGCAATTAGGCAAGAAAAAGAAATAAAAGCACCCCAGCTGGAAAGGAATAAGTAACACTATTTCTATTTGTAGATGACTTTATCTTGTATATAGAAAATTCTAAGGAATCCACACAAAAATTTAAGAATTAATAAATGAATTCACCAAATTGTAGGGTACAAGATCAATATACAAAAAAATTTGCAGTTCTATGCACCAGAAATGAACAATCCAAAAATGAAAGTGAGAGCACAATTCCATTTACAAGGCATCAAAATAAAGCTGCACATCTACACCATCTGATCTTCAACAAAGCTGACAAAAACAAGCAATGGGGAAAGGACTCCCTATTCAATAAATTGTGCTGGGATAACTGGCTAGCCATATACAGAAGAATGAAACTAGACCCTTACCTTTCACTGTATACAAAAATTAACTCAAGATAATTAAAAATTTAAATGTAAGACCTCAAAATATAAAAATCTTAGAAGAAAACCTAGAAGATACTTTTACCAACATCAGCCTTGGCAAAAAGTTTTTGGATAAGTGCCCAAAAGCAATTGCAACAAAACCAAAAATTGACAAATGGGACCTAATTAAACTAAAGACCTTCTGCATAGCAAAATAAACAATCAACAGGGTAAATAGATAACCTACAGGATGGGAGAAAATATTCACTAACTATGCATCCAACAAAGATCTAATACCTAGAATTTATAAGGAACTTCAGTCAATAAGCAAAAACAAATAATCCCCTTAAAAATGGTCAAGGGATATGAACAGACACTTTTTTTAAAGAAGACATATAAGTGACCAACCAACATATGAAAAAATGCTCCACAACACTAATTATCAGAGAAATACAAATCAAAACTACAATGAGATATTACCCCACACCAGTTAGAATGGCTATTATTAAAAAGTCAAAAATGGCTATCATTAAAAAGTCAAAAAACAACAGATGCTGATGTGGCTGCAGGGAATAGGGAACACTTACACACTGTTTTTCGGAATGTAAATTTGTTCAGCCGCTGTGAAAAGTAGTTTGGAGATTTCTCAAATAACTTAAAGCGACCATTTGATGCAGCAATCCCATGATTGGGTATATATCCAGAGGACAATAAATCATTATACCAAAAAGACACATGCATTTATATGTTCATCACTGCACAATTTACAATAGCAAATACATGGAATCAACCTAGGTGCACATCAAGGGTGAATTGGATAAAGAAAATGTGGTACATATACACTGTAGAATACTATACAGCCATAAAAAGTGAAATAATGTCCTTTACAGCAACATGGATAGAGTTGGAGGTCAAAATCCTTAGCAAATTAATGCAGAAAAAGAAAACCAAATACCACATGTTCTCATTTATAAGTGGGAGCTAACCACTGAGCACACATGAACATAAACATAGGAACAATAGACACTGTGGACTACTAGAGAGGGGACCGAGGGAGGGAACATGGGTAGAAAAACCTCCATGGATATGTAACAAAGCTGTACATGTACCCTCTGTATCTAAAAGTTGAAATTTAAAATGAGTAAATAAATGAAATGTTTAGGAATAAATCTAACAAAAAAAGTGTACACTAAAAACCACAAAATGTTGTTGAAGGAAATATTAAAAGACCTAAATAAATGGAAAGGAATTCCATGTTCATGTTCCACATTCGTGGATTGGAAGACTTAACAGAGTTAAGATGGCAGTAATCCCAAATTGATCTATAGATTTGTTGCAATCTCTATCAAAATCCCAGCAGGCTCTCTCTCTCTCTCTCTTTTTTTTTTTTTTTTTTTTTTTTGTGGCAGAAATTGACAAGCTGCTCTTAAAATTCAGGTAGAAAAGCAAAGGACCCAGAATAATTAAAACCATCTTTAAAAGAAGGAAAAAGGTGTGAGAAGGACTCATACTTCTGATTTCAAAACTTAATAACAAGCAACATAATTAAGACAGTGTGGTATTGAAATCAGAATAGACATACAGGTCAATGGAATATAATTGAGAGTCCCAAAAATAAACACATGCATATATGGTCTAATTAAAAAAAAATAAGGAAAGGAGAGTATTTTCAACAAATGATGTGTGACAACTGGATATTCACATGCAAAATGATGATGGGCTCTTACATCACACTATATATAAAAATTATCTCAAAATGGATTGTCAACCTATGAGCTAAAGCTATATATCTCTTTGAATGAAACACAGGAATAAATCTTTGTGACCTTTGATCCAGCATGGTTTCCTAGCTATGACACCAAAAGTACAAGCTGCAAAAGAAAAAAATAGATAAAAAGACTTCACCAAAATTTAAAACTTATTTTCTTCAAAAAACACAAGAAAGTGAGAGGACAACCCTCAAAGTGGGACAGAATACTTGCAAATCATATCAGGTAAAGGAATTGCATCCAGAACACACACACACACACACACACACACACACACACACACACACACACACACACACCCCTTACAACTCAGTAATAAAATAAGAACAAACAACCCAATTGAAAAATAGGCAACAAATTTGAAAACATGTTTCTCCAATGAAGATATACAAATAAATACTAAATACAAGACAAGATGCTCAACATTATTAGCTAGGGAAATACAAACCAAAACCACAGTGAAATGTCACTTCACACCCACTAGGATGGCTATAATAAAGAAGACACATACTAACAAATGGTTAGAATGTGGAAAAACATTGAGTTACTGGTGGGAATGTAAACATTATGAGGCCATTTGTAAAAACACTTTGGCAGTTTAAAAAAAGTTAAACAGATTTGCCATATAACCCAGCAACTCCACTCGTAGGTATGTACCCAAAGTAATTGAAAACATATGTCCAAAGAAAAACATGTACATGAGCGTTCACAGCAGCATTATTCACTATAGCAAAAAACAAACAAACAAAAACCACCTAAGTGTCTATCAACTGACAAATAGGTACATTAAATGTGATATTTCCTTACAATATAATATATTTTCAGCAATAAAAAAGTGAGTGAAATATTGGCATTCGCTGTAAAGTGGATGGACCTCAAAACACCATACTAACTGAAAGAAGCCAGACATAATGTGCTACATGTTAGATGATTCCATCTATATGAAGTGTCCAGAATAGGTAAATTTATAAATATAAAAAGATTAGTGGTTGCCAGGGGCTGGGGAGAGGAACAGCCGGTGGTAGAAATGGAAAGGGTAAGTGAGTATGGAGTTTGTTTTGAGGGTGATAAAAATGTTCTGAAATGACACAGTGATAATGATTGCACAATTCTGTGACTATACTAAAAAAACAGATGAAAGAATAAAAAACAAGCTAAATACATGGAGAACTGGCTGGGGACGGTGACTCACACCTGTAATCCCAGCACTTTGGGTGGCCAAGGCAGGCGGATCACTTGAGGTCAGGAGTTTGAGACCAGCCCGGCCAACACGGTGAAACCCTGTCTCTACTAAAAATACAAAAATTAGCTGGGGGTGGTGGCGGGTGCCTGTAATCCAAGCTACTCAGGAAGCTGAGGCACGAGAATCGCTTGAACCCAGGAGGTGGAGGTTTGCAGTGGGCCGAGATGGTGCCACTTCACTCCAACCTGGGTAACAGAGTCAGACCCTGTCTCAAAATAAACAAATAAATAAACAAAATAAATGGAGAGCTATTCCATATTCATGGATAAGAAGACAGTATTGTCAAGATGTCGATTCTTCCCAACTTGACCCATATATTCAATGCAATTCTAATAAAAATCCCAGCAAATTATTTTGTGGATTTTTATAAACTGATTCTAAAGTTTATATGCAGAAGCAAATACTCAGAATAGCCAACACAGTATTGAAGTAGAAGAACAAAGTTGGAGGACACTATGTGAGTAAACAAGACAGTGTGACATTGGCAAAATAATAGAAATATAGATCAATGGAACAGAGTAGAGAGTGCAGAAAGAGACCCACATAAATATAGCCAAAAGACATTTTGCAAAAGAAAATATACAAATGACAAATAAGCATATGAAAAAATACTCAACATCATACGTCATTGGGGAATTGCAAATAAAAACGATAATAATGTACTACCACATACCTATTAGAAAGGCCAACACCAACACCAAATGCTGGCAAGAATGCAGAGCAGTCGAAATTCTTATTCATTATTGGTGGGGAATGCAAAAATGGTAGCCACACTGGAAGACGAGTATTTCTCACACACTAAACATACTCTTACTTTACCATCCAGCAACTGGGGCTTCCTGGTATTTCCCCAGAGTTGAAATTTTACATTCACACAAAACCCTGCACATGAATGTTTATGGCAGCTTTTTTCATGATGACCAAAATTTGGAAGCAACCAAAATGTCTTTTAGCAGGTAAATGGAAAAACAAACTGTGACACATCTACACAATGGAATATTATAAAGTGCTAATAAGAAATGAGCTATCAAGCCATGCAAAGACATGGAGGTACCTTAAATGCATATTACTAAGTGAAAGAAGCCCATCTGAAAAGGCTGCATATGGTATCATTCTGACTATATGACACTATGGAATTGGCAAAACAGTGGAAACAGTAAAAGGATCAGTGGTTGTCAGGGGTTGGAAAGAGGGAGGGATGAACATGTGGCACATGGAGGATTTACATGGCCATGAAACTACTCTATTTGTTACTATAACTGTGGATACATACCATTTTATATTTGTCAAAATCCATAGAATGTACAACACCAAGAGTGAACCTGAATGTAAACTATGGACCTTGGATGATAATGTGTGTCAATGTAGGTTCATTGATTGTATAAATGTACACTCTGGATTTTGATGCGGGGGAGGCTGTTTGTGTCTCGGGGGCAAGATGTATGTATGAAACCTCTATCATCTGTTCAGTTTTGTCCTGAACCTAAAACTGCTTTAAAAAAATAAAGTCTACTTTTTAAAATGTCAATTTCAAAGTCTTAGAGCTAACCAAACAAAATGATATTATCAGAACCCAGTGCAATATTTGGAACAATTCAGATTCATAGTTGCTTCCAAACTCACAGCAGAAACTCAAGTAGACAAAGAAGAGGGAACCTTTTAGTGTTAGCCTATCTGGTTTGACAAACATTATATGCCAATTATCTGAGCCTGTGACCTATAACCGTAAAGTCAATTGAGATAAATGTTTACTGTGAAGAGGTTAATCATACTGTGTTTAATATGTGGCAAATGGGGGTTGGAAATCACTTAATAACAGGTCTCCTCTCTCAGAGAGCGACACTTGAAATCTTGGTACTTCATTACTAAATTTAGAAAGTTACAGGTTGGCAGGTTCAGTTTCCAGTTACTATGGTTTAGTGAAATTATTGGTTTTGATTTCCCACCAGGATAATCAAAATCCATTAATTTCCATTTCTCTTTTGAATCCCTCTTTTTTTTCTGGCACTAAAGGGCTGATTTGAGTGTGGGTTCTGTTTATTATATAATTTTCACACTCTCTTCTTTTTATTTATTTATTTATTTTATTTTATTTTTTTAGACGGAATCTCGCTCTGTCACCCAGGCTGGAGTGCAGTGGCGAGATCTCAGCTCACTGCAACCTACACCTCCCAGGTTCACTCCATTCTCCTGCCTCAGCCTCCCGAGTAGCTAGGACTACAGGCGCCCGCCACCACGCCCAGCTAATTTTTTGTATTTTTAGTAGAGACGGGGTTTCACTGTGTTAGCCAGGATGGTCACGATCTCCTGACCTCGTGATCCGCCCGCCTCGGCCTCCCAATGTGCTGGGATTACAGGCGTGAGCCACCGCGCCCAGCAATTTTCACACTCTTTTCTATGTGGACATTTCAAGCCCATACCACCGTGACTCATGCCACTGTCTAGTGCTGTAGAACTGCTTAGACTTATCAAACCTGCCTCTCAATCAAGAGTTCTTCCTTAGTTTCAACTTAAGAATTGTCTTCAGCAAATATCTAAATTGAAACTGCTTCTAATATTTCTGAGCGATAATGGTCTTTTGTTCTTCTTGGGGTTGGCTGAACTTCTGGCATCTGAGAGGTCGATGCCTTTTATCAGTTTTAGAAAATTCTTGAGCTTTGTCTCCTGAAATACTGCTCCTCTCTTTCCTCTCTCTTTCAGGGACTGCAATTAATCACTTATTAGACATTTTTACTGTGTTTTTGAGGTCTGTTATGTTCTTTTCCTTTTTCTCTGTCCTTCAGTTTGGATATTTTCTACAGACCTGTCTCCCAGTTCATGAATCCTGACTTCTGCTGTACTCAGACTGTTGTTAAGCACACCCAAAGGGTTCTTATTTCCAGTTATTGTAATTTTTTTTTTTTTGAGACAGAGTCTCTGTCTGTTGCCCATGCTGGAATGCAGTGGTGTGATCTTGGCTCACTGCAACATCTGCCTCCCAGATTTAAGCAATTATCCTGCTTCAGCTTCCTGAGTAGCTGGGATTACAGGTGCATGCCACCACGCCCAGCTAATTTTTGTATTTTTAGTAGAGATGGGGATTTCACCATGTTGGTCAGGCTGGTCTCGAACTCCTGAGCTCATGATCCGCCTGCCTCAGTCTCCCAAAGTGCTGGGAATACAGGCGTGAGCCACCGGGTCCGGCCTGTAATTTTTAGTTTTAGAATATTTGTCCAATAATTGTTTTTACAGATTCCAATTCTATACTGAAGTAAATTACCCATCTTTCATCTTTGTCCACCTTTTCTTCTATTTTCTTAAAACTATTAATTATAGTTATTTAAAATCCTGGCCAATTCTAATATCTAGTTCTGTTTCTATTAACGTTTTTCTCTTAGTGTTTAGTCATTTGGATTTGATCTTTTGCATGGCTCATAATTATTTTGTATTGGATCCCAGATATTGTATAAGACAAAATTGTAGACTCTGGATAATGTTACCTACCTCCATAGAGTTTCTACTTTCTACTCCTGGAAAGTAGAAAGAATAGTGGCAGATAACTTTGATCCTGAAAAGGCTTGGTTTCAAGCTTTGTTAGATCTATTTTATTTCAGTATTATATTGCTCTTACTCCAAGGATGTGCTGAGATCTCAACTGAAAACCCTGGGTATCTAGGTACCTTATCAAGGCTTGAAGTCCAACTTCTGTTGGATGCTGAAATCTTCACTTACCTCATTAGACCCTAAACTGCTGTTTTCTGATTTTTTTTTTTTTGGCATCTTTCTTTGTGCATGCTGAGTGTAGGAACTTAGATCACTATCATGATGGCAATTTGCATAGATTGTTGAGCTCCTCTGCAATTCTCCCCTCTTGGAGTTTGCCCTCAATCAGAGGCACTTTGGTAGCCCTCAACTTTGGCCTTTGATATGATTTGGCTCTGTGTTCCCACCCAAATCTCATGCTGTATTGTAATTCCCACTGCTGGGGGAGAGACCTGGTATTAAGTGATTGGATCATGGGGGCAGATTTCCCCCAGACTGTTCTCATGATAGTGAGAGTGAGTTCTCATGAGACCTGATGGTTTCAAAGTGTGTGGCACTTCCCGCCTCACTCTCTTTTTCCTGCTCCACCATGGTAAAACGTGCTTGCTTCCCCTTCACCTTCCACCATGCTTGTAAGTTTCCTGAGGCCTCCCAGTCATTCTTCTTGTTAAACCTGAAGAACTGTGAGTCAATTAAATCTCTTTTCTTCATAAATTATCCAATCTCAGGTAGTTCTTTATGGCAGTGTGAGAACAGACTAATACAGCCTCTTATTCCTCAGCCCAGAAAAACTGCTGTATTTTTTTTTTTTTTGGCTTTTATTGTCTTGCACTTAGTTTTGAGCATTCCCTCAAGAGAAATATTCCAGGGTAAACACTGAGTTCACCTCATGTGCCTTCTCTCCAGGATCATAGCTTTAAGTTCCGCCTGCTTTAGTTACTCTTCAATGCCTCCAAAGAATTATAGATATAGATATATAGATACTCCTAGGCTTATGATGGGGTTATATCCCAATAAACCTACGTTGAAAATATTGTAAGTCAAAAATGCACTTAATACACCTAACCTACCAAACATCATAGCTTAACTTACCTTACCTTAAATGTGCTCAGAACACTTATGTTAGCCTACAGTTGGGCAAAATTATCTAATGCAAAGCCTATTTTACAATAAAGTGTTGATTATGTAATTTGTTGAATACTGTAGTGAAAATGAAAAATAGAGTGGTTGTATGGGTATTCAAAGTACAGTTTCTACTGAATGTTTATCACTTTCACACCATCATAAAGGCAAAAAAATTTAAGTCAAACTATTGTAAGTTGGGGACCATCCGTATATGTATAAAGTCATGTATTACTTAATGACAGGGATACATTCTGAGTAATGCATCATCAGACAATTTTATTGTTGTATGAACATTCAGAATATATTTACACAAACCTAGATGGTATAGCCTACTACACACCCAGCCTATTGCTCCTTGGCTGGAAACCTGTACAGCATGGTACTGTACTAAATATTGTGGGCAATTTTAACCTAATGGTAGGTATTTGTACATCTAAACTTGGAAAATGTATAGCAAGTCATATGCAACTGCATATGACCACCAGTTGCATATGCAGTCTGTCTTTGATCAAAACTTGGTTATGCATTGCATGACTATATATATATATATATATATACACACACATATATAAATATATACAAATATGTAAATATTTATGTATATTTTATCCCACTTTCCCCCTGAAGTGGGAGGTTTAGTTTGATATATACTACTACATCTTGGCTGGAGTTGGAGGTCTCAGTACTTCATAGCAGTAATGAATGCTGTGGGTTTGCAGTAACTTCACTGAACTGTTTATCTGCCACAACTACAAAAGATGGCTTATTCTCTTTAAGTTATGGAGCCCTATTCCTTTTAATTTGTGTGTTAGATAAAATCTACCATGTGTCTATGGGCAAAACCAAAGTCTGAATCTCTAAAATCTAAGGCCATAATCAAAACTAGGTAATGTATCAATCTAGAGTCATATAATGGGGATTCCTCTTCAGCCTGCATTTGGATAAACCGCATGAACCCAAGAGTTTAGCCCTACCACTCAAGGCCATTGTTTTTAGTTGTGCAGGCTTCAGTGGGTAAGGTGCTATTTATGTAGGTTAAATGGCGGTTGAGTGCTCTGCAATGTGGTGGCCTTGATACCACAGGTTTTTTGTTTTTTTTTTCTTAGATCTGAATTCGTTTGTTGCGGGGAGAAAAACTAGGGGCAACTGATCTGGCATTGCCTACCTATGCCTGACATGAAATTCGCCAGGACCTCTGGGAGAATACCTCTAGTTAAGCAATAGGATTAGAAGCCTGATTGCAGAAAATTAGGAGGTAAAGAATGATTGGGAAGTCAGAAAGTGTGGACATCAAATGAACACAATATATTAAACAAATTGGATGTGAAGGGAAGTGAGAGATATGGTGATAGGTAGAGACGGAAGGACTTTGTTTTAAGAGTGAGGAGAGTTAAGCATGTTTGTGGGCTGGGGATGAAGCTAATGGAAAAGGAGAGGAAGAAGATACAAAACAATAAGAGATAATTAAGAATTTTCTGGTAGAGGTTGTTAGACAAAGAGCCCAGATAAGACAGATTGGACAAAGATAAGGAGAGGTAAAGATGAAGCTTAAGTTAGGAGGCTTAAAAGAAAGAATGGGCCAGGTGAGTGGCTCACGCCTGTAATCCTAGCAATTTGGGAGGCTGAGACGGGAGGATCACTTGAGGTCAGCAGTTCGAGACCAGCCTGGCCAACATGGCGAAACCCCATCTCTACTAAAAATACAAAAATTAGCCAGGCGTGGTGGCAGGTGCCTGTAATCCGAGCTGCTCAGGAGATTGAGGCAGGAGAATCGCTTGAACCCAGGAGGCAGAGCTTGCAGTAGGCCAAGATCGTGCCACTGCACTCCAGCCTGCTGGGTGATAGAGTGAGAATCCGTCTCAAAAAAAAAATCTATCTATCTATCTATCTATCTATCTATCTATCTATCTATCTATCTATAGAGAGAGAGAGAGAGGGAGAGAGTAAAAAAGTAGAATTAATGACTGGATGAGATGGGTAAAAGAGAAATAGGTCCCTGACAAATTCTAGGTTTGGGGATTGAGCAGCTGGGTAGATAGGGCTGGGGTTAAAACACAGAACTGAGCAACAGATTTGGAAGGATGAGCTGAGATGAATTCAGCTTTGTCTGCATTCAGTCAGTCAACAATAATAGCTGTTGCCTATGAACCTTGAGATCCACAGTGCCCAACTACAAAGACAAACATTGCTCCCCCTCCCCTGCTGAACTTATGCTATATGCAATAGTGTTGCAGAAACATTTTGCTTTGCTGGATACAAAAGCAAACTAGTCTCTGTTTTCAAGGACATATGTAGGATATAAGAACTGGATTTTCAGAATGAATATTTATGGGATAATTTATTTAACTGACCAACTTTAAAAAAAGGTTAAAACACTTTCTTGGTTTATGGTGGATACCAAGCTATATATGCTTTACTATGAGTTTATGGAAAACTGCAATCAGTCTCAACTGAAAGGAAAATGTAGGCTGTTTGGGAGAAAGTTTTTACAATTGAAAAACTCAAGGGAAAATTGAAAGGAAAAGATTTTAGGAAAGAGAAAGAAACAGGGAGAGGAAGAAAAGAGGCTAGCCAACAACCTGCAGTAGTGATTCTGAGGAACTAATAGGAGACGAAAAACTGGATAAATTATAAAAGGATGACTGATACGGGGGCGCGGGGAGGAGGATGAAACCGGGGAAAATATTGAGAGAGACAGAAAGAAAAGGAGAAACTTATCTGAGGTTGGAAATAAAGAGAAGGTGACATTGGAGCGGATAGAAAGGAAGAAACGGCGTGGGATCTGGGAATGAGGCAGTGGGTGGAGAGAGAATGGGGAGACGACAGAGGATGAAGGGCAGCTGAGTGTGTCTGCGGGAGAAGGACCAAAGCAATCTGGGCGGAGCAGGTGGCAGAGGCAGCCGCGGAGGAGGCCCAGGGAACTGACGGGGATGCTCAGCCAGGCCCAGAGGATGCGCCCTGGCAGTCCCGGAAGACACCAGGAAAACAAGCAGAAACCGTAGCTAGGACTGGGGTGGCCAGGCCCAGGAAATCCATGAAGGGGACAGACAGCGGGTCCTGCTGCCGCCGCCGATGCGACTTTGGCTGCTGCTGTCGCGCGTCCCGCCGGGCTCACTACACGCCTTACCGGTCCGGGGACGCGACGCGAACCCCTCAGTCCCCACGGCAGACCCCGAGCCGGGAAAGACGGCGCCCGGAGCCAGCCGGGAGCTGAGCAGCAGCGGCCGAGGAGGAAGAAGCAGCTGCGGCGGCCACACCCTGGATGAGGTGAGAGCATGGCCAGCTCCTGCCTCTGGAGCCCGGGAGGCTGAGGAACGCGATGGGGGTGGCAACGCACGGTGCGCTGGGCAGGAGAACCGCGCGGAGGGCTGGGGCCCGGGACTGAAGATCCCGACGCCTGAGAGGGGTTGGCGCTGAGTGACTACTGCTTGGAGAAGGGTAGGGAGGTAATGGGGCCTGTGGTGGAGGCAGGAGGAGGGACAGTGTTGAGTTGCCCAGAAATAAAGGTGTGCCCCTGGAAGGGTTAAAGCATAGGAAGCTCGGTCTCTATCTCGAGGTCTTTGAGACACAGACATTTGCTGTGTTGATGGAGGTGAGATTGCAGGCTGTGTCTGTTGGGTTGAGCCAAAGGAGAGATGAACACATGACTCAGAAGGCTATACCAGGATGGAAACATCAGAGATGGGCATGAAAGATGAAGGATCGGGAAGTGCACCCGGACGAAAGCACACACTGCCATCTCTTATAGCTCTTCTTTTCAGGGTTATTTCTCTTAGATACAGATCGCAGGGTGGGGTGGGTGGTGATTCCCTCTTCCTGGGCTATCTCTTTTTCCCCTGCAGAGCTGGAGCCCTGCCTGATGGCTGGATGGAGGCCATGCAGGACAAGTTCCTTCTAAAATCAATCCTTTGCTTTGGCCTGGAAGACCGAACATATTAGGCTCAATTTTCTTCGTGTAGCAGCGGTAACATAAAAATCTGTCATACATACGATTTTTGGGAGAAGAGATAGATTGTGCTGCAGGCTTTTTAGAAATAAACATGTCCTCATCACAGCATTTTTAGCTTTTTATCTCATGGAAGGTAGTACTCATAAATCAAACTACCAGGCCTAGTGATTCCAGCCTCTGAGCTAACGGGTCTGTAAAAAGTTACTTCATTTCTCTAGGCCTCAGTTTCCCATGCATAAAATTGGAATTTGGATTAAAACAGTGCTAATTATAAAACTAAATGTTCATTGGATCTGTATTCTATGTTCAGGATAGCTATATTTGTGAACTATGAAATTTAGCCTATTCACTGACAATTTTATTTTTTCATAACACTATCCACTGTTTATGTCAGAAAACAGACTCACATTCAGTTAATAGAGCTTAAATAAATCACATGTCTTCTAAGGAACCCATAAGAAATTACTGCTCCTAAGAAAGAATTAAGCAAAAAGTATTCATTGTTTGATTTTTTTATAAAGTAAAATTTTTATTGCCTTATACAAATTACTTTTATAGACATAATTACTTTTTTAAAAAAGCATATCTATGGGATGTTAATTATTTTATAAAATACTTTGAAATTTTATTTAAAGCTTAGAACAAAAAAATTAATCTGAATGTGTATTTATAATTCCAAGGCTCCTTAATCACTTTACGCACACGGGGTGAATTCTTCTTATCTGGAAAGCAGCATTAATCCTGCAGAATTTGAAATGAATTATGACTCCTTATCACAAGAGTATGATTTTTCTCCCTGTCTTTGGTTAAAAAAAAGTTTGTAGGGTTAGAATTTGATCCTCTAAATTGTGGTTTAATTGTGAAAGTAGATAGCAAACATTCATGGTTTCCTTAATAGTTACTCATCTGACAAACTACACCTATATTCATCTTCGTTGATGTAATGATAAGTCTTGAAATGTTTTTAAAAAATTTCACAATTCCCAAATGAAACACTTACAGCAACTTGACTGAGGTTAGTACTACTTTGCCCTTTATTTAAAAATCAATTCCGCAGTTTAGCGTACTTTAAAAAATGTAACAACTTTAGCTATAGTGTTAGAGGTTTAATGAATGTTAGCGTATTAGAGGTTATACTTGGGGAGTGGTGTTTTTGGTACGATTTTCTAACTCTCAATCAACTAAAAAATGTAAAAAAGCAGCTTTGCACGTTATCCAAATTCAGTTCAGTTCAGTGTTACTTATTGAGCAATGATGGTGGAGGCCAGCACAAACTGGATACAAAACTACCCTCAGGTAACTCAGAATCTGTAGTTCTATAATATGCTTCAGTAACTGGAGTATGGAGTAAGTGCTGTAACAGAAAGATGAACTGTAGACCTCTCTCTCTCTCTCTCTCTCTCTATCTCTCCAAGGAAAGCTGACTTCCCTAACAGGCCATAGAAAGTGGCATTATCTTGGAAAATATGTTGAAATCTGGTCTTTAACTTGTTAAGTCTGTTTCTTTTCTTTTTCTTTCTTTCTTTTTTTTTTTTTTTTTCAGAGATGGAGTCTCACTGTGTTGCCTAGGTTGGAGTGAAGTGGTGCAATCATAGCTCCCTGCAGTCTCCAACTCCTGGGCTCAAGGGATCCTCTTGCCTTGGCCTCCCAAGTAGCTGAGATCACAGTTGTGTACCACCATTTCCGGCTACTTTTAAAAAATTATTTTGTGTAGAGATGGAGTCTTGCTATGTTGCCTAGGCTGGTCTCAAACTCCTGGCTTCAAGCAATCCTACCACCCCACCCTCCCAAAGTGCTGAGACTATAGGCATGAGCCACTGCACCCAGCCAAGTCTGCTTCTTAAACTGATAAATCACAGGACTACTATATAAACCCAGAATAACAAATTACTAATTTATAATGAGAATTTTAACATCTTAGGGAACTAGACTCTCTTTTATGATCCCAGCAAAATATCTCTTGGTATATGTGCCACATTTGAGAGCCAAATTACAGCCAAAAGGTTGTTTTTGAAACTTGAATCTAGAGCAAGAGGAATTAATTAGTGGATTCTAAATTTCAAATAATTTGATAGCTTCAGAGCATCAAGGTGTACACATAGGTTCTTTTTTCCTGGACAGTAAGTGTCCACTGATGATTGTCCTCCCTTCTTAGGTACATCTCTTTTTCTATCTCTGATATGCTAATATTTTCAGTCAGATTATAATCTGGTTTGGGGATCCTTGTGACTGTTTCAAGTGTCTACATTTATTCTCTAAATCAGTTTATCTTAATTGTAAAGTTTAAATTCTAAGTGGCAAGCTTATTTTCTTTAAGAAAAAATAATGATGGGGTAGGGAGGTGGGGCTGGGGTACCATATTACAGCCCCTACATGCTGGCAATATAAACCAGGTGGTTAATGGCACCTCTCTATGGTGCTAAAAGGCAGATGAGGCCGGTCACGGTGGCTCATGCCTGTTAATCCCAGCACTTTGGGAGGCCAAGGCCGGTGGATCACTTGAGGTCGGGAGTTTGAGATCAGTCTGGTCGACATTGTAAAACTCCATCACTAATGAAAATACAAAGAATTAGCTGGGTGTGGTGGTGTGCCTGTCATCCCAGCTACTCAGAAGGCTGAGGAAGGAGGATCACTTGAACCAGGGAGGCGGAGGTTGCAGTGAGCCGAGATTGCACCACTGCACTCCAACCTGGGTGGCAGAGTGAGACTCCATCTCAAAAAAGAAAAATTAAAAAATTAAAAAATTTAAAAAGGCAGATGATCAGAGATGGCTTTATACAGGAGGTGAATTTTTGTCTGGCTTGACAAGATAACAAAGCCAGGTTGAGTGGGAAGAAAATTTTGCCAAAAGAACACAAGCAGATTTATGACAGTGGGAAGATGCTTTATTGAAGTGAATCCCATGCTGTGATAGAAATTTTCTGTGAGGATTTAATTCAAACTCGATCCTTTTTCAAGTATATAACTATTTAAAAAGAGAAATTAAGTGAATTGTCAGCTGTTGGCCATCTGCCTCAATGTGTGCTTTTGAAGCCCAGCAGATTGCACATTCTGTGTAGGTGGATAGCTTGAAACCTGCAGACAACTGTCAGAGGACAATGACTTCAGAGAAGATTCAGTGAATTTCTAACATCAAACTTCAACTACTGTAATATGCTTGTCTAGCCATCTCTTTGTTGTTGCTGTTCTACAGCTTTATTGAGATATAACTGACATACAATAAACTGGGCAAATTTAAAGTGTGCAATTTGAAGTTTCAACGTATGTATATACCTGTGAAATCATCACCACAATCAAGATGACGAACTTATCCATGATCCCAAAAAGTTTCCTTCTGCCCTTTTTAAATTCCTCCTTCCCGCCCCTCTGCTTTTGTCATTATATATTACTTTGCATTTCCTAGAATTTCATATAAATGGAATCATACAGTATCTACTCTTTGTTGTTGTCTGGCTTCTTTCACTCAGCATAATTATTTTGAAACTTATCTATGCTGTTGTGGGTATCAGTAGCTCATTTCCTTTTGTTGCTGAGTAGTATTTCATTGTATGAATGTGCTACACGTTATTGATTCACCATTCGTTGAGTTGTTTCCAGTTTTATGGCTATTACAAATAAAGTTGCTATAATTATTTGTGCACATGTCTTTCATTTCTCTTGGGCACATTTCTCGAGGTATATAACACTAGGCACGCTTTTAAAGAAACTGCCAAATCGTTTTCCAAAAGGGTTGTACCTTTTACATTCCCACTAGCAATGTATGAAGGTTCTCATTTCTCCACATCCTTCTCAATACTTGTTACTGTACATCTTTTATATTATAGCCATTCTAGTGGGTGTGAAATCTTATTATGGTTTTTTGACTTAAATTTCCCTAATGATTAATGATATTGAGCTTTTTTTTCATGAGCTTGATTATTATCTACATATTTTTGGTAAAGTGTCTGTTGAAATATTTTGCCCATTTTCCATTGAGTTGTTTGGGTTTCACTGAGTTCATTGGGTTCATTTCATATTCTAAATGCAAGTTTTATTATATATGTTCTTTGCAAATATTTTCTCCCACTGTGCAGATTGTCTTTCCATTTTAGTAACAGTGTCTTTTGAAGACCAGACATTTTAAAATTTTGCTGTGGTAAATAAACATTATCAGTTTTTTCTTTTATGGTTCTGCTTTTAATGTCATATCTAAGAAATCATTACTTAATCCAGATTACAAAAATATTCTATTTTTTTCTAGAAGTTTTATAGTTTTGCATTTTTACATTTAGGCCTATGATCCATTTGAGTTAACTTTTGTATATGGTGATCAAGGTGTTTTTTTTTTCTTTTTTATCTTTTTTTTTTTTTTTTGCATGTAGATGTACAGTTGTTCTAACACTGTTTGTTAAGAGCACTATCCTTTTTCCATTTAATTGCCTTAGCACCTTTGTTCAAATCAATTGACCACATATATAATCGTCTGTATCTGGGTTTCTATTGTGTTTGACTGATTTATTTATCTGCCTTTATTTTTTTCTTTTTCTTTTTTTGAGATGGAGTCTAACTCTGTTGCCCAGGCTGGAGTGCAGTGGCACGATCTTGGCTCACGGCAACCTTCGCCTCCTGGGTTCAAGCAATTCTACTGCCTCAGCCTCCCTTATCCATCTTTAGACTAATACCAAACTGATTTGGTTACAGTAGCTTTATACGTTTTGAAATCACGTAGTCAAATGCTTGAGCTTTGCTCTTCTTATTCAAAATTGTTTTCATTGTGTTAGGTTCTTTGAATTTCCATATACATTTCAGAATTCACTTGTAAATGTAGACAAAAAGCCAGTGGGGTATTTGATTGGGGTTACATTGAGTCTATAGATCAACTTATAGAGAATTGATATCTTAACAACATTGGGTCTTCTGATGCATGAACATGACATATTATTTCATTTATTTTGGTTAATGGTTCTCCGCTAAGGGCAATTGTGCATCACAAGGGACATTTGACAGTATCTAGACACAAACAACTAGAGCATCAGAACCCCTTTGCTGTACCCACAGTCTTGTATTTACAGTCTATACTTCCATTCTTTCAGGAGGTTTGCTCCCAGAACTGGTGATATAAAGAAGGAAAGTAGCAGTATGAGCACTTTGAGGGCTAAGCAATGGGATAATATCTTTCTAAGAGAACAGTTAAATCAACTTCATTTGGTCTTCCATGGACATGAGTTTCAAGTGGCTTTCTGGCCTTTCTTCTGTTGGCCTCTTCGCTATTATGTGAAGACTTCATTTATACTCAATCTAATTCAGCTACCATGGGCCATATCACCAGTGCCCATTGTGTTCTATGCATCCTAATATTTTCATTAATCTGAAGGGGAGAGGGTTTTAACTTTGAAGGATACTCAAGAGGACTTTCTTATGAACTCAGATGGAAAGTGTCCTGAAATTTGTCCTTTTAAAAATATCTGTGCATTTTTTTGTGCTATGACATTCTTACATGTATCATTCTGTGATCAAATCTCCAGCTTACTATAAATGATACCTACATTCTAAAGAGCCAATTCTAGTTGTACCAGCATGGCCTTAGAGAAAAGTAAGGGAATACAATTTTTATTTATCTTCTATTTGGTTGGAGTTAAGTATTTAAAACAGTAAGGTAGATCTCAGATCCACCACCATTAAAAATAAATAAATAAATAAATAAATAAATAAATAAAATAGTAAAGTAGAAAGAAGAGACAAAGATCCAAACCTTTCAAAATGAAAAATGAATTTTAAATATAAGGTTATATTTTATTACCTACTGCTGAGACCATCATTGCATAAATGAATAAATAGAACTAAATAGTCCAGTCACAGTGGCTCACGCCTGTAATCCCAGCACTTTTGGAGGCCGAGGCACGCAGATCACGAGGTCAGGAGACAGAGACCATCCTGGCCAACATGGTGAAACCCTGTCTCTGTTAAAAATACAAAAGTTAGCTGGGCGTGGTGGCATGCGCCTGTAATCCCAGCTACTCGGGAGGCTGAGGCAGGAGAATCGCTTGAACCAGGGAGGCAGAGGTTGCAGTGAGCCAAGATCACACCACTGCACTCCAGCCTGGTGACACAGCGAGACTCTGTCTCAAAAAAAAAAAAAAAAAAAAAAGAACTAAATAAACTCTTCTTCCCCCACAAATTTACCAGTTTAGCCATTTTAAGTGTACAGGTCAGTAGCTGCATTAAGTACATTCACATTATTGTGCAACAAGTACCACCATCCATCTCCAAAATTTTCTCTTTTTCCAAAACTGAAACTCTGTATCCATTAAACAGTAGCTACCCATTCTCCCTCCCCTACCTCCTGGTAACCACTATTCTACTTTCTGGCTCTATGAATTTGACTACTCTAGCCACCTTTTATAAGTGGGATCATATATTTGTTGTTTTGTCTCCAGCCTATTTCACTTGGCATAATCTCTTTTAGGGTCATCCGTGTTGTAGCATGTGTTGTAATTACGTACTTTTTTGTGTGTGAGATAGTCTTACTCTATCATTCAGGCTGGAGTGCACTGGCACAATCATGGTTCAATGCAGCTTTGACCTCCTGGGCTCAATCGATCCTCCCACATTGGCCTCCCAAATGGCTGGGATTACAAGCAATTTTTTTGATATTTTTGTAGAGATGGGGTCTCAGTTTGTTGCTCAGGCTTATAATGATGTACCTTTTAAAAGGCCAAATCATATTCCATTGTATGTTTATACAACATTTTATTAATCCATTCATCTGTTAATGGAAATTTCAGTTGTTTCCACCTTTTGCCACTGTGAATAATGCTGCAACAGATATGGATGTACAGATGTCTCTTTGTGTCCCTGTTTTCAATGCTTTTGGGTTGCAAAAGAAGAGGGATTTTTGCATATATGGTAATTTTATATTTAATTTTTTGGAACGACCATACTGTTCTCTACAGCAGCTGCACCATTTTACATTTCCATCAACAGTGTACAAGGGTTTCAGTTTCCCCATATCTTCATGAACACTGATATTTTCTGTTTTTGTTTTTTAAAATAATTGCCATCCTAATGGGTATAAAGTGAAATATCATTGTGGTTTTGATTTGCATTTCCTTACTGATTAGTGATGTAAAAGATATTTTTAAAGTTTCATATTTACTGACATATTTACCATTTCCAATATTCTTCATTATTTTCATCTGGTATCATTTTCCTTCTGCCTGAAAGAATTTCTTTAATCCTTCTTATTCTTGTGCAGATTTGCTGGTGGGAAAATTCTTTCAGCTTTTGTATGTGAAAAAGTCTTTATTTCACCTTCATGTTTGAAAGATATTCTTGCTGGTTATCAGGACTGACTACATACTTTGTGGGGCTCAATGCAAAATAAAAATGTAGACCCCTCTGTTCAAATATTATTAAGAATTTCAAGTCATCAACAACAGAGCATTAAACCAAGCCCGTCCTTCTGAGTGCAAAGCCCTGTGTGACTACACGGGTTGTATGCACAAGAAACCTACTCTGCTGGTTGTAGAATTCCAGGTGACTGCTCTTTTTTTCCTTCAGCTCTTTAAAGATGTTGCTCTGTTGTCTTTTTTTTTTTTTCTGAGATGGAGTTTCGCTCTTGTTGCCCAGGCTAGAGTGCAATGATGCCATCTCGGCTCACCGCAACCTCGACCTCCCGGGTTCAAGTGATTCTCCTGCCTCAGCCTCCTGAGTAGCTGGGATTACAGGCATACGTCACCATGCCCAGCCAATTTTGTATTTTTAGTAGAGATGGGGTTTCTCCATGTTGGTCAGGCTGGTCTCGAACTGCTGACCTCAGGTGATCTGCCCTCCTCAGCCTCCCAAAGTGCTGGAATTACAGGCACGAGTCACTGCGCCTGGCTTCTCTGTTGTCTTTTAATTTTCAAGTTATGCTCTCATTCTTATCCTTGTTTCTCTCTATATAATGTTCTTTTTTCTCCTGAATACTTATAAATTTTTCTCTTTATCACTGATCTTAAGCAATTTGATTAAAATGTGCCTAGGTGTGGTTACTTTCATGTTTCTCGTGCTTTGGATTTGTTACACTTACCGGATCTGTGTGTTTACAGTTTTCATTATACTTGGACAATTTTCAGCCATTATTTTTTCAAAAATTTTTGTTGCCCTCTATAACTCCTTTCCTTTAGGGACTTCAGTTACATATATATTAGGTCATTTAAATTTTTCCCATTGATCACTGATGCTCTGTTCACTTTTTGTTTTCTTTTCCTTGTTTTATTTTTGGATCATTTTCATTGCTATGTCTTTAAGTTCACTAACTTTTTCTTCTACAGTGTCTAATCTGTTGTTAATTCCATCCAGTGTATTCTTCATCTCAGATATTGTCTTTTTCATCTCTAGAAGTTTGTAACTTTCATGTATTAATTTTTTTTCTTTTTTTTTGAGATGGAGTTTCACTCTTGTCAATGTTACGGTCTCAGCTCCTTGCAACCTGCAATCTCTGCCTCCTGGGTACAAGCAATTCTCCTGTCTCAGCCTCCTGAGTAGCTGGGATTACAGGCACCCACCACCACGCCTGGCTAATTTTTGTATTTTTAGTAGAGATGGGGTTTCACCATGTTGGCCAGGGTGGTCTCAAACTTCTGACCTCAGGTGATCTGCCCACCTCCTCCCAAAGTGCTGGGATTACAGGCGTGAGGCACTGTGCCCCGCCCATGTATTAATATTTTACTTCATTTTATCAATCTTTGTTCTACTTTCTTGAACATTTAAAATACTATAATAACAATTCTAACATTTGTTCAGTTCTGAGTATGTTTCTGGTAATTGATTTTTCTCTTCATTTTAAGTACTGTTTCCTGCTTCTTTGCACACCTGGCAATACTTTGATTTGATACCACACATTAAACATTTTACATATTGGGTGTTAGATAGTTTTGCATTCCCATAAACATTATTGAGCTTTATTCTGGGTCACAGTTAAGTTAGTTGGAAACAGATCCTTCTTGATCTTAAGCTTCATTATGGGGAACCCAAGCAACTTTTTAAAGATGATTAATTTTCCCCATTACTTGGGTGATACCCTTCTAAGTACTCTAGCCAATATCCTGTTAATTATGAGGCTTTTCCCACTTTAGTAGATGATGAAACAAACTACTTCCAGCCTTGTATGAGCCAAGAGGATTGTTTAATCTGATTCTCTTGTGTGGTTCTTACCCCAACCTTGGTAGTTTCCTGATATACCGATCAGTATTCAGCTGAATATTTAAGGAGACTCTCCACAGATCTCTGGAATTTTCTATTCTTTCTGGTACTCTTCCCCATGAACTCTACCTGCCTTGGCCTTCTCAAATCTCTGCATGATCTCTTCAACTCAGGCAGATCACCAGGCTCTGCCTGGATTCCCTCTCTGTGAGCTCTGGGGCAGTTAAGTAGGACAGTTGTATGGCTTACTTTGCTTGTTTCTCTCTTCTCTTGGATAACTTTCCTATGTTGTCTGATATCCAGTGTCTGAAAATAATTATTTTATATATCTTGTCCTATTTTTTAGTAATTTCTGTCAGGGGTGAAGGGGAATGAATACCAACCCTATTACCGCATGCTGTCTGGAAGTAGAAGTGTCTTTCTAGCCACGTTATAAATTAGTAGTTTTCAACCCTGACTACATATTAGAATTATTTGGGGGAGGTCTTTAAAAAGCTGATGTAAGGCTTCATTCCAGACCAATTAAATCAGACTTTTTCAGATTGAGGTCTTAGCATCAGTGTTCTTTAAATGCACTACAAGTTTTCTCATGTATACCAGGGTTAAAGAACCTCCATATTAAAGAAAAGGTTGCATTTATAGATCATTCTGAGAAACTTTTGTATTCTGTCATTTCAGCTAAGACACAGAGGCGGTTGGCTTTTATTTTTGTAGACAGTGTGGAATTATAGAAGCTTTTAAAGAAGAGTCTGGCAGACATAGATCTTTGTTTTAGAGTTGTAAGTGTGGCAATCGTGTGAGAGATGGGCTTAAGTGGATTGAGTGAAGATCACTGAGAAACTGTTGCAAGTGGTTCACGGCCAAAGGTAATAAGGGCCTGAACACAGGCACTGGTATTGGGAATGGCGAGGAAGAGATAGGTTGGAGAATTTGAGTTAGAACTGATAGGGTTTTTTGATTAATTGAGTGTGGGAAATGAGGGAGATGGTGGAAACAAATGTTATTCTCCAGTTTATTACTCTAGACAAGTAAACTCTGTCTAAACAAATTCCTAGGCCAGTCAGAGAGTAAATAGTAATTTCATTAACTGAGATAGATAATATGGTATGAGAAGCAGATGTCAGGGAAAGGAGAGAATTAATTTAGTTTGGGATATCCAAAAAGATATCTCATGGAACTGTCTCCTGACCTCTAGTTTATTCTGAATCATAGGACAGAGAAGACATTTAAAAGCATATCTTTTTAGTATGCTGTATAATTTTGAACAGATTTATCTTTCTTCTTTTATTTGACTTAATATTGAAATCTGTTTATATCTTTTTTTTTTTTTTTTTTTTTGAGGCGGAGTCCTGCTCTGTTTCCCACGCTGGCGTGCAGCGGCGCGATCTGGCTCACTGCAAGCTCCGCCTCCTGGGTTCACGCCACTCTCCTGCCTCAGCCTCCCGAATAGCTGAGACTACAGGCGCCCGCCACCACACCCGGCTAATTTTTTGTATTTTTTAGTAGAGATGGGGTTTCACCGTGTTAACCAGGATGGTCTCCATCTCCTGACCTCGTGATCCGCCCGCCTCGGCCTCCCAAAGTGCTGGGATTACAGGTGTGAGCCACTGAGCTCGGCCGAAATCTGTTTATATCTCTTAAACAAACATCAGTTAATACTGCAAGAAAGTAGATGTTGGCCGTGCGCGGTTGCTCACGCCTGTAATCCCAGCACTTTGGGAGGCCTAGCGGGGCAGATCACCTGAAGTCAGGAGTTTGAGACCAGCCTGGCCAAAATGGTGAAACCCCCTCTCTACTAAAAATACAAAAAATTAGCCAGGCGTGGTGGCAGGCGCCTGTAATCCCAGCTACTCAGGAGGCTGAGGCAGGAGAATCACTTGAACCCAGGAGGCGTAGGTTGCAGTGAGCCAGATCGCGCCACTGCACTCCAGCCTGGAAACTCCATCTCAAAAAAAAAAAAAAAAAAAAAAAGAAAGAAAGTAGTTGTCTTCTAGATGACAAAATGTCAAGTCAGAGATTATTGCAGACTTTTGTTTTGTTTTGGGTTTTTGACTGTGGGTGTGTCCATTCCTCCCTTCTTTGGACAATAGCCCTACTTTTTTTTGGGGGGGGGGGTGGCTAGAATTGTCTTCTTTGCCATGGTTTATAGTCTTGGTGGGAAGTTTGTTTAAGGTATCCCGAGCTAAATGATAATCTTGAGACCCACACGAGGATGATCTGATTTTTTATTTATTTATTTATTTATTTATTTATTTATTTATTTATTTATTTTTGAGGCGGAGTCTCGCTGTTGCCCAGGCTGGAGTGCAGTGGGGCGATCTCGGCTCACTGCAGGCTCCGCCCCCTGGGGTTCACGCCATTGTCTTGACTCAGCCTCCAGAGTTAACTGGGATTACAGGCACCCGACACCTCGCCCGGCTAATTTTTCGTATTTTTAGTAGAGACGGGGTTTCACCGTGTTAGCCAGGATGGTCTCGATCTCCTGACCTCGTGATCCGCCCGCCTCGGCCTCCCAATGATCTGATTTTTTGAGCATTGCATCATCAGTGGAACAACATAAGAGTAGAAAAAAGTGGCCAGAACCAATCGGCCCCTTCTTGCTACCTAGATCCTAATTGCTTCCCCTGTTCCTGCCGCTCCCTATTCCTGCCCCTTCTGAGCCTGTTCTTTTGAGTCTTCAACTGTTCCTTTGATTCTGTGGGTCTCCTCTTCCAGTAAATCCTATTTTAAAAAATAGTATAGCTGGAGTCTGTTCACTGATCTTTCCAAAAGGTATATATGGAATGGCAGGCACAATACTAGGTGCTAGAATAAAATGAGGAACAAGATTATTGGATAAAGGCTCAGTGAGGACGTAGACAGAAAACAAATAAATAAATATACAAATAAAGTGATTTCTGATATTAATAAAGTTTATTTTAAAAAAACTTCGTTAGAGAGGAATTAAAGCAGGAGGTGAAAGAACTGCAAAACCCCTAAGGTAGAAATAAGCTTAGTGTGTTTGAGGAAGAAAATGGCCAGTGCAGCTGGAGCATAATAAATAAGAGGAGGGGGCAGAGGTGAACCTGAGCCAGGTCACCTGAGACCTCATAGGCCGTGGTAAGAAGTGGATGTTATTCTAAGGACATGGGGAAGCCAATGAAGATTTAAAACAGGAACATCATATGATCTGAAAAATATTAAAAAGTCACTTTGCTATTGGAAAACAGACCTTAGGAGGCCAAGAGTGGAAGGAAGGGAGCTGCTTTGCTGGCTATTGCAGTAAGTAACACCAATGTGAGATCATAGCGATTTACATCATGGCGGTAGCAGCGGGGCTGGTAAGAAGAGAAGGACTGAGCCTTCTAGCAGATAACTTGGTACCCTGCAGATCCCGAAAACAAAACCAACAAAGAAGATAACTGGGGGATAAAAAAAGACAACTTCATGGTTGGAGTCTTTATATTAAGTTTTGTTTGAAGCCTCTGTTTGAGGTTTTTTGCTTCACCCTGGTGGAGGTTTTCTCCCCAGTCATTATGAGGGTGGGAGTTAGATGGTGGGACAAAGAGATAGAGGTCACTCAAATGAAAAGGACCCTGGATAGTATTAGGAATATCTTCACACAGGGTTGCATATGGTGACCAAATGGTGGTAGCGCCCACGGTGGGAGGGGTAGCAGACATGGTGATGGTATTTCCCTAGAACAGGGGTCCCCAGCCCCCAGAGCATGGACTGGTACTGGTCCTGGCCTGTTAGGACCCCGGCTGCATAGCAGGAGGTGAGTGGCAGGCCAGCGAGCATTACCCCTGAGCTCCACCTCCTGTCGATCAGCAGACCAGCAGCTGCATTCAATTCTCATAGGAACGGGAACCCTATTGTGAACTGGGCATATGAAGGATCTAGGTTGCCTGCTTCTTATGAGGATCTAATACCTGATGATCATTCCAAATCCATCCCCCACCCTGTCCATGGAAAAGTTGTCTTCCTTGAAAATGGTTCCTGGTACCAAAAGGGTTGGAGACCACTGCCCTAGGACACTTTAACCTCTTCATGAAGTTGCCTGTTCTCTTAGATTTATTTGCTAGAGCAGCCTCATAACTATAGGTGATTCATACTAGGTCTCACAGGAGTTCCAAACAGAATTCTGTAATGATTTTATATTGTGAAACCTGACATCTCATGGCAGCAACATTATCATTATCACCATAATTACATATATAATTACATGATTAATATTTATTGAGTAAATGATAAATGCTAGGCCCTATCTTAAACATTTCATAAGAATAATATTATTTAATTCTCACTATAATTCTGTGAGAAAGATGCTATCGTGATCCCGTTTTATAGAGAGGTTAGGTAATTTGACAAGATCACACAGTTATGAAATGGTAGAAGTTGTGTTTAATTGGCAGGTGTTGATTTTCTGTTTCATGTGTATTAGAGTAATTGTTTTTGTGCATCTTGTATGTTTTTAAAATTTTTTCCTAGGTTTGCTTTTTGTTAAAAAGTAAACCAAAACAAAACAAATGAAGACTATAAAACGAAAACCTTTGGTAGAACTTGGGCAAAAATGGTCTGGTCTTCAAGTTAGCATACCAAGTATGAAAATGTCATCTGTTTAAAAATACTAAGCTGCATGATTAAAATTTGACCTTGTGAAAATTTGCTTTCTAATTTATATGGCACACCACCTGAAGGCCAGCACAGAGAAATATATGACCTGTTTAAAACGAAAGGAAGTGTACCTGGGCACGACCAAGAATCTATCAAAAAAGCATCAGAAAGCTCCATATTAAGGTTAATAAAAATAGGTGAACCGCACATTTCAAAGGAGAATCTGGGACACTATTCAAATAACAAAGACTTAAAGCAGGCTGGGTTCACTGCCCAGAATAATAGGCACATGCATTTACAGAATGGGGGGATTTTGTCCACTGTACGCATGCTCATTCACACTCACATCTAACCCTACAACACCAGCTCCGAGAAAGTGGATGCAATGAAGGAAATGTTAACATGAGCGGTGACCCTAGTGTACAAACAATATCAAATTTTAGATTCTTTTTGTTTCCATGATAGTCTAATCTGTATTATCTTTTGGCTATATCAACCTTGACTTTGAAATCTCCAAATAAACATTTCAACCAAAATGTACGGCTGTATTGTAATTTCAGCAAGAAGGGTTTTCATTGTTTGCACATATCTTCAAAAAGAAAAAAAAGTGTGCTTGGTAGTAATCAAAAGCACATTCTCGAGTGAGCATGCTTTGGTGGTATATTCTACAGACTGGGAAAGGTCCTACTTATCACTCTCAAATTTTCAGCATACATCTAGTTTCCTGATGTGCAGCGTTAAAAAACTGCTCTGACTTCTTTGTCTTTCTTTACTGTAGAGAGAATAATAGCTTCTTTGTGAATGGGAGAGCTGGGTCTCTAACTCCACAGAATGACCTTGGATTGGGGAAAGGTTCAGAAGTCTGTGTGTTTGTTACTATTACTATTGCTGCATAGCAAATCACCTCAGTGGCTGAAAACTGCAAGTATTTAGTACTCACAGTTTTGGAGGGTCAGAAATCTGGGAGCAGCTTAGCTGGTTAGAATTGCCTCAAGTTCTCTCATGAGGTTGCAGTCAAGCACTCAGCTGGGGCTGCTGTCATCTCAAGACTCGACAGGGGCTGAAAGGTCCGTTTTCAGACTCACGCACACGGTATTTGGCAGGCTTTAGTTCCTGTCCACACAATAGGTCTGCTTATAACACGGTAGCTTAGTTCCCCCAGCACAACTGATCTAAAAGAAAGAGAGCATGCATACTCCAAATGGAAGCCACAGTTGTTTTTGCTTTTTAAAAAATAATCTAATCTCGGAAGCAACATTCCGTCACTGCTGCCCTACTGTATTCATTACAAATGAGTACTAGATCCATCCCAGACTCAAGGCGAGGGAATTACACAAGGGTTTGATGACCAGGGATCACTGGGGACCAACTTAGAGACTGCCTATTACAGTCTGCATCCATTACCTGAGCTCCTGGACACCAGAGGAGCAGCAGAATTAGTTCTCTCTTTCTTCTTCTGGAACAAGACTAGTACAAACTAAGCACAAAAGGGAAGGGGGAGTATAACCAGAGCTGAGGCTGAAGACTATGCCAAGCTATGTAAGCCTTATTAAAGATTTTTGTCTATATCCTCAGAACAATAACAAACTCAGACTCTGCTTGCCTCAGTCATCCCTTCAACCACCGCTGGAAGACATTGCTGGCAGTGACTGGCCCTGGGGACTTCAGTGTCTTCTTGCGTGCCTTAAAGGCTAAGGTTCACATCTATGGCTCCAGTGTCCTACCCGAGGGTAGGTTAAAAGAATGACATGGGTGACTCAAGACTAGAGAAGTGCCTGGCCCTGTGAGGCAGACATATTAATAGTTTGAGAGGCAAGAAGTCGGGCCCCAGGTTCCCACCATGAGGAACTAGGAAGCCATAGAAGGAAAATGCAAATGCCACACACCTGCAGGTGCCTGGCGGGTAGCATAAATAAGTGAACCTGCTTAGGTGTAAGGGCATAGGGAATAGTGTTGGTGACTGTGACTGTGACTTTCTGGACCATTGACCAAACAAAATACATCAGTGAAGGCAAGTCTCTAGGATAGTACCACCAGCAGGGGGCACCTGCAGATGGTTTTCATTGTCACAAAATTAGGTTTGGTACTTGGGGATGAGCAGCTATTCACAGTAGAGAAGCTCCAGTTTGAAGTATCCTACACTACTTGAATTCACTACAGGCTGCATGGAGGAAGCAGCATGGCCACTTTGATTTCCAGAACTACCCGTACACAATGTGAAAAGAAGAATAGAGGTGAGGTGGATTTGGTTTTGGAGGTGAGTGAGCAGGTGCCTCCAAATAAGAGTTGGGGCTCAAGGTTTTCTTTAAAAAGATAGACTCTTGAAAAATTGCACTCTAGTTACATTAGTGCCAACTCATGAGGTCACCTGTTCTTTTTTCCCTCTCCCATTATCTCCCCTTTCTACCCCATTCTACCCTCTCCCTGATGCCCTATACATCACAGAAACTTGCCCTTGAGATGTAAGACTGTTTGGAAGGAGGTTGGAAGAGCTGGCCTTGGCTCAGAGAGTTGCTTTTACCTTGTGGTATCTTAAAGGTGCCACCTGATGTCCAACCATTCATAACAGACAGAGAGCTGTTGCCAACAAGGTCAGCAGAACATAGCACTAGAGAGCACCAGAGGAGACACCTAAAGATGTGGCTTTTGGCACATCATCTGGGGATGAACAAGTTGGGCCTGGACTAGGACGAAGCAAGTAAGACACTCCCTGAATCATGAAAATGCAGGGTCAGATCCTGTCTTTATTTAAAGTTTTGATATTTTGTTCATTGTGGATTTGTTTTGCATTACTATTTTTCTAAAATATTGCATTAAAATATGATTTATCTTGATTACCGAGATTTTGGCACGCTTTAAACTTCGCACCTCAGGTGAGTGCCTTGCTCCTCTCATCCTAGTTCCAGCCCTGAATACCTTAACAGTTGAATCAAAGTTTGAACCAATTGATCTGGTCCATCAGCACCAGACCCTTCTGGTTTGGATTTTTTTTTCCCTCCCTCTATCTCCTAAGAATGTACCGAAGCCAGCAAATAAAGGATGCAATAATTCTCTTCTGTATACCACAAGCTCTGAGCCTGGGCCAGCTTGGGTATTTCTGTACCTCTCTGTCTGTTATTATTATATCACACGCATAGCCTAAAACTGGGATACTTTTATCTGAATAAAAGATTATTCTGGTCGAAAGGAATTGTGATGGTTAATGTTGGATGTGCTTGTTCTTTTACCAAACTGATATAATGTTTTGTTTTGGTTTTTGAGACGGCGTCTGGCTCTTTCACCCAGGCTGGAGCGCAGTGGCACAGTCTCCACTCACTGTGACCTCTGCCTCCCAGGCTCAAGCCACTTTCCTACCTCAGCCTCCTGAGTAGCTGGGACTACAGATGTGCACCAGCACGCCTGGCTAATTTTTGTTGTATTTTTTGTAGAGATGGGTTTCACATGTTGCCCAGGCTGGTCTCGAACTACTGTGCTCAAGCCATCTGCCTGCCTCACCTCCGACAGTGCTGGGATTACAGGCATGAGGCGTGGCACCCTACCCCTATGGCATTAACTCCTAAAGCCACTTGAACTTTGCAAAGATAAAGGACTGTTGAGTTTTGCTCACCTTTTGTCCAGAATTGCCAGATGTTTGATACGGTACTCAACAGCTCAGTATTTTGACATTTTATATGCTAAAATAAAAATGAAAACAAAAGCGAATACAGAACGTGAGATTTTTCTCATTAAAATTTCTTCCTCGTGTGAAGCTTTCTGAGGCTGTATCTTGATATTTTTGAACCTTTGCCAGCTGGAAGAAAGGACAAAACAGCTGTTCTAAACTGCCAAGAAATTGGCTGGTGCATAGAAGAGGGAATTTGTCTTTGTTGTATATTTTGCCTTTGTCCTGGGAGTGATTATTTTGATCAGCACTTTTGGTTGTACAGATGTGAGCCAAATATCTAGCAGAGGGTAGCTCCTGATTTTAGTTAAGTAATTCACTGCTGAGACTTCAGATTATGATGTAAAGTGTTCTTCTGCTTAATAGTGATAAAAGCTGACCTGAAAAGGGTGTTATATTCTTTTTTTTTTTTTTTTTTTTTGAGACAGAGTCTCACTCTGTCACCCAGGCTGGAGTGCAATGGGACGATCTCAGCTCACTGCAAGCTCTGCCTCCCGGATTCACGCCATTCTCCTGCCTCAGCCTCCCGAGTAGCTGGGACCACAGGCACCCGCCACCACGTCCAGCTAATTTTTTGTATTTCTAGTAGAGATGGGGTTTCACCGTGTTAGCCAGGATGGTCTCGATCTCCTGACCTTGTGATCCCCCCGCCTTGGCCTCCCAAAGTGCTGGGATTATAGGCGTGAGCCACCATGCCCGGCCAAGGGTGTTATATTCTTTTACATAATACAGTTATGCAACGATTTTAAATATTCTTCGGAGATACACATTAAATATTTAGGGGTGAAGAATCTACATCTTACTCTCAAATAGTTCATCAAAATAATACTAATGTTTGTGTCTGTGTGCTTGTGTGTGTGTGTGTGTGTGTGTAAAGAGAGAAAACAAATGTGGCAAAATGTGAACGATCTATGAAGCAATTGAAAGATTTACAGGACTTTATTGTGCTAGTTTTACAACTTTACTATATGTTGAAAATTTTAAATTTTTCAAGCTGGAAAGTTAAAAAAATCAGTGTTACTTTTCACTCATATGTGTGTATGAGTGAAAGTTATTATATATGGCTTCAGGGACCAGCTAGTAGATGGCATGATACAAGAAACAAAGGCAAGGACCATGGATATATATGGCTATCTTGTCCTTAGAGGTATTTTTTCTTTTTTTTAAGAGACAGGGTCTTGCTCACTGTCACCCAGGCTGGAGTGCAGTGGTGTGATTACAGTTCACTGTAGGCTCAACTCCTGGGCTCAAGTGATCCTCCCACCTCAGCCTCCAGAGTAGCTGGAACTAGTGGTTTGCACTACCATCCCTAGATAATTTTTAAATTTTTTTTTGTAGAGACAAGATCTCGCTATGTTGCACAGGCTGGTTTCGAACTCCTGGCCTTAAGTGATCCTCCTGCCTCAGCCTCCTGAAGTGTTGAAATTATAGGCATGAGCCACTGAACGTGGCAGCAATATTTTTTTTTTCTAATTCAGAATCCAATCCAAGATCTGAACTAGGATCATGCATTCCATTTAGTTATTGTTATCACTATGGATTTTTAAAGCAGTCTGGATTGATTGACACATGCTCCTTTGACTTGTACTGGAACTACTTGCCCCATCCTGGAAAATGACTCGGATTTTAGCGATGGTGTGATTGTCATGAATGCCTTGAAAGCTATTTATGAATTTATTCCAGTATTGTTTCTGGTCCCAGAAATGTATTTATTGACCCCAACATCAGTCCCTTCAATTTTTGAGATCTGATATCTATGTTCAAATCAAGGAGAATTATTCATGTAATTCACACAAGTCTTCCCTCACTATTCCAACCCCCTTTCCAGAAATTTACATACCATATTTCTTGCATGATTTCCCCTCTCCCAACGTCAGATACAGATAAATAGTGGGTGTTGAAAGGATAAAGGGGATTGTGTGAGTAAATTACCACCAGCTGTCTGAAGGCTTGGTTGTAATTTCTTTCCTTGAGGTTTGAGGTTTTTGTTATGGCTGACAGACAAGGCTAACCATTGAAAGGGATGGATCTGAATAAACACACACACACGGTTGACAGTAATTATTTATTGAATGAATGAATGAATGAACGAATGAATGAGATAATGCATCAGAAATACTGTGTACATTTTAAGGCATTGTCCCAGTTGTCTATTCCTGCATAAACACACACACACACACACACACACTCACACACACACTTCCTCAAGACAGATACAAGATGGGGGAAATGTCCACCTTTTCTGCTCCCTAGACCTCCAGCCAGCAAGTGAGGAAATCCAATTATTCAGCTTCCTTGCCAATGCTTTGGTCTCACATGATAAATCAGAAAGATGAGAAATGGAAAATCTGGGTCACTGGCCTAGCCCTAGGGAGCACTTTGGAGCAGAACTGAAATTAAAATTCATGACTTCTACACAGTATTGGAGTCCTGCCTGGTATGCAAACATTAATGAAAAATAGCTATGATTTATAGAATGCTTAAAATGTGCTAGACAATGAATTAAAAACTTTTCATATATTAGCTCATTTTGTTCTTACAGTGGCCCTATTAGGTAGTTATTATCATTAACCTTGTTTTACAAATGAGGAAGCTAAAGCACAGAGTTTAAGTCATGTCCAAAATTGCATGGTTGGAAATTGACAGAGGAGGAGGATTGGAACCCATGTCCCTGACTGTAGAGCCAGTAATCTTAACTGCTCTGTTGTAATGCCTGCCAGCAACCTCAGCTGCACTGCACCGCTCTTTCAGATGAATGGGACCCTAGGCACTCACTCACAGGAGACCGGGAATATTTTTCCTTCTACCAGAGAAAAATAAAATTGTTTTCATCAATACTGTTTTTAAGTTAATTTTTTAATTGACAAATAGTAATTGCATATATTTATGGGGTACAATGTTTTGATATATGCATATACTGTGGAATGATGAAAACAAGCTAATAATATTTTTTAATTTTAAATAAAAGCACTGTATTTTGCAATCCCAATGTATGATAAAATTTTATATTGCTAGATACTTCAGTACTCTACTCAGATACTACCTTCTTTAGAAAAACTTCTCTGGTGGAATTTAATTAATCACTCCCTCCTTCATGTTCTGCTTGTGTAGCACTTTACCCGATCTGGTTTGTATTATGGTTTGATGAATGCTTGCCTGGCTTTCCACACTAGATTTTAACACTGGATTTCTACACTAGATTTTAGCAATGCCTAGCACATGCTCTGTGTTTGTTTAATTAAATGAAGGACAGGTAACCACACTGTCCTTGAGTTTTACCAACTGTGGAAATAAAATTATGTCCCGTGAGCATTAGCTGCCTCTGAACTCCTACCTGTTCACTTAGGAAATTAAGTCCCTTACAAATTCCCCTGTACCCCACAAATACTTCTGCTTTTTCCAAGAATTGTTTTCTCTTCTAAACTGCTCCTGGTCCTGATTTTGGTTGTTCCGAGTCACAGCTGGCACTTTGCCTACTATGTATAGTCTTCAGAGCCACACATCCTCCTCCAAACCCTCCTGCCCCATTCCACTCCAGCTACTGAAGGGCAGATCTTTTCATTCTTTTTTTTTTTTTTTTTATACTTTAAGTTCCAGGGTACATGTGCACAACATGCAGGTTAGTTACATATGTATACATGTGCCATGCTGGTGAGCTGCACCCATTAACTCGTTATTTACATTAGGTATATCTCCTAATGCTATCCCTCCCCGGCCCCCCCACCCCACAACAGGCCCCAGTGTGTGATGTTCCCCTTCCTGTGTCTATGTGTTCTCATTGTTCAATTCCCACCTATGAGTGAGAACATGCGGTATTTGGTTTTTTTGTCCTTGTGATAGTTTGCTGAGAATGATGGTTTCCAGCTTCATCCATGTCCCTACAAAGGACATGAACTTATCATTTTTTATGGCTGCCTAGTATTCCATGGTGTATATGTGCCACATTTTCTTAATCCAGTCTATTATTGATGGACATTTGGCTTGGTTCCAAGTCTTTGCTATTGTGAATAGTCCCGCAATAAACATACGTGTGCATGTGTCTTTATAGCAGCACGATTTATAATCCTTTGGGTATATACCCAGTAATGGGATTGCTGGGTCAAATGGTATTTCTAGTTCTAGATCCCTGAGGAATCACCACACTGACTTCCACAATGGTTGAACTAGTTTACAGTCCCAACAATGTAAAGGTGTTCCTATTTCTCCACATTCTCTCCAGCACCTGTTTTTTCCTGACTTTTTAATGATCGCCATTCTAACTGGTGTGAGATGGTATCTCATTGTGGTTTTGATTTGCATTTCTCTGATGGCCGGTGATGATGAGCCTTTTTTCCTGTGTCTGTTGGCTGCATAAATGTCTTCTTTTGAGAAGTGTCTGCTCATATCCTTCGCCCACTTGTTGATGGGGTTGTTTGTTTTTTTCTTGTAAATTTCTTTGAGTTCATTGTAGATTCTGGATATTAGCCCTTTGTCAGATAAGTAGATTGCAAAAATGTTCTCCCATTCTGTAGGTTGCCTGTTCACTCTGATGGTAGTTTTCTTTGCTGTGCAGAAGCTCTTTAGTTTAATTAGATCCCATTTGTCAATTTTGGCTTTCCTTGCCATTGCTTTTGGTGTTTTAGACATGAAGTCCTTGCCCATGCCTATGTCCTGAATGGTATTGCCTAGGTTTTCTTCTCGGGTTTTTATGGTTTCAGGTCTAACATTTAAGTCTTTAATACATCTCGAATTAATTCTTGTATAAGGTGTAAGGAAGGGATCTAGTTTCAGCTTTCTACATATGGCTAGCCAGTTTTCCCAGCACCGTGTATTAAATAGGGAATCATTTCCCCATTGCTTGTTTTTATCAGGTTTGTCAAAGATCAGATGGTTATAGATATGTGGCATTATTTCTGAGGGCTCTGTTCTGTTCCATTGGTCTGTTTTGTTTACCAAAAATCTCTGTTTTGGTACCAGTACCATGCTGTTTTGGTTACTGTAGCCTTGTAGTATAGTTTGAAGTCAGGTAGCGTGATGCCTCCAGCTTTGTTCTTTTGGCTTAGGATTGACTTGGCAATGCGGGTTCTTTTTTGGTTCCATATGAACTTTAAAGTAGTTTTTTCCAATTCTGTGAAGAAAGTCACTGGTAGCTTCATGGGGATGGCATTGAATCTATAAAGTACCTTGGGCAGCATGGCCATTTTCACGATATTGATTCTTCCTGTCCATGAGCATGGAATGTTCTTCCATTTCTTTGTATCCTCTTTTATTTCATTGAGCAGTGGTTTGCAGTTCTCCTTGAAGAGGTCCTTCACATCCCTTGTAAGTTGGATTCCTAGGTATTTTATTCTCTTTGAAGCAATTGTGAATGGGAGTTCACTCATGATTTGGCTGTTTGTCTTTTACTGGTGTATAAGAATGCTTGTGATTTTTGCACATTGATTTTGTATCATGAGACTTTGCTGAAGTTGCCAATCAGCTTAAGGAGATTTTGGGCTGAGATGATGGGGTTTTCTAGATATACAATCATGTCATCTGCAAACGGACAATTTGACTTCCTCTTTTCCTAATTAAATGCCCTTTATTTCCTTCTCCTGCCTGATTGCCCTGGCCAGAACTTCCAACACTATGTTGAATGGGAGTGGTGAGAGAGGGCATCCCTGTCTTGTGCCAGTTTTCAAAGAGAATGCTTCCAGTTTTTGCCCATTCAGTATGATATTGCCTGTGGGTTTGTCATAGATAGCTCTTATTATTTTGAGATATGTCTCATCCATACCTAATTTATTGATGTTTTTAGCATGAAGCGTTGTTGAATTTTGTCAAAGGCCTTTCTGCATCTATTGAGATAATCATATGGTTTTTGTCACTGGTTCTGTTTATATGCTGATTACGTTTATTGATTTGCATATGTTGAACCAGCCTTTGCATCCCAGGGATGAAGCCCACTTGATCATGGTGGATAAGCTTTTTGATGTGCTGCTGGATTCGGTTTGCCAGTATTTTATTGAGGATTTTTGCATCGATGTTCATCAGGGATATTGGTCTAAAATTCTCTTTTTTTTTGTTGTATCTCTGCCAGGCTTTGGTATCAGGATGATGCTGGCCTCATAAAATAAGTTAGAGAGGATTCCCTCTTTTTCTATTGATTGGAATAGTTTCAGAAGGAATGGTACCAGCTCTTCCTTGTACCTCTGATAGAATTCGGCTGTGAATCCATCTGTTCCTGGACTTTTTTTGGTTGGTAAGCTGTTAATTATTGCCTCAATTTCAGAGCCTGTTATTGGTATATTCAGAGATTCAACTTCTTCCTAGTTTAGTCTTGGGAGGGTTCATGTGTCGAGGAATTTATCCATTTCTTCTAGATTTTCTAGTTTATTTGCGTAGAGGTGTTTATAGTATTCTCTGATGTTAGTTTGTATTTCTGTGGGATCGGTGGTGATATCCCCTTTATCATTTTTTATTGCATCTATTTGATTCTTCTCTCTTTTCTTCTGTATTAGTCTTGCTAGCTGTCTATCAATTTTGTTGATCTTTTCAAAAAACCAGCTCCTGGATTCATTGATTTTTTGAAGGGTTTTTGTGTCTCTATTTCCTTCAGTTCTGCTCTGATCTTAGTTATTTCTTGCCTTCTGCTAGCTTTTGAATGTGTTTGCTCTTGCTTCTCTAGTTCTTTTAATTGTGATGTTAGGGTGTCAATTTTAGATCTTTCCTGCTTTCTCTTGTGGGCATTTAGTGCTATAAATTTTCCTCTACACACTGCTTTGAATGTGTCCCAGAGATTCTGGTACATTGTGTCTTTGTTCTCGTTGGTTTCAAAGAACATCTTCATTTCTGTCTTCATTTCATTATGTACCCAGTAGTCATTCAGGAGCAGGTTATTCAGTTTCCATGTAGTTGAGCGGTTTTGAGTGAGTTTCTTAATCCTGAGTTCTAGTTTGATTGCACTGTGGTCTGAGAGACAGTTTATTATAATTTCTGTTCTTTTACATTTGCTGAGGAGTGCTTTACTTCCAACTATGTGGTCAATTTTGGAATAAGTGCGGTGTGGTGCTGAGAAGAATGTATATTCTGTTGATTTGTGGTGGAGAGTTCTGTAGATGTCTATTAGGTCCACTTGGTGCAGAGCTGAGTTCAATTCCTGGATATCCTTGTTGAGTTTCTGTCTCGTTGATCTGTCTACTGTTGACAGTGGGGTGTTAAAGTCTCCCATTATTATTGTGTGGGAGTCTAAGTCTCTTTCTAGGTCTCTAAGGACTTGCTTTATCAATCTGGGTGCTCCTGTATTGGGTGCATATATATTTAGGATAGTTAGCTCTTCTTGTTGAATTGATCCCTTTACCATTATGTAATGGCCTTCTTTGTCTCTTTTGATCTTTGTTGGTTTAAAGTCTGTTTTATCAGAGACTAGGATTGCAACCCCTGCATTTTTTTGTTTTCCATTTTCTTGGTAGATCTTCCTCCATCCCTTTATTTTGAGCCTATGTGTGTCTCTGCATGTGAGATGGGTTTCTTGAATACAGCACACTGATGGGTCTTGACTCTTTATCCAATTTGCCATTCTGTGTCTTTTACTTGGAGCATTTAGCCCACTTACATTTAAGGTGAATATTGTTATGTTTGAATTTGATCCTGTCATTATGATGTTAGCTGGTTATTTTGCTTGTTAGTTGCTGCAGTTTCTTCCTAGCCTTGATGGTCTTTACAATTTGGCATGTTTTTGCAGTGGCTGGTACCGGTTGTTCCTTTCCATGTTTAGTGCTTCCTTCAGGAGCTCTTTTAGGGCAGGCCTGGTGGTGACAAAATCTCTCCGCATTTGCTTGTCTGTAAAGTATTTTATTTCTCCTTCACTTATGAAGCTTCATTTGGCTGGATATGAAATTCTGGTTGAAAATTCTTTTCTTTAAGAATGTTGAATATTAGCCCCCACTCTCTTCTGGCTTGTAGAGTTTCTGCCAAGAGATCCGATGTTAGTCTGATGGGCTTCCCTTTGAGGGTAACCCGACCTTTCTCTCTGGCTGCCCTTAACATTTTTTCCTTCATTTCAACTTCGGTGAATCTGACAATTATTTGTCTTGGAGTTGCTCTTCTCAAGGAGTATCTTTGTGGCATTCTCTGTATTTCCTGAATTTGAATGTTGGCCTGCCTTGCTAGATTGGGGAGGTTCTCCTGGATATTATCCTGCCGAGTGTTTTCCAACTTGGTTCCATTCTCCCCGTCACTTTCAGGTACACCAATCAGACGTAGATTTGGTCTTTTCACATAGCCCCATATTTCTTGAAGGCTTTGTTCATTTCGTTTTATTCTTTTTTCTTTAAACTTCTCTTCTTGCTTCATTTCATTCATTTCATCTTCCATCACTGATACCCTTTCTTCCAGTTGATCGAATCGGCTACTGAGGCTTGTGCATTTGTCACGTAGTTCTCGTGCCTTGGTTTTCAGCTCCATCAGGTCCTTTAAGGACTTCTCTGTATTGGTTATTCTAGTTAGCCATTCGTCTAATTTTTTTTCAAGGTTTTTAACTTCTTTGCCATGGGTTCGAACTTCCTCCTTTAGCTCAGAGTAGTTTGATCATCTGAAGCCTTCTTCTCTCAACTTGTCAAAGTCATTCTCCATCCAGCTTTGTTCCATTGCTGGCGAGGAGCTGCATTCCTTTGGAGGAGGAAAGGCACTCTGATTTTTAGAGTTTCCAGTTTTTCTGCTCTATTTTTCCCCATCTTTGTGGTTTTATCTACCTTTGGTCTTTGATGATGGTGATGTACAGATGGGGTTTTGGTGTGGATGTCCTTTCTGTCTGTTAGTTTTCCTTCTAACAGTCAGGACCCTCAGCTGCAGGTCTGTTGGAGTTTGCTTGAGGTCACTCCAGACTCTGTTTGCCAGGGTATCAGCAGCGGAGGCTGCAGAACAGCAGATACTGGTGAGCAGCAAATGTTGCTGCCTGATCGTTCCTCTGGAAGTTTTGTCTCAGAAGAGTTCCCGGCCATGTGAGGTGTCTGTCTGCCCCTACTGGGGGGGGGGGGCCTCCCAGTTAGGCTACTTGGGAGTCAGGGACCAACCTAAGGAGGCAGTCTGTCCATTCTCAGATCTCAAGCTGTGTGCTGGGAGAACCACTACTCTCTTCAAAGCTGTCAGACAGGGACATTTAAGTCTGCAGAGGATTCTGCTGCCTTTTGTTTGACTATTCCCTGCCCCCAGAGGTGCAGTCTACAGAGGCAGGCAGGCCTCCTTGAGCTGCAGTGGGCTCCACCCAGTTCGAGCTTCCAGGCTGCTTTGTTTACCTACTCCAGCCTCGGCAATGGCAGGCGCCCCTCCCCCAGCCTCGCTGCCGCCTTGCAGTTCGATCTCAGTCTGCTGTGCCAGCAATGAGGGAGGCTCTATGGGCGTAGGACCCCCCAAGCCAAGCACGGGATATAATCTCCTGGTGTGTCGTTTGCTAAGACTGTTGGAAAAGTGCATTATTAGGGTGGGAGTGACCCGATTTTCCAGGTGCCATCTGTCACCCCTTTCTTTGACTAGGAAAGGGAATTCCCTGACCTCTTGTGCCTCCCGGGTGAGGTGATGCTTCGCCCTCCTTTGGCTCATGCTGGGTGCAGTGCACCCACTGCCCTGCACCCACTTTCTGACACTCCCCAGTACCTCAGTTGGCAAGGCAGAAATCACCCGTCTTCTGCATCGCTCACGCTGGGAGCTCTAGACTGGAGCTGTTCCTATTTGGCCACCTTGGCTCCACCTCAGATCTTTTCATTCTTGTATATACAACAGTTTACTTGGACAGCCTGGGTAGTCAGGAACATCCATCCAAGCCACACTTCTGCCTATTAGGTTCCTCTGTTGTGCTAAACAACAATTTGAATTTATAAATTCTATTGAACAGTGTTTCATCAAGTGAAACTCCAGTTTCATTGTACCTAGGAACTTGCCTCTCTTACTGCCTATTATTTAATCTTTCTAAGACTCTGTTTTCTCTTCTATAAAAAGAGGGTTGTCTTGCTGGGATGCTCCCTTGACATGCTTCACTTATCTTTATCGCCCTTATCACCATCTGGCATATTGTAGTTATTCCTTTACTTATTATCTATCTAAACCAGTAGATTGTAAGCTCCATGAAAACAGGGTCTTTGCTGGCCTTTTTTTAAACTACTGTGTCTCTACAATAAAGAGTAGTGCCTGACACATAATGGTTCACAGTAATTATTTATTGGATGAATGAATGAGATAATGCATCAGAAATACTGTGTCCATTTTAAGGCATGATCTCAGTTGTCTATTCCTGCATAAACAATCTACCCCACAATTCAGTAGCTCAAAACAACCATTTTATTGTATCTTATGATTTTGTGGGTCAGTAATTTGGACAGGTCTCAGCTGAGCAATTTGTTTTCCCCATGCAGTATTGACTGGGTCACTTGCTGGTATTCAGTGGAAGGCAGGGCTGCTCTGGAGGTCCCAGGTAACTTCACTTATATTGTGTGCCTGATGCCTTTGAGGACTGCTGGTGGCCTCAAGACCTCTCCTCTCTATAGCTCCAGCAAGGTAGTCGGATTTCTTTCATGGCAGCTCAGTATATCAAGAGGCCTACTGGAAACTGCAAGGTTTCTTATTGCCCAGGTTCAGGAGTTTGTGGCCTAGAACTGCATTCTATTGGTCAAGCAAGTCATGAAGACCAGCTTAGATCCAAGGGAGGGGAATTAGACTCTACCTCTGAATAAGAGAAGTAGCAAAAAAATTTGTAGCCATCTTGAATCAACCACATTCCTTTTCCTCTGACCACAGACATTATTACCACAAGCAAAATAAACTCACACTCTCCTAAAGCCCTCAAAAGTTTCCTGACATTTACTGCATCAGCCTAGAAGTCCACTTTCTCACCATCTAACTCAAATTCAGGTGATGATGAGGCTCCTGGCACTCAGCTCCTTGAGTATAGTTCCCCTTGATCTGAAGTCACTGGGGCTCTCACACCCAAGAAACAATGGGACAGAGATAGGATAACCATAATAGGCACTCCCATTCGAAGAGTCAGAGAACAGAGGCATACAGTGGTCAGTAGTCCACAGCAATTTTGAAATCTAGCTGAGTACATATTACCAGTTCCTTGATTAGGGCCCAGTCCTGCTCCTGGGAATGATTCCCTCTGGCTATCCATCAGTCCTCTGGGCTCTTGGTTCCATTCTTTGAGCCGTTCTTCTTTTTCCCTAAGAAGTAATCCTTGTTTTTGGCTGGGTAACTTTCTCAGCCTGCTTCTCTGAGGCAGGTTGAGGGTCCAAAGGCATCTTTTCACTTTGTACTCTCTTCATCCTTTTCAGTCAGTCCATGCTGGTATAATTCACTTAAAAATGTTAAGGCATCTTATATACTAATTGATAATGAACTTTACTAGGCAAAAGCCACACCCACATTTCATTCTGAAGCCAGCTTTTTCACCTTGCTTGGACTAACGGTGAGTCTGACATGGGATAACAGAACCTTAAAATTCTTAGAAACTCTTTTGTCCAATGGAGAGGTGCATTGCCTAAGATTGTAGAAGGCTTTTTGTTTAACTGAAAGGATATATGAGGCACCACCTTAATTGAGGTCTTAATCATGGGTCTAGCTGTCACATCTTGGAATTTATTTTTGCCCTGAAGCCATTTCTTATTTTGAAAACTTTCCCTGTCTAGAGAGATTGAGGATGAGAAGTAGTTTGATGTTTGAACCCAGCAAAGTCTACGGCCATGCCACCCTGAATGCACCCGATCTCTTCTGAACCCAGCAAGTCCTGCCTCTTTATAATTCCTCTAAATTCTGCTTAAAAACCAAATGGCTCCTTTTTTAGCCCACTTTTTTTCTTTTTTTTTTTTAATCAATATCTTATAATAATGTGGCTAAAATAAACCTCTTTGTAGTTTTGAAATTCTGCTGAAAATCTCCTTAGCCAGATCCTCCCATTCATTGGGCACCTTTTCTATTTTCCCACATTATCAAAGACGAAAACTTTCTGCCATTACATAACACAGGTCATTTCTTCAGCCACCCCCCATAGTATTTTCTTTACTGTCCTTCAGTCTCTCCAGCAGTCTCCTCGATGTCCTTCCAGTATTCACTAACATTTTTCTCGAGGCCTTTCTAACTTCTGTGGCAACCAGGTTCAAAGTCATTGCCATTTGTTTTCAGTTTTTGTTATAGTGAAAGTCCACTTTCAGATACCAAATTTAGTTCCAGTTATCTATTGTTACTTAGTAAACTACTCCAAAACTTAGCACAATAAGCAATTTATTGTATCTCATCATTTTGGTAATCAATAATTCTAGCATGGTTCAGCAGGGCAAATTTATTCCATAGTGGCCACAGTTAGGGTTGCTCAGTTGTGTCCAGCTGATGGAAGACTGCTTCACACATAATGCCTGGCACCCTGATGGGAACTGCTGGTCGTTGTGCTCAGCTAGGCCCCTCCCCTTGTCATGTGGTCTCATGGCCTCTGCACGTGGTTTATCTAGCATGGTAGTTTGACTTATCCAGCAGCTTAGGCCTTAGAAGACATGTCCCAAGAGTCTCACATGGAAGCTACAAGGCTTCTTACTTACCTAGCCTGGCCAGTCAGACATCTCTTCTGCTGTATTCTATTAGTCAAGTAAGTCTCTAAGGGTAGCCCATATTAAAGGGAGGAGAATTAGATTCCACCTCTCAATGGGAGAAGTAGCAAGTAATTTGTGGTCATCTTTAATCTACTACAGACACTGTATCCTTGATCTCAGAATGATGCCTCTTTGTCTGGAAAGGGCATTTGTTTTTTAAGCCCAAGGTTAGAGAGACAGACATGGAGCTGTGATGGATCAAGAAGACATCATGTTCTGACTAACCAGGTGATCACAGGGATCACTGAAGTGACAGATGTTGCAGACATATTGTCCTCCTATCTAAGTCCCAGCCAATGTTACGTGTCAAAATTAGGGAAGCAGTACGCAAAATGGTTAGGCAGGCCATTCTGAAACAAAACTGATTGGTTTCAAATCTCAGCTTTGCCATCAATCAGCTTTGTGAATGTGGGCAGTATAATTTACCTCCCTGTGCTCCACATTAGTCATTTGTAAAGTGGGCATTAACTAGAGCCTACCTCAAAAGACTGCTGCGAGGATGAAAAGAGTTAGTACACACACAATTGTTAGAGGAGGATCTGGCAAAAATATATTAGACATAGCTATTTTTATTATTGATGTATAGATTATGCAGTAAACTATATCAACATCAATAATCCTTTTTACCCAGAAACAAGTTGGAGAGAAGAAAAGGAAAATGAATTTTAAAAACTGAATGAAAGGTAAAAGTATCATTGGAATATTTGGAGCTGACTGTAAAGACTGTGACACCTTCCGATTTTTTGTCCCTTATCATCAATTCAGGTATTCCCTGAAGCACAATCAGTTGACCAAACTAAGAGCAGTGCCCTCAGGAAAGAATAAAATGAATAGTTTAATTTATCAACATCATTTACCCAGGTTATTTGAGTTCTTTTTATTTATTTATTTTTTTTTTGAGACGGAATCTCGCTGTCGCCCAGGTTGGAGTGCAGTGGCGCGATCTCGGCTTGCTGCAGGCTCCGCCTCCCAGGTTCACGCCATTCTCCTGCCTCAACCTCCCGTGTAGTTGGGACTATAGGCGCCCGCCACCTCGCCCGGCTAATTTTTTGTATTTTTAGTAGAGACGGGGTTTCACCGTGTTAGCCAGGATGGTCTCGATCTGCTGACCTCGTGATCCGCCCGCCTCGGCCTCCCAAAGTGCTGGGATTACAGGCGTGAGCCACCGCGCCCGGCCGGTTATTTGAGTTCTAAGCCAGAAAACTGAGAGCAGACACACACATAACAATACTTGGTTGCCAAATGGAAATAAAAAGCAATGTGTTAGGATAGGCTAGATTATGCTCCAGTAATAAATAATCTCCAAATCTCAGTAACTTAATACAACAAAAATGAATTTCTTGCTCATTCTACATGTTCAATTAGGGTTAGCAGGAAGGCTCTGACCATCACAGTAACTCAGGGACTTAGGTTGATGAAAGCTTCATCTTATTGATCTTCAAGGATCAATAAAACAGCAGAAACTGAAAAGGGCCAATTATGTACTAGCTCTTAAAAATGTCTGCGTTCTTCCCAGAAGTGACCACATGAGACTTCCTCTCACGTTTCAGCCAACGAAACAAGTTACATTTCACTGTTCAAAAGTCATAGCTAAGTTAAAATGGGATGAGGAAGAATAAAGTTACCATGTATCTACAAGGAGAAAAGCTTAACAAAAAGCAAGAAAGCAGCACATACAGTGACTGGTGGATTGCATTATTGTTCCACAAATATTACTCTCCCCTCCTGCACTCTGTGGGCAGACTGTACTTTTCTGCACCAATGACTTTGGACTTGGCCATGTTACTTACTTTGGTGAACGGAAAATGGCAGAAGCGAGACTGTGCCAGTTCTGAGCAGAGACCAGTCATCATGAGTCTCTGCCAACTCTCTTGCACTCCTGCACTCTGCCATGAAAACGACAGACTTAAACCAATCCATACCTAAACTATAGATCCTTGAGGGAGAAATGGATGTGTGTTGTATAATACTGAGATTGGGGAGTTCTTTGTTGAGCAGCATTGTTTCAGCAAAAAGATGACTAATACAGTGACTCAACACAAGGATTTCATGAGACTGGCTACTACACATATGGTTTCCAAGAAAGGATATGAAATAAGACCTTACTAGCTAGTATTCTAAGAAATGTAAAGCAAAATGAGATGGTGTTACATTATTTGTATACTAGCTAGATATAGAACTAAAATATAACTATCCAATTATTTACAAATTAAATAAGAAAAAAATAAAAGGAGAATTTCTAGTGCTTTTGAGGCTAAGATAATAAAATTAGAAAGTCCTTTTATCCCAGGAAAATCGCCATTCCTGCTGCTATAGCAAAATAGCTTAGACTGGGTAATTTGTAAATAATAGAAATTTATTTCTCACAGTTCTGAAGGCTGGACCAAGATCAAGGTGCTGGCAGATTCAGTGTCTGGAAGAGCTTGCTCTCTGCTCCCAAGATGGCTCCTTGTTGCCACAGATGCTGTGTCCTCACATGGCTGGAGGGACAGAGGACAAAAGGGACCAGAGCAATCCTTTCAACCTCTTTTTTAAGAGCACTAATCCCATTCATGAGAGTGGAGTGTTCATGCCTTATCACTTCCTAAGACATATTCCTAAAAGGCCCCACCCTGTAGTACTATAACACTCGGTATTAAGTACCAATGTATGAATTTTGAAGGCATACATACATTCAACCATAGCATAATTCAAAAAAGGAGAATGATAAAGGCAGAAAGCTCTTCATTAAGGCATTATTTATAACAGTCTAATATCAGAAACAGCATAACTATGCAATAGTAGAATATTTTAAGTAATCTATGGTCCTACTAATATTATAAAATATTGTACACTCATTAGAATAATAACTATGAACTTTCCCTAAAAACATGGACAAATATTTACTAAGTGAAAGAAGGAGAATATAAACATATACCTAAGCTGTAATCGTAATTATGTAAATAGATATTTAATATATATAGATAACGACTAAAGGGAATTTGGAGAAATTTAAACATTTGTGCTGTAGCAGTGGTTATATGGGTGAATATTTTTCTTCTGAAATCTAACGCAAAAAAATTGTTCTTTTGACAATAAGTATAATTTTTAAAACAACAAGGAAATTTCTCTTCTCAAGAATATACCCATGTGTGTAAGAAAGAGTTGGTGTTTGGATTAAAAGATGCATTTTTTAAAGAGTGGGAAAAAATGCAACACATTTTTAATATTGAAGATCCCTGGGTATTCTGAGTAATCTATATAACTCTGTATTTTTCAAATGTTTTTACAATGAATGTGCTATAAACTTTTGAAAAAAGTTATTTTAAAAATACATGAACGTATTTTCTAGCGTCACTTCTGAGACCCCACAGCTCACCTAGTTAGTGCTATCATTTCTTGAATCCAGTGAGCTGCCTGTAGACAGAGTTCCTCTCCACAACTCGGTAGCCCATCATTTGATTTGAGACAAAGCTAAATATAGCCCCAACTTTGGTATGAAGGATGGGAATCTGACTCTCCCTGCCTTTTCTTCCCCCCCATCAGAGGCAACAGGATATTCTTTTCAAGACAGGTGGCCTGTGAGCCTTGTCTAAGATCAAACTGGACCTTGAAATTTTTCCTGGTAACATTTTGAGCTCTGGAGCAGTGTGGTCCTACCAATAAATCAAGTGTTGGAGGAGTCTAGACTAGGGGCTTTTTAGATAGTTCTGCTAAACCTTCAAATGTTTTGTTATCCTCCCCTCCCCACCCCTACTTTGTACTAGTATGTAGGGGAACCAATCCAAGAGATAACAGACAGATGACAGGTTCCCCCAAGAACACAGACTCCCCACAGTCTCACCAATACCCAGGCATGCCAGGTTCTTCCTGAGTTAAATGCCTAGGAGGCCTGAAAGAATAAATTCATCCTGGAGAAGTCTTGTGGGTTGTAGCTTTAGAAATTCAGGGAACATATCTCTGGGGCCACCCAATGGAGAACACAGCCTGTATCAGAACCTTAGCAGAGACTTTGGGCCTTTTGGGGTCTCAAATTTATCATCTCTGAAACAAGTACAACGAAATTAACATTGCCACATGTGGGCACTATAAAGCCTTTTTCAAATAAAAAAAAGGTCAGTGATAGTGCTAATAATAACAGTGATTATGTCATTTAATAAAACGGTCTTATTTGAAAGCTAAAAAGGAGCTTCAGGGTGGCAAGCACTCTAATTATAGTATGTCTGCCTTGTTTAAATCTTGATACATAAGTACATGGTACAGGGCCTGAGGCAATGCCATCTCCAAAGAGGCCTTTTCCATGATCTTAAAACAGTCACAAGGGAGTGTCTAGGTCCTGATGGCTACTGTCTTGAGGCTTTTCTAGTGTTCTGGGAGTCAGGAAGCTTCTCCCTCCTTGAAGCTATTGGTAGAGCCCAGTTGCTGGCGAAACTGAAAAACGAGGAGGTAGAATACCCTAAAACAGGAGATGTCTGGGATACAGGCAGCTAATAGGGCTGTAAGGTTTTGTTGGGATGCTTCCCTTCCTGATGAAGGGTCCTGTCCCTGGATTAATGGTGAAACTGGCATGTCACATCTCTAGGAAGACAACATCGTGTTCCATGACCACGTAGGGTATACGTCTGCATTCAGCCGGGATTGCTCCTAAACCTTCCTAGACTCCATCTCTGGCTCTGGGGTTACCTGTGGGTGGGGCGATGCAGACACACAAGAAAACCTCCTCTACAAATTCTTCCTGTAGTTGGTTGATTGTATTCTAAGACCTTCGTTGGGATGGGCGAGGGACGGGGCTTGGTACGGCGTCCTCTAAGCTCTCTGCCCTCTGCCGTCATCATTCATCTGAGCCAGCGAGAGAGGGGTCGGGGAGACGCGAGGGTGGTTCAGGGGGCGTGCAACCTGGGCCGATTGTGCCCCAGCACACTGGTTGTCGGGAGCCCCGCCTCCGCTCGCGGTTGACAGCTCAGCTGGTGCCGAGCAACTCGTGCCAGCCAGTCGTGTCTCAGCCTGGAGAGTGCGCGCACCGCCGCCCGGGCAGCCGCTGGCTCCAGCTCACGAAACAGCCCCGGGCGCCGCGCCGCTCCGAGTCCAGCCTCCTACTGAGAACAGTCCCTCCCTTGTGCGGGTCGCACGGCTAGCCGCAGGTTCGGCCACGTCAAATCCATTTTCTAAAAAAGCAGGGAGCAGAGCTCTCTCTTCGCCGCCGACGCAGAAAGGAGCTGGGGAGGAAAAAGCTGCTGCCTTTTGCGCTGGAGATTCGTGGGCAAGGCTTCTCATTTTCCCAGGCTGCTTCCCCTCCCGGGTGAGGAGCGTCCTAAGACTAAGGAAAGAGCCTGGAAAATGGAGCAGACCTGGACGAGGTAGGTGGGCTGTTTCCTTCTCGCCGCACTCCAGACTTGGTGGTCCTCCTCCCTCCCCTCCCCCAGCGCCCTTAGGGAGAGAGAGGTCGCCCCTCACCACCAGGGTCCCGTGACAGCTTCCCTTTTCTGTAGCCTCGCCCTGCCTGGTTCCCAGCCCACCTCTCTTGGTCATTTTCACATGTTCTGTTTTACGGGGTTTCCCTTGCTTAATGACTCTCCCCTCCACCGAGTCCTGATGTTAAAAATACCCAGGGAGGCCGCCTGGAACTTTCTGTAGAAATGGTTCTCTGTCGTTTCCTTGTTCGTGTGGCTAGAGGGATTCCAGTAGGTCTTCTTGAGAGATATGTTTGATGTCAGATGCTTTGAACAATATCAGGTTTATTCTCACCCTGCCACGTTTTCCTTCTCAGCCTCATCTGTCACTACTCACACAAAGGCAAAGGGACTGAGTGAGCAGAGCCCAGCAGCACTCATCTCCACAACCTCCAGTTGGAGCCCACTTGGGGGAGGAATGGAGAAGGAAAGAGATCAGGGCACCACACTGCTCAGGCTTTATTGAGGCCAGGCAACAGTTGGCTTTTAGGTCAGATTTTGGAGATGGCCTGTGAAACTGCGTTTTCTTCCAGTCCTTCCCCCAAACACACTTTAAAATGAAGCCCCATTCAAGGAAAGGGTAAGGATAAGAGACCATGTATTGAGACAAAGACTTCGTTTCTGTTTTTTAGTGGGTGGGAGGGTAGGGAGACTATTCCAGCGGTGTCTCTATAACAGATACGCTTCCATCTGTGGGATTTAGCTTTGGAGAATTGGGGTGGGGCCAAATGAGCGCTCTGACTCCTGAGAGAGTGAAGACCGTACAAACACAGAAGGTAAATTTGGGGCTTATGCAAAAGACTTGGGTGCTTTTAGTTGATTGCTAAGCTCAACAGGAGTGAATGGTATAATGTGAATATTAAAGAAGGAGCAAATTGAAGCTTAGGGTTTGTTGACAGAAGAAGTAGGCTGTCTAGATTCTGTTTAGATCAAAAGTGATGATTTTACTTTTGGCTCCTTTCTGCTCCTCTTGGGCCTCTCCGAGAGGGCTGTGCTTAGTTCTGGGCATCATTAGATAAAATAAGTACAATCAAGAGACAGGAGGGAACTCAAAGCCATGCCTTGAGGGATGGCCAAAGGAAGGACCTGGGACTCCTGAGTCCGGAGAAATGACGACTGGGAGTGGGGAGGATGTGGTAGCTTCCTTCAAATTTCCGAAGAGCTATTGGTGGTAGAGGGATTGAATCACATTAGAATCTCTTAGGAGGACAGAACAACCGATGCAAGCGAGTTGTTGGGAGGCGAGTTATGGCTCAGTGTAAAGAAAAAGCTTTCTGGCCAGGTGCAGTGGCTCATGCCTGTAATCCCAGCACTTTGGGAGGCTGAGGCAGGCGGATCACCTGAGGTCGGGAGTTCAAGACCAGACTGACCAACATGGAGAAACCCCATCTCTACTAAAATACAAAATTAGCCGGGCGTGGTCGCACATGCCTGTAATCCCAGCTACTCCGGAGGCTGAGGCAGGAGAATCGCTTGAACCCGGGAGGAGAAGTTTGTGGTGAGCCGAGATCACGCCATTGCACTCCAGCCTGGGCAACAAAAGCGAAACTCCGCCTCAAAAAAAAAAAAAAAAGACCGGGCGAGGTGGCTCATGCCTGTAATCGCAGTACTTTGGGAGGCTGAGGGGGGCGGATTACGAGGTCAGGAGATTGAGACCATCCTGGCTAACACAGTGAAGCCCCGTCTCTACTAAAAACACAAAAAAAATTAGCCGGGCGTGGTGGCGGGCACCTGTAGTCCCAGCTACTTGGGAGGCTGAGATAGGAGAATGGCGTGAACCCGGGAAGCGGAGCTTGCAGTGAGCCGAGATCGCGCCACTGCACTCCAGCCTGGGCTACAGAGCGAGACTCCGTCTCAAAAAAAAATTAAAAAAAAGCTTTCTAACAAGTTAGCTGCCTGGGCAGTATGGGCAGTAAAGAGATTGTTGACCCTGGAGTTACTCAGGCAAAGGCTAGATGACCACTTGATGGTGATGGGAGTGAGTGTATCAGGGCCTTTTGCTCTCTGCCAGTGTTTTTCACACTTGAAGAAAAAAGTATTATTTATTAAGTTTTAAAAATTTTATATTTACATGTAACAATTTCAGACAAATTCAGAAATGATTTGGAAAAATCGCAAATTATATATTTACAGTCCAATTAATTTGACAAACTGAGTATACTCATGGGATGGGCATTCAGATAGAGAAAGGGAACATTACCAGCATCCCTGAAGCCCTCCTGATGACTTCAAGGATAATCATTATCCTAATTTTTAACACCATAGAATAATTTTGCCTAGTTTTGAACTTTATGTAAATGAAATTATACACCATGTACTCTTTCGTACGTGGCTCCTTTCACTCAATCTTTTGCTTTTGGAGTTCTATACTGTTATATGGTACTGTAGTCCATTTATTCTTGCTTTTAAATAGGCTTCTATAGTGTATAAATATATCAAATTTATTTGTCCATTGTATTCTTAATAGGCACTTGGGCAATTTCCAGTTTGGAGCTATTATAAACAGTGTTGCTATGAACATTTCTGTACAGGTCTTTTGGTGAACATATGTACACATTTCTGTTGAGTAAATAAGTAGAAGTATGATTTCTGCGTAATAGGAAATGCATGTTCAGATTTAGTAAATACTGCCAGATTGTTTTTTTTTTAAACAGATTACAAAAGAGATTTCTAAAGCGGGTATCCAGGCCAGGCGCGGTGGCTCACGCCTGTAATCCCAGCACTTTGGGAGGCCGAGGCGGGCGGATCACGGGGTCAGGAGATCGAGATAGTCCTGGCTAACACGGTGAAACCCCGTCTCTACTAAAAATACAAAAAATTAGCCGGGCGTGGTTGCAGGCACCTGTAGTCCCAGCTACTCGGGAGGCTGAGGCAGGAGAATGGCCTGAACCTGAGAGGCGGAGCTTGCAGTGAGCCGAGATCGCGCCACTGCACTCCAGCCTGGGTGACAGAGCGAGCCTACATCTCAAAAAAAAAAAAAAAAAAAAAAAAAAAAAAGAGGGTATCCAAAGGGAAGAACATAGTGAAAAGGTGCTCCACATCACTAGTTATCAGGGAAATGCAAATTAGAACCACAACACCATGCTGCTATATACATATCAGAATGGCTGAAATTAAAAAGATAGAAAGTAGCAAATGCTGGCAAGGTGGAACATTCAGAATGTTCACATATTTTTTAACCACTACTCACAATAAGTAATATATTTACATTGCCACCAAGTACACTTACATATGTAACAAAGTTTCTTGTAACAATACTTAACTTTACTATGTGTTTTGCACTCTGATATTTGCTATTCTATTCTTTTTATTTAAAAATAAAATGTTGGCTCTGATTCACTGAATTTATTTCTCCACCTAATGGGTCACAGTTGGAAAAATCCTATAATCACAGATTATGGCTGACATCTCAGATCCTTCCTAACTCACAGATCAGATTTGTTCATAAACACTTATTAAAACTTTGAGGGCCGGATGAAATGGCTCACGCCTGTAGTCTCAACAGTTTGAGAGGCCAAGGCAGGTGGATGACTTGAGGTCAGAAGTTCGAGACCAGTCTGGCCAACGTGCTGAAACCCCATCTCCACTAAAAATACAAAAATTAGCCAGGTGTGGTGCCTGCACCTGTAGTCCCAGCTACTTAGGAGCCTGAGGCAGGAGAATCCCTTGAACCCGGGAGGCGGATGTTGCAGTGAGCTGAGATTATACCACTGCACTCCAGCCTGGGTGACACAGTGAGACTCTGTCTCAAAAATAAATAAATAAATAAATAAATTTTGAGAGCCCCAAACAGGTCAGACGCTGTGCTAGATGGTAAGAATAAAACAATGAATGCAATGAATGAGACTGGGTCTCTGCCTTTAATGGCTTTACATTCTCATCATCTCTAATTTTAATAGAGAGACACTAAGGCAGAGATACGCAGTGGCTGCTCTGGGTACACAGTGGATAGGGGATTGAAAGAATAAAAATTAACCATAATTGATAACATTTATTAAGCTTTAATTGTGTGCTAATCTCTTTGAATACTTAATTCACCTAATCCTTACAACCCTATGAAGTAAATGTTATACTCATTTTTAAGAAAAGGAAATTGAGCTTCAGAAAGATTAAATAATTTTCCCAGAGTGACACACACAGCTGAGAAAGAAATATAGCCTTGAACCGTTTAATTCCAAAATCTATGCTTTTACTTTATTTTAGTAGAGTTTTGTAGGTGACTCAGTTTATGACTTGTTTCTGAAGCTAGCTACTTGCTCAATTTACCCACAAAGGACAAGGTGCTTGATATTTTAGTTCTCAAAGTTAGATATGCTCTACTCCCAGCTACACATCATCTGCCCCTCTACAGCTCAATGGAAAGGTTCCCCCTACCCGCTGGGGCTGTTACCTGACTGTTGCCAAACTCACTGGTTAAATCATTTGGACAGAGCATGGTTGGCTCTGGAATAGCAAATTTTCTATGAATATACTGGCATTACAAAAAGCTGATTTGGTCACCAGCTTTCAGATTTATTTCCGTGAACAGGGCGAGAGTTGTCAAAAGAATAAGCTCATGGAGCTGATGAAGAACTTGATGATGAGGGGAGGTTTTCTCACCCGGCAGGTCCAGTGTCAACCAGGCAAACAGCTTCTACTGCTCTAAATTTTTAACATCCACCTGTCTGGACTAGCAACTCCCTACACCTTCTGCTTTAAAGATTATCAGTACTTCAGGATTACTGTTTGTATTAATTTCCTATTGCTGGTGTAACAAATCACCACAAACATTTTTTTTTTTTTTTTTTGAGATGGAGTCTCACTCTGTTGCCCAGGCTAGCGTGCAGTGGTGCAATCTTGGCTCACTGCAACCTCCGCCTCCCAGTTTCAAGGGATTCTCCTGCCTCAGCCTCCCAAGTAGCTGGGATTACAGGCACATGGCACCACACTCAGCTAATTTTTGTATTTTTAGTAGAGACGGGGTTTCACCATGTTGGCCTGGCTGGTCTCAAACTCCTGACCTCAAGTGATCCACCTGCCTTGGCCTCCCAAAATGCTGGGATTACAGATGTGAGCCACTGCACCCAGCCAAATCACCACAAACTTAGTGGCTTAAAACAGTACAAATGTATTGCCTTAAAGTTCTGGAGGTCAGAAGTCTGAAATTTGGTCTTCTAGGTTAAAACCAAGGTATCAGCAGGACTGTGCTCCTTCTAGAGGCTCTAAAGGAGAATTTGTTCCTTGCCCTTCATGGCTTCTAGAGACTGCCCACATTCTGGGTTCATAGCCCCTTCCAGCAATGCCATCACTGGCCTCTGCTTCTATCATCACATCTCCTTTGATCATTCTGACCCTCCAGTGTCCCTCTTACTAGGACCCTTATGATTACACTGGACCCAACCAGATAATCCAGGATAATCTCCTCATCTCAAAATCTTTAGTCACATCTGCAAAGCCCTCTCTTGCTATGGAAAGTGGCATATACACAGGATCTGGGGATTAGGAATGTGGACATTCTTATAAGGCCATTATTTTAGCCTACCACATCGTTCAATGCTGAAAAAGTCATTACTAATTATCTTCCCCATTTCAGTGGAAATGTTCTGGTTTCTAGCATATGAGAAAGCTGAGTAAACATCAGGTGAATCATATATGAACCTTATACAACTTCCCCGAACACATAACTCAAGAAAAGAGTGAACTAGAAATGTTTAAGGGCAAACTATAAGACTGAAGGTTAAAAAAGGAAAGCAAATTAGTCTGTTTTGTTTTGTTTTCTATTCCCCTGCAATTTGATTTAATTTGCTTGCTGTATCTGTGAAAATTTGGAAAATGGAAGTAACATTCAAGAAAATTAATGATCTGGTTTCAAAATTTAAGAATTTTTTTGACTTTGTTTCTTTTCTGGAGTACAGCCTTCAAGCAAGACAAGGTGTCCATTTACCACAGCTATATTGTACTTAACAGATCTCCATTGATAGCTTATTTGAATTTGTTTTTCTCTATATAAATGTTTAGCCTAGAGGAATCAGGGACATTTATTTTTCTCTGAATTTATGGTGAGTTAGTAGAGAGTCCTGTTTACAAAGACATAGTTACAACCAGAGATATATGGCCACTGAGGTTAAAGTGGTTAAATGATTTGCTGGCATTCACACAACTAGTATGTGTTGTATGAAGGCCTAGTTAATTCCAATACCTTTACTTATTATGGTGCTGGTGCTTTGCATGTAACACTTCATATTAGGAAAATGCTTGTTTTCAGAATTCTATTATTGAAACATCTTTGGAAGTTGAATTTCCTGTTTAATATTCAGCACTGCTAGCAACTAATTATCTGAATTTTAAGAAGGAAATTCTGCCTTGGCAACTCCAGTCTACTTTTAAATGGGCCTATACTTGGATTTCGGCTTGGGGAATTTGCCAGAATCAATGCTTTCACTCCTACTTGCTTATTTTCCACATACTAGATCAGTCTGGACCTGACTCCCCCAACCCCCATTTTTTCAGCTACATGCTAAGACTATGTTTAAAATACCTAAAGACTGGGAAGGGGTTGTTTTTGTCTCAGAAAGGATAAGTAACACCTCATGGTGCCCTCCCCATCCTGGGGGGCTCGCCTGACTGTGGCTGAGGGATCATATTTTCAAGGCTAAGTGGAGCATCCATCCATTCAGTGGATGCCCCAGGACACTACTTCTATTGAAATCTACCCCATTTTGTAAATAAAATTCCAAACTGGGCTCAGAACATTCCACAAGTTGTCTCTGGCAAAAATTCAAATAGCATTTAAAGTTAGAAGAAAGTCCAGAATACAAGAGATGTCATATTGACCCAAGGTGGCTCTATGTGATTCTATTTTAAAACACTCAAATGCACTGAGGACTTGTTTTCCTCTGCCTCAGAGCATTTTCTGAGTTCTGTGGCCAGCAAGACAAGCATGATCTGAATTTCTTTTTTCTGAATGCTTATGGCTAAAGTGCTAAATTAGTCATAGACTATTTATAATGAATTGTATAATAATACTGTTTTATTTTCATAGCAGTTTCACAGCCTGTGATTCATCTTTCCTTAATCTGTCTCATTATCTTCAGTCCTTTTCTGCTTGTTACATTCCACAGAAACGTCTTTCTTTCTTGTCTTTTCCAAGGCCAGTGAGGGAAGAGGTAACTTGCAACTAGTGTCTTCTTATCATGGTCATGGTGGAAAGGGTGGAAAGAAGCAATAACTTCTGACATACAGAAAGCATTCACTGGCCAGGCACAGTGGCTCTCGCCTGTAATCCCAGCACTTTGGGAGGCCAAGGCAGGAGGATCACTTGAGGTCAGGAGTTCGAGACCAGCCTGGCCAACATGTTGAAACCCCATCTCTACTAAAGATACAAAAATTAGTGGGCATGGTGGGGGGTGCCTGTAATCCCAGCTAATCGGGAGGCCGAGGAATGAGAATTGCTTGAACCCAGGAAGTGGAGGTTGCAGTGAGCCGAGATCACACCACTGCACTCCAGCCTGGGTGACAGAGCAAGACTCTGTCGGAAAAAAAAAAAAAAAACAAAAAAAACAAAAAAACTAGAAAGCATTGACTCACAAAGAAAATTGAATAATTTCTAGCATTTCACACAATTTAAGAATGAATTTATTTTCCACTTCATAATGTGGTATATTATCATTCATAATGTAGAATAACATGCTGTGGATTTACAGTGTCTTTTAAATCATTACGCCTAACCCAAAGGATGTAGACTTCCAATTTTTAACTATTATAAATAATACTTGATAAATGTCTAGGTGCATAAAGCATCTTCTTCCACAGCATTATTTTTTGAATGAGAGATGTTCAGAAGTAGAATAACTACGTCAACATTTCCAGTTCTTGAAAGTACACTGCAAATTACTTAAAGTTATAGTCCCATAAGAAGGATATTGCATTCAATTTAAATATCTTTTTCAAGACCTGAATCCCTGTATTGTAAAGGGGAAAACTGAGGCACACTGACATTAAAGTGGCATAACCTAGGTGAATCAATAGCAACATTTCCAACTTTTACCCTTCTCTGGGGTAAAATGCTTCACTGTTGCTGTTAATCTCTATTACTATCCTGAAACGTTTCCTGAAATGATAATAAACAGAAAATTTTAACATAAGAAAGTAAAAGATAGGTGTAAATTACATCAAAACTATGTATACCTATTAGGATGTCTATTACAAGGACAGAGAAAAGAGAAAATAGATGCCGTGTTTGGTTAGGGGATTATGGGCAACATCCTTTATATGCTGCTTTTAAACTAAGTCAACATAGGTTTTTATTGCAGGAAGAAGTTCACATTTGTGTCTACCAAATGACAACATGTAAAGTTTGGAATTGAGTTGGTTTTAGGTTTTTCTGTGTATCACTTGGAGGTTTTCTGTGTATAACTTTCTTGTATTACTTGGAGATTTTCAGGTTATTGGCACCACAGGAGCAGCATTATTGCCAGCAGACCCGGGGAGCTGGTTGGAGAGTCATTGCGACTTAATTTACCCTGAGCTAAAATTATTATGAGTGGGCCTTAATATACCAGTTGTTCCCACCTACACATCTAGCCTTGCCTTTGCTGGGATAAATTTGTATACCCTTCAGAGGTTAGATTCAGAAGTACCTCCTTTAGGAATTATTTTTAGAACCTAGATCTGGGTGTAGCCAGAACACGCTCTGCCTACTCTGTTGTAGCATGTAGCTAGTTGGTTAACTTGATATTTTCCATACTCCAAGTTTATCGGCAGAATGAAACGTTTTTGTCTATAAGTCTTCAGCATCTAACATTGCCTCTAGCACTTAGAAGGTCATCTATTAAGAGCTTTCCAGAGAACATTCCCCAAAAGGCCGATGGGAATATCTGTTTGGTGGGTGTCTCCTTATTGTAGAATGGATACAACAGGTTATCAAACTTGACACCATTATACATTCAGATTGTATTTATCATTGTTTAAGAAATATGTGTCTTGTTTCCTCAGTTACGGGAAAAGAAAAAAAAAGAAATACGCATCAAATTCCTATGATCTAGACTTCTTTAATGCTGGACAGACGATAGTGAATGATCTAAAAACCCTCCCTTCCAGAGACTGACATTCTAGAGGGGTCACTAGGCATGGACATACATCACTGTTATACCTTGACCTGACATAGCCTTAACTCGAATTCACTTCAGTATGCTATCAGCACAGCCATCTTTTGTAGCTCATCTTTCTTCCAGATTTTCCACCCTTAGGATCCTTAATGCTGAAATTATACTTCTTGACCACAGGTCAAGTCCCCCACTTCCTCGTTCTTTCTGAATGTTGTTTACTGCGTCATGTATTCCAGTTCCTCAACTCTCTGTATCTTCCAGGCCATCTGCTGTTTATTCACCTCCATACTGAACCTAGACGTCAGAGTCAGCTCTTTGAATCGTGTTCTCAACGCTGCTTTAGAATCTCTAACTGCCTTAACCATCTCCCGGCTTGGTAACCCTTAGTCAATTTTATTTTAAAATCCTAGAGGATTCTATGAGTGTTGTTTTAGTATGTTATAAAACCGCACTGAGAAGAAAGACTCTAGATTCATTCTTGCTAATCCTCAACAGGTCTATAATGCTGCTGAGAAATTCTCCTCCTCCTCCCACCTGCCTCTTTCTCCTGCTCCTCCTTCCCTGACTCTTTCTCTTCCTCTAAAAATATATTCCTCACAACCTTTGATTTCCGTAGTGTAAATAAAAGCAAGATGCAGAACTGTTATATTCAATATTATTTCCATTTGCAGAATTCACACAGGCAAATAAACTGAAGAACAACTAAATACATAAAAATCTTTATCAATGTTGCCTTCAGGTGGTAGAATTTTAAAAATTATTTTTATGTTTCTCTGTACACTTTTCTCTTTTCCAAAATTTCTACGAGGCATGTACTTCTTTTAAAATCATCAAAAATAGACATTGTAAAGAAAAGAAACTGAAAGATTATGTGAATATAAAAGTAGGTGGAAAGGGGAAAAAATCACCTGTTTCTTAACATTCAGTCTAGGGCTCTAGAAAGATTGAGCCAACTGCAATATACTCCAGTGCATTGTGGATATTAGTTGTTAATGAAAACTGAGGATTGTAGGGTGCATTGCCAGGACCAAAAGCAAAATGCAAAAGGTAAGTTTCAGAGGTGGGTGGAGAGACCATACACCATCCCTGGGGTAATGTGACTGAATCCAAAGCAGGTTATTTTCATGTCTTCTTTTGAAAGAGTGATACCTATGTCTTGGCTGATGCAGGGGAGGTAGAGGAAAATTTATTAGATATTTGGATATGTGATGACCTCAGAAGGTAAAGTGAGGAAAAATAACTACTTACTTATTAAGGGGTTTCTCTGAACCTTGATGATAGCATCAAGAAAGTAATGTTAGTTTCCTTATTTTCTTTAGGATGAAGACTTAGTGCTGGACCAAAAACAAAACAAAACAAAGATCCCGAAACTTAAAGAAATTGTTGTGGATGCACGATGATTTTGTAGCTCACTGTAGCTATTGGGGACTTAGCACTCCAGAAAACAGCCTCTCAGAGTGATGGTCACTGTCAGTGAATAGACTTTGAGTGAAGGGTGTAATTGCAGCCTATACTGGAATAAAGTGGATGTTTCTGTATCGGTGCCAAGTCGGCCCACACTTAGTCAGCATGCAGAAGGAGGCTCACCGTGATGCTCTCTCTCCTCTGGGAGCTTTGCCAATTAAGCATCCTCACTTGCAGAGGTTATAATGACAGATCTTGAGATGAGAAAAAATGATAATTTCACTGTATTATATAATAGTCTTAACGTTCTGCATCTGGGGCTTTTACCCTATTTGCATTTGAATATGTGTTTTTACAATTCGGGTGCCACATTGTGGGAGGGTATTTGGCAACATTTGGAACATAGAAAATATAACCAGTGTCTCTCCTTGGCAAGAGGAAAAAAAAACATCTGAGAAGTCTCAGAGCTTGTTCACTAATGCCTTTTCCACTTTGATTGTTTCTGTTTCCACCACCTTTCCCGCGTTTCAGTTTATTCCCTTGGGTAGGGACAATGCCAAGTGTTATCACGGGAGGGGTTGGAGAAAGATGTAAATATTCTGAAAAAAGTGGGTTAGAGATAGAGAAGTATAAAATGATGGATGACTCACTTTTCACGATAGGACCTATATAAAAAGTCACACTAGCCACTTCCGTTTTGGGATTTTAATTATTTTGTCACATGGCATCTGTTACACCAGTACTCAAATACTCAAGTGTAAGCTGTGCCCATCAGGGATAAGTTGATAGTCTAAGAAACAAATTTGTGTCAGGGTTTGAGACAAAATTCCCATCTCATTAGCACAGCAAACCGTCCACCCTTCCTTTCGCCTCAGCTTCTCAGGGGTGAGTTCCCTGGAGTCAAGGCAGGTACAAAGGAGGTTCCCTGTAAATGTGTGGTTAGAAATAGGGCATATTGGGAAGAGTAAAAGTTTGGAGTCAAATAGACAGTTTTCAAGTTCAGGCTCTGACACCAACTAGCTGTGCGATCTTGGGCAAATTACTTTATCCTTCCAGGCCCCTTGTTTCCTCATCTGTAAACAGGGATTGTATGACGTACTTCACAGGATTCTATGATGACTGAATGAACTGATGCCTAGAAAGTATCAGGCATTCAGTAAATTGCAGAGGCAGCATTGGTGGTGAGTGGTGATGGTTGTCCATGATAATAATATGTTCATTTAATACAAGATTAGTATTGAGGAAAATTCCAGTGCAAGAAAACCTGTGGAATTATAAAATTATGCACCAGCAGTCCAGAAATTGTTAACTGTAGATGTCTTTGTTTTTAAGTTGACACTATTTCTAAAATCTTACCATTTATAAACTGTCAGGGCCAGAGCTTCCCATATTAAAAAATAGGCCACAGTTCTTCTCATTCTGACCCTTTTGTGTTTGCCACAGTTGAATATAGCTGTAAATTAAAAATAGGAAAGATGCATCTTGGAACGTTTGAAAAATTTATTTCATTTGAAACAGAAACCAGCAACTCATGTTAAATGAGCTCCAAGAATATGGGAATTGGAACAGAATCTGCATTTGGTTCAATGCCTACTCCTGTGAGGACCCCAAGAAAGAGCAAACTTCAGCAGTCTTGCTGTCATGCCACATGCCCCTCACTGTTTGAGAGGCCACACCGAGCCGAATCCTTTCCATAGTTCATCTTTTATCAAGGTCATTAATTAGGAAGAGCAATGTAAATTCAATAAAAATAGATTATTCAAACTTTTTAAAAATAAGAATTAGCCTTTTGGCAAAAATAGTAAGAAAAAAAGGGGGAGGATGCTCAGTATATTTTCCGCCACTCTAAACCTCCAGACTTTTCATTTCTCTGGGTTCTTTTCTAGTTTGTTTCTATGGGTATTTTCACAATAGTGCAAATCTTAGCCCCTTTCTTGCTGACATTATTTTAAATCATTTTGGGGGCTTCTAAGCTATAGTGTTTGAGGAGGGAGGTGCAAATGAAGAAACATTTTCACCCTTGGCTTCCCTTCATATTCCCACCTGAGGGTGAGCGCTTGGGGAGGAAGGCTTGAGGAGGGGGAAAGGTAAACAGGAAGTTGGAAGATGTCCTAGGAGGCAGTTTAGGGCTCCTCAGGGTGGGGGGAAGATGGAGCGGGGTGGTTGGGAAGGGGAAAACAAAATGAAAGCCCCCTGAACACACCGTTCATTTTCCTATAATTGGGTCTTTGTTATGTTTCCTTGTGTATTTACACCCATCCTTTAAGACCTAGATTCAGTGTTATCTGTTTTCTGTAAATGTCCTAGACCCCTCCGCCAACCACCCTGTCCCAGCCCACTCCCCACCAGGACAAAATTAATTGCTATCTTATTTATGTTCTGAAATCTCTGTTAAATCTAATTTTTCTAATAATTATCTCTCTGAATCATGTGCCTGCTTCCCTCAATAGATTCTGAGTACTTTAACCACAGGGTATATATACTTTTTCACCTTTGTATTTCCAGTACCTGGCATAAAAGCAACTTCTCAATAAATGTTTACAAAATGGAATTATAAAAACCCTAAAAATAGCAATGAAGGCCCAGGTTTTCGCTCTAGGTATTGCTATAGCAGATTGTTTTTTCTCCTTCTGAATTTTTGTTCATAATAATAAAATATATATATATATATATAAAGAAGCTTGAAAGCTAGAAAATGCCTCTGGGAGATGGCCCTGGTCTTCAGGCTTAGAAATGTTAAGCAAGGGTGGTGGTTAGTGATGAAGTAGGAGGGCCAGACTATGTGGTTCTCAGAACAAACTAAATACATGTGATTGGCCTGAAGAGAGGGCCTGAAAATCACCATTCCTTTGGGAGTTTAGACACTCATATGGGAATAAATAACCTTAGGTTAATTATTTTAGTAGGTGAGACTGGAGAGAAGAAAGTATGGAGCCTAGACAGGCATCAGTACCTTAGAAATAGTTTTAGTGGTGATTTTGGTCCTAGAATACAAATATCTCATACTGTTCAAAGACTCATAGAACCTGCTTTGTAATGATGATTACCATCTTGTCATTGCTTTTGAATGAGATGATTCATTCATATGATCTGTTGTTCCTCTCAGTCCACAAATTAGACAGACTAAAATACAAGAAAATAATACCAGAAATAACAGTTTACGGAGGAAGGTCTATACCTGCCTTATAGAAAATATCTCTCTCTGCAGGCTCCTAAGCAAGAAGAAACCCAAGTGTCTACCCCTCCCCACAATGTTATGAGAAACTAGACTAGTGGGACCAATGAGATGCTTGAATCTTGAAAGGAGCTATATCAGTGGCCAGTTTCAAGTAAAGCAAAACTGAGTGTTTTGGATAACCCTGGCCATAAATGAAACTACCATTCTTAGAAAATTACTGGAAGAAATCATCACAGGACAGTTTGAGAATGTCAGAATATCAGGGGGTGGCAGATGGCCTTCAGAGAAGCAATTATTTCCTGATCATTCTCAACATAATCACCCTGGAAAGCCATAGAAAAACCAAGTAATATGGGATATTGAATGTTGATGTATTATTTGAGTCTAATATCTTAATAGCTACTTATCAGCAACTCAAGAAAATATGAGTGATATACCATGCAGAAATCAAGCAGGTGAACAGCTTGTGAGTAGGTTGTACTTGGAAAATGCTTGGTACTTCCAAAAGCAAAATAATGTCCTGGTGAGAATATTAATATATGTGGTTTTAGTGGAATTGGTATTGTCATTAGCAGATTGATGACGTAGGGAGAAAGACAAGGTAAGACACTGAGGAAAAATATAGTTCATTTATACAGAAAAAGCAAAATTTTAAGTGAAAGCATCATGGGAGAAAGATTATATATGGAAATGCAGGAGAGCTAAAAGTGGCCTGGTGAACCACATATTAGCTGAGCATGAGTCATTCATGGATTGATATTTTAAAAAGCTAGAGACACTTGAATTTGAGAAACTAGGACAAGGATATAAAATTTTTTTCTGAACTTGGGTAATACGAAAGAATGTACCAACATATATTACCACTTTGTGTGTGTGTGTGTGTATGTGTGTGTGTGTGTGTGTGTGTCCATGCTTGGAGTCTGTCTCTACCATACCCCAATTCTCCTTGCACTTTGGTTTATCAAATGTTGTCACAAATTGCAACCCCTTAGACTTATACTCTGTGTTTCCTCACTCTGAGCCCCTTCCCTTGGGGAGCGTCAGATTCCTTTGTAACTTGTGGAGCAGCTGAGTGAGCCCCTTTCTCTGGCAATAAGAGAGGGAACTTGAGCTGTTAATAGAGCTAAAGTGATTTCTTAAAAATCTCCTGAGACACTGCGAGTATGCTTATTAACTCAGTACCCATCTAAAGTGACCTCTCTATCCTTCCAGTTATTGATTCATATCAGGCAGGCAGTGTGCTCAGAGTGGGTGTGGGTGATGCGGGAAGGGTGAGGTGTCTGGTAGGGCTGATATGTATTGCTGTGTTGTAGCTTGCTCTTGACCTATAATGTGCAATCTGCAGAGCAGAGAAGATTGAGTGAGATCATGTCTGGAAGGTATCCTGGATCCTTGGACAGTATTAAAATGGGTTTTATGTTTAAGCATCTATTAGAATAGAGTTGCATAATTACTGCAAGGAACCTTAGAAAGTCATGTCCTTCTTTTATAAATATTAGAGAAAACTAATGCCCAGAGAGGTGAAAGTGACATGCAAGCCAATATAGTAGCTTGTTGCCACAAATTAATTAATTGTGTGTGAAGCCAATGGGTTTCTCAAGACTGTGTCTTAATAAAGCAGAAATGAAATTCTGTCTGCACTTGGTCTATACTGGGGTAACAGCATCAGAAACCTGCAAGATGCCAGGCAAGTATCATAATTAAGTGAATGAGGGACGACAAGGACAGGGAGTGGCAGGGACTGTGGCAAACTGGAAAACACATCCCTGTCCTGTGTAAAGGGGGCAAGTTCTCCCGCTGTGTGGGAAGGCAGGCCCAGTGTTGGCAGACCCACTCATTTCCCAAGAGCAGTTAGAAGTGGGTCAAACTTGTGTGGGCTAAATAAAACATGTCGGATGGGCTGAATTTGGCCCGAGGGTTGACCTTGCTCCTGACAGCAGATGCAGCCACCTTTGTCTGTGGACTAGGCAGAAATGCTCAGTGAATAGCAGCAGCTAAGTATAAATTTTTTCCCCACAGATTTTTTTAAGACATTGTTCTGGTTGATGGTTTTGACATCCTTCTCCTATTTTACCTCCACAGAGGGGAGTGCATACGTAGTACATTCCTCTTTGGCATTGTTTACTCTCAGGGAAAGCTTTTAAGGAGGAGAAGGGAAAGAGGCAGGGGGCCTGGAAGAATCACAAGCTGGTGATCTACTTTTGGATACGAAATAATTGTCAGGTGGCATGTGTAGCCCGATGTGCCCTGTCTGGTATTTTCATGTCCATCTGGGACTTAACAAAGTGAAGATTTCTGCCAAGATCCAGCCCTGAGGCAGGGAAGAAAAAACCACCAATTTCCAAGCAAATGCCAGGTCCTCCTCTGCCTCCCTGTGAATATCTTCTGGCTTTTAAAAAGAGAAGTCCTGTAGGCTGGGCGCAGTGGCTCATGCCTGTAACCTCTGCACTTTGGGAGGCCGAGGCGGGCGGATCACCTGAGGTCAGGAGTTCGAGACCAGCCTGACCAACACGGAGAAACCCCGCCTCTACTAAAAATACAAAATTAGCCGGGCATGGTGGCAGGCACCTGTAATCCCAGCTACTGGGGAGGCTGGGGCAGGAGAATCGCTTGAACCTGGGAGGCGGAGGTTGTGGTGAGCCGAGATCGTGCCATGCACTCCAGCCTGGGCAACAAAAGCAAAACTCTGTCTCAAAAAAAAAAAAAAAAAGAGAGAAAGAGAGAAGTCCTCTACATCTCTGTTTACAGAATTCTTGGGAGCCCCCAAGAGTTTAAAGAATAAGCTACCTATTGAAAGCATCTTTCTGTAGGGTTATTGAAATCATCTGTTTCTGACATCCCCATCAGACAGTCAGTTGTCAAGACAGTAGACAGTCCCCCTTTAAAACATTAGTCACTGAGTCCGTCTTTCTTTTTGATTCACAAGACTCTAGTGGCTAAATGCCTCTCCATGTCTTGAAAGGCTTCAAACAGTCTGCGCCCCCTGCCCAGTCTTCCCATTACTTCCCTGACCTCACCTCCTACTGCTCACCACGTGCTCACTGCACCCAGCCACTAACTAGCATGCTCCCTCTTATGGGCCTTTGCATTTTATGTTCTCTGCTTAGAAGACTCTTTCCCTAGAGACCCCCATGCCTGTCCTTATGGCTTCATAGAGCAGCCTTGTCTACTGAAAATTGCAATCCCCTCTACCTCCTCCTACCTCCAGCTCTCCCTATCCACATTCCCCACTTTACTTTTTTTTATAGCACTTGTTCCCAACTGCTACTATACAATTTATTTATTTGTCTCCCCTTACTGTAAAAATTCCATGAGTGCAGGGATTTTTGTCTGTTTTGCTCACTGCTACATTTGTGGAGCTTACAACAGTGCCTAAAAGCACTTGTCAAGCATGGGCTTGAGAAGTATTTGTTGAATACATTTTGAGATACTGTCCCCTCTCTGCTAGGGATGGTGGTATTTACTATGCTGAACAGATACACCTCTTGCTACTGAATCATGGTGTTATTAACATTTCCACTCATAAACTTTGTCTGTTTTTCAAGGTTTCTGTGTCAATTCTACTTTCTAAACATATCTCAAATTTTTAAAATTTCCCCTTTGTTAAACCATCACAACTTCCTATTTGGAATATAGATTCTCACCATCCATTTTTGCCCCTCCACAGTCTCACTGTGTAGAGCCAGAATGCAGCTGGAATGACCTATCTAAAATATAAATCTGATCATTACCATTCTTTCCTTAATTTAAAATCCTTCATTGATTTCCCATAGCTTTTCACATTAGACTCAGTGGCCTTACCCCATACCACAAGGTCCTGCGTGGCCTGGTTGCAACATTGGCTTTCTTTGTTCCTCTAACAGGCCAGAGTCCTTTCTGACTCAGGGCCTTTGCTGTTCTCTCATGATGGAACACTCTTCCACTCCCATTCTCCCATTCTACACCTGGTTGACATCCTCCCATCTACGTTTAAATGTTCCTTTCCCTGAGTTTCTCTGAGTCCCTGTGCTAGTTAAGTTCCCTCTGCATTTTCCTTCACAACATTTACTACAATAGTAGTTAATTCTTGTGAAATTATTTAATGGCTGGCTCTCATGTACTTATTGAGAATAGGAACTCTTCTGTGGTGTTTGCCTTTGTATCCCTAGCACTTGACACGGTCCCTGATACATAATAGAAGCTTAGTAAATACTTGCAGAGAGATAAATAGAAATGACAAATAGGTAGGTGTCTTCTCCTCGATCCCTGGGATGGGAGCCTTGTGGGGTAGTATCTCATTAATTAATGATGTGTTTGCCTCCACAGAGATTATTTTGCAGAGGATGATGGGGAGATGGTACCCAGAACGAGTCACACAGCAGGTAAGGATGCTGTGGGCCTTGCCTTGTTAAATTCTTTGTTTCTTTTGTTTATTCATTTGGTTTTCTTTTGAGACAGGGTCTCACTCTCTCACTATGGATGTAGTGCAGTGGTGTGATCATAGCTCACTGCAACCTCAAACTCCTGGGGTCAAGCTATCCTTTCACCTCAGCCTCCCGAGTAGCTGGGACTATAGACATATGCCTAATTTTTAATATTTTTTTTTAGAGGTGGGAGTCTTGCTATATTGCTCAGGCTGGTTTTGAATGTCTGACCTGAAGCAATACACCCACTCCAGCTTTCCAAAGTGTGTGAGAGAAATTGGCACTTGGCCAATTCTTGGTTTTCTATTGATCTTAATTCTCTTGAATTATGGCCTCTTTAAATTCATCATGGCAATATCTTCAAACTTTTGTGAATTTCCAAATTAGCACATACTACTGTAGCAATTTCACACGAGAATTATCAGCTAGCTATAATTCTATGTACTGAGAAGCAGCATAGTACAGTAAATCATTACAGATACTTATGTGAATTCTTCATACTTTTAACGATTCTGTAATTGCAAGGCTAAACTCACTTGTACAATGATTAAAATAAATTATGTTACTAAAATGAAATCTTTATCTTAATACACCATTAAAATGGGTATAATAGGCCGGGCATGGTGTCTCACGCCTGTAATCCCAGCACTTTAGGAGGCTGAGGCGGGCGTATCACCTGAGGTCAGGAGTTCAAGACCAGGCTAGCCAACATGGTGAAACCCCATCTCTACCAAAAATACAAAAATTAGCTAGGCATGGTGGCCCACGCCTGTAATCCCAGCTACACAGGAGGCTGAGGCAGGAGAATCTCTTGAACCCAGAAGGCAGAGGTTGCAGTGAGCTGAGATCGTGGCACTGTACTCCAGCCTGGGTGATAGAGCAGACTCAGTCTCAAAAAAAATAAAATAATAATAAAATAATAAATAAATAAAATGGGTACAATAATAATGTTAATCTCATAGGTGAGATTGAGAAAAGCTTTTAGTACAGAGGCTATCAAGGAATAAGCACTCTGTATCTTATCTATTGTTACTATTAATGTATTCCTAACAACAGCACAATTATTACTACACTAACATTAGCCAGAGATCTACCTGAATTGCAAAACCAAAGGGAAGATAATATTCTTTTGGGGTCTATTTTCCACAAAACTTGTTCTCGACCTGAGGGTTTTACTTCCTTGCTAAGTTCTTTGCCTTTTTCATAACAGCCTGGAAGCACAGATTGTTTATATGCACAATTTGGAAAAAAGTTTTTAATTTGAATAAGTTAAGAATTTCAGAGTCACTTAAAATTAGTATTTGAAATGTGTGTTAAATCCACAAATTCCAAGGGTTACTGTGCTCAACATTTTAAATGTCAATATTCTACATTTTGAGGCAAAAATTGAAGGACTAGGGCAAAAATGTGAGGGGAATGGATAAAATGCTTACTACATATAATACATGTGGCAAGGTGCTTTTATTATTTTATTTAATCCATAGAACAGTTCTATAAAGCAGATATTATTACCCCTGTTTTACAGAGGCAATATATCAGCAAAATTAAGAGATTTGCCTAAATTCCCACAATTAGCAAGTGGTCAGGATTCAAATCCAAGCCTCAAGGCATTGCTCTTTCTATCATATCCACCAATCTAACTGTAATGTATTGTTATTCTGTTTTATCAGATTATCTTCCCCTTAGTAGTATATTTAATTTCACCTAAATGTGGAAGAAATCATTTTTTCTAATTACATTTATTTATTTGTTTATTTTTGAGACAGAGTCTTGCTCTGTCACCCAGGCTGGAGTGCAGTGGTGCCGTCTCGGCTCACTGCAACCTCCACCTCCCAGGTTCAAGCAATTCTCCTGCCTCAGCCTCCCGAGTAGCTGGGATTACATGCGCTTGCCACCACGCCTGGCTAATTTTTGTAGTTTTGGTAGAGATGGGGTTTCGCCATGTTGGCCAGGCTGGTCTTGAGCTCCTAACCTCAAGTGATCCACCTGCCTCAACCACCCAAAAAACTGGGATTACAGGTGTGAGCCACCATGCCCAGCCTCTAATTACTTTTAATTAAAAATTTTGCATTTACGTATAAACATTCAGAATATCACCAAAACAGGGGCAATATCATCATAATTATTTTATTATTATTATTTGCTATCACAGAGTAGTGTACAACTAACAGAACAATTATATTGGGTAAGCTGCATGAAAAACAATTGAAGAGGGAAAAATAATATCTCCATATATATGTAATTGATTTGTACTATGCATTAATAAAGCCTGCCTTAGATTTCTGTTCTAGTTTAAACCCCGAAACAGTACCAGGCAAGGTTAGTGGCTATTGAAAATATCATTAAGGACAGGGTTATCTAAAGACACACTGGATACTACATTAATTTTGCAAAAATAAAAAGACAGTATACAGTGTTCAGTTTAAAAACAAATCATATGATCTTACATTTCAGCTTTTTTTCTTTGAAATCAGTGGTGTAATGGGGAGTTAAATACTTTTAGGCAAAAAACAAACACATACACACACACTCACACAAAAACAAATTAATAAAACAAAAGCCTCTTTTAAAACCATCCTATTGACTATCATCATTTTTTTCTTCACCCTTTTCATCTTTCTATTCACCAATGTCTTTCCAGTCCTTTTTTTCTTTTCTTCTTTTTTCTTTTTCCAGTTTTTCCAACTTCCCCTTTCCCTGCATCAGACTTTCTTTTATCCCAGAATACAGCAATAGCCTTTATATCTATAATCTTAAAAGCCTTTCTTTCCTCGAGGCTGTATATTATCTGCAGCAGTAATTCTTCATTTCTTTCATTTCTCTCAGTTTTCTTACATCATCGCCAATGAATTAGCCAAGATGTTCTCCTGTGCTCTTTTGGTGAAATTTTCAGAACAAAACAAGAAAAAGGAGATCCCTTTGGTACATTAGAATCCTGGAACTTCTTTCTTCTCTCTCTTTCTCTCTCTCGTTTCCTTGTAGACAGAATATAGATTTTTGTTTCTTTCTTATAATGGGCCTGTTCACCTTCACCCTGTCTTCAAATTTTTTCTTTCTCTTTAGCAGAAATGAATTTCCATCTTTTCTGAACATAAAAAAAAGAAGAATTCTAAGAAGTTGACTGAAGCATCTGGGTGCTTTTTCTTGGGCTCCTTCTGGCAAGTTGGCAGAACGAAGGAAAGAAGGCAGGGAAGGAGGGAGAGAGGAGGGAGGGGAGGAAGGAAGGAAGGAAGGAAGGGAGGGAGGGAGGGAGGAAGGGAGGGAGGGAGGGAGGGGGAAGGGAGGGGAGGGGAGGGAAGGAAGGAGGCAGGCAGAGAGGTGGGGGAAAAGAGAAAAAAAAAAGAAAGAGAAAGGAAGAAAGGAAGGAAGGGAGAGAGTGAGAAGGAGAGAAAGAAAAAGAGATCGGAAGAAAAGCATGCAAAGGCATTTTGCCTCTTACTCCCTTGGATCTCCTTTCCCCAAGTGTCTAGTTAACTTTTCCTCAGCCAGGCAGTCACCCAGTACCTGTTTTGCTCTTACTTGCCCTGACACTGTCTGTAGCGCTTAATGCTTTGCCATGACTGTCTTCTTATTTAAAAAATAGTTCCATAATAAAAGTTCATTATTTCCTTCTGTCAGCCAAGAAAGTATGTAGCTTTCTATGTTTTCTACCTGTCTGTAACTCCAACCCTGCCCCAACATGAGGCAGGGTTGATTTCTCATTCTTTAACAATGTTACTTCTCAAAAGCAAGCATAGGGTTAATTACAGCTTAGATTCCACTAGGTTCTCCCAAAGCAATGCTTCCATTGGTTAATGGAGTGATTGAGTCTCTGCCTCTTTACCTGTTTTCCCCACTCTCAGACCTATTGCAATCCCTTTAATTGCTAAAATAACACAGTAGTAGCATACTGCTAAGAAAGACAGATGGAGAAAATATGGCATTGGTTCTGCCACTTTTTAGCAATGTGATCTTGGTCAAGCAAACTTTCTGAATCTTTACTTATTCATCAGTAAAATGGACTTAATAATCACTTATGTCTATTTCACTGATTGCAGCGACTTCATAAATGAAATAATTCATGTGAAACTATTTTGTAACATGTAATGCCCTTTAAATATGTTGGCTGTTATAATTGTTACTATTACTAAATAGTAACCTGAAAAATTATCGGTAGAGATAGTTTGCTAGCAGCTTGGTTCTTTCCTTTAGACTGTTTTGGTTACCTTTTGTTATGTGACAAACCATCCCAAAACTTAGTGACTTAAAACAGGGGTCAGCAGCAAACTACAGCCCATGAGCCAACAGTCAGTTTTTATAAGTAAAGATTTATAGCCACACAGTGACACTCATTCATTTACACATGGTCTGTGTCTCCTCTGTGTTACAGGGTAGAGTTGAGTACCTGTGCCAGAGATGATATGACCCACAAGCCTAAAACACTGTCTGGTCCTTTAAGAAAATGTCTGCCCACACCTGGCTTAAAACAACAATGATTTATTATTTCTCACAATTCTGTTTTGGCAAACTGGGCATTATCGCTGCTGGTCTCACTTGGGATCACTCAACTGGCTGCAACTTTCTGATGACTTGACTGAGACTGAAGGTCTCAGACAGCCTTGCTCACATGTCTGGCAGGTGGTGACTGTCAGCTGGGGCATCTTCACTTCCCTGAACAGCCTTTCCTTCTCCAGTGGGGTAGACTGACTTCTTCACAGCATGGTTGTCTTGGGATGCTAATAAGGCAAGAGCAGAAATGCAAGGCCTCTCAAAGCTAGTCTCTGGAACTCATACAGTAGCATTTATATCATATTCTGCCAGTCAAGGCAAGCCACTTTGCCAACCCAGATTCAAGAGTTGGGGAAATAGGCTCTACTTCTTAATGGCAGGAGTATCACATTGCAAAGGCCTATGGACCCAAACTAGTTTGATTCACTGGGGATGGCTATTAATATGATCTACCACAGACTACTTTAAGTAAACTGTTTCTATGTGGCCTAGATTGAGTTTGTATTTTGCAGAAACTGAATTCTGCTGGAATGTGCCAGTTAGAATGATCCTAGTGCTGTTATTATATAAACCTTTTTTGTTGTTGTTCTGTTTCATTGACAGCTTTTCTTAGTGACACTAAAGATCGAGGCCCTCCAGTGCAGTCACAGATCTGGAGAAGTGGTGAAAAGGTCCCGTTTGTGCAGACATATTCCTTGAGAGCATTTGAGAAACCCCCTCAGGTACAGACCCAGGCTATTCGAGACTTTGAGAAGGTAAGTCATGTGAGTGGATAATTGTTATCCCAATTAGAAGCAGTACTATGGAATAGTGATGCCTGATAAAAATATGACCCATGGATTGGTCCGGATTATGGATGGTATTATCATTATGGTGTCTCTTTCAAGAGCATGTCCCAATAAACATATGCTCTGTCAGCTGTGTGCTGGGGGGTGTGGTTATGGACCCTTGCCTGTACAGCAGTCCCTCCTTTGGATGCCTCAAACTGCATAGTACTGAACCCTATATTTACTATGTCTTTTTCTATACATACATACTTAGGATAAAGTTTAATTTATAAATTAAATGTTAATGAGGCTAACAGTAGTTAATAATAACATAGAACAATTATAACAATATACCAGCATTACTACTCTTGCACTTTTACATTGTTAAGTAAAATAGGAGTTACTTGAACACAAGCGCTGTGATACTGCAACAATCTGATAACCCAGACAGTACTGAGTGACTAACTGGTGGGCGATATATACAGCCTGGATGTGCTGGACAAAGGGATGATTCAAGGGTGAGATAGAGTGGATGGCACGAGATTTCATCATGCTGCTCAGAACAATGTGCAATTTAAAATTTATGAGTTGTTCATTTCTAGAATTTTCTATTTAACATTTTCAGACTGTGGTTGACTGTGGGTAACTGACACCATGGAAAGCAAAACTGTGGATAAGGGGGGACTAACTGTACCAGTAAATGCTGCCTCATCACCTACACCCTTGGTTTACTTCTCAGATAAACTCAGGAAGTTTAAATGGCATTCTGAGAATCTGTAGCTGCAACATAGTGAGCCCAGGAGTCCCGGTCCAGCAGCTAGTATTAAATTCTCTGTTGCTAGCTTGGACCTCTCTCGATATCTAGGAATTGTCTGCAGTGTGCGGTGGCACAGTAACAACCATTTGTTTCTCAACAAGAATCTGATAATGTTGCTTGAACCTCCTGAACCAGTGCTGCATGCTCTGCTTCTTCATATGTTTGTCCTTAGATTTGACCAAAAACAATAACTGATAATGTAATACAGATTCCCCAGCTCCCTGTGAGCTGGGTTGAGCCCAGGAAGTCTGTACAAGAGAGCATGTCTACTGGGATTTAAATAGCCCAGAAACAGGCAGCCGGAATTTCTTACACGCTTGTGCTCTAAAAAAAAAAAAAAAAAGGAAGAAAGAAATAGCTCTTTGGTGCCCCCTCAGGGATACCCAGCAAGCAGGTCCCACATAAATAATGTGTAAATAGTCTGTGAGATACTGGGGTTTCTCTCATTCTGGAATTGGAATTGATAACTTTTGACAGAAAAAAAAAAGTAAAATTCTAATCTCAAAAAATTTTGTGTTGACATGGGTTTACCCCATCTTCCCTCAATTTGTAAGTAGAAATATTTCACCAATACTTTCTGTACATCCTACCAGATATTTCTGTGGGCAAAGGATATGCACCATATAACATGTGCCTAAGAATTAACAGCCTATTCTTCAAATTTTATGCTTAGCATTCTCATGTATACTGTGTGTATGTTTTTTTTAAGACATGGAGAGTTTGCATGGTAATCAAGAGGCTTTTGAAGACTAAACCTCCAAACAGCTGTGTGGTGCTGGTGGGGGAAGCAAGGATGCTAACACCTCAACCCCTTCCTTTTTTTGTTTTTTTTTTCACCTTTTGGATCTGCTGTGATGCAGAAAGGGCAAGCAGAGCTGCAGAGCTCCTCAAAACTGTGTGGGGTGCTCTCCAAAGGCGAGCCAGCCTGCATGTTCCTTTTCATTGAGAGATGACTGGAAATATAGAAATGAGGGGTGTCACCTCCATTGAAAGAATGGGTGGCAGATATAAGGCCCAAAGTCCTTTTCTTTTAGAGTTTAGATCTAATATGACAGATTAGTCCTTATTTCTCGATGCTGGGAAACACTGACAGAAACCAAGCTAAGACGCAGGGAAAAGGCCAATAAGAGATAGTTTAAATCTCTCTCTGCTATGTGTCAAATAAAAAGTAAATAAAGAGGCTACAACCCACTTCAGGCTTGATCAGAAAGTCATTGCCGGTAAATCATGCAGTGTTGTGTCACACGTTTGTTCATTTTCATATCCATTCATCCATCCTGTGGACTCTGAATGACAGCACCTAAAATACAAAACGCCTCCATGAAAGGGTTTAAAAATTAGAGAAAACATTGGTTAGAAAAAATATAGGAGAGATAGGAACACATTCCTATGCCCTACCCTAAAAATGGTAAAATACTAAATAACATGGTATTTTCTGTAAAGTTTAAAATATGCATTCGATAGCCTTGGGATATAGGATAGGTAGCAGTACTCAGAGAGAGGAAGGGACATGCTAAATGTTTTTTGCCAAAGTAGGGTCGACTCCTCCAGGGCTTAAAGACAAAGGGATACAGGCCTGGAAGAAGCAGCCAGGAATCCCTTCTTATTTCATTTATCCATGCAACAAACACATGATCACATTAAATGAGATACTTTAGTTCCTGCCCTTAGATAGTTATAGTCTATTTGGAAGTACAGACATTGCATTAAATACAATATAGCATGGCAAGTGCTTTCATAGAGATAAGGACAGTACACTCTGAGATCTTGAGAGAAAATGTCTACTTTTATTAAAGGAGTAGGGAAAGGCCTCTTACCAGAGGACATTTCTCCTGGGGGCTTCACGTTGAGCAGGGTCTCCAAAGCTGAGTTAGATTTTACTAGTCAGAGAAGTAGAGTATAATATTCCAGACAGAGGGGAGATTTGGGGGAAGAAAGAGAGATATGTTCAAATAAGAGACTGGACTATAGAGAGGTAAGAAAAAGAGAGTTAGAACAGGAGAGAAGTAATATTAAAAGTACTCAATCTGTCAAAAGTAATTATAATTGTTCAGTAATGCAGTTACCTCTAAAATGTTTGCTGATGTAGGAAATTCTAGAGAAAAAAGGCCCTTTGATTACAGGGAAAGAGATAACAGACTAAAAATGCAAATACTGGCACATTATGGAACCAAAACATAATTAGTCAATTAACAAGCGAAAATGACAATTATCATTTATGTTGGTGTAGAAAAAAGGGACAAAGAAAGCAACATTTCCAACATACAACAGTGTTTCTTTTCTTTCATTCTCCACCCACAACCAACAGCATGGTTGTATGTGTATACAAACTCCAATTGTATGTTTGTCAGGTTGAGGTCAATAGGTATTACACTCCATGATGAAAGGAGGGCATTGCTTAGCATATATGCTTCATTTGTATTTTTGAATGAGTGAGTGATTTAATTAATTTCCCAACCTTACCAACTTCGTTATGTAGGCGCTTTTCCCCACTCAGAGAATCCACTGATGAAGGGATTCTCTGTGGGTTTAGTGTATTGAGCAGTGGGTTTAGTGTATTGAGCAGTGGGTTTAGTGTATTGAGCAGTGGGTTAAGTGTATCTCATAAGTTGTTTTATTTTGTCTTTATAAGACACAGAACAAGCATCACTCTCCCCATTTTTTAAGTGAGGGAACCAGGACTCACGGAAATTGTGACTTTTTCAGGGCCATAAGTTTATGTACCATGATCACAAATCTGAACACATTATTGGATCAGAAATAAATTTTACCTACAAATGGTCACAATGATGTGTTGAGAAAAATCCCTTGCCCTATGCTTTCTCACTGATCACAGCACCCAGCTGCAGCATCTCTGGAATGAGCAAGACTTCAGCAGCACATACTTAATACTGGCTAGCATTTGATGATCACTTTCTATGTGGCAGATATTGCTCTAAGTATGTGACAGCATGATCTCATTTACAACAACCTTGTGAAAAGGCATGTTCACCAGTTAGAATGGCGATCATTAAAAATCAGGAAACAACAGGTGCTGGAGAGGATGTGGAGACATAGGAACGCTTTTACACTGCTGGTGGGAGTGTAAATTAGTTCAACCATTATAAAAGACAGTGTGACAATTCTTCAAGGATCTAGAACTAGAAATACCATTTGACCCAGCAATCCCATTACTGGGTATATACCCAAAGGATTATAAATCATTCTACTATAAAGACACATGCACACGTATGTTTATTGCAGCACTATTAACAATGGCAAAGACTTGGAACCAACCCAAATGCCCATTAATGTTAGAATGGATAAAGAAAATGTGGCACATATACGCCATGGAATACTATGCAGCCATAAAAAAAGAATGAGTTCATGTCCTTTGCAGGGACGTGGATGAAGCTGAAAACCATCATTCTCAGCAAACTAACACAGGAACAGAAAACCAAACACCCTATGTTCTCACACATAAATGGGAGTTGACTAATGAGAACACATGGACACAGGGAGGGGATCATCACGCACAGGGGCCTGTCAGGGGCTGTGGGGCAAGGTGAGGGATAATATTAGGAGAAATACCTAATATAGATGACGGGTTGATGGGTGCGGCAAACCAACATGGCACACGTATACTGTGCAACAAACCTGCACGTTCTGCACATGTATCCCAGAACTTCAAATATAATAAAAAAAAGAAAAGCCATGATTATTATTCCAGTTTACAAATGATGAACTAATGGCAAAAAGAATAACAAAGGAACTTGCCCAATAACTCATGATTGAGCCTGAAAACACCTGATGTCTTTGTGACCTAAAGATAGTGGGCATGTCCTATGTTGGGGAACTCAGCTGGTGAAAGTTTGGTGCTAATGAAGGTGTTGGCTTATTTGGAAATGGAATCACTAGTTCCTCCTATTTAGATTGATGCAGATTGAAATTCTACCAGATTCCTGCCTCTCTAGGTAAACTGTAAATCCACTTTTGTCTTCCAATATTCTCTATTACATGATTTTTACTCTATTAATTCTGAACTGCTTGCAATTCAAAGCTGTTTCATACTTTCATTTATTTGTACCTGCTGTTCCCTCTGCCTTGAAAACCTTTTCTCTCCTATTGTTTATTTGGTTAAAGTTTACTCATCCTTCAAGATTCAGCTCAGGTGCCTTTTTAAATTTATTTATTTTTTAATTTTAGGATGCCTTCTCTTACTCTCTAATCCCAGAATATATACCAAGACTCTAAGCTCCTTGAGGGCAGAAAACACCTCTTGCCCATTCTTTTCTAGTCTCTAGAATATAGCATGATGTAGTACATAGTAAGTGCTCAGTAAATATTCATCAACTAAACTAGCTGAAAAGTATTAAAAATTAGATATCCTATTGGATTTGTATCTCTTCTGCCTCTACCTGGTATTCACAATAAGTTGAACAGTTTTAAGGAGGGTATTGGTGTGTTAATTGATTGGGTAGGATGGGAAACTAGGAAGTCAAGAAATGTACATTTCTTTTCCACTTTATTTTTTTATTGTTCATTTTTTTTGAGAAGGAGTCTTGCTGTGTCACCCAGGCTGGAGTGCAGTGGTGCAATCTCAGCTCACTGCAGCCTCTGCCTCCTGGATTCAAGCAGTTCTCCTGCCTGAGTAGCTGGGACTACAGGCTCCCGCCACCACACCCGGCTAATGTTTTGCATTTTTAGTAGAGATGGAGTTCCGCTATGTTGGTCAGGCTGGTCTCCAAATCCTGGCCTCAAGTGGTCCACCCTCCTTGGCCTCCCAAAGTGCTGGAATTTCAGGCGCGAACTACGCGCCTGGCCTCTTTTCCACTTTAAATGGAACGATAAAACTAAAAATGAAAAGGACGGGAGAGAAAGAGTCTTTTTGAAATAATATTTGACAGGATTTATTAAGAAGATCACAATAGTAGCTAATAACAATAAATACTATTTGAGTGCTCATTATGCACCAGGTACTTTTCTAGATATTTGACATATTTAATTTAGTGTATTTTCAGTTCATTTTCCTAACTTATGAGATAGATATTATTTTTACAACCATTATACTAGTGAAGAGATCAAGGTTCAAATAACTTGCCCAAAGTTATATAAGAATAAAGTAACGGAACCACTGTAACTCCAATGATTCCAAAGCTCTTGGGGAAATGAAAGGACTCTCAGAGAAGGAGAGCATTACATTGGTGGAATGCCTGCATTTGGGTTTTTTACATAGAATCAACATGGCAGACGGTACAGAAAAGCCACGGAAGGGTGGGAGTCTTTGGCTATAAAATCAAGAGGGGGCCTCCACTGCCCTGTCCTGTTTACACATTTTTCTAATAATGTTGTCTTTAACAAGAAAATATCATCAAAACCAGCTATAGTGTATGCCTAACTGTACTCTGCAGCTTTCCTTGGCAGTCTGAATCTAACCGCAGTGAGTCAGCCTGTTCAGGTCCCACCCATCCTGGTGAACTTTTCCACTTGAATCTTGAAGTCTTTGGGGAGAAAAAAGAAGAAAAAAAGTGCTAAAAGCAGAAGGCTTTTTCATTTTGGGGAGTTTCTGGAGCTCTGAGTTATCACAGTCTGGGTAACCTGTGCTAATTTAGGTTAATTGGGGTCCTGTCACTGCCCTCTTTATGTTCCACAATTTTGGTGCTTCTCGAGTGTTTCTCTCTAATTACAGCCTTGGAAAATGAATACTACTAGTGAAGTGCATTTTTATTTTAAAAAAATGCATTCATTCTTCCAAACCACAGTGTCCCAAACATACTGGTTTTGTTTTCACTGGTATCTTAAGACATTCAAAAAGTTACTAGGAGGCAGGGGGTAAATATTAAACTTTCAGCAATCACAAGTGCAGTTTGTTTTCCCTTTTCAATCTCATGTTTAAAAAGGGAAACAGAAGGCTTCCACACACAGGCATTCCACAGACTTTCCATGCAAAGTTTTCTTTCCTAAGCAACATTACCAAAGATATGAATCAAATCAATTACTTTTTTTCTTATAGAACTACAGAGTAAAAGGAATGCTTCTGAGTGCTGTAGAATATACAAAGATGGACATGAGATTCCATTCTCAAAGAATGTACAATCTGATTGGGGCATAAAAAAATTTAAATTATACAAGATTTAATTTAAATAACATCTAAGGCAATATTGAAAGAGATATTTCAAGATGGGAGTACTTGCCAAACTAATGTATGTTTTTAAAACTTAAATATGGCGAGGTGTGGTGATCATGCCTGTAATTGCAGCACTTTGGGAGGCTGAGGTGAGCGAATCACCTGAGGTCAGGAGTTCGAGACTAGCCTGGCTAACATGGTGAAACCCCATCTCCATTAAAAATACAAAAATTAGCTAGGCATGGTGGCACACGCCTGTAATCCCAGTTACTCAGGAGGCTGAGGGAGGAGAAGCGCTTGAACCCAGAGGTCAGAGGTTGCAGTAAGCCGAGATCGAGCCACTGCACTCCAGCCTGGGCGACAAAGCGAGACTCTGCCTCAAATAAATAAATAAATCTTAAATACTGGGATAGAACATTTTTTCTAATTTGTGCACGCGTGTGTGCGTGTGTAAACTTTTCAAAGTTGTAAATATTAGCTTACATTTGGTCATGCAATTAATAAAGAAACTTTATCAAAAAGAATGAAATTACAAAAGTTGGACAACCCTGAACATTCTGAAAGGTATGATTACCAACACAGAAAAGAGAGCAACCACTTTCACAGAGAATGTAGCACTTGAATTAGAATAATTCTTTTCGTAATTTTAAATTATCTCCTTTCTGTCTCCTCATTAAAACTTGTTTTCTTCTCTTCTCCCGTTGTTCGAAGAGAAGCCTTATCTTTCTTTCTGTGGACTTTGCAAAGTTTCCATTCTAATGATAATTTCCATTCCAATACTAAATTTAAAAAATAGCAACAAAGATCATGATACCAATTAATATTTGTAAGTGCTTACAGTGTGCCAAGTTCTGAGAATGCGCTTGACCTTATTATCTTATTCAGTTCTCCTAATAGTCTTTTGAGGTTGGTACAACCATTGTCTTTGTTTGTAGAGAGACACTGAAGCTAGGAAAACACTAGTAATTGATGGCAAGTGCTGGAGCTGGGATTTGGACATAAGTGTACTGGTTCTAGTGCCTAAACTCTTAGCCACAATTTTATTATGCTTACTGATAGCTGACCCCCTTATTCATTTGTTTGTTAATCCACTCATCCATTTATGAGTGCATCGTGTGTGCCAGGCCATGTTCTAGCTGTTAGTTGCACAATGATCAAGAATGAATGTATGAAAATATGTATTTTCGGCCGGGCGTGGTGGCTCACACCTGTAATTCCAGCACTTTAGGAGGCTGAGGCAGGCGGATCACCTGAGGTCAGGAGTTCGAGACCAGCCTGGCCAACATGGTAAAACCCTGTCTCTCCTAAAAATACAAAAATTAGCCAGGTGTGGTGGTGCACACCTGTAATCCCAGCTACTCAGGAGGCTGAGGCAGGAGAATCGCTTGAACCCAGGAGGCAGAGGTTGCACTGAGCCGAGATTGCCACTGTACTCCAGCCTGGGTGACAGAGCTAGACTCCGTCTCAAAAAAAACAAAAAAAAGAAAATGTATGTTCAAGGATGAGTGTTTATATTTCAGTATTCTCTATACCAATACAATATTAGTACTCAAGGTGAGGATTATTTCAAGTGTGGAATATATATACAATAGAACATTATAGAGCAATGTACTGACTTGGGAGGATGTCCATTATAACAAATTTAAGATTAAACAAAACAACGGCAACAACAATTTGACTGAATATTACAAAAAATAAGATCTCATTTTTGAGGGAGAAAAGATGGAAATGTCTGGAAGGATACATACCAAAACATTGATATTGATTATGTCTGGATGATGGAATTAGCCTATTGCCTTCTTTATAACTGAGTATTATATTTATTTTAATTATCTATTCATTGAAAAAATATTCTAGTGTGTTTACTATGTGCAGCATACCTTAAGCATTGCAGATACAATATTGAATAGGCAAACATGGTTCCTGCCTTCATAGAGTCTACAGATTAGCAAATTCCAACAGAATGTAATTATTATTGTAATAGAAGTAAAGAGTGCTATGGAATATATAACTGGGCACTTACTCAATCTGAAGAGATTGGGGGATTCAGGGAAAGTTTCCTAGAGGAAACTGCATCTAACCAGGGTCCTGAAGAAGGAATAAGAAGTAGCCACTAATAAGGGGGTGGTAGTGTGAGAATGAAGAATGTTCCATGCATAGGAAATAGCTTGAATCAAGATCCCGATGAGAGAAAGAACCATAGTCAGTATTCCTAGAGAATGGGATGTAAGGAATGCAGAGAACTGAAACCAGAGAAAAGAGAGAGGAGTCATCATACAGAGTCTTGCAAGTTATGTAAAGGCTTTTAAATTTTATCTGAGCTCAAGGGAACTGCTGAAAGCTTTTAGACAGAGAGGTGACATGATCAGATTTTCCTCTTAGAAAGATCCTTTTGGCTTCCTTATGGCCTCTGCATAGGAGGAGTAGTCTAGAGGCAGAGAAAACAGTTGCAGTATTCCAGGCAAAGGTTGCTGGAGATGCCAGTATAAAAATTAGAGAAATGGACAGGTGAAAGAAATTTCAGAGGCAGAATTGATAGAGCTAAGCCATTGACTGGATGTAGAACCAGTGAGGCTGAAGAAACCCAAAGATGACTGATCACCAATTCATCTCTTCACTCACATCCTACCCACTGTCACCTTGTCGTAAACTTCCAGACTACCTTCACCTCTCTCTTCAATAACGTGAGTTATTTGTTCAAAGTCTGCCTTTTCTGTTAGAACATGAGCTCACTATAGCAGGGACAGTGGTTGTCTTTTCACTTCTAGATACAGTGATTAGCATAATGCCTGGTACATAGTAGGCATGCCCTTTTCTTTTCTTCTTTTTTGTTTGTTTTGAACGAATAAATGATGTCAAGTTTTCTTGCTTGGTCAACTACTAGGTTATGCCCTCCACTGAGAAAGAGAACAACTGGAACAGGCACATGTAGTACTTTTATGACCATTGAAGCAACAGCAACACAAACAAAAAACAGTAAAGCGATTTCTGTTTTTGGAAGAAAAGTAAAGAAGATTCTTCCTGTTGTTAAGGAACTCCAGATCTACTGGGGAGAGAGTCAAACAGATAATCCCAATATACTGTGAAATGGGCCACAATAAGAGTAGGTCCGCAGTGCTGTGGAAGCATTCAGGAGAAGCCCTTGCCCAGGCATTAGGGCCAGATAGGTTTCTTTTAGTAGGTAATATCTGACTTAGATCCTTATGGGTGAGTTGGGATTAGTTAAGTGAGAGATGGGTGGGAATTAAAGAGAAGTGAAATTCTAGGCTAATGCTGCTACCCATGCAAAGTCCTGGAGGCAGCATGAGCCTGGTGAATTCAGAAATAGGAGGCTTTCTGTCATGGATGGAGCAAGGGAGGGTCAATCGGGGTTCATGTTGGCTCTATCTTTTCCCTTATCCCCCTACTTCTGGTCAAGGCATTATTGTTGCAGCCATGGGCATTCATGGTATCACTGTGGACTCTTGGTTTTTGGTTTTGTTTATTATTTTTTTTTTTTTAGACATGGTCTTGCTCTGTCATCCAGACTTGAGTGCAGTGGCACAATCTTGGCTCACTGCAGCCTCGACCTCCCGGATTCAAGTGATCCCCCACCTCAGCTTCCTGAGTAGCTGGGACTACAAGAACATACCATCACGCCTGGATAATTTTGACTTTTTAAAACTTTATTTTATTTATTTATTTGAGATGGAGTTTCACTCTTGTTGCGCAGGCTGGAGTGCAATGGCGTGATCTCCACTCACTGCAACCTCTGCCTTTCGGGTTCAAGCGATTCTCCTGCCTCAGCCTCCTGAGTAGCTGGGATAACAGGCATGTGCCACCACACTGGCAAACTTTGTATTTTTTGTAGAGACGGGGTTTCTCCATGTTGGTCAGGCTGGTCTCGAACTCCTGACCTCAGGTGATCCACCCACCTTGGCCTCCCTAAGTGCCACTGCGCCTGGCCTGTTTTTTTATTTTTTGTAGAGATGGGGTCTCACTGTGTTGCCCAGGCTGGTTTCAAGCTCCTAGCCTCAAGCAATCCTCCTGCCTTGGCCTCTCAAAGTGTTGGGATTGGCATCTCAAAGTGTTTGAGCCACCACACCTGGCAACTCTTAGCTCTTGTGGCCAGAGCAGGTCGTAGTCATGCCTTCAAAATTGCCTTCACTCCTAGAAAAAAATGGAGAAAGGATTATTTAAAATCTAGAGAAAAAGGTGAGCCCATAAGTCACTCTCTCTGAATTCCAGAAGCTCAGCAAATAATCTGAGTTGGACCAATTGTGAACAAATACCAAGTCCTGCTGATGTTGATTGGACCAAAGTGATGGAGAATCTAGTTTGGAGTCTGGTAATCCTTGGGAGGCCCCAGCATCACTGCAGCTCAACTGTCATTCCTGCCTTGCAGCTCATTTAACTGCCTCTGGCAGCACTGTTTCTGGCTGGGCCATCTATTTTTGGTGGCCAGGGAAGTTGTTATTTGTTTCATTTTGTTTTGATGTGGTTTACAGTGCTCTAGTGTGATGATGAAGCTAACATCTGGTTATTCCAGGATTGGGGGTGTTGTGGGTGTGTTTCTATGTTGGGGAAGGCAGCAGGAACATCATCTTAACTCCTTTTCTTTATCCACATGATGAGGCTGCCTAAGACGGGGTTTATTAATCAACCTGATGCAATAGCTCTGTCATTAGTGCTCTTGTTATCAGGCAAGAAAAGGCTGTGTACAGGATGGGTATCAGTATGCTTCTGAGTGTTAGGGGAAAAAATGGAATGGTATTGTTAATATTTTAGCATTTAAGAGACTCTGGAACTTCAGGAATTATGTTAAAATTTCAGAAACAGAGTTTTAGAAGGGTGACTTGTTTGTTGATTGTACAATCCAAAAGAAAAAAGCAGGACTTTGTGGAATTCATAGTCAGTTTTCTGAAGCAGGTATCAGTAGTTGGCTTCTGAGACAAGGGCAGAAACACCATGTTGGCATAAAAGAGTTGATGAGTGGAACACCAAGTTGGTTGGCTCTGGTTGACATTTTCCTTGGTAGAATATGGTGTGTGAAAATTATACATATTTTTCAGAACAGGCCAAATACGTATGTTTTATGTCAAAACATAGGTCATGTGTTTCTGTTTTATCTGAGGGTTATCACAAAACTTTACCTTTTTGTAAAACTTAATCTGTGAATATTCAGTACTGAGAGCCACTTAGAGCATACTTCGTCTGACCCTTCTTTTAGGGCCCTATAATATAGGTAGGATTGGTATACAGAATATTTAGACATGATTCATTCTAAGCCATTTAGCTTTAACTGAACTGAATCAAATTGGACTTTAACTGAGTCTTTATCATTAAAAAAACTCTTATAAAAGATAAAGGATTGGGTTAGTTACTTCTCTCAGCTTTGGTTTATTTCTTTGTCTTCTTTTAAAAACAAAGCTTTATTCAAACGATTAACACGCTGTACAGCTCATCTTCTGAAATCTTACAATTCTATGATTTTAGTGTATTCACAGAGTTGTGCAACCATCACACTGTCTAATTCCAGTACGTGTTTCTCACTCCAATAGGAAACCTCATACTCATTAACACTCACTTCCCAGTTTCCCTCTCCCTGGTTCCTGGAAACCACTAATCTACTTTCTGCCTGGATTTGCCTATTCTGGACATTTCATATAAATGGAATTATACAGTATGTGACCTTTTGTGTCTGGCTTCTTTCACATTATCGTATAATGTTGTCAAGGTCATTTATGTTGTAGCATGTATCAGTACTTCATTCCTTTTTATGGCTGAGTAATATTCTATGATTTGGATATGCTAAATTTTGTTTATCCATTCATCAGTTGAAGGACATTTGAAATACTTCCAATTTTGGCTATTATGAGTAATGCTGCTATGAACATTTGTATATAAGATTTCACGTGGCCATATGTTTTCAATTTTCTTGGGTATATAACTAGGAAAGGAATTGCTAGGCCACATGGTAACTCTTTGTTTAACCCTTTGAGAGCCAACTTTAGTTTATTCATCTTGAAAATGAAGAAAACAATTTTTTTTTTTTTTTTTTTTTACATAGATCCAGGTTGTCAGATCCTTTAGGGTCACCACCAGGAAGATTATTTACAGTGAAGGACACTTTTTGAAAAGGTATAGGGGGCCTGAGTTAGAAGAGGGAATACCCAGTTGCAAGTGAATCCCAGGCTCAGAAGGGTCATACAGTCTCATGATTAAGGCCCTGATGCGTATGCAGTATGGGGTCGAACTGTTGGAGTTATAGTCTGTGCTCCTCCGCTTTCTCAGTGAACAAGTCAGTTAACCTCCTGATGTCTCTCTGTCCTAGGCAGTAAAATGGGGATCATCATGTCTTCCTACTTCAAAGGTTGTGGTAAAGATAAACGAAATAATACACATGGAAGTACTTTGTACATTGTCAAAACCAATGTAGATGATTGTTGTTGTGAAGATAGTATAATTGTATCTGATTAATTTTGTAATACAGGCCCAAGTCATTCAAAACAGCCAGGAATTAAACTTTTTATTTGTATAATTCAGATTTTATGAGAACAGCATAGAGACGCCTAGACACAGAGATGTATTATAAATAAAATATGTGTATGTAAAATAAACCAGCCGTCTCTTCTTCCTGCCCCATCTCTTCTTGTCTATCCCCATCCCCAATCCAAAATAAGCTGGGCTCCTGGTTGTAGTTCCCTGGGTGCTAAAAAGCAGGAAATACTCCCCAGACATTTGTGTACCCTTCCCATAGGGCTGTTTTGAAAATATGACAATTAGCAAAGTTATAGGTTAAATCGTCTATTGGGCATCATCCTTGAGTCATTGTTACTGCTTTTGTCTTAGAAATATGGCGTCCTTTACATGCACTTACTGCTTCTGTAGCACAAGGCAGCCGGAGCTCTCAGTCTGAGCAGGTAGACTCTCATTACCTTTTAGGGCTACAGGAGAGCTAGTGGGCATTCTGAAATTCTTCGCAAAGTGATAGTTCTCTCACTGGCCTTTGGTAGGAGCGTTTCTATGAGAAAATGTGTTTCAAGCATAGAATTTCGGGATGGCCAAAGATCTTAAAAGCCCTCTAGAGCTAACTCCTAGCTGATGTGGGAAAACTTTTAACAGTATCCCTGAAAGGCGATTCTTGAGTTTTGGTCAAGCACCTTTTGTGACAGGAAGTTTATTTTGTCTCATGATGTATGTACTCAGTAAAAATTTGATGTATAAACATATGGATAGAGTGTGGCAATATCTTTATTACATCTAACTCTACTAGAGAATTCATCCTTATATCTAATTGATAACTGTCTCCCTGTAATTCCTACTTTCATTCCCTTTAAAATAGTTTTAAAAATTATAAGCTGTTTTACAAACAACAGGAATATACAAAGAATAATTAAACACTTGTCCATGTGTTGAATATCTAAATGTTAGAAAACATTATTTTTAGTTTATTTTCCTCAGGTGAAAAAACAAAAGTTACCATTACAGATACAGTTGCAACCTTCTTAGTATCCTGCCCAGATCCCAGTCTTCTGACTGTCTTCCTATACTTAACTATTAAGTAGTTTCCCCAAAATGACCCAATGAGAAAAAAGGAGAGCCGGGATTTGAACGTTGGTCTTCATGGTTCAAAGCTATTGCTCTTTTCACAGTTCCACGCTACCCACCCTAGATAAATATGTATAATAGTGATCATATTTATTGTCTATGTGTAAATTGATGTAAAGTGTCAAGGGTTACTTAAAGCACTACTCTTCTGTTTTTCTATTTGCCATATTAACTTATTTTTAAAATATTTTTATTTTCAAGGAAGGTAAAGGTAAGAATTATCCACAGATATCAAATTAGTACAGTTAAAATTGTGGAAGTTTGATTATATTTGAAAAGAATGTGTCCATTAAGAAGATTAATCATTTTTTGTTAGTGAAGCTTTATTTTTAGGAGAAAGATTGGTAAACAATTAATATGTTTTCAAGTACATACATTATATGAGCTAGCTGGGGGGTCTGAATATGATGAAGCAAATGTCAAGCTGGGTTTTTTAAAGGCAGACTTGACAGTTGGTTGTGTTAATGGGGCATGACAGGCAACAGCTGGGTGGTAATCCTCCTCCTACTGTTGGCATTGATTGAGTCTTTATTTACGTTGTATTTCTAGTCTGGACTAGAACGTTATTCCAGGGGTGGAATGAAGAAATTAAGGAAAAAGAAGGGGAGAGCCATTAAGGTTTGGAAGAAACATTCTGAGACCAGAGTAAAGATGTTATATGTACTAGGAGAAAAAGGAAGAACAAAGATAGAAGCACTTCCCCTTGCTCAAGAATCTGCAGTGTTTTATTTCCTAAGCAATGCAGAGGTTATCAACATATAGGCCTGTTTGCCATGAGCTAGTAGGTTGCCGTGTGCATCTCAGGTATGTGTGTTTTTGTTTGTTAAAGCTTTTTTTTTCTTTTCCAAGTTTCCACATGCAGCGCTGATGTTTGTTAAAGCTGCAAGAAAACAAATAAGTAAAACGAAACCTAAGCAATACACAAAGAAAATAATCTTCCCAGTCAGCAGTTCCTGGCCCTCCCCACCCCCACTGCCCTCCTCCCCACCTCCACTTCCCTTCCCCTCACTCTTATCCAGATTGAGAGCCAGGATCCTGGAGGGGCAAACTCCAGGCTTCTCACCCTGGCTTTCAAGATCTCCTTGAGACGGCTTTTTATTTCCCCTCATCTCTGTGGCCTATTTCAGGACAGTATGTGCCCTTTGCTTTGGCCTGGTGGGCACACTGCCCTTTCGCTTATGTTCCACCTGCCTGGACTGCCTTGTGTTCTCCCCACTGCCTATCCAAGCTCAACTCATCCTTTGAGACAAGCTAAAGTGCCAATTCTCTGTGGTACCTTCTCTGGCCACCTCTCCTTCCTAATTTTTATAGTTTTTACTTTTTTTTTTTCTGAGACGGAGTCTTGCTCTGTCACCCAGGCTGGAGTGCAGTGGCATGATCTCCGCTCACTGCAACCTCTACTTTCCAGGTTCAAGCAATCATCATGCCTCAGCCACCTGAGTAGCTGGGACTACAGGCACATGCCACCACGCCCGGCTAATTTTTGTATTTTTAGTAGAGACGGAGTTTCACCATGTTGACCGGGCTGGTCTTGAACTCCTGACCTCATGCGATCTGCTCACCTGGGCCTCCCAAAGTGCTGGGATTACAGGCATAAGCCACCGTGCCTGGCCCAGTTTTTACTATTTGTACCGTTCATATTGTCCTTTATAATTTGTCATATACGATTGCATATTTGTTCAGAACTGTTGTAGAAAGTCCAGATTCTGCATGGTGTATTAAAATGAGTCTGTTAGAATAATTTATTTTACTTATAATCTTTTTATAAGGAGGAATGCTATTAGGTATGCTTTTTATCCTAAAACATCTACATAATCTTGTGTATCGATTAAGTTGTATTACTCCAATGAGAAATAAATCAGCAGGTTAATTACTCATCCATTCTTTAATTCAACAAATATTTATTGAGCACCAGCTATGTATCAGGCACCGTTCTGGGCACTGGTGACACAGCAGTGAACAAACTAAGAAAACATCCCACTTTTCTCAGGAAGTTTACATGCTGGTGGGGAGAGACAGACAAGAAACAAAATAAATAAGAAAATGTATTTTAGAAGGTGATAGTGCTACGGAATAAAAAACAATGAAGGGGGATTCGGAGAGCTGGGATGAGGCATGGGGTGCCTAAAGAGTATTCACTTCACCAAGAAGGTGACATTCAATCAAAGATGAAGAAGGTGAGGAGAGAATCGTGCACCTCCCTAGAGAAAGGGCAGCCAGGCAGAAGGGTCAACAAGTTCAAAGGCCTCGGAAAAGAAAGCTTCTCTTGCTTCCTGTTTTTGAGAAATAACAAAGAGAAACAGTGTAGCTACAGCAGAGAACAGGGAGAGAGTGGTAGGAAGAAGTAGAGGAGGTAATAGGAGAGGCAAGAAGAGGGTGTAGGGCCTCAGGCCTTGCAGTCTGGTGAAGGGACATCACCTTTCACTCTAAGTTAGATGGGAAGCCAGGGGGCTCTCCAGCAGAGGAGTAATCTGACGTATTTTGAAAGGGTCACTGTGGCTGCTGTGCTGAGAATAGACTACAAGGGAACAAGAGTGGGAGCAGGAACACCAGTTAAGGGGCTATTCAGATCATGTAAGGAAAAGATGGCAGTACTGTGGGTCAGGGTGGTAGAAATACCAGTGGCAGTAGTGGTAGTATAACATATATATAAAATATATATATAGTAGTATAATAGTATATATAATATAGTATTATATATTATATACATAATACAACAGCTACAACATATATATTATACTACCATATATGTTATTAATATATATACTATAATGTATAATATACATAGTAAGATTTACAGACAGATGATATGTAGGAGAGAGAATGAATCAAGAAATGATTCAAAGGTTTGGGCTCAAAAATCTGAAAATATTGAGTTGTTACAAATTGAAAAAAGGTGTAGTGAGGGAGGAGCATGTTTACTGGGAAAGATCAGGAGTTCAGTTTTAGATATCACAAGTATGTGATGTCTAAATTCAAGCAGAGATTTCTACTAGACAGTCAGATATCAATTGGAGTTCAGGGAAAAGATCAGGGTGGGCATGTAAACTTAGAAATGTAAGTGAACAAAACGTCATTTTTCTACGTATTCTAGAATAAGTGTTCTACCAAATATAGTTTATTTAGGACTATTAAAACAAACTTTTTTCATATTATTGGAAATCTATGAGAATAATACAGGTGAGCCAGCCCATATATAACAAAGCAAAACGTACAATGTTTATGGAATATTTTCCTGTTCATTGATTCCACAGATATTTAGGGAGTGCTTCCTGAGTACTATGCAACAAGAATACAAGGACACAAAATATGCCTTGTCAGCTCTCAAAACACTCTAGCCAGGTTGAGGTCATCGTAAACAGACTGTGACAGCACAATGGGATGAATGCTGTTGGAGAGGTCTCAGGTTGTTATGGAAGCTGTAGGAGTTTATGAAGATGTATTAGTTAGTCATTGACTTTTTCCTTGGGCAGCTTCAGACTAGTTGGAAAGATCAAACACACAAAAAGTCGCATAACTCTAAAAGATGTAAATAACCCTTGAAGATAACAAAAGCCACGTCATAAGGCAGCATATGAACACTTGTTGAATGTTAATATCTGCCTTAGAGTTCAAAAGAGGAAGAAGTCTTTCCAGGCTAGGGTAAGAGGAAAGGCTTTGCTTGGGTGGAATTTGGGAACACTCAAGTTGAATGATCTAAGCCAAGAGTTGAATATGTACGGCTAGATCTTGGGTGAGAAGACTCGGTTGGAGATTTGGGAATTGTTTCGAAGGTGAAAGTATAGCCCTAAAAGTGGATAAAACCTCCATGGATAAAAATGTGAAGAGAAAAAAAAGTAGAAGGCTAAGGACTTACCATCATTTAAATACCCACTTTCAGGAGCTGGCAAAAAACACAGAAAAGGATCCAGAGAGATAGAAGAACAAGATATCATGGAGGAAATAAGCATAAATGTCCAACAGAAATCTAGGATGCATAAGAATACCCTGGATTCATACACAGTTTTACTTCCGGTAAAACTTTTATGAAATTATTTTACCTGATAAAGGAATCTAAGTAGACAGCCAAAGCATGATTAAACACTTATCTAAACTCTGGCAGCCTGGCTCCCCTTGAGCAAAATGGAGGTGATATTAACTGGGTTATCACCTTGAAGAGCTTAGACCAGGAAAGGGCCTTAAAAATCACTAATTTTGGCCAGACGCGGTGGCTCATGCCTGTAATCCCAGCACTTTGGGAGGCCAAGGCGGGCGGATCTCAAGGTCAGGAGATCGAGACCATCCTGGCTAACGCTGTGAAACCCTGTCTCTACTAAAACAATGAAAAATTAGCCGGGCGCGGTGGCGGGCACCTGTAGTCCCAGCTACTCAGGAGGCTGAAGCAGGAGAATGGCTTGAACCCGGGAGGCAGAGGTTGCAGTGAGTTGAGATTGCACCACTGCACTCCAGCCTAGGCAACAGAGCAAGACTCTGTCTCAAAAAAAAAAAAAAATCACCAATTTTTAAAGCCATTTCATTTTTTAAGTGAGGACAGTTAGGCTTCTAGAGAAATGGTCTATAACATAGCTATTTAGTAAGAGAACTGGGAATGGAAAAGGATATTTTGAGTTGTTTTAACTTAGACTTTTTTCTTCACTGTCTCTAACTAAGCCTAGTTGGCATTCTCAAATTCTAAGAATTCAGATTTAGTGAAAATAGTTAAATGGATTTTAAATGTGTAGTTTTTTTTTTTTCAAATGGTAAATATTTGGGCTTGCCTATTTTGCCTATTTATAATCTAAATCTATTTGGGAGAATGCTTCACTCTAATTATGTCCTCCTGAGGCCACTTTATCCACTCAAACATTTTTTATTTTTCAAGGCAAAGTGCAAATTCAACTCCTAATGAAGCTTTCTCTGATCACCCCAGTAAGAACTGACTACTCTTTCTTACGGGCTCCCCCAGAGTCAACGCTTTTTAAACTCAGGCTGAAACTTATTAGTGGGTCATGAAATCCGTCGGGTGGGTCACTGGCAGAAAAAGAAATAGGAAATATCAGAGGACATCACACATAGTGATGGTGACAATTACTTTTTGAAACATTTACTTCAGTTAAGAGTGTATGCATATGTACTAGATGGCAACGTAACATATAAAAGTTGAAAAACACAGGTTTGGAGGATCATAATGTAAAACACATATCTTAACATATCATGGCCAGCTGTATGGCCACGTAGCTCTTTGAGGGTTGGGACATTCTTGATCTATATATCCCTCATGCCCAATGTCCTACCTGGTGAGTACTCAGGAGTTGTTGACCGGAATGATTATGAAGGTTTGAGAAGGAATTGGAAGAATGAAAAGCAGGTAGGTTGGGGAGGAAATGAGGGCTTGAATTAAGTGTAAATTTTGTAGTTTCCTTTATCTTGAATGTTAATATATATTTTTTCAACCTAATATTATTGCCACAAAGAACCCGTGTTTGTTATCTGTGCTCTGGGGTTGTCTCCCATCACCTTCAATGTAATGTGGTATAAATAATACTTCCTGCTAATGTTGCAGCTGTCACTCAAGGATCTTAAATTACTTTAGGAGCAAGATCTGGTGATGAGTGCCCGGCTCCACTTGGCAGGTGCCAGAGTTAAGAACCAGTGACTGCCTGAAATCTTTGTGCTCCAGGATGACGGCTCCCTCTCTGTCATCCTCCCACACTCTCTTCTGCCCATCCCTTCTTCCATGGAGGGAGGATACCTTGACCCTGCCTCTTTCTGAGCTTTGTAACTGGTAAATAGAGTCTGCAAAGATTCCGCTGAGCTAGAAGATTTGCTCTTTCTTTGCGGGTAGCTATGGTGTGTTTCGGGGGAAGGCTCATGGCAATAAAGGCTATTAGTTGAACTGCCTCAGAGCTCAAAAAGCTTGGGGCTGAAAACTGCAAAGGAACTCATTAGAAGTGAGCTCTGGATTATCAAAGGCAATTGAGACTCCTCTGGTTAGAAGCTCTTTAAGATTTGCACTGGACAGAAAGGGGATATTTGACATGCGGTTACCTTTGTGGGCCATTTTATGTACATGGTCTTTTCTATAGCAACCTTATTTCTTGCTTCTGGCCACACTCCTTTTGGTCTTATAGTCCAAATCAGCCACAAGTCATTTAAATACCCCCTCCCCACCCTCTATTTCCTTCTCTTCTTTGCAAACCCACTGTCACCTTGAATATCTCCCCTCCCCCTTTCCTGGAAGCTCTTGGGGGTCAGTCTCTCTTTTCCGAGAAGCTGTTAACTGCCTACAGTTGGGCCTGGGAGGCTCCAGGAGGGTGACAGCAGAGTCCTGGCTTGGAGTCGGGTTACACCACTTGTGTCTGAGTTCACGCAGCATGTTCCTCTGTCAGGGATTCCGCAAATATCTCCCTGAGGTAAAAAAGGAAAGTGTGCTGCGCTCCAGCACCCAGAGCAGTGAGCCCAGTCCCGAGTCCCGGAGAGAGCTCCAGCAATAGGGGCCATGTCGCCATAGCCCCAGCCTCTCGGTCCGCAGCCTCAGCAGCGTCCCAGCCGGCTGGCTTCATGCTGCGGTGCAGCTGCACCATGTTCCTGGGTTGAGGGGGCAATCGGGCACGCTCCTCCCCATGGGTTGCCCATCATGTCTAATGGATATCGCACTCTGTCCCAGCACCTCAATGACCTGAAGAAGGAGAACTTCAGCCTCAAGCTGCTCATCTACTTCCTGGAGGAGCGCATGCAACAGAAGTATGAGGCCAGCCGGGAGGACATCTACAAGCGGGTGAGTGCAGGGGCCCGCTTCTCCGAGGCAGGGGCAGGGGCAGGGGACGGTTTGGCCTGCCAGTTGGTCGCTATTCTAGGCTCTTCCTAGCTGGCGCTGTGCTAGTCAGCGAGAGAGGTGGGGTTTCGTCCAGCTCTGGTCACCTTAACAACCTGTGACCTTGGACAAGCTCATTTCACCTCTCTGGTGCCTGCTTTCTGCTTTCCTTCTCTGTAAAGAAAGAGGACTGGAATAAATCAGAGCCGCTCTCAAACACTGACGTGGAACTGTGCGGAACAATCACCTTGGGAGCTGGTTTAAAATGTAGATTCCATGCCTCACCCTAGGGATTCCGATGTAGTAATGTGGGGGAAGGTGGGGGGAGAGGGTGGGGCTGGGGTGGATATTTGCATTTTTAAAATTTATTTATTTTAGAAACAGGTCTTGCCCTGTTGCTCAGGCTGGAGTGCAGTGTCACCATCATAGCACTGCAGCCACCAACTCTTGGGCTCAAGTGATGCCTTCTGGCTCAGCCTCCTGAGCAGCTGGGACCACAGGCACAGGACACCAGGCCCAGATAATTAAAAACAAAAAAAATTGGCAGGGCACAGTGGCTCATGCCTGTAATCCCAGCACTTTGGGAAGCCAAGGAAGACAGAAGGCTTGAGGTCAGGAGATCGAGACCAGCCTGGCCAACATGGTGAAACTCCATCTCTACTTAAAAAGTACAAAAATTAGCGGGTGTGGTGGCATATGCCTGTAGTCCAAGCTACTTGGGAGGCTGAGGCAGGAGAATTGCTTGAACCCAGGAGGCGGAGGTTGCGGTGAGACGGGATTGTGCCGCTACACTCCAGCCTAGGTGACAGAGCAAGAGTCTGTCTCAAAAAAAAAAAAAAAAATTCGTACCAAAGGGGTGGCACTATGTTGTCCAGGCTGGTCTCAAACTCCTGGCCTTTAGATCCTCCCACCTCAGCCTCCACTGTTGTTGGTATTATAGGCATGAGCCACTTTGCCTGGGAAAATATGCATTTTTAAGCAAGATCCCTGAGGTGGCTCTGAAGCAGATCATCTCCAGGTCATACCTCTCCTAGAGAAAGTGCCCTCCTAGCTCCGGCTTGGTGGGGCAGAGAATGATGCTATGGAGAAAAGGGCAGGGGCTAAGGGTGTTTCCGTTCCTTGAGAAATTCATGTTTGCTTTTGAAGATGACTATGCAGATAAGCTTTTAGGACAGAATCTTAGGCATTTTTAGTCTTTGGAATAGCTTGCCTTAAAATGAAGAAGAGAGTAACCTGTGGGATAGCAGTTGGCCTGGGTGGAGTGGGAGGGGAAATGGCCTCTTCCTTGGATGAGAGGGCTATCTTGATTGATGGGTCAGTGATCAGGGTGGGGAAGGAAGACCTACTGGATTGGCTGAGCTGTGGGTGAGATAGGACAGCACCTTGATAAGAGGACATTGGGCTATGGGTTATGAGGATTAAGCCTCGTAGCTGGTCACCACAATATTGGTTTCCTCAGCCCTCTCTGTGTCTGGACAAGCAGGACCTGAAGTGGCCCAAGTGACCGGGGACTGGTTGCCTCTGACCTTATCAGAGATTCTAACTCTCCAACTGTTTACCCCAGAGGACTATACAAATACCATTTTCTATGTGTGCTCTGTCCTGTCAAGAGGATGGATGACTGGGAAGCGATACAGGCTGCTAGATAACATCTTGGATCAGGGAAATAGCTGGTGTCTATGAGACCCAAATGATTATTTAGTTAATTCAATTAATGTGTATAGCTAAATCTGGGGGATTTAACTCTATTTCCTGTCTCTCCTGCATTTCCATGTTTTAAGTCCAAATTTTCCAGAAGTTGGTCCAGATTCACCTTTTATCTTTTACGTGGCTATGTAATGAGTGTGCCTCATTGGAGCTGCCACGTGTCAAGAAGGATATTGCCAAGTGAGGGTTGGTAACAGAGAGATGGCGAGAGACGGAGGATGAGTGGGAGGTTTTGCCTTAGGGTTAGGGTAGGAATAGTGGATGGATGTATTCACTGTGCAGAGGGAGGAACTTTCCCCATTAACTGTCTTCAGGGCAAAGAAGGAAAGGACAATTTCTTAGGTAATTTGAGGGAAAGGATTTTGTTGTTGTTGTTGTTGTTCTGAGACAGAGTCTCACTCTGTCGCCCAGGCTAGAGTGCAGTGGCACGATCTCAGCTCACTGCAACCTCCGCCTCCTGGGTTCAAGCGATTCTCTGGAGTAGCTGGGACTACAGACGCCTGCTACCACACCTGGCTAATTTTTGTATTTTTAATAGAGGCGGGGTTTTACCATGTTGGCCAGGCTGGTCTCAAACTCCTGACCTCAGGCGATCCACCCGCCTCAGCCTCCCAAAGTACTGGGATTACAGGCGTGAGCCACTGCGCCCCACCAGGATTTTTTTTTTTTTAAAGCTGAATCAGATGGCTGTCTGAATCATTTGGTCTCACTCTCTGCTCTGCCCTAGCGAAAGATCTTTAGGAAACAACTTTGGGTGGGGTGTGAGAAGGCACCATTTCTCACCTGGAGAAGTGTGATAAATGAGATTATAGGAGCTGCACAAGGTGTATGTGGGGGGAGTGGAACACAGCCTGTTGTCACATGCAGAGAGGACAACCCTTTTGCTAGACTCTAGTATTGCCATGGGTCCCATACAGGAAGTAGATATGGCCCTGTCTCTATCTAGTCTTACGTGTTAGCAGAGTTGTCAGGCAGCTACTGCATCATATGATTTGAGGGATCTCAAACTACTGTATCCCCTCCTCTTCCTTCTCACCAAATGTTTGTTCAATCTGCCTGTCATATTAATTTTCTCATTTGGCTATGATTATTTGAAAAGCGCTAAAGGCTTGTGCTAAAATGTTCTTATTACTTGGGAAACAGAACACATAAAGCCATTATCAATCATTCAGAGTTGAAATTAGTTTACCACACTATGTCATGATGAGTGATTGATAGGAACTAGAGCCGTTCTGGTTTATTTTATTTTTTGAGACAGGGTCTCGCTCTGTCACCCAGGCTAGAGTGCAGTGGCACCGTCACGACTCACTGCAGCCTTGACCTCCTGGGCTCAAATGATCCTCCCACCCCAGCCTCCCAAGTAGCTGGGACCACAGGTGTGCCACCACACCTGGCTAATTATTTATATATATATGTGTGTGTGTGTGTGTGTGTGTGTGTATGTATTTTTTTTTTTTTTTTTTTTGGCAGAGATTGAGGTCTCACTCACTATGTTGCCCAGGCTGGTCTCAAATTCCTGGGCTCAAGTGATCTTCCCACCTTGGCCTCCTAAATTGCTGGGATTACAGGCATGAGCCACCACACCCAGCCACAGTTCTGTTTTGATGTAAGAACGAGGGATTCGGAAAACACTGCATTAAGACCTATTGTCAACAAGGAGACTTAGTTAGGCAAGTTACTTAGCCTCTCTGAGCCTGTTCCAGCCTCTATAGGATTGACATTAACAATAATGCTACAGATACTGAGAATTATTTTTCTATGAATAAATAGCAGCCATGAAGATGAAATAAGAAACATATCAAAACACTTTATAAACTTAATAACATCACATATATATGAGAGGGTAGTAGTTATATTTCTACTAGTAGTTATAGTTATAAAATTTAAATATGGGGACAAGGTTTGACTCTTTATAATCTCCCCCTCATAATTCCCACAGATGTGTCTTATGTTCATTCTTGTTATTCATATTGTGATCCCACGAGATTAGGAAGATTAATTAGCAGCAATGTGCCCAGCATCACATGGTAAATCAGGTGGTTCAGAGGATAATTTAGAGTACTGTTCTGTTACCAAACTTAGTAACAGAAGTTTGATTTTTCTGTTGCTAAGAAACAGAATTTTCTTGATTCTGATTTTTTTCTTTAGCGTTGGAAGGACACTTCTTTAAAAAAAATATTGTAAAAACATTAAATCAAACTCTACTGAGTTAGAATCTGCAATAATTTGAGTGCTGTATGCGTGGTTCTTTTTAAGAAAACCAATGCTTGTGAAACATATGTAATGGAAAGTCTATTGTGAGTAGTAATTATTTTATTGATGTGCATATTTATGCTACCGGGAATTTTTGTTGAGCTGTTTGTACTTAAGAGTGAAAAATTACTCTTAGCGAGAAACAATAAAGTATTTGATTGGCTTCAGGGAAGGGAAATACGGGCAACTTTGGGAGAAGAGAACTGGAGAGTGGGTGCTATCTTTCTCTTTCCAAGTGGCAAGTCTTCTCCTAGGTAGCTGATTGAGGAGACTAAAATAGATATAATCCTTACTTGTAAATGGAAGCTATAAGGATTTTAAATTATAAGAGGAGTTGTCAAAGCTAGAGAGTTATGTTAAAAACCTAAGAGTATCAACCTCAAAGCAAGTAAATAAAAAAGAAGGAGTTTCTCTCTTTTAAGCTGTTCAGAGAATTAAGAAATAATCTTAAGAATCATCCTGGCCATGGATTAATAAAATAATATTAATTCATACATAAAAATTGGTTTCTTGAGACTGGCTACTTTTTTGTTGAGTGTTTATCCTGTAAGCTTCAATTTTTGTAAATCATCATAATAAATTTTTTAAAAAGGAAGAGGCTGCTTACCCTCTGTACCGACAGAGTGGGACATATGCCTACATGACCAGGCACTGCTACCCCCTTTTGGTAGCAAACATTAATTTTAAGTTCAGCTTTTAGGGAAGACAATTTTAAACATATAAAGCAAGCAAAGGAGAAATCATTGCAGTACACTGACTCTGAAGCAAAATAAAGTGAGAAAATGTTGTGAGTGGTCCACAGCTGAGTATGGCCCACTCCTAGGGAGACTGGCTTGTTAGCATTTCTGGACTGCAGCTGCTGTGGTAAGTAATTTTTGGGTGGCAACTTGGCTGACTTCCTCATTGTTGATTGCCTAATCCTGCATTTTCTCATATTAGTCAAGTGTGTCGCTACTGGAATCTTGTCTGACCCTGGAATTTATGAAATCCACTGCTGTGTGGTAAACACCCAGTCTCCAAACAGCACACAAAACCATCATCCACTGGGTTTTGCCCCCTGATGACTACTTGTTCAACTTGTGTGAATTAAGTTTCCATTCTAAGAATGAAATTGAAAAACTGACAAGGCCAGATCTGATAGCAAAAGGGTCAGGAGAAATAAAATGTTGTCGTCCTTGACCAGATAGAGTCAATGTTTAAATATGATGTAATGATATTGGAAGGTTAAAGTGGACTTAGCCCTTAGATATGAGTTGAGAGAGTTGTGTTGCGTTGTTTTATGACCCTTAAGCTGCCTGACTTCTTTGAGATTGAAACTTCTTTGGTTTTCTCATCTTTGAGATTGGATGATACTTTTCCTGCGCAATCTTTGAGGTTTATGCATAGCATACTTCTATAGCTATGGTAAACAGCCTACTGATTTTACTTGCCTACCAAATTGTCATTGTTTTTACTATTCTGTTATTGCTGGGCATAACGGCTAAGAGCTATAAATTGGCGAGACCTGGGGTGAAATCTTGATTTTTCTACTTACTATTTGTGTTGGGAAAAATACCATAATTTCTCTGAGCTAAAGCAAGGGCAGTAATAACACCTATCTTACAGGGTCTAGAGGAGGATGAAATGAGTCAATTAGCTGAACTCAGCATAATGCCTATCACATAGTAAGCTCTCAATAAATATTTGCCATTATTGTGACAAATTGAGAGACGGCAAACTTATCCGGATAAGTCTTAATTACTGACACATTCATGCTGGACTATTTTTTATTCCAAATCAGTTTCTTTTTCCTCAATAGTGGACTTGGGACCATTTGTCCTATTTGTCTCAATTCTCAATTGTTGTTTGCTTGTGTGTAAATAACATAATATAATCCAAGTGTCCCTATTGCATCAAATTTACCTTGGCATTCTCAGATACAAATGTTCATTCAAAGAAAATAAATAAGAAAGGCTGGGTTGATTAAATTTCTTTTTGGCTCATTGACTGATTTTCTTTGGTCCTAGCCTGATTTCTTTAGGCTTTGGGCAACATGATGAGGAACAATATACCTGCAGACTTACAAGGAAGCTCAGGAACTCCATCAGGCGGTAGGATTTAGGAAGCTGGACTTGAACCAAAGGAAGGCTATTAGAGAAGGATGAGTATCTTGGGGGGTTATCAAAAATGTTGTGATAAAAGTTTTGAACTCTAAGGAAACCTGAATTCTTAACCTGCCTTTTCTAGCTACATGATCTTGGCCAAGTCACTTAACTTCTGTGAACCTTAGTTTCCTAAATTAGAGTCATCAATTCCTGTCGTGCTCTTCTCCCCCATGGGTAAACATGTTTTAGTGTATTAGACGTTAGATAAATAGAAAGGATTGTGATTTCTATCCTGCATAGCTGGAGACACATACTAGAAAGCATGCACCTGCTCAGGTTATTGTCTAAAGTGGCTGTGTGGCTGCTGTTGCCAGAATTAATGCTTGTCTTCTTATATGTAGCAGAGTTTGCTCTTCTTTTACAGTTGGATGCCTTATTTAATTAGTGGCTATGTTTTTTTCTCCTATGTTTTACTTACACGAACTTTAAGAAATGTGGATGATGGGAAAGGAGGAACATAAGAGACAGACAAGATTACATTAGCCAAACTATTTTTAAATGGTTCTCTGGAAGCCTAGTATGAACATGGTCCATGTGTGTCTGTGTCTACGCACACTGTGTGTGCCAATTCCCCATTCTCAGCCTTCTGAGGTTCGTGAGGTCATGCTTACCTATTTCTTCTTTCAGGGAATGAAAGTTGGCAGAAATAGAGGGAATCCATCCATTAAATATTTGTAACCAATATTTATGATTTTGGTTAAATATTTTTTTAAACTTCACACTCATTAGGATGGCTATTATACTAAAAATCAAACAACCCAGAAAATAACAAATACTAGTAAAGATGTGGAGAAATTGGAACCCTTGCACATTGCTAGAAAGAATGTGAAATGGTGCAGGTGCTGTGAAAACCAGTATGGAGTTTCTCAAAAAATTAAACATAGACTTACCGTATAATCCAGCAATTCTACTCTGGGTATAACACAAAATAAATGAAAACAGGAACTCAAATAGATATTTGTATTTCTGTGTTCATAGGAGCATTGTTTACAGTAGCCAACAGGTGGAAGCAACTCAAGTGTTCATTGACAAATGAGTGGATAAACAAAATGTGGGCTATATAGACACTGGATATTATTTAGCCTTAGAAAGGTATGAAACTCTGACATGTGCTGTAACATGAGTGAACCTTAAAGATGTCATGCTAAGTAAAGTCAGTCCCTAAAGGACAAATATTTATTATTTCACTTAAATGAAGTACCTAGAGTAGTCAAATAATGAAGACAGAAAGTGGAACTATGGTTGCCAGGGGTTGTGGGGAGGAGGGAATGGGGAGTTAGTGGCTACAGTTTCATTTGGGAAAAAGTTCTGGAGATGGATAGTGATATTTGAACAACTATGTGAATGTACTTAATGCCATAGAACTATATACTTTAAAATAGTTAAAATGGCAAATTTTATTATATGTATATTTTAACACACACACACAAAATGTTTAGGCCTGGCATGTTGGCGCATGTCAGTAATCCCAGCACTTCGCAAGGCCAAGGTGGGAGGATCACTTGAGCCCAGGAGTTTGAGACCAGCCTGGGAAACATAGCAAGACTGCATCTCTGTAAATTTTTTTTTTTTTTAATTAGCTGACATAGTGGTGTGTGGCTGTGATACCAGCTACTTGGGAGGCTGAGGTGGGAGGATTGCTTGAGCCCAGAAGGTTGAGGCTGCAGTGAGCCATGATTGTGCTCCTGCATTCTAGCCTGGGTGACAGAGTGAGACCCCATCTCACACATACACACAGAAAAAAAAATGCTTAAAGCAACTTTCCCCAAAAAGTCAGTTGCTTATAAAAATAGTGGAACTCTTAACCAAAGGCAACTCTGTTTTCTGCTTTTCCTTAACACAACTTATCTCATTTTTTCAGAGCTTTTAATTAGAATTCATAATACTTGCCTGTTGAGAAATGCTTCTTCCCTTTGAATACTTAGGAATTTTTCTTTCAACCACTGGAAAACAAATCCCAGACTAAATTCTGGGCCCTAATTTAATTCTAATCCACTTTCAGTTATCCCCCTAACAATGTCTACATAATTTATACTTCTGCATGAACTTATTACAAGGCCACTTCTTTCTATAGTGTATGTACATTCAGGTTTATGCACTGATAGAAGTAGCATGTTACACTTGAAAAAAATAGACATTCTAAATTTCTGTCTCAAATGTTTCCCTTGTTTGCAATATCATTTTAGTCATTTTTTTGCTCATATTTGCACATATGCATTGGTATATTCAGTCGAATGTCTATTGATTATCTACTATATGCCAGCTACTGTGCTAGATTCTGGTGGAGAAGACATCAACAAATAAATAAAAATGGTATAATAAGGGCTACCATAGAGGTATGGACAGATTATGCTATAGTGCAATAAAATCCACCAGGAAAGGCCTTGCCAAGTGTTTGAAGTTTGCATTGAATCCTAAAAGGTAGTAACATAACAAGAAATGGGAAAAGGCATTTCTTTTTTCTTCTTTTTTTTTTTTTTTTTTGAGATGGAGTCTCACTTTGTGGCCCAGGCTGGAGTGCAGTGGCGCCATCTTGGCTTGCTGCAATCTCCACCTCCCAGGTTCAAGCGATTCTCCTGCCCCAGCCTCCTGAGTAGCTGGGATTACAGATGCTGTGAAACATACGCTAATTTTTCATATTTTTAGTAGAGACGGGTTTTCACCACGTTAGCCAGGCTGGTCTCAATCTCTTGACCTCGTGATCCACCCACTTCGGCCTCCCAAAGTGCTGAGATTACAGGCATGAGCCACCATGCCTGGAAAATCCAGAAATTCTTTTTTTTTTTCTTTGAGACAGAGTCTTGCTCTGTCAGCCAGGCTGGAGTGCAGTGGCATGATCTCGGCTCACTGCAACCTCCGTCTCCTGGGCTCAAGCGATTCTCCTGCCTTAGCCTCCCAAGTAGCTGGGATTACAGGCGTGTGTCACCATGCCCGGCTAATTTTTGTATTTTTAGTAGAGATGGGGTTTCGCCATGCTGGCCAGGGTGGTCTCAAACTCCTTACCTCAGGTAATCCACCCACCTCGGCCTCCCAAAGTGCTGGGATTATACGTGTGAGCCACCGCGCCTGGTGGGAAAAGGCATTTCAAACAGAAGAAACAATATACAAAAGCAGAGGTGTACAAAAGCAATGTGCACTTGGCACACTGGAATCATTCTGTATGGCTAGATCATGTGGTTTGGAGGGCTTGTGGTGGTGGTAAGATGAGGCTGCAGGGGAGAAATCATGGAAAGCTTTGGACTTATCCATTCATTCATTAATAAACATTAATTAGGTACCTGCTATGTTCCAAGTACTAGAAGTTGGGACTTCAAAGATGAGCAAACCACAGGTGCTAGAGTATAGTAAAAGGCAGTAACAGAGCTGTGTACAAAGTGTAAGGAAACTCAAAGGGGGCACTTCTATCCCAAATGAATAGAGTGGATGGAAAGAAAATCTGCAAAGGATTATTCGTGATGACCCCTGAACTTCGTCTTCAAAGGGGAATAAGCACTAATCAGTCAATGGATGATGAAGTGGAAGGACAGAGTTTTTGTCACAAGCAAAAGCCTTGAGGCAAGAAACCATAGGGTGCTTGCACAGAATTAGAAGTGGTTTAGTGTTGGTGGATTTAAGTACTAGGCGAAGAATGAGACTGATATGACGGACACAGTCTTTTGTGCCATTTTAAAGATTGTAGACTTTATCCTGAGGAAGACAAGGCACCACTGATGGGCTTTAAGCTGCAGGGAACCTGCTAGATCCCTCTGATGCATGGGAAAGGTGGATTCAAGAGAGTCAAGGCAGGAAGTGAGTGAGAACAGACTTGCCAAGCCAAAGAAGATGAAGGCCCGAATGAGGGCTGTGGCAGTAGGAATAGAGGGGAGGCAACTCATCTTTAAAATATTTAAGAGGTAAAATATTTGTAGGACTTGATGATTGATCAGGATGGGAGAATTGAGGGAAAGGAATCAAGAGGAAGGCCAGGCTAAGGCAAGTCACTTTTTCTGGGCTTCTGGTTCTTTGTGTTTAAATGAGTGGGCTGGACCAGGATTGACGCACACATCCCTCCCAGTTCTGAAGTCCCGTGATTCTGGGCAGCCTTTCTCTGGGCGCAGAGAAAGGAAGCTCTATGATACATGGGTGTTCTCACCACAGCTTAGATAGTTGCTTAAAAGAGACTCATAGTTTCTCAGCTTCTCTGACAGCTTCTCAGGATGGGAGGTGGCAGGCAGAGCTGAGATGGCTTTAGAACTGCCAGCCAATGCAGGGAAATCTAGTGCGGTTACCAGGTAGCCGGAGTTATAATTAGCCTCGTTGCTAGGGCAAGGCTGAGATTCTGTAAGCATGGACTGCCAGCAACAGCTTTTCCCTGCTGG